>NC_000021.9:28635109-29265032 GCF_000001405.40 Homo sapiens | reverse complement strand
TTGGACCAGTCTGGCTTAAATGCTGGCTCTGCCCCCCACTCTCTAGGACAAATTCTGAACTTCTCTGAGCCCAGTTTCTTCATCTAGAAATGGAAATGATGTCACCTATTTCCCATGGTTCTTTTGAGGAGTAGATGTGATCACTATAAACGACTCAGCAAAGCATCCAGCATATTTCAAAGACACATACCTCTTCCACTAACAACAGTAAGAGCAGATAATGTCCACTGATCATTTTCTATGTGCCACCACCTGGCTATGTACTCTTTATATATCAGTTCATTTTATTGTAATGCAGTGTAATCCTTCTTTTAAAGTAGGAGATGGAGAGAAGAATAGGATTATAAAGCAAGGTCAAGCTTATTTCAGATTCCTTGGCATAGCAAGGTCAGGGGACCACCTTATTGCGTGTTGTGAAACTACAATACTTGTAACATAAAACACAGTGTCAAAAATAAGTGCCTTATCTAAATAGTCACATGTACTGTAAACTCTCATTAACTATGAAAGTATCTGTCATGAATTGTGACATTTATAAAATGAAATATGTTTTCTTACCAGATAATCTTGGCTTAATAAATATAGTACATATATGAGAAGGTGAAAATGTCCTTCAAACTACAGGCATATCTTGTTTTCTTGCGCTTCGCTTTATTGTGCTTCGCAGATACTGCGCTTTTTACAAATTAAAGGTTTGTGGCAACCCCGTGTTGAGCAAGTCTATCGATGCTATTACTCCAACAGCATGTGCTCACTTTGTGCCTCTGTGTCACATTTTGGTAATTCTAGCAATATTTCAAACTTTTTCGTTATTATTATATCTGTTATGGTGATCTGTGAGCAGTTATCTTTGATGTTCCTATTGTAATTGTTTGGGGATGCCACAAACCCCGCCCATATAAGAAGGCAAACTTAATAAATGTTTGTGTTCTGACTGCTCCATCAACTGGCTGTTTCCCACCTCTCTCCCTCTCTTCAGGCCTCCCTGTTCCTTGAGACACAATATTGAAATTAAGCCAATTGATAACCCCACAATGGCCTCAAAGTGTTCAAGTGAACACTTAGTGTTCAACACTCAAGTGTTCAGGTGAAAGGAAGAGTCACATATCTCACACTTTAAATCAAAAACTAGACATTATTAATAAGCTTAGTGAGAAAGGCATGTTGGAAGTCAAGATAGGCCAGAAGCTAGGTTTCTGCACCAAACAGCCAAGTTGTGAATGCAAAGGGAGAATTCTTGAAGGAAATTAAAAATGCTATTCCAGTGAACACAAGAATGATCAGAGAACAAAACAGATGCATTGTTGACATGGAGAATGTTTTAATAGTCTGGATAGATCAAACCAGCCACAACATGCCCTCAGGCCAAAGTTTAATCCAGAGAAAGACCCCAGCTCTCTTTAACTTTATGAAAGCTGAGAGCAATAAGGAGGCCGTACAAGAAAAGTTTGAAGTTAGTAGAGATTGCTTCATGATTTTTAAGGAAAGAAGCCTTCTTTATAATATAAAGTACAAGGTGAAGCAGTGAGTGCTAATGTAGAAGTTGTGGCAAGTTAACCAGAAGAGCTACCTAAGATCATTGATGAAAGTGGCTAAGCTAAACAACAGATTTTCAATGTAGATGAAACACTCTTCTACTGGAAGAAGATGCCATCTAGGACTTCTAAAGAGAAGTCAGTGCCTGGCTTCAAAAATTCAAAAGATAGGCTAATGCAGCTGGCAACTCTAAGTTAAAGCCAATGCTCATTACCATTCTGAAAACCCTACAGCTCTTAAGAATTATGTTACATCTACTGTGCCTATGCTCTATAAATGGAACAACAAAGCCTGGATAACAGCATATTTGGTAACACCATGGTTTATCAAATATTTGAAGCCCACAACTCACTGTTGAGACCTACTGCTCAAAAAAGGGATTCTTTTAAAAGCATTACTGCTTATTGGCAATGCATCCAGTCACCCAAAAGCTCTGATGGAGATGTACAGGAGAATAATGTTTTCATGCTGCTGACACCACATCCATTCTGCAGCCCTTGGATCAAGGAATAATTGTAATCTTCAAGTCTTATCATTTCAGAAATACATTTCATAAGGGTATAGCGGCCATAGATAGTGATTTCTCTGATAGATCTGGGAAAAATAAATTGACTATCTTCTGGAAAAAAAAAAATCTTCATTTTAAGTGTCATTAAGAACATTCATGATTCATGGGAGAAGGTCAAAATATCAACATTAACAGGAGTTTGGAAGTTGATTCTAACCCTCATGCATGACTTTGAGGGGTTCAAGACTTCAGAGGAAGAAGTCACTGCAAATGTGGTGGAAATAAGAGAACTAGAATTAGAGGTCGAAGCTAAAGATGTGACGGAATTGCTGCAATCTCGTGATAAAACCTGAATGGATAAGGAGTTACTTCTTATGGGTGAGCAAAGTGGTTTCCAGTGAAATCTAATCCTGGTGAGGATGCTGTGAACATTATTGAAATGGCAACAAATGACTTAGAATATTACATAAATGTAGCTGATAAAGCAGTGACAAAGTTTGAGAGGATTGACTCTAATTTTGAAATAAGTTCTACTGTGCGTAAAATGCTATCAAACAACATTTTCTACAGAGAAATCTTTCGTGAAAGGAAGAGTCAACTGATGAGGCCAACTTCAAATGTCTTATTTTAAGAGTCAGCAACCACCACCCTGATCAACATTCCACCAGCAAAAAGATTACAACTCACTGAAAGCTCAGGTGATAGCCTTGTTAGGCAATAAAATATTTTTTAAATAAGGTATGTACATTTTTAGACAATGCTACTGCACACCTAATAGACTATAATATATCGTAAACATACTTTTATATGCTCTGGAAAATGGAAAAATTTATATGACTTGCTTGATTGTGATATTTGCTTTATTATGGTGGTCTGGAACCAAACCCACAATATCTTCGAGGTATGCCTGTACTGACTTGCAGTAGAACCCAGACGCAGGCTGTCTGACTCAAGCTACACTGCCTCAAGGCAAGGGCAGGAACTCTTGTTTATTCCTGTAGCCGATGTTACATTTAACACTGCCTCTCAATCCAAAAAGCTGTTTGCTATGGGCAGAAGTAACTAAAATGAAGAAAATAAAATACAGTATGGTTTCCATTTAGTTAATGCTATTTTGCCAAAATAACAAAAACATAAATCCTAAAGAAGATGACACTCAAACATTCAATATCATTTATGTTAGTACCTACATAGAGTTGTCTCAGTTACTAACTGAACATTTCTGAATCACTGCTTAACCTAATCCTGGTTTTTCCCCTGGTTCAAGTCAATCTAATTCATGCTGAATCTCGTAATTTGAAGATTGAGCTTCTCAAAGCTTATCTGGCTTCTCACCATCTTTGTATCCAAAGACCCTGCAAGCACTTTTATCCCACCTTTGATTTCCTTAAAAAGTGTGATTGATAGCTACTCCCTATAATTTGTGATGGAAAATACTCCTTCCAAGTTTTTTTTTTCTCTCTCTCTCTCCCTCCTTCTCTACCTCCTTCCCTCCCTCCCTCTCTCTCTCCTTCCCTCCTCCTTCATTTCTGGACCCAGTAAAAAAAAGTGTTAATCACACCATTGTTGTTGACTCAAGTGAAACATGATTTTTCTCTAATTTATGACCTTTCTAACAGTTTTCATCTAAGTCTTAATCAGTATTTTCTATTTGAAAAATTCTACAGTTTCCTCTACCTAATTTCTGGTATCTTAAATATAGTTTTTAGAGAACGTTATTTAACATGGATTTCTGTCTGTCGTCAAGACTGTGTTAACTGAAAATTCAGCCTATAATAGATGCTAATTCCTTAAAACATACTTATCCAGCACATATTAAAAACCTTCAAGCAATGATATGAGTTGTCTTCTCCATAACTGTAATATTAAATTATAATATAGGATACCTTTTAAAATCATTTACAACATTGTTGTAGAAATCCAGCAGTTTAAAAAAATCAATTCTTGTGAATCCCTCATGGAGCTAAGAGTGGACGATTCCTCATAAACTGTGTCAGGTGCTACGCCTCCACTTTGGCTATTAAGTTGCCAGATTAATATTTAGGCAATAATAATAATAATAATAGCTAACACCTGAAACTGTATTCTGTGTAAGTACCATTCTGTTTATATCTATTAACATTTAATCAAAATAATTCAATGAGATGTTTCCTGTTATAATCCCCATGTTACTGGTTAAGAAACTGAGATGCAATAACTTGCCAGAAGTCTCACAGTTAGTTAGGCGTAGAACCAGGATCCAAACCAAGACCACCTCACTCCAGCTTCCTTAACCTTTGAGCAACACTGCCTCAAGGCATTGTCTTCATTCATTCACTCACTCAGTTAACAAATATTTATTGAGTACGTACCTCATCAGGCCAGGGCCCTGCCCTAATGTGGCAGTCAAATAATTTGAAAAGAGTATGGTATCATGATAGGCATAGAAAATAGGAGTAATAAAACAGCACAAAATCAGTCTAGGGACATTAGAGAAGGCTTCCAGAAAGAAGTCATGCTTAAGTTGGGTCTTGCTATGGTTGGAATATTTACCCCCTCCAAAACTCATGTTGAAATGTAATTGCCATTTTAGCAGTATTAAGAGGGGGACCATTAAAAGGTGATTAGGCATGAGAGCTCTACCCTAATGAATGGATTAATGAGTGTCATATTGCTGGAGTGTGATCATTATAGAATGGTGAGTTCAGGTCTCTCTCTCTCTCTCTCTCTCTCCCTGGGCCTCACTATTGTGAAGACACAGCAAGAAGACCTTCAATCAGATGCAAGCACTTGATCTTGGACTTCCCAGCCTCCAGATATGTAAGAAATAAATTTCTGTTCATTTAAACATTATCCCATCTATGGTATTCTGTTAGAGCAGCACAAAACAAAGGTCCTAAACAATGAGTGGGAATTAAACAGGCCAAAAGTAGCTACAGGGTGAAGATGAGCTTCCCAAGGCAGAGAGAGTAACAAGTGCAGAGGGTAGGAGGGGAGAAAGAGGAAAACATTCTTCAGGTAACTCTTAAGTCAGCATTATGGCCAGGCATAGAATGGGGTGGGAGCTCATGAGATGGGCTGGAGAGACAGGTAGGGGCCAGATCATGCTTCCCTGAGTCTGATGACCCTATTGAAAGATACTAAGCAGATATGATCAGGTTTTCTCTTCAGAAGACGACTTGTCTGCCTTCAGTGTGTGGAAGATGGGAAGGTGAGCAAATCCAGGACCAGGAAGACTAGACAGGAGGCTGATCTGGTAACTGGAGCAAGAGATTACACTGATCTGGACTGAGCTGACCATCCCCTGAGCAGTGAAGCTAGCCAGATGATGCAGATTATTATCTTAAATATATAAGATATAAAGCTGTGATGCACAAAAATAATGATGCACAAATACTATATGTCTGATGAAATATATATTATATGTAAATAATATATATATTTGTATATACAAAAGATATATATGGAAGATATCTTCTTAAATACTTTGGAGAGGTTTTGGAAAAAAGATATACAAGCTGCCGGTAGGTATTTTTCAAAATATATACAAAACACTCAAGAGAGAAGCAGCCAAAAACAAAAGGCATTTAAGAATGAAAAATAAAAAAGAGGATACATCAAGAAGAAATCCTCAAGAATTCACTAAATTGTAGTTTACTGTAAATAATCATGTCCCAGAGGAAATTTCAAGGGATAATATTTTCCTGCTAGAGATAAAGGGAAGGAAATCCTAACAAAAACAAACCAGAAAGGATTGCACAATTTTCTATAATAAAACAAAGAGAGCTGACTGATGCGAGGTATGCAACAGGCAAAAGGCACGTAGGCACAGCCTCCAGAAATTGGAAGAACAGGATGAGCACGTGCCAGGAGGCTGCACCCAAATTCCAATCTCCTGTTCCATGAATTTTCTTCCCCTTCCCTTGGCTCATTCCAACAGAAAGAAATCACAATTCCTGCAATCGATAACAAGTCCTAGGTTTCTCCCATTCTCTATCATCTATGTATCTTCTTGCCCCTTCTCTCCTAAACTTTTGGAATTGTATTTTAAATATTCACTAAACATATTGATTTGGGGTGTCCCATGTTTGTGAGTACCATTGCACAGCATCACTTTATGTATAACTGATCAAATTACCTCAAAACAGGACTAGCTCTTAGCATTTTTCCTGTGTGATTCATACTCAGCCTCACTTGAATGTCTCAGGGTTAGTAAAATAATTGTGGCTGCAATAGGCAAAGAAGGACTAACATTTAATGGATTTCTCTTGTGAACTAGGCTCCAAGACAGACGCTTATCATGTTTGATCATATTGTATTAAGTCTCATATCCTATAAAGGAGGTGGTATTATTTTCATTTTACAGGTAAAGGCACTATTTTGTTGGCGGGGGGAGGTGGAGTCTCACTCTGTTGCCCAGGCTGGAGTGCAATGGCACACTCTCAGCTCACTGCAACCTTCGCCCCCGAGTTCAAGAGAATCTCCTGCCTCAGCCTCCCAGGTAACTGGGACTACAGGCGCATGCCACCATGCCCGGCCAATTTTTGTATTTTTAGTAGAGAAGGGGTTTCACCATGTTGGCCAGGCTGATCTTGAACTCCTGACCTCAAGTGATCTGCCTGCCTTGGCCTCCCAAAGTGTTGGGATTACAGGCGTAAGACACCGCACCTGGCCAAAGAGCACTATTTAGAAAGTTTCCTGAAAGTACTTAGATTTTTAGCATCTGTCAGGATTAGAGCTTCTGTCTGACTCCAAAGTCTATACTTTTTCTACTATGCCACATTCTAAAGTTCTTTAGTCTAATGTCCTTGGAAAAAAGAATGATATTTTCCTCCTTCATACTTCATAAGGACGTTGTGAGGATTAAAGAGGAGTTTAAAATAAATTTACCCCAAGAAAAGTGGCAAAATAGGAAACATGAAGGTCACTTCCTTGGAAAATTCCAGCAACTCTGACTTTTGTCCACTTTACAATTTAAGTAACAAGGTATTTTTAAAAACTTGATTTGAGAATTACATGTTAACATTCTTGAACAAAGAGGCAGGTGGTATAGAGAAATGACAATGGGTTCCGAGGTCAGACAGAAATCCTGCAGTCCTGACTTCACCACTCAGGCAAGTTACGCAACCTCCCAGACTATCAGTGTCCTGCTCTGAAAGAGACAGGTAATAGAAGTTGCTTTATATAAATGTTATGAAGATTAAATAATAAAGGTAAAAGGCCTACCATAGCACCCAGGACATTATAGGTATTCATTAATTATGCACATAAGTTAAATCACTGGGTTTTTAAAAACCACAGATGATTTTCGTGGTAGCTGTATTAGTCAGGGTTCTCTAGAGGGACAGAACTAATAGGAGATATATATATATATGTATATATATATATGGAAGTTTATATATATATTATATAATATATAACAAATGTCACCAAGTATATTGTGATCTAACCTTAGAAGTCACACAGTATCACTTCTGTGGTTCTCTGATGATTAAAGCAGCCCCAAATTCACCCAGACTCAAGGAGAGAAAACCTAAACTACCTATCAATGGTAAAAGAGTCTCAGATAATTTGCAAGTACCTAAGTAGGTCCAAGCTAATACCTAGAGCGAAAAGTTAGAAAATCTGACCAAGATGTTGGTAAGAGTGAATATACCCAGCAAGAAAGGAGATGGTAATTATAGTGCAGTTGGGGAGAAAGAAGTCATTGAAACAGAAGTTTTCTGTTTATGCCATATCATGTTGAGAATTCTCAATAAACCATTTACAACAATTTACCATATGCAAGAAGAAGCCAGAGTCTGTGCACTTATGTGAAAGCCAAAACCAAAAATTTTATCATTCAAAAGTGACCTGTTGGTCACATCCTTGCCTCTTTGCTTAAGATTCTAATTTCTTTTGTACATGTAATAAGTAAAAATATTTTGAACTTGGTATCTTTTCTAAATAGAAGGCATATATATATGGTAAGGATTTTTATTGGCTAATCTCTTTACAAATCTTGTCAGTACCTAATCCTACAAACATGCCATGATGTGTTAGCATAATTAGCCCCATTTCACAGATTTTTAACAAGGAGATTTAGGAAAGTATCTAACTCACCGAAGATCACAAAATGAACTTATGCAACACTCATATGTTAGCATATGGCTCAAGGCTGCTAAGGCAAATGCTGCTTAGAGAGCAATAGTTACTTCCTGAAATAATATATCTTGTTAAATATAATTTCAAAGCGTCCTTTGTCACTAGAATGGATAGGGAAGCTAAGTGATTGGATGCCCTCCCCTACAGCTGGTAGCTCCAATGTGCTGAACTTTTTATTTTCCTAGAGCGATGATGACTGTGAATCATATGAGCTCTTGCTTTGAAAATAGTCCACAGACAATGGGAGCAGATGGGCTTTTTGGCAGCAGTACCCCTCTTTTCCATCTGCCACAGGTGAGTAGTAGGCCACTTTCTTACATAAGCCCCAATGGCTACTTCAAGTACTAGCAGATTACAAACATCATAGCCAACTTAGGACAGCATAAGATATACATTTAAAGGAGGACAACAGTTCTTGGAGTTAGAGGAATTGACACATAGTAGAAAACGGTAGCCAGTTCCAGTGTCATAAATTGTGCCAAGTTTTTATCATTGCATATTATCTAGGAAGTGAGTGGCGAACCTTTCCTTCAGAAAAGTAAACATTACAGATGACATAGTCAGATTTTGAAGTATTGTGGTAGCAGAAAACGGTGTAGTACAAAAAAAGGAGGAACCTGAAAAAAACACTGAATCAAAGAGCTAATAGGCCAAACCAATTTCAGCCAAGTGTGTGGGAAAATCTACAACCCGTAGGCAAGTGAATGTGAACTCCCCCTAAACACCAAGCCCCAGTGCAGGATAAAGTAGGCAATTTTAACTACATGCCATGCAGTATATGCAAACAGTAGGTTGAGGACAAGAGTTGGGGAGAGGAGAAGGAGGAGGAATCATTGCTCATTGGATACAGCACACTTAGCTTAAACGACCTCTGGAGAATGTAAGGAAAATGGAAATTCACACTTGCCAGTCAGAATGTAAAATGGTTCAGTCACTTTGGAAAACAATTTTGCAGTTTTTTAAAAAGTTAAACATATACTTACAGTAGGACCAACAATTTCACTCTAAGTATTTACTCAAGAGAAATGAATATGAATGTTCATAGCAGAATTACTCAGAATAGTCCGAAATTGGAAACAACCTAAATCTCCTCCAAATGGTAAATAAGTAAACAATTTGGTACATTCATACAATGGAATACTACTCAGCAATAAAAAGGATGGACTACTAATTCATGAAAAATCATGGCTGACCCTCAATATTACGCTAAGTAAAAGAAGCTAGACACAAATGACTATATATTTTTTTTGTGTTGTTGTTTTTGAGACACAGTCTTGCTCTGTCGCCTAGGCTGGAGTGCAGTGGCATGATCTCGGCTCACTGCAACTTCTGCCTCCCAGGTTCAAGCGATTCTCCTGCCTCAGCCTCCCGAATAGCTGAGATTACACACGTGTGCCACTACGCACAGTTAATTTTTGTATTTTTAGTAGAGATGGGGTTTCACCATGTTGGCCAGGCTGAACTCCTGACCTCGTGATCCACCCGCCTCAGCCTCCCAAAGTGCTGGGATTACAGACGTGAGCCACTGCGCCCAGTCACAAATGACTGTATATTATATGATTTCATTTTATATGAAATCTCTAGAACAGGCAAAGTTATAGAAACAGAAAGCAGACCAGTGGTTGCCTGGGGCTAGGTGCAGAAGTGGGAAATGACTATAAATAGGCAGCAGTGAAATTTTTGTTTTTTGATGAAAGTGTTCTGAGTATCCAGGTTTTAATCAAAAAGTACTAGTCACACAAAAAACCAGGAAAGCCGTGAGCTGAATGAAAAATGCAAGCAATAGATGACAACACTGAGATGACAGAGTCTGAAAAGAATTAACTTAAAAATTTTAATAGTAGTTTATATATTTTTACAAGCAAAATTTAATAGAAGAGTGGTTATGAGAATTTAGAAGTCAAGACATTCCAGTATTGATGTAAGCAAAGACATGTTATACACTTACTTATTTACCCAAAAGAAATAATAACATGTCCACAAAACGGGTATACAAATGTTCACAGCAGCTATATTTATAATAGTTAAAAATGAAAAACCAACAAAGTGTCCATTTATAGGTGAATAGATAAACTAATTGTGGTAAATCCATACAATGGCATACTATTTAACAAGGAAAAGGAACAAACTAATGATATATGCAACAACATGAGTGAATCTGAAAAACATTATACTGACCAAAACAAGTTAGATGTAAAAGAAGACTTACAATGTGATTCTATTTACAGGAAAGTCCAAGAAAACTAATCTATAGAGATAAGCAAACATCAGTGATTGCCTGCAGCTAGGCAGGATAGGAAACTGAATGCATAAATGCTGGAAGACAGTTTTTGGTGTGAAGGAAATGTTCTATATTTTGACTGTGGTAGTGGCCATTGTCTAGTTTGTAACAAGGCCCAGTCTACCTGATTTGTATCTTGGTTCTGACACTTACTTGGTGATATGGTTTGGCTCTGTGTCCCCACCCAAATCTCATCTTGAATTGTACTCCCATAATTCTCACAGGTTGTGGGAGGGACCTGGTGGGACATAATTTGAATCATGGGTGTGGTTCCCCCATACTGTTCTTGTGGTAGTGAATAAGTCTCATGAGAGCTGATGGTTTTATCAGGAGTCTCCACTTTTGCATCTTCCTCATTTTTCTCTTGCCACCACCAGGTAAGAAGTGGCTTTTGCCTCCCACCATGATTTTGAGGCTTCCCCAGCCATGTGGAACTGTAAGTCCAATTAAACCTTTTTTTCTTCCTAGTCTCAGGTATGCCTTTATCAGCAGTGTGAAAATGGACTAATACAGTAAGTTGGTACCAGGAGTGGGGTGTTGCTGAAAAGATACCTGAAAATGTGGAAGCAACTTTGGAACTGGGTAACAGGCAGAGGTTGGAACAGTTTAGAGGGCTCAGAAGAAGACAGGAAAATGTAGGAAAGTTTGAAACCTCCTAGAGATTTGTTGAATGGCTTTGACAAAAATGCTGATAGTGATATGAACAATAAGAAGCAGGCTGAGGTGACCTCAGATGGAGCTGAAGAACTTGTTAGGAACGGGAGCAAAGTTGACTCTTGTTATGTTTTACCAAAGAAACTAGTGGCATTTTGCCCCTGCCCTAAAGATTTGTGGAACTTTGAACTTGAGAGAGATGATTTAGAGTATCTGGTGAAAGAAATTTCTAAGCAGAGAAGCATTCAAGAGGTGACTTGGGTGCTGTTAAAAGCATTCCATTTTGAAAGGGAAACAGAGCATAAAAGCTCAGAAAATTTGCAGCCTGATGATGCAGTAGAAAAGGAAAACCCATTTTTTTGAGGAGAAATTCAACCTGGCTGCATAAATTTGCATAAGTAACAAAAAGTTGAATGTGAATCCCCAAGACAATGGGGAACATGTCTCCAGGGCATGTCATAGGTTTTCATGGCAGCCCCTCCCATCGCAGACCCAGAAGCATAGGAGGAAAAAATGGTTTCATGGGCTGGGCCCAGGGTCCTCATGCTGTGTGCAGCATAGGGACTTGGTGCCCTGTGTCACAGCCACTCCAGCCATTGCTAAAAGGGTCCAACATACAGCTTGGCCCATGTTTTCAGAGGGTGCAAGCCCCAAACCTTGGCAGTTTCCACATGGTGTTGAGCCTGCAGTTGCACAGAAGTCAAGAATTGAGGTTTGGGAACCTCCTCCTAGATTTCAGAAGATGCATGGAAACGCCTGGATGCCCAGGCAAAAGTTTGCTACACAGGTGGGGCCCACATGGAGAATCTCTGCCAGGGCAGTACAGAAGGGAAATGTGGAGTCAGAGCCCCCACACAGAGTGCCTACTGGTGCACCACCTAGTGGAGCTGTGAGAAGAGGGTTACTGTCCTCCAAACCCCAAAATGGGAGATTCAATGACAGCCTGCCCTGTGCACCTGGAAAAGCCATAGACGCTCAATGCTAGCCCGTGAAAGCAGCCAGAAGGGGGGTTGTACCCTGCAAAGCCACAAGGGCAGAGCTGCCCAAGCCTATGGGAACCTACCTCTTGCATCAGCATGACCTGGATGTGAGATATGGAATCAAAGGAGATCATTTTGGAGCTTTAAAATTTTACTGCCCTGCTGGATTTCAGACTTGCATGGGCCCTGTAACCCCTTTGTTCTGGCCAATTTCTCCCATTTGGAATGACTATATTTACCCAATATCTGTATCCCATTGTATCTAGGAAGTAACTAGCTTGCTTTTGATTTTACAGGCTCATAGGTGGAAGAGACTTCCCTTGTATCAGATGAGTTGGACTGTGGACTTTCAGGTTAATGCTGAAATGACTTAAGACTTTGAGGGACTGTTGGGAAGGCATGATTGGTTTTGAAATGTGAGGACATGAGATTTGAAGAGGCCAGAGGTGGAATGATATGGGTTGATTCTGTATCCCCACCCAAGTCTCATCTTGAATTGGACTCCCGTAATTCTCACATGTTGTGGGAGGGACCCAGTGGGAGATAATTTGAATAATGGGGGCAGTTCCCCCATACTGTTCTCATGGTATTGAATAAGTCTCACGAGATCTGATGGTTATATCAGAGGTTTTCCCTTCTGCATCTTCCTCATTTTTCTCTTGCCTCTGCCATGTAAGAGTGCCTCTCACCTCCTCCATGATTCTGAGGCCTCCCCAGCCATGTGGAACTGTAAGTCCAATTAAATCTCTTTTTCTTCCCAGTCTCAGGTATGTCTTTATCAGCAGTGTGAAAATGGACTAATATACTTGGGCAAGTTATTTAACTTCTCTGTGCCTCAGTTATCTCATCTGTAAAATGGATATCATAATAATACCTATTTCATAAGGTGATTGTAATTGTTAAAAAATGAGTTAGTAAATAGAAAGATTGTAAAGTACCTGAGATACAGACATTTCCATGTGTTACCCATTATTATTTTTAACAAAGGATAAAGTTGTCTATGTAAATATGTTTGTCAAATAGGTGTTTACAAAAGCAAAAACTGGCTTGCATAGGTATATGAGCTATAATGCTTTTCACCTGATGAAATATTATGTAGTCGCTACATTGGTGAACATTAGAGAATCTATTATATAACTTCTAATTTTAGTAGTTCACATAAAAAATCAGGTAAATATCTCAATAAATGCAGAAATGACATAAAATACAACACCCATTTCTGACACAAAGCAAAATTGATCAGTTCTTACACTTAATCACATCAAAAGCTAGCAACAAATTTAACAGTAAACTTTCGATTTTCCATTCAAATTTCACAAACGAAACAATGGTGCTATCACAATTATTGTCCATTGTTCTGGAAGTAAAATTTAATGCAAGCAAATAAAAATAAATAAGGAGAGTATATGTACTAGAAAAGAAGATGCATAATTGTCATAATTTGGAGATTACAGGACTGCGTAAAAGGATAAAATAATGTGGCTGGTTAAAAATGTTATTTACAAAAATGAGTAGTTTACCTATCTACAAAATCATAATAAGAAAAAAAGGATTAAACAAAACCCCATAATAACAAGACAAAAATAATTAGAAATCATCTTAGCAGTTAACATACAGGACAAATAAAAAGAAAATATTACAACTTTACTGAAGAGACATAAAAGCAGAATTGAGTAAATGTCCCCATATAGAAAAACTCAAAACTCTAAAATTATCAAATCAACTTTCAAAAATTCAAAAAAAGCAACAGGAATTCGGGAGGTATTTGAAAAAATTATAATAAGTTCGCCTGGAAGATTAAATGGAAAAAATGTGGAAAAAATAAGATGAGGCAGAACTATTTTTATCAAATATCAAAGCATATAAGACTACAGGAACTAAAGCATTTTGTGGCAGGATTACTGTGTTAGTTAATTATTGCTGCATAACAAATTTCCCCAAAACATATTGGCTTAAAACAACACACACCTATTATCTCATAGTTTTGTGGGTCAGGAATCAGGGCATGATTTAGCTGAGTTCTCTGACTATGGGTGTTTCACAAGGCTGCAATCAACGTGTCTACTGGGGCCACAGTCATCTCAAGGCTCAACTAGGGTAAGACCTGCTTCCAAGCTCACTCACTTGGTTGTCGGAAGGATTCAGTTCCTTTCAGGCTGTTGGACTGATGACCTCGGTTCCTCCTCAGCTGTTGGCTAGCGATCTTGCTCATTCTCTTGGCACATGAGTTTCTCCACAGGGCAACTCACAACATGGCAGGTGGCTTTAGCAGAGCAAGCAAGTGAGAGGACGAGAGAGAGAGCAACAGAGTACCAGTAGGATGGAGGTCTCAGTTTTTGTAATCTAATTGCAGAAGTGACATCTCATCAATTTTTCAGTATTCAGTTCATTAGAAGCAAATCACTGGGTCCAGCCCACATTCAAGGGGAGGGGATTACACACGGGTATGAATACCAGGAGGCAGGGATCATCGTACAAATCTGCCTGCTACCACCAGAGAGATAAACCAATAGAAGAAAACAAAGTATAGAAATAGACCCAAATTCCTTTGAGAATCTAGTATATAATAAAGATAGCATTCCGGATTAATGATGACAAGCTCTATGAATTATCATGCCATTGCCAAATCAAATCATATACAAATCATACTTTCAAATAATTAGCTAGGCATCTATGAAAAACCATCTTGGCACCTATCTCTTTCCCAGAGATATGATAATACTGATATAATAATTCTATGGAAAATACATATAAAATTAAGGCATGGAAAAATACATATATACTATAATTATCAAAATGTTTTAAAAATATATATACGGAGAAGCAAAAGAAACTACCAATAAAGTAAACAGACACCCTACAGAATGGGAGAAAATATTTGCAAACTGTGCATTCAGCAAAAGTCTAATATCCAAAATCTATTAGGAACTTAAATCAACAACAAAAAAAAATTCCATTAAAAAACTGGCAAAGGAGATGAACAGATACTTCTCAAAAGAAGATATACAAGCAGCCAACAAACTATGAAAAAATACTCATCATCACAGATCATCAGATAAATGCAAATCAAAACCACAGTGAAATATCATCACAAACCAGTCAGAATGGTTATTATTAAAAAGTCAAAAAGAAAATTCTGGAAGGCTGCAAAGAAAAAAGAACACATACACTGTTGGTGGAACTGAAAATTAGTTAAGCCACTGTGGAAAGCAGTTCAGAGATTTCTCTAAGAACTTAAAACAGAGCTACTGTTCAACCTAGCAATCCCATTACTGGGTGTATACCTAAAGGAAAATAAGATCATTATACTCAAAAGACACATGCACTCATATGTTCATCACTACACTATTCACAATAGCAAAGACATGGAATCAACCTAGATGCCCATCAGTGGTGGATTAGACAAAGAAAATGCAATACCTACATACCATGGAATACTATGCAGCCATAAAAAAGAATGACATCATGTCTTTCACAGGAACATGGACAGAGCTGGAGGCCATAATCCTAAGCAAACTAATGCAGGAACAGAAAACCAAATACCACATGCTCTCACTTACAAGTGGGAGCTAAACATTGAGCACACATGGACATAAACAGGGAAAAAAGAGACACTGTGGACTACTAGAGATGGAGAGGGAGAGGGAGAGAGTGTGGATTGAAAAACTACCTATTAGGTACTATGCTTATTACCTGGATGAAATATAGCCATGTAACAAATCTGCACATGGACCTCCTGTGTCTAAAATAAAAGTTGAAGTTTAACCAATCAATAAGTAAAAACATATAGAGGGGAGAAAATGTTTAAGAAAAGAAAAAGAAATACTACACATCAACAGTGGTTGTGTATAGCTGGGATCATTGGCATGTTTTAAGTCTTTTATGTGTTCTAAATATTGTTAATAAAAATGTGGTACTTTACAATGGAAAAAGAAAGTCTTCTAAGTGATGGTTTCAAATTTTTAAAGAAGTGGGAATCTCTTTCAAATGAATTCTTATACAGAATCCTAATCATAAAGAAGACACGTAAATAATTTCTGAATGAATTTTGAAGGTTTAAAGTTGAAAATATTTGAGAATACCTAATACAGTAAGATATTAAAACCTCTTCAATGTCACTATGGTAAAATAGATATCACTATCAATCATTACTGAATTTTTTTTTTAAATACATACTCATACTTAATGCTTTTTAAAAACAAAGTTCTGGCTTCTTATTTTTATTCTTCACCAAATAATCAGATTATAGGAAAAAAAATTTGAAAGCTGGAAAGGTTTACTTTAAGTGTGAAAATAAATAAAAATTTTAGTTCTAGCTCAAGCTGAACAAGTCTTGTTCTAAAAATCTCTGCATATAGCCTTCTTATCAGGAAAGCAGAGATGGATATAAATTACATGATTTCAGGAGCTCAGATGGAACTCCAGATTTATAGAATCTGGAACAGGAGAATAAAGGAGAGTTTGTCTTTTTAAAAAATAAATAAATAAATAAATAATGCTAATACCCACCCACACAGCTCTCCACACAGAATGAAAGCTATGTTATAATAAATTCTGTTTCTCATTTATGACTCAATGAAACATCAGAACACTTGATGTACAATATAACTTTTAAAGGAAGGTTGACCAATTTTCTTCTTGGAAGAAGAAACGAAATCATCTAAAAAAAGCACTTTGGGAACTATGACAAAAATGAGGAAATAAGCTCTTCCTCTTATGAATAAAGATTCAGTGTCTCTGTATCTAATAGTAAATAGACTGAAAATAGGAGATGTTCAATAGGAAGCTTAATGTCTGTTACTAAAATAATAGATAAAAATAAAAAATTAAAGATAAATAAAAATTAAATTATCTGGAAACTCAAAATAGAAGTTCATGTAACCAAAAGACAAAAGTTCTATTAGAAAAAATAATCATTCAACAATATGTATCCCACTTTTAGCTATTTTCTATATGTGAACAAAAATCATTGTACAGTCAATGGGAAATAGTAATTGAATACTACATGAAATAACATTGGACAATTTTTACTTTTGATTAACTCAAGAAATGTAGAGTTATAAGGAATTGAAAGGTAGGACATAAACCAGTTTCCCAGTTTGGAAAATGGTGAAACATGCATTGTTACCAGAGGTCAAATCAAAGCTTACTGGCTACATTTCTTCACCTTTATCATAAAAATTTTAAAGTATGAGAAATCTTCATATGGACATTCTTAAGACAAGTGAAGAAATATTTCCCATTTTCACCTTGTACAATCAATTTAAAATATGAATTTTAAACGTAAAATGTGTTACTATAATTTCCTGTGTTATTTCTTGATGGGGAAAAAATATACCTCAGAAGCACATCCAACTTCTTCTCTGCAGAAGCATAGCCTTGGGAGTGGCCAACCTGAAATTAATTTCCCTGAATAAATTTTGCAAAGCTGCCAGGTGGAGAAATTTTCCTTTAGAAGAGATCCTAGGGTTTGCTAAAACCAGCAAATGGCTTACTATCAGAAAACCTGAAATCATCATATCAAAATATACTTGCACTTGTATGTTTATTGAAGCACTAGTCACAATATCAAGGATATGAAATCAACCTAAATGTCCGTCAAGGGATGACTGGATAAAGAAAATGTGACACACACACACACACCATGGAATATTATTCAGCCATAAAAAAGAATGAAATCAAGTCTTTTGCAGCAACATGGATGGAACTAGAGTCTATTATCTTAAGTGAAATAACTCAGAAAGTCAAATACTGCATGTTCTCACTTATAAGTGGGGCCTAAATGATGTGCGTACGTGGACATAAAGAATAGAAGAGTAGACACTGCAGACTCAGAAAGGTGGAAGGGTGGGAAGGGGGTGACGGATGAAAATTACTTAATGGGTACAATGTACACAATTCAGGTGATGGTTACACTAAAAGCTCAGACTTCACCACCATACACTATATTGATGTGACATAATTGCACTTGTGTCTCCTAAATCTATAAAAATTAAAATAAAGAAAAATAAAAGAAAATCTAGGTTTCAGACTCAGCTTATCCTTAGAAGCTTGAGCAAGACATAACTTCACTTGGCTTCAGTTGCTTCATTTGTAAAATTGACAGGCTGTCAAACAGCTGTCACATCCTGCGATTCCCACTGGACATCATTATGTAATCATTCATCCGAACAAATCCAGGCTCAAGAGAAGATTGCTCTATAACCTGGCTCTTTGTTGTCAATCTCCTCTCAAGATCATTAATGTAAATATTTTAGTTTACTCAAGATAATGGCCATTGATAAGCCTATAAAATAATTATTTTCTCAAAACTGAACATTCCAATGAACAGATACTCTTTAGCAAAGTAGCCTGCGCACAACTAGTTCTTAACACATATTTGAAAAATGTATTTAAGATTATAGTCTGGGCTGGTCGTGGTGGCTCCTGCCTGTAATCTCAGGAGTTAGAGACCAGCCTGGTCAACATAGTGAGACCCTGCTTCTACAAAAATAAAAATAAAAATAAAAATTAGCCAGGCATGGTGGCATGCACCTGTAGTCCCAGCTACTCGGAAGGCTGTGGCGGAAGGATCACTTGACCCCAGGAGGTCAAGGCTGCATGCAATGAACCATGATGGCACTACAGCCTGGGAGACAGAGCAACACCCTGTCTCAAAACAAAACAGGACAAACAAAAGAAAAAGAAAAAAATCTAAGAGTATAGTCTGTACTTTTTCTCATCAATTTTTTCTTCATAATTGTTAAAAATCATCAAATAAAAATATGTGGTATATTTTCTCTTTCTTAAACTATTTCACATGAATACAAAATTTTAATTGGGTAGAAACCATGAATTTTAGGCATATTCATAGAACATTCCTCAAAACATATTTGCAAGTCATATCATTCCCTTTTAGCATACAGTCACTCAGAAGTAGTAATAGAAACTTCAATAGTATTCTTCCTATGAAATTTAAATAAATTAATATTAACAAGACAGCTCAAAATCCTAGGATGAAAATAAAACATATATGGAAATATATTTTTGGGCTTGTTTTTAAAATTTGACTGATACTGTAGTGGAATGAAAGGGTAATGAATTCATGGGCCAATTCTGTCGCTGTAAGCTATAACTTTGTGCAACTAATTTTAACTTGGCTTTCTTATCTGTGAAATGGCCATCATGCCCTTCTACCCACCTCACAGTCTGATGTGTAGATAGTGGGGAAAATCTATACAATGCCCACTTGACACCACAAATATTAATGCTGATGGCACAAGGAGCTTGTTCATTTGTTCTAGCCTGAGAGATAGAGCTTGGGAATGGCCTCAAACTATTGAAATTGGTTCTGTTGTTACAGTGGTGGGGTGGTTGTGGTTTCAGTGACTGAGTTTGAAAGGAGTGGGAAGAGAGTGGGAAGTTCACTGCAATGTATCTGACCAAGATCTGCTGGAAGGTGAAAGTGTGTAGCTTCTCGGTGCAGTTGTGTTGCAAAAGGGAGACCATTTGCAGAGACATAGTTGAGTCAGGTCTATGCTTAGGAGAGTGGATCTTTCAGTTGTTTACAGCAACGTGCCTAAAATGAGCTCACCCTCTTCAGCTGACAAGATAAATGCCCCTGCAGAGCAGGTCTGAGCTGTTCTTTTTAGGGGCACGGCACAGGCAAGCTGCTGAGAAATGTGGCCTGGTGTGCACAGGATTCCCAGCATAGGCCATTAAGGCTGATGGTCCAGTTTCCAGAACTATCCAAAATTACAGAGGAGGCTCATGTGAGGTCTGGGCTTGCCTGGCTCTGTCATCATTGCTTCCTGTCTCTCTGGTCAAGGGCCTGGGCAGACACTTGCCACAATGGGCACAGGGAGAGACCAACTTACCTTCATAGTTGGAGGAGGAGAAACAGAAACTCAGATGCCTGAATTTTAACCTCATGTATTTCCCAACTACACTTGGGGAGAGTAAATAAACCATTACTATTTTAATCATTTGACTACGAAAATAATATTTCTGGCTTTCCAGCTGGATAGAGGATGCATCGAAACAGTGCCCTCTGCCTTACGCTCTGTTTGTGAGCAGTGCGTGACCACAGACTTATTTTGGGGTATCCTAGGGTGGCTTCTTAAAATTTACAGATATCCATATGAAGCTTCCTGAGAACAACATGTTAAAATACACGAGATCTTCCGGGCCTCATCTTCCTACTCTCTAATGCACCACCTTTAACAAAACTGATTTATATTTTTCAACTATGAAAGTATAAAAATGCAATGTTTGTGAGTTCTGAGAAGCATCCTTTCTGAAAGTGCTTACTTAAAAAAATTATGGGTACATAGTAGATGTACATATTTATGGGGTACATGAGATATTTTGATACAGGCATACAATGTGTAATAATCACATTAGGGTAAACCGAGTATCCATCACCTCAAGCATTTATCATTTATTTGTGTTACAAACATTTCGTTTATACTCTTTTAGTTATTTTTAAATGTGCAATAAATTGTTGTTGGCTGTAATCACCCTGTTGTGCTATTAAATATTAGATCTTATTCAAGTGGAGAAAAAGGAACCCTTGCATGCTGTTGGTGGGAATATAAATTAGTACTAAATTAGAATGTAAATTATTCTCCACAGCCACTATGAGAATAGTATGGATGCTCCACAAACAATTAAAAATAGAACTACAACACGATCCAGCAATCCCACTGCTAGGTATATACCCAAAAGAAAGGAAGTCAGTTTATGGAGGGGATATCCACATTCCCATGTTCCTGCTGCACTATATATAATCGCCAAGATGTGGAAGCTTCCCATTTTTTTTTGAGTAAATTATTCAAGAATAAGTACATGCCACGGAATCCTAAATAACAAGTAATGGGATACTACCCTTGTTCTCTGCACAGTTGTGCATCTTTTGCTCCTTCCTACAACTGCCAATTGTTTAAGGGGAGAGTTACTGGGGTGAACAGCCTGGCCAACATGGTGGAACCCCATCTCTACTAAAAATACAAAAATTAGTTCTGCATCGTGGTGCCCGCCTGTAATCTCAGCTACTCAGGAGGCTGAAGCAGAAGAATTGCTTGAACCCGGGAGGTGGAGGTTGCAGTGAGCTAAGATCATGCCACTGCACTCCAGACTGGGCAACAGAGTAAGGCTCCTTCTCAAAAAAAAAAAGAAAGAAAAAAGAAAAAGAAACATAGGATAAATCCATCTTTTAACAGTATGTCACTTATATGTTTGCTATGGTTTGGGTGTTTGTCTCCCCAAACCTCACATTGAGCTTTGATCCCCAGTGTTGGAGATGAGGCCTAAGGGGACGTGTTTAGGCCATAGGGGTGAATTTCTCATGAATGGCTTGGTGCTATCCTTATGGTAATGAGTGAGTTCTTGCTCTATCAGTTCCTGTGAGAGCTGATTGTTAAAAAGAGCCTGGCACCTCCTGCCTCTCTTGCTTCTTCTCTTGCTGAATGATTTCTGCACACACTGACTTCCCTTCACCTTCCACCATGAGTGAAAGCAGCCTGAGACCCTCACCAGATGCAGATGTTGGTGCCATGCTTCTTGTATGGGCTACAGAAGTGTGCGCCAAATAAACCTCTTTTCTTTATAAATTACCCAGTCACAGATATTCCTTTATAGCAACACAAATGGACTCAGATAATTTTCAAACAACATAATCTGCATTTCTTTAACTTCCATTCCCCTTCAAAAGTATAATGAATATAGTAAGCTTCCTATGCTGCCAGAATTTTTGGATGCTCAATATGTTTTATAAGTTACTTTTTTCTAGATCAGCAATTAGGCCCATTATTTTAAATCTAGAGCAAATCCACTTCAACTGAAAGCATATTATTTGAAGATAACTAACATACTGTTTTAAGAAAAGTTTACTTTGTTTCCTGACTTTGCATATGTATCTTATAGAATGGGGACTGGAAGACCAACAGCAATAAATTATTTGCCAAGAAATGTAGTACATTAATAATGTAAACTGTAACTGTGTAAGGCCTTTTGAAAGATGCTTAATACATAAATCTACTCTCTGATAATTTTTTTTTTTGAAACAGAGTTTCACTCTTATTGCCCAGGCTGGAGAGCAATGGCTAGATCTCAGTTCACTGCAACCTCTGCCTCCCGGGTTCAAGCCATTCTCCTGCCTTAACCTCCCAAGTAGCTGGGATTACAGGTGCCTGCTACCACGCCCAGCTAATATTTGTATTTTTAATAGAGACCGGGTTTCACCATGTTGGCCAGGCTTGTATCAAATTCCAGACCTCCATTGATCTGCCCACTTCAGCCTCCCAAAGTGTTGGGATTACAGGCATGAGCCACCATGCCTGGTCAACACTCTGATAACTCTAAGCTATTTAATCCTTAAAAGTTACCAGCCTCATTTGCCAGAATGTGTTGTTTTGATGCCTAATGCCAGAGTGTAAGCTCCCTAAAGGTAGTAATATGTGTAGGATTTGTTCACCAGGAATATCCAGTACTTGGAAATGGGCCTGGCACATAGAATGCATTCAATAAATAATTTTAAATAAATGCTGCCATACATGGAAAGAGGATTAACATGATTTAGCTACTTAAACAATCTGCAACTCATCTGAATATTACTGGTTGGGCAAAGTCCCCAGTGCCTCTTGCTTAGGGGTAGCTTGCAAAATGAGAATCTCTCTGACCATGAAAATTATTTGGGAATTCTTCCAAATATGTCAGCTTAACAAAGACACATCAGTGAGTTATCTTGAAAATTCATTGTCTTCCTTATGTCTAAGGAAACATAGCACATTTTGACAGATAGCCACCATTTATGATTTCATGACATAACTGACACAATTGCAGCACTTAAAATAAGATTTTCCTGCTTTTGGATAGGTCTTCTCATGCCCAGTATATTTTTTAAGAAGTTATAAACAGTGAAAAACAAATTCATTGCAATTATATAAAGTATGTTAGCATAGTTCTTTTTAGAGAAAAACATCCTCATTATAAGTATGTTACTGTAAATGTATATTTATATTGTAAAATCCTAATTCATACACACTACTCCTTTTGTTGGTGGGGTAGAAGTAAGACACTAAAGGATCTAAGAGATTCATAGGGAAACTAAGTGGAAAATATTGGGAAATAAGATGAGGCAGACCAGCCAAGCTTTGGGTTTTTTGTCTGTTTTTTGAAATGGAGCTTCGCTCTTGTTGCCCAGGCTGGAGTGCAATGGCACCATCTCAGCTCACTGCAACCTCTGCCTCCTGGGTTTAAGTGATTCTCCTGCCTCAGCCTCCCGAGTAGCTGAGATTACAGGCACCCGCCACCATGCCCAGCTAATTTTTGCATTTTTAGTAGAGACGGGGTTTCACCATGTTTGCCAGGCTAGTGTCGAACTCCTGACCTCAGGTGACCTGCCCACCTCAACCTCCCAAATTGCTGGGATTACAGGTGTGAGCCACTGTTCCTGGCCATGCTTTGGGTTTTTATGGTACCAATAACCACTTCTCTGAAGTTAGAGGTGTAAACTTCACCTGCTTGATGTACTTTTTGGAAGAGCCTAGGTTGAAGAGAGGTATAGGGGATGAGAGAGGTGAGCACCAGAAAAAAACTTATAAAGAAAAGCCTGTGTTTGTTTTGAAAACAAGTAACCTATGGCTGGGAGAAGAGCTACTGTCAGATGCATGGGCAGAAAATCCAGGCAACCTGACTGTGAAAGGCCTACACAGCAGCAGCTGCAAGGCTGCTCACTGAGTCTTCAAAAGAGGGAACTTTATGCTAAGTCAATCTCTTCTCTGCATAAACTAGAATTATTTTACTTAGCAATGCCTGCTTTTCAAAGTATGGGTTGTAGAATGAAATAACCATTGTTCTCATCCCAAGCTTCACCACTGACCAGCAGTGGGACACAGGACAAGGAAAACTCTTTCCAGGCCTCGGCTCCTGTATTAGTCCATTTTCATCCTGCTGATAGACATACCCAAGACCAGTTGCTTTATTTAAAAAAAAAAAAAAAAAAAAAAGAGGTTTAATGGACTCACAGTTCCACGTGGCTGGGGAGGCCTCACAATCATGGCGGAAGGCGAAAGGCACATCTTACATGGCGGCAGGCAGGAGAGTATGAGAGCCAAGCAAAAGGGGTTTCCCCTTATAAAACCATCAGATCTCGTGAGACTTATTCACTACCACAAGAACAGTATAAGGGAAATCACCCCCAGGATTCAATTAACTCCCACCGGGTCCCTTCCATAACATGTGGGAATTATGGAAGCTACAATTCAAGACGAGATTTGGGTGGGGACACAGTCAAACCATATCATCTCCACACCTCCAAAATGGAGAGAGTAATCCCTCTTCCCATGTCTGTAGAAACCTTGCACAGTGTCCGGCGTACAGGAAAATGTCAATTAGTGGTAGGCTGTTATTTTTCATCTTTTGAATGGGAGTTGTAATTTTTTTTCTTTTTACATTTTCTCTTAGAATTTTAGTCAATTTTTAAAATATTGGGTTCTAAGAGTGCTAACATGGAGTAAAAAACTTGATATTGTCATTGCTTGGAGTTGGAAGAGAAAAAGCAAACACCAGGAGTCCTGGCACAGTAGCTGCAGGTCCATGAGGTAACTCAGCATGGAAGGCAGAAAAGCCAAGGAAAGAAGGTTGGGAAACTGGGGCAGGCAGGCATTCCCCCTATCTATTGCCTGGTCTGCATTTGTTGTTCTTTTGTTTTCTGGAACAAGACTGTATATTTTGCTCATTCATTGGCTTAGTTATTCATTCCATTCAATACAAATGCCACAAAAGGCCGGGGGCAGAGGTTCACACCTGTAATCCCATCACTTTGGGAGGCCAAGGCAGGCAGATCACTTGAGGTCAGGAGTTCGAGACAAGCCCGGCCAACATGGCAAAACCTCGTCTCTACTAAAAATATGAAAATTAGCTGGGGGTGGTGGCAGGCACCTGTAATCCCAGCTACTTGGGAGGCTGAGGCAGGAGAATTGCTTCAACCCAGGAAGCAGAGGCTGCAGTGAGCTCAGATAGTGCCACTGCACTCCAGCCTGGGTGACAGAGGGAGACTCTGCCTCAAAAAAAAACAAAAACAAAAACAAAAACAAAAACAAAAAAAGCCACAAAAGACATTGTGCAAAATGTGGAGAGAGGGAACAGAAAATGGCGGAAATTGAACTTCTCTCAAATCTCAAGTCCCTGTAGGAGATCAGACAAGGAAACTGACAAATGCAAAACCGGATGGTGAAGGCAAGGGGTTTAAGCAGATGTTCCCATGCAATTCTGTTCCCAATAAAAGACCACTGCTTTGGGTGCCAATAACCATGTAGATATGGAAAAAAAATTAATGATATTATGTATTATAAATATCTATACTTTTACAAAAAAGCCAATAAAAATAAATAATAACTGGAGGGTTTGTATTACTTTATTAGCAAAGATTGTTTTATATATGCTGGAAGTAATTTTGATTTCTGCAAAGAGGAAATTTTCTGATTATTATATACTGCAATCAGATTTTTTTCCTATCTCAAGTTATTATAAAAAATTCATTGTTGTCACAGATCAGAAACACCCATCCTCCTTGACTTTCCAGAAAGTCTGAAAGTTAAGAAAAATAATTTCACCATCTAAGCTATATGTTCCATGAGAAAGACACTGCTAAAACAGCAAAATGGTCCAAAAAAGATTCACCTGTGGAAAGTGAAGAAAAAAATGTTAACTTTTATAGTCTCTCTTAAAACAAGGAAATAGATGCATTTATTCCTATGTCTAGCTCTTCTCCTGTAATCTTCTACTTCTTGAATCTGCCTTGGACCAAGAAGCCCACATCTCTGCTGATACTGATTCCTACATCTTCTGGTCTGATGCCAAACCACAGTGATTTTGCATCTGCAAGAGCACATTTGAGAGTCAGCTGAAAGAAGAGCAAAACATTTATTAACGCCAAAGCCATCAACTGCAATCAAAAGATGAAGCCAAACAAATCGAGCAATTTGCAGAAGAGGAGACACCGTCTAAGGCAGGAATAAGTGAACCTGAAGGGTGTTAGAACAAAAACAGATCCCATCTCATAAAAGGAATCTTGGCACAGGCCTTCCCAAATATAAAAATCAAAGAGCTATTCTCCCCTGTCTTCCTTACATAACAGCACTCAAGGATAGGAAAGACAGATTTATGGATCAGAGGCTTCTGTCCAGAGCATGGCCTTTCTCATGAAGTTACCTGTCTAGCATGTGAACCTGATGATCGATGGGACTGTTATTCCCCATATTGGCTTTCTTCCCTGTAAGTGATTATACATCCAACCCATTTCCGAATGACTTGTGGTGCCTCTCCATACGTGGAGAATATTTCTCTGCCATGTTTTCAGGCTTGGCAACATGAGGTGTCTGGGCCAGTGAAATGTAAGCAGAGGTGACAGTGTGCCAGTTCAAGCAAACACTTTGAAGCATGACATTTTCCAGCCAATACTCTGTTTTTCTTTCTGCCACAAAAACAGCAGTCCCAAAGCCAGGCACAGAAAGATAAATTTCGCAGGTTCTCACTCATATGTGAGACTTAGGAATCAAAACAATTGAACTCATGGAGGTAAAGAGTAAAATGATGGTTACTAGAGGCTGGGAAGAGGACAGGGAAGGGGAAGGAGTGCAGACAGCTACTGGGTACAAAAATGCAGTTATGAAACAAAAATAGCAAGTCCCAACTATACATGGCTATGTTTCTGATTCCAGGAAAGAGAAGACACTGGGAGCAGAACTGTAGCAATCAGTGCATGACCATCACTATGTAATGCAAGTGGGAAATGAAAATTTGTTGGCGTGAGCCCCTGAGATTTGGAGACTATATATTATTGCAGTGAAACTGACTAATATATATGACACCACGAAGCAGTAACACAACTGCATTGAAATAAGCATTCTTTCTCTAAGGGCATCCCAATCCATGAGAGGCTTGGCTTTTATTCTAAAAATGAGTGGAAAGAGATTAGATAGGATTGGTTCAAGCACTATGTCATCTGTAGTCAGAAGGTACCAGGGATAAAGGTACAATTTTCTATCCTAGATGAACTACGTTGCTGTAAGATAAGCCATAGTTATCCTGGAGGTCACCTGTTGCACAATTCTGGAAGTGGCCATGAAATAGATCAGCCTTGAAGGAGTGTGGCACAGCATAGGTTTATATTTGCCCCACTGCAACCATTTTTTCAAACACATAGTAAGTTCACTTGTCCTCCATCTCAGGAGTCCACACACAGTCAGGGCTATTACAGTCACTAAACAGAAAGTGCTGCTTTTGGCTTCTAGTTCTGCAACTGCTTTTACGGCTCCACCTCTTCCTTTTAATTTGCTTATTAATGGCTCTTTGACAACCCCACAGCTAAGTCAGTGGCCTTGGGGGGGTATAATTACAAATACTTTAAAACTCAAAGTTAGCATGTTTTTCCAATCAATTAAAAGTACTTAAAAATATCTAGAGCAGCCAAAAGCAACCTAGGTCCTAACCACATGCACCAGGCTACAGGAACTCAACAAGGCCTGACAAATTCAGTCTTGCCAGGACCAGCAGGGAGGGGACAAGAACTGTGAGATTCAGAAAATGAGTTGGAAGGCAGTGATGCATGGCTGAGCAAAGGGGATTTGTTCCTAGAATGCTGCTGCCTAATCCAAGAAGGACAGACAGGGCTGGGAAGCAGATCTGAAGCAGAGCTATGGAAGGAACACCGCATTCCTTGGCAAGCTTAGCTCTGATGGTGGGGCCTGGGGCTCATAAGGACAGCCAGCCACATGCTCACTGGCTCAATCAGAGATGGTTCCTCCTGCCTCTGGAGTGACTTATTCTTCAGAAGATTAGGAGCAAAGAGGATACATTCTTTGGCTAGCCCAGCTTGATTCCCTCTTTGGCTAGACTCACCCTCTGGGTCTTACGGAATCTACAAAAGGACGAAAAGGAACTCACTGGCAAGTAAAGCTTAATGGGAACAAAACAAGGATTGTCCAACAAGGATGACCTATCACAAGGATGCTAGAACTCCTGACAGGCCAGTCTTCTTCTTTTAAGGGTGGGGAAACTGGGCCCAGAGATGCAAAATGACCCACCTAAGGCCAAAGTCAATGACAGCATGGCAGAGGCAGGGCTCAGGGCCTGACCGATGAATTCCTGACTGATGCCGAGAGCTCTTCCTTAAGTCTCTACACTAGCCTATTCTGAAATAAATACAAGGACCTTGTAGGAGCCCCTAAAGTCAGAGAGAAGGTGTGACTACAACAGGAAGGGCTTATGTATCCGAAACACTGTTGTTATTGACAATTGATCCACCCAAGACATCGACTTTTCCACATAATGTTTTCACAAAGAATAGGGGTGTGAGATACTGTTGTGTGGATATTATCCACATGTGGAAGGAAAGAAAATCAATATGTGATGTACAAACCATTGAAACTTCATATTTGAGAATTCTGCAAGTCAACCATTATTGTCAATGGACAGGATCCTCCCTAATGAGAATTTCATAAAGCGTAAGTATAATACATCACACTCCATTAGGGGCTGGGGGTAGGGAACTGGAGGAGGTTGAAAAGGAGGGGCTCAGAGAGGAAGGAAGATGAGGGAAGTGATTAAGAAAAAACACTGACAAGTAGTGAAAACAAAGAACTTGCCTGGAGTGGATGCAGCTAAATGAAGTTTTCCTATGAGAAACAAGGTAAAGGACTCATTTAAAATGCCTGCAGGTAGACTGAAAGTTGTTTCCAAACACCGGATTGACAAAAAGATCTTAGAAATAGACAGAAAATGCCAATGCCTGTAGCTCTTTCTGACTCTTGCCAGTGGTCATGCTTTCATTTCCTCCCAAATCAGATCCTAAGTACCTATTCAGCAAAATAGAATACATGAGATCACAAACAGACACTTTCAACCACCAGAAACACAACTTCACTTAATTCTACAAATATTGTCAAGCTCCAGTGGGAGATGTTCTTTCCCCTGGCATTTGGTTGCGTTTGATTTTCACAAAATAGTGAACTTCTCAAGAGGAAATGCTTCTCTAGAGCTTGCTGGATTGATTTAGTCACTTCTCCCGACTGCCCCTCAGGGTCCCCATTAATTGCTACTTGGGGCAGACTATGACCAGTTTCTCTCGGCATAAACCACACAATAACCATGACAGCATAGCTTTGAGGGTTTACTAACCTGTGACACACTCAAACCATGCGAACTAAAGGGTTTCAAAAATCCTGAAGCACCTGAAATGTTTCTGAAAATGATTCTATGACCTGGCTATTAATAGGGATGAAAACAAGTTTGAAAATTAAGAGAGAATGAGAAGTTAGATGGGAAGTTGCATGCAACTTGGGTTCTTTCCCTGCAAAGTAAGGCAAAGCAGACACAAGAGAGGACTTGAGCTTACACTCATTTTGGAGGAAAATTCCTTGTGATGCTACCCTCCCCACATCCCTGGAGCCCCCACCCCACACCATAAACCTGATCCTTGAAATAATTAAAATCCACTTCTACAAAAGGGAAAATACTAAGTAGATTGATTTTAAACCTTCCACAGTAATGCAGTATGTATCAGGGCAACAGTGGTGTTGGATTGATACTAGGAGAGAAATTCAGTCTTTGCCAGAGCAGTGACTTTATAGCCAACTCCTCATCATGTCAACCTGAAATAATCTAAAGGGTCAGATTCCAATTTTAGAGAGTTTATTCAAGCAAAAAGCTGGGAATGGCCATTTCTGGATGCTCTGTCCCAGAGAAATGGGGGTAGTGCTCTGAAGTTAAAAGCTAAATTCTCTTTTATATAGGAAAAAGCAAAGAAATTTAACAAGATTACAACATTTTCAATACAGGGCCAGTTTATGAGTTACAACAAATTAATCAGTTTCTTTTCTTTTCTTTTCCATGCAGCTTGTTTTCTTTTCTTTATCGCTCCTTTTCATTTCCTTTTGATTTTAAAAGAGTGTGCTTAACATTCCATCTTGAGGCATTGAGATGGCCATAAAGTTTTTGTGTGAGAAGAAAGAGGTTAATCTATAATGAAAGTCAATAGTAAGAGGGAAGGGGTCTCCTCTGGCATCCTTCACTGATATGGACAGGAAACAGGGAAATACTGGGTAGAAGGGGGCGGTTCCCCAACAAACGGCCCACCCTCAAGCCTGAAGACCGGCAGCCCTAAAGGAGGACAGGCATTTCTGTTTTCATGGCCAAAATTTGCCTTTTGGCCTGCCATGCACCCCCCATCCTGCCCCCATACAAACCCAAGACCTTAGCGGGCACATACACAAGAAGCTGGACATCAAGACCAGCAGACCAGTGGACCAGTGAACCAGCAGACCAGTGACAGTGGAACAATGCAGCAGAGAAAGAGAGAAAAGGAAGGATGTCTGGACTCATAGGGGAGCTTGGCCAGGGGTGGCTGGAGAAGAGTTGGGCCGCTGGATGCCCGACTCCAGGGAAAGACCACCTTCCCACTCCATCCCCACTTCTGCCTCCCCATCCATCTCACTGAGAGCCACCTCCACCACTCAATGAAACCTTGCACTCATCCTTCAAGCCCATGTGTGATCTGATTCTTTCAGGACACTGGACAAGAGCTTGGGATAAAGAAAGTTGTCACGCTGGCCCCCTGCCCTCACAATAAGGCAGAGGGTCCGTTAAGCTGATTAACACACAAGCCGTCTGCAGACAACAAATCTGAAAGAGCTTTGTAATACATGCCTACATGGGCTTCGAGTGACACAGAGACCCACCCCTAGACTCTGCCGTGGGACAGGAGCCCAAAAGTGCTTGTACTGGCCTCTGCACCTGCCTGTCTGCATGCTCCTCCTTTGAGCTTTGGGGCGACCAAGCAGGTGAGCTACACCTGTCGCACGTCCTACAACCATTCACAACATTTTACAAAATAATGTAGGTAAGGGAAAAGACAATTCAGACAATCAAAAATATTACAAAAAGTTCACAGCTGCCTAGTTTACAGCTGCCTGTCTTGTGACTCAGGCCCCATAATTCACATTTCCTTATGGCTCAAAATAATTTAGAGTTCCAACAGCTTAGATTTTGAATCACTTATTTTCACAATCACAAAGCATAGTAGGAGTCCCAGAGAGAGAGCATAGCTCACACATAATCCAAAAGTCTTTTGTAGCCCATAGTTTCAAAATCACTCTCCCCAAGAAAGGTGAGGAAAGCTGGTATCATAGAAACCAAATGGGCCCGTCTGAGTTTCATTTCCCTCCCGCTGAGAGGTAATGATGAAACACCATACAAGTACTGCTTTGAAAAGCACCTGGATTCCCCAGGTTCTTTTAGATTACCTCATGGGAAATAAAATAGAAACAAATTTAAAACTATAACTAGGTTGGTTTTTTGTTTGTTTGTTTACCAGTTAAGACCTTAGGTAGGTACATGCTATGGGCTGAATTGTCTTCCTGCAACCTCCGCCAAATGTATATGTTGAACTCCAAACCTCTAGTACCTCAGAATGTTCCTGTTTTGGGACATGATAAAAGAAAAACTTCAGTCGGTTTAAATTTAAAGGAGTTTAATTGAGCAATGAACGTTTCACAAATCAGACAGCCCCCAGAATCACAGCAGATTCACAAAGACTCCAGCGCAGCCATGTGGTGGAAGATTTATAGACCAAAAAAAAAAAGAGAAATGACGTTCAGAAATTGGAAGTGAGGTACAGAACGGCTGGATTGGTTAGAGGTTGGCGTTTGCCTTATTTGAACACAGTTTGAGCACTAAGCAGTGTATGAATGGTTGAAATATGGCTGCTGGGATTGGCTAGGATTTAGCTATTGTTACAGGTGCATACTACTAAGTTAGGTTTTCAATTTTATCTGCCTATTAAGTTAGGTTACGGTTCATCCGCAAGGACTCAAATATAGAAGTAGGGAGTCCTTCTCAGGCTATAGTTTGCTTTAACAGACATAAAGGCTTTAAAGAGGTAATTAAGGTAAAATGAGGTTATTGGCATGGGTCCTAATGTAATCTGACTGGTGTCCTTATAAGATTAGGACACAGACACACAGAAGGAAGACAATCTGAAGTCACAGATCTACAAGCCAGGGAGAGGGGCCTCAGAAGTCAACCTGCTGACACATTGATCTTAGATTCACAGCTTCCAGAACTGTGAGAAAACAAATTTTTGTTTTCTGAGTCACCTAGCGTCCTTCTGGCACTTTTTTATGGCAGCCCTAGTGAACTAATATAGTATATTAACTTCTCCACAATTTTAGTGCATATTTAAAAATCCACCCTTAGGGAGTTGCTTACTAATCTGTCTCTCACTTTTAATGCTTTGTTGACGTCCACATTGCATCAGAGCCATGTCAGAATAACTGAAATAATAGCACAGCCAGTCTGGAGGTTTGGGCTGTCAGATTCGTAACCCTTGATCCAACTCTGTGGACATCATCGACATGTACAGTTTGTTACGATCTCCGCTTTACAGATATGAAAAATGGGGCTTGAAGAGGCTACAATACTTGTTCGAGTTCGGCAACTGGAGAAGGGAAGGGCTAGGATTTGAACCTAGATGGCTTGAGTCAGAGGGTGTGCTCTTAACAATTATGGGACACTGTCTCCCTAAGCAGGGAGGAGAGGAACTGTGATATTGAAACTGCCTTTGCAAAATTATGACTGAGACAGTGAAAGAGATCTGACCTAACCAACTCCATCTTCCTTCTAACCTTTAAGCTGTCCTTGTCCCTTCCTGGGCATAGACCGAGCTAACTTTGGGAGGAATTTATAGTTTACAACAAAGACCATAACAGCCCTTTCCCAAAACAAGCCTCCTTCTTGCCTGGGGACTAGACTGCCTTTATAGGACCAATTAGCCACAAGATTTGAAATTATGTTTTAGGACTTACGCAGCTGGAGGCTACAGGATTCTGACCCTCCCTAAACTGCTCATAAGATTAGTGCTTGAAATATTTTGCAGATATTTTGATGGATCAGCTGGCACCACCCAGACTGATAAACTGGCTCACCTGATCTTGTGGCCCCCACCCAGGAATTGACTCAGCACAAGAGGACAGCTTCAACTTGCCATGATTTCATCTCTGACCCAACCAAGCAGCACTCTCAATTCACTGGTCTTCCCCCACCCACCAAGTTATCCTTAAACACCCTGGGCCAGGCCCAGTGGCTCACGCCTGTAATCCAAGCACTTTGGGAGGCTGAGACAGGCAGATCACAAGGTCAAGAGATCGAGACCATCCTGGATAACATGTGAAACCCCGTCTCTACTAGAAATACAAAAATTAGCTGGGCATGGTGGCAGGCACCTGTGGTCCCAGCTACTCGAGAGGCTGAGGCAGGAGAATCACTTGAACCTGGGAGGCAGAGGTTGCAGTGAGCTGAGATCGCGCCACTGCACTCCAGCCTGGCAACAGAATGAGACTCCATCTCAAAAAAAAAAAAAAAGACCTGTGATCCCCAAATGCTCAGGAAGACTGATTTGAGTAATAATGAAACTCTGGTCCCCCACACAGCCGGCTCCGTGTAAATTATTCTTTCTCTATTGCAATTCCCCTGTCTTGATAGATTCTGTCTAGGCAGCAGGCAAGGTGAACCCACTGGGTGGTTACAATATATCTGAGCTTTAGTGACTGAGAGAAAGGTTGAATCACTGGCAGAAACAGAGAAGATCCCAAAGTCTTCTTGTGAAGAGAAACGTGATGAGGTGGATGTTAGACCTGTTAATTTCAATGGAGAGCCTTCACACAGAGCTGGGAGATTCATGGCAGGGCCATGGGTGAAGAACTGGGGCTTCTCCATTTAAGGCATGGAAGCAGAGGAGACCTCTAAGCAGAAAATTGCAAAGAAGAGAATTACAAATCCTTCCTTTGGGTGTGGCCACAGTTAAGATGAGAATGAGGGAGCGGCAGCTGTGAAGAAGCCAGAGAGGCCGAGCGTAACCAGAAAACACAGAGTCCTGGGATTCCAGGGTAGAATATGTCAGGGATGTGGTAGTAAACACTCAGAACAGCAAACTGCTGACTAGTGCTGTCAGCAAACTGAAATAAGCACTGCATTGAGGGCAGGCAATTGGTTTAACTCCAACATACTCAACTTTTCATTATTGAGATATTCTGGGCACCATCTAATAAAAACTAGCATTTTCCAAAAAACTTCTTAATTCTCAGTCCTCACTTACATATTGAAAAAAATTGTAAAATACACAGAAACAGAAACATATGATTGGCTTTATAAATAATCATAATGATCTGAATCAGCAAATACTGTAAATACAGCAAATACTGTAAAATCACTTCTTAAATTCAGAAAATATTCAAGCATTTTAAAAACCAACAGAGATAGCTACATGTTGACAAAATAATGGATATTAGTAACTGTCTAGTGATCTCTAACAAACTGTAAAAAACAAAACTGTAATATAGTAAGAAAGAATTAGAAACCCCATTGTTAGGCTTAATCTGTGAAAAGATATTTTAGTAGTTTTGTTGATAATGAAAAAAGTGCATATAGCCCAGATATTTATTATTTTTTAAAAAAATTAGACTAGCTCTTACTACCCAATGTAGTCTTTGAGTTGGAAAGACAATCCAAGCTAAATCACTACACCAAATATATAGATAGAAATTTTCCCTACAACGTGCCTAATAGATGGTCATGCAATAGTCCTGATATGGTTTGGCTCTGTGCTCCCGTCCCCAAATCTCATCTGAAATTATAATCCCTACATGTCAGGGGAGGAACCTGGTGAGAAGTGTTTGGATCATGGGGGCGGGTTTCCCTCTGCTATTTTCATGACAGTGAGTTCTCACGAGATCTGATGGTTTAAAGTGTGGCACTTCCCACCTTGTTCTCTCTCTCTCCTGCTGCCTTGTGAAGGAGGTGCTTGCTTCTCCTTTACCTTCTGCCATGATTATAAGTTTCCTGAGGCCTCCCCAGCTATGTGGAACTGTAAGTCAATTAAAACTCCTTTCTTTATAAATTACCCAGTCTCGGGTAGCTCTTTATAGCTGTGTGACAACAAACTAATACAAGTCCATATCATTGTCTTTTATTAATTATAGAAAGCTCTTCTTAATACTGAGTTTAAACCTGCCTCCCTATAACATCAATTAGAATACTTCCCTTGGGACAGAATAAGACAATCTATAATAAAATAGCCGGCCCCCTTTTTTTTTTTTTTTTTTTTTTTTTTTTTTTTTTTTTGAGACGGAGTCTCGCTCTGTCGCCCAGGTCGGACTGCGGACTGCAGTGGCGCAATCTCGGCTCACTGCAAGCTCCGCTTCCCGGGTTCACGCCATTCTCCTGCCTCAGCCTCCCGAGTAGCTGGGACTACAGGTGCCCGCCACCGCGCCCGGCTAATTTTTTGTATTTTTAGTAGAGACGGGGTTTCACCTTGTTAGCCAGGATGGTCTCGATCTCCTGACCTCATGATCCACCCGCCTCGGCCTCCCAAAGTGCTGGGATTACAGGCGTGAGCCACCGCGCCCGGCCTAATAGCCGGTCTCTTAATAAATTAACCTTCTCTTCTGTACACGCCTAATTCTTCCATTGGACTTCCTAGTATGTGGTTTTTAGACCCTCCTTGCTGATCTATCATTATTTGTGTGCACTCCAGGTTAACAACTGACCATTAAAGTGTAACAGACAAATTTTAATTTAATACTCCTGCAAAGACCTGATCATTATATTTGTTACTGAACAAATAATAATTAAGAATCTACCAAGCACAATACATTGAGCTGAACATTGGGGATAAAACATGTGGTTTAGAATGCAGATCTTCAATATCTGCAGTGACTATCTCAGCTTTTGGGGGCTGTGTGGTATTTTGGTCTCACAGCAAATTTGTAATTAATTTATTTGTTTATGTCTTATTTTCGTTTTTACAAAAGCTGCTGCCACAAAGATTTTCAGATCTTATATCTTATCATTGCAGATTTGCTCTTTTAAAGCTGACAATAGTAACTTACATATTTCATGCCATTTCATAGCCAGTTGTCCAACCTGGTGAGATTACTTAGAATTTTCATCTTCAACTAGCAGCAAAAAAAGAAAAAAAAAAGAGTTCTTTTCGCTAAGCTGGCAGCTTTTTGCATTATAAATTTTTAAATTTGATAAATGTGGCTTTTATGCTTATATTCAAGTCTCCGATAACATTTTCACAGAAGTCAAAGAACAAAGAAACTTCTTTTAAGGTTGACCTCCCTTGGTTTATACCCTTTTTGTGTGACTGTCCAACTACTTAAAAAATCATCTGGAACATCAGAGGTAGCCATCCCACATGCTTTTATCTCGCTCATAAGATTATTAAAATAGGCTTTATTCATGTATAATACAATAATAAAGGTTGCCAGGGGTTCATTTGTGCTGTTTATTGTTACTTTTATGAAGAAAAATGAAGAACTGCACAGATATCTAACGGATAAGAAGGCTGAAGGAGGAACCAACCACAAAAACAACAGCAGAAACTGTCTGTAAGGAAACCACAAGGCCCAGATAGTGGGACACACCACCAAATCATGTACATCATGTACAAAAGGTCATGACAATGAAGAAATCCTTATCCCTTTGAAAACTCCCATGTTTCTAGGCAATATGCCTCTTCACTCTGCTAGGATATTGTAGAAATGTTTAGGGTGCATGAAAGGATAAGTACATTATAGGATGCAGTAGATACCATACAATGATAATAGAGATGGAGACCACCCACTTGGGTCATGGAAGATGAAGCCTTTGAGGACTTAGAGTTAAGATCTGATCATTCTTTTTGTAGACAGTCTTGAGACTGGTCCTTGCTAATTCATTTGAATTTGCTGATTACTTTATCTTATTCTGTGTGGATTTTGGCCCAATGATGACAACTGGTGGTGGGGGGGAGGGGTGGTCCCAGAACAAATAAGTGAACATTTTGTCTGCTATTTTATTGTGATCATACAATCTAGGAAACTTAGAATAGAAAGAAAATTGGAGTTTACTTTACCTGATCTATTCGAAGGAAACGTGTGTCAGTCCTGATTGATTGCCATCTTCTATTCCAAATGTTCAACAACGATCTAGCTAATAAAAAATTCTGAGAAAAGGATTTCTCAGATACACTTTTTAAATATTTGCACATTTCCAAGCTTCTTTCATCTCTGCAGTTCCCTACTGTCTCTGATAACACATCCAGGAGACCTTTATACCCTGAAAAGTAATTTACCTAATACTGGGGGTATGAGCACATTTAAAACACCTTCAGGTTCTCTTACCCTTTATTCTCCTATTCTGGGCTTGATGTTAGAGTGGGAAGAAAACAGCTTTAAATTAAGACCACATACCAGACTCCTGGTTCTGCCACTTATTAGCTGAGTTACTTTGGGAAAATTACCAACCCTCCCAAGCCTCACTTTGTTTCTCTATTCAATTGAGGGTTCCTGTTAATTCACAGAGTTACTATAAGGACAAAATGAAAATATGCAAGCAAACAAAATTAATTAAAGATATTATTCTCACATTACAATTGTTAACTTTTCCAGTTGGAATTTCATATCCCTTAATGCAAAAGATTTGAACTTCACTCAATAATTATTGAGTACTTACTATGTACCAAGATAAATATGAAAAAGATACAGTCTCTGCCTGAAGCGGGCTTAGACAAGTAAAATGTAAGTGTCAAACAGCGTGTACAGGATATTTTGAGAGTACACAGGGGACTGAGATGAGGAAGGTCAGGGAGGCCACCAAAGGAGCTTATTCTTGAATCTTCTAAGCATGTCTTAGACAGGAGAGGAGCTGTGACAAGGGAGAGCACCCCAAGCATAAAGAACAATTTGTGTAAAGTCACAGAGATGAATAAAAGCTTGGTGAAATAAACGCAATGGCTGGAGTACAAAAACAAGAGAGTGTCAACATGTGAAAATGGACACTGGCAGGGATCTGATCACAAACAAACAAACAAATAAACAAACAAAAACACAGAAAGAGCAAATGTGCCTGGGAGTTTATTCTCTATCTCAACCACTGCAGAGGGCCTCTGCTATGTTCTGTTTGTGTCCCCCAAAATTCATATGGTGAAATCCTAACCCCCAACATGATGATATTAGGAAGTGTGACCTTTTGTGGAGTGATTAGGTCATGAGGGCAGAGACTTCATTAATTGGATGAGTGCCCTTGTAAAAGAGGCTTCAGAGAGCTAGCTTGAGCCTTCCACCATGTGAGGACACAGCTAGAGGACGTCTTCTATGAACCAGAAATAGACCCTCCCCAGACACTGAATGTATTGGCATCTTGATCGTGGACTTCTCAGGCTCCAGAACTGTGTGAAACAAATGTTTATTGTTTATAAGCCACCTAAGTTTATGGATTTTTGTTATAGCAGCCTGAAAGACTAAGGCAAACTCTAAAGGATTTCCATGATAGTGAGGGGTAGATAATATTCCTAGAATCATACTTTAAAAATATGGCTTGGCTACAACATAGAGAATAGTTTAGAAGGAAGCTAAAGCCAAAGGCGGAAAAATCATTTAGAGGCTTCTGAAATAATCCTGGAAAGAAGTAAAGGGAATCTGAACAAGTGCAGTGCAGATAGGCTAGAGAAAATGGAATGCCTCCTAGAGATATTAAAAAGGCAAACTTTCAAAACTAACACACCAGTTGGGGGATTAGGGAAAGGGGATAGTGAAGTACCCCAGTTTTTGTCTTGGATAAGTGACATTTGAAAAAGAAAGGTATGTAACAGGAAAAGGAATTGGAAAACAGATGATGAAATTCATTTTGAACATATTAACTTGAGATACATCGATTTCAAGATCTAGAGGTCTTATTTTGTTTTACTTTGAGATAAAATCTAATTTTCTTGGAATTCTTTGAGATAAAATCTAATTTTCTTGGAATTCTATCAACTGAAAATTTCTATTATTTGGAACTGACTTGGCAAGATCAGGAGTGAAAGAGAATATATGACTACAAACCCCATGGATGTGAAAAAAAGATAATATATAATGGCTACAAGTAATTCTATACACATACATTTGACAACTGAGATAAAATGGACCAATTTCTCCAAAATCAATAAATACCAAAGCTTACCTAAGATGAAATAGATAACCTGGATAGTCCTAAAACTATTAAAGAAATTGAATTGATAGTTTAAACATCTGAAAAAGGTATCTCTTGGACAAATTATTTCACCAATCAGTTCTACCAAACATTTAAAAAAGAAATAGCACAAATTCCACATAAGCTCTTCCTTAGAAGAGGAGGAAACACTTCCCACTTTATTTTACAAGACCAACATTAGCTAGATACCAAATAAACAACCTAATCTTAAGGGAAAAAAAACTAAAGCAAACAAGAAACAGAAGGAACATTTTCTTTAGTTTTCTTTTTAAAAAAATTCTCTTGTATATTTTTGTTGTTTATTCATTTATATGACTCGACTGCAGTAAGAAGGAACATTTTCAAAAAAGCTTTGAGTAATAGGACAAGCTTACAATAGCCACTTGAATTTGACAAAATGAGAGCAAAAAGATTAGAATATAAAGAATGCTGTAGTATGAAACAGGAAATAAGAACCAAAATAATGTCATCAAAATTAAGCAAGCTAAAAACACAAGTTAAATAAGATCAAAAGAGCAGAAAACAAAATCAATATACTTACATTTAGAAAAAGATTGTGATAATTACAGTAATGCAAATAACATGAGGTGCTTAAAGAATCATAAAGAAACTACTAGATATGGAGGACAAAAATAGAGAGCCCAACAAATGTTAACTGATGTCTCAGAAGAAAAAATAACTCAACAGTGGAATAAGAAAAGTATTACAAAGATATATCACAAAATAAGTAACAGTCCTGAAATGAGAACTCAATTGGCACAGTGAATGAACATGAAAATTAAGTATGGACCTCTTTGATATGTATCTTTGTTAAGTTATTGAATTGTAAGAATGAAAAATAATTGTTCAGGTATCAGAAAGCTAATCACCTACAAGGAGAAAAAAAACCATACGGACCTCAGACTTCTGCAAAGCCAAACACCCAGCTAGAAATGAGAACTATCTGCAGTGTGCTGTTCAATATGACAGCTACATCTGTGTTTTGAGCACTTGAAATGTGACCACTTTAAACTGAGTTTCATTCCGAATATAAAATACATCCTGAATTTTGAAGACTTTATGAATAAAAAGGTAAAAATCTCATTAACATTTTATGTTGATTACATGATGAAACATTTATATATATTGGGTTAAATAAAATATATTAGTAAAATTAATCCAATTTAGAAATGGGCAAAGGACATGATTAGATTATTTTCTATGCCACAGTATTAACAATATGACTTAACTGTTGCTCTTTAACTCTTTAATAACCATATACCACAAAACTGGCAGAATTGCTTTTCTTTAAAATAGTCATTGAAAAATATTCTTACCCAGCAAGATTTCATTTAGAACTGAAAATTTTCAGGGTATAAAATAAGCAATTGTGTTACAATTATGATCTGCCATATGAGGTTCAAGCTTCTCCAGATGTTGACCGTGTTTGTGCTTTCTCTGCCTTTTCTCCAAGTTACTTACTGCTTTCCTCTATAGCATTAGCTATTTTTAAAAATAAGCTACTATTTTTGTTTTTCAGCTTAGGCTCTTTGGTCAACTGAGGTCAACTATCCTGGTACCGTGAGATCCCCATTTATATCATCTCACCCTAAAAATATATCCCTCCAAAGTCAAAAGATGTCTTTTTCTTTCTGAGTCATTGTATATTAGTCCGTTCTCACAGTGCTACAAAGATACTACCTGAGACTGAGTAATTTATAAACAAAAGAGGTTGAATTGACTCACAGTTCCTCATGGCTGGAAAGGCCTCAGGAAACTTACAATCATGGCAGAAGGGGAAGGGGAAGCAAGGTATGTATTACACGGTGGCAGGAAAGAGAGGAGCACGCAGGGGAAACTGCCACTTATAAAACCGTCAGATCTCATGAGAACTCACTCACTATCATGAGTACAGCATGGTGGAAACCGCCCCCATAATCCAATCATCTCCCACTAGCTCCCTCCTTCAACATGTGGGAATTACAATTCAGATTATAATTCAAGGTAAGATTTGGGTGGGGACACAGACCCAAACCATATCACACTGTGACAAGTATCTGACTCTTGAAGAATTGTTAACTACTAGAATTTCAGGCAGTAAGAAAGCACTGGGATGAGAAAATCCTTTTGTCAAAATACCTGTATTTCTTGCTGTTTCTGCTTCAGTTTTTCTCCCATGGTTAGAAAAGAGATTTTCCAGTCTTCGGGGTGGAAAGCTGTTCACAGAACACAACAAAATTGAAAGGGGCTTCCCAGTTCTCTGAGAAAAGCAACAACTGGAGCTTTATAAGAAAGTGCCTGTAACTCAATAAACAACTCAGATATTTTTTACAAGGGAGCTTAATTTCCAAAATGATAAATCCATTGCCTGATACTGATTCACATATGAACATAAAACATCTGAACTCTTTATTAAATACTATCTTTCAGTATAATTTCTTTTCTTTTCTTTTTTTGAGTACAGGAGACTTTATTGATGGTACACAAGGTGGGGCTCCCTAGGCCCCTCCCACTTCAGGGTGTTTGCCATGGAACCAGTGAGGCAGGGAGATTCTCACTGTCATGGGGGACTGGGTGTGGCATGGACTCCCCAGCAGCTGAGGGCCTCTCTTTTCCCTCTCGTGCTCTCGCTGGGGCTGGCAGTCTGGGGGCCTTACTCCTTTGAGGCCTACCACCCTATTGCTGTAGCCAAATTCACTATCATACCAGGATATGAACTTGAAAAAGTGGTTGTTGGGGGCAATGCTGATCCAGCATGGAAAGTGGAAGAGTAAATGTCACTGTTAAAGTTGGAGGAGACAGCCTGGTGCTCAGTGTAGCCCAAGATGCCCTTGAAGGGGCCCTCCAATGCCTGCATCACCACCTTCTTGATGTAATCATATTTGGCAGGTTTCTCCAGATGGCAGGTCAGGTCCATGACCGACATATTGGTGGTGAGGACATGCCAGTGAGCTTCCTGTTCAGCTTGGTAGATGCAGCACCAGTAGATGCACAGATGATGTTCTGGAGAGTCCCGCGGCTGTCGCACCACTGTTTCCCAGAGGGGCCATTCCCTGGTCTTGTAGGTGGCAGTGATGGCATGGACTGTGGTCATAAGTCATGATGCCAAAGTTGGCATGGATGACCTTGACCAGGGGTGCGAAGAAGTTGGTGGTACAGGAGGCATCGCTGATGATCTTGAGGCTGTTTTTGAACTTCTCATGGTTCACCCCCATCACGAACATGGGGTCATCAACAGACAGGGCAGAGATGATGACCATTTTGACTCCCTACTCTCAGTATGCCCCAGCCTTCTCCATGGGAGTGGGAGTGAAGATGCCAGTGGGCTCCCCAACATAATGAGCACTGGCATCACCCCATTTGCTTTTGGTGGGATCTTCCTCCGGGAACACGGTGATAGGATTTCCACTGATGACAAGTTTCCCATTCTCAGCCTTGCCAATGCCATGGAATCATACTGGAATATGCAGAGCATGTAGTTGAGGTCAATGAAAGGATCATTGATGACAACAATATCTGCTTCCCAAAGTTAAAAGCAGCCTTGGTGACCAGGCACTCAATATGGCCAAATCCGTTTAGTCTGACCTGCACTTCCACCATGGTGTCTCAGGGACACGGCTGACACTGCATGAGAAAATGTGGCTGCCAAACCGGAGGAGCAGAGAGCCTAATTTCCTTTTAAATACCTTAAGGATCTTGCTTATGAGCCCACACGTGGCCAAGATATCTTAAGCAAGGTTGCCAATCATTCATTAAGTGACAAACATTTCAATTTTACTACTTTTAATAAGTTCTACCATGTGTTTAAATATTGACCTAAATATAGTACTTTGGGCTTAAAAAGAAAAAAACACAATCCTTTTCAACTGAATGATCTACACTATGCTTCACAAGTAATCTCATGTCAATAACCATCCATTTTCTGAAACTCACTAACACTGTAATGGAGCCAGTTTATTGCCAAAAAGGAAAAGAAAAATGAAGCCCTTTGTACTCTACCAATTATTTCAATTTTCTTCTGATCTCAGCATGGCTCTGAGGCTGTGCCATCTTGGTGGCATGGTAAATTATTAGATATTTTCATGATACATTTTACTCAATGTCCATTCAAACATTAAAAAACTAATTTTCTCTCGAAGAGAAAAATCTGTTCTGGACTTCAGATAGGATAATTCTCCAGCATTCCTTAAATAGTGAGGTGCGTCATCAAACCCAAAGCGCCACACACTCAGGGTCCCTACAAAAATAGTCATTTTGTTTGCTCAGCTGCACATAACCCCACATATCTCAGCCCCATGCATGCTTGGTATATTTAGTAACCGCTCAAGTTGCTTATCTTTCTTTAGCATATTCTTTAATAATCCTAAGTAAAAAGTTTCTGCTGCTCCAAAAACACATTCCCATTTTGCTTATGGTCAATGTGTCTTGTGGTTTGAGATTCTTTCGCCCACTCTTACATTCAGGGAAGGTTATCACTTCTCCACAAAATTCCATTAAAGGAGCTTCGATAGGAGATGAGATCATATTTGCAATGCAGGAATTATTGGGCCTCTGCATCCACAAGTATAAGCATTGTGGTTACCACCTGCAGGCAGTATGACAGTCAAAATGACTGGGCAGATGGAGCCTGTTGCTTTGCTCCATCCAGTATGTCTTGCTTCTTACTTCTCAGTCGGTGATAAGGAGAATGAATGAGCAGGGTGATTTTCTATCAGTATATCCAAAATAGCCTGGCCCAGTGGCTCACGTCTGCAATCCCAGAACTTTGGGAGGCCCAGGCAGGTGGATCACTTGAGGTCAGGAGTTCAAGACCGCCCTGACTAACATGGTGAAACCTTGCGTCTGCTAAAAATACAAAAATTAGCTGGGTGTGGTGGCGGGAGCCTGTAGTCCCAGCTACTTGGGAGGCTGAGGTGAGACAATTGCTTGAACGTGAGAGGTGGAGGTTGCAGTGAGCCAAGATTGTGCCACTGCACTCCAGCCTGGGTGACAGAGTGAGATTACATCTCAAAAATAAAATAAAATAAATTCAAAATATTCGTGGTGCTTTCCGGATTTTAAGGAAAAGGGATGTATACCAAATGATTTCTAATAAGGCTTCAACTTATATTTCTAGGAAGACCAAAAGGAGGTGGTTGTATTTGTTCTTTTTTTTTTTTTTTCCTGTGAATAAGGAAGGAAACAGAAAGAAAGGTGTTTAAATAACAACATCTGAAATCTAGGTTCAATTGTGGAAGGATTTTTAAACCTATCAGTTAAATTTAGAGGTATTTTACTGAGTGAGACTTTTATCTTCCCGCATGGCAGGGTTCTAAAAAGTACCTGAATATTCATCAGAAAATAATGATTCACTTTAAACTCACAAATAATTCCTTTAAAAAAATGGACCCAGAAACTTCCTTCTGTCTTCTTCGTTAGTACTGATAGGTTATCTAATATTATGGTTAAAAATACAGACTCTGGAGCCAGACTACCTGAGCTCAAATCCCAGCTCTATCATTTTTGAGTTTGGTCAAGTTATTCAACCTTTTGGTGACTCATTTCCCTCACGTGTAAAAAGAATATTCATAGCACCTACATCAAAATGTTGCTGTAAAAAGTAGATATGTGAATTTAATGTGCCTGGCACATGGGGGGCACTAGATGTGATCGCTGCTAGTTTCAATAAACATCTTACATTTCACTTCTTTTCAGGATAAGATAGTTTAAATTTGACTTTCTTAATTTATTTATAGATGTGGCCTAGAAACACAGCATAAAGACAGAGAGAGAGGAACTTTTCTCTCTTCTTTTTAGGGTCTCACTCTGTTGTCAGGCTGGAGTGCAGTGGCGTAATCATAGTTTATTCCAGCCTGGCACTCCTGGGTTCATGTGATCCTCCTGCCTCAGCCTACTGGATAGCAAGGACTACAGGTGCACACCACCATGCCTGACCTAGGGGAACTATGAAATTCTACTATTGCTACTATTCTGTCATTTCTTATTATCCACCCATTTTATGTATTCACTCATTCATCCATTATTTGGCTTGTATTAAACACCTGTTATGGACCCTGCAAAGCGCAGGACCCTAAGGACACAAAGATAAATAAAATATAATCTTCAAGAAGGAAAAAGGACTCATGAACACAATGTAAGCACATCAGCGTCACGGGTCTTACGGTTTAAAACTAAACAGTGTGTGGTGGAAGTACCAGTGAGGGAGAGACTAATTCTAATCTGGAGAAAGGTTTAAAAAAGTTCAATAGAGAAGGGGATGCTCGGCTGAGTATGAAGAGCAAGGTTGCCCTGCAGTCTGGGTTGGTTTGATGACAGAGTCTTCCATGTAAAGGAGAACGTGGGAATAACCACAGCAGGTAACACAGAGGCCCTCCAACAACCTATTGGACTACACTGACACCAATTCTCCCACATGCTAGATAAAACAGCGTAAGGAAAAATGATTGAGCTTGAAAAAAGAAAACAGAAACAAACCCATAGGTTTAAGCAAGGAAGAGGGAAATTAAATACAGGCTAGTAAATAGAGCTGATGCAACAGCCTCTCACGGGGTTGTCAGGCCTGCTTAGCAATACAGCTGAGTTTTAATGTCCAGGCAGGAAGAGGGTAAGGACACTGACCCATGTGAGATCTGACATGGAGAGCTAGAGCTGAATCCTCTACATTTAGCCAGGCCCATCTGTTAAAAAGGAACTAGAAATACTCCACCCAAAAGCCTAGAGAGGTAGCAAGGAAGTTTGCCATCTACCCGCGACTCAGTAGGGAAAAAACGAGAAATTGCAAACCTAAGGCACACAAGCATGTAAGGCTCCAATTTATATTGTCCCCATGCTATCAAAATCCCAAGCTGGGACATTAACATAGAGCTGGTCTAGGACCCATAAAACCACTAGGAAACTGGCAAAACTGGTACTTCTACTACCTGGGAGTGGGAAGCGAATCAACCCCTGCTGAAAATGATCTCACAATAAAATAAGCAAATAAAACAAAACTCACCCACACACAGGCACACTAGGAAAAAATCCATCTCCACCACCATGAGAGTCAGTAAATGTAACAAGTCTGTAAAATATGGTTTAAATAATTAGGGAGATAAAAAAAGAAATAGAAACAACAATGAAAGAACAGGACAATGATGGAAAATGGCTACAGAAGTTCCTGCAGTGTGGTCCATTTAGATAATTACTTGTAATTCAGCATCTATAAAGCAGGTAGGTGGGGTGGAAAGTGCAGGGTTGTGAGGTAGTTGTGTGTATTGGTGGGGGACTGAGGGGAGAATGGAGAAGATGCATCAAGAGATAAGTCATGGAAGATCGAGAGGATTAAATTAAGTAAGGTCTTGGATGCCACCCTAAAAAAAATTTTATCCTTTAGCAAGGGGAAGACTTTGAAGACTTTTAATTAAAAAGTAATAAACAGATTTGTTTTGGAATATTCTCTTTGGCAGGAATTGGAAAATGATTGAAAGGAAACATGAATAGAGGAATAGAGACCATTCAGAAGATTTTTATAGTAGACCAGATGTCTTTAGTTCCAAGCTGCATTTATAGGCCCGAGAAATATTCAAATATATTTGTTAGAGTTCCAAACCTGGGTTTCACTGAGAACGTCAACAAAATCCCAAAGCTGAAGGACTACTCTCAACTTTACATTTAGGAAATATTGAATACACATGGAGCACTTATGCTGTCAGTTGGTGCACACGTTGGGCATACAGACATGAATAAAATATAGGCTGTGCATTTTCTCTTCTCCAAGTGCTCACAAACTAGCAGGATAATCAGACATGTAAATAAACAATCATTACACAATGTGATGTGGATAGGAGAATTATGAGCAGAGCACTGGGGAGACTGGAGGAAGTGGGATGTTGACAAAGGCGTTAAAGAGAAGAAGGCATTTGAACTGAATCATGAGGGGAGAATAACAACATTCAACATAGGAGGAATTTTGTAATTGCAAAGGCGCATAAATGTGTCATCAATATGATGTAATTCCAGGAAAATCTCATAAACCATATCCTGATGATATGCTGTCATATGAGTCATTACGTGAGATGAGAGGAGTCCAAAACTTGATCCTCAGGGAGCTTTTAACATATAACAATTCTTTATTTTGGAATATCATAATAATTTCAGAGGCATTCCATACTTGCTTTTTTTTTTTTTTTTTTGGAGACAGAGTCTTGCTCTGTCACCCAGGCTGGAGTGCAGAGACTCAATCTTGGCTCACTGCAGCCTCTGCCTCCTAGGTTCAAGAAATTCTCCTGCCTTAGCCTCCCAAATAGCTGGGATTACTGGTGTGCACCACCATGCCCAGCTAATTTTTGTATTTTTAGCAGAGACGAGGTTTCGCCATGTTGGCCAGACTGGTCTCGAATTCCTGACGTCAAGTGCTCCACCCGCCTCAGCCTCCCAAAGTACAGGGATTACAGACGTGAGCCCACCGCACCCGGCCCACACGTCCTCTTATTTTATCCCCACAATAACTCCGTGAGGTTGATCTTATTCTATCTACCTTGAGAGGAAGGAATTTCTTCATAAAATAGTAACTAAAAACAAGACTAACCCATGAGAAATAACAACCATTAAAGGCGAAGCAGTGCGGGTAACAGCAGTGGTAGGTCCAGAGTTGTTCCATCTCACAGGGAAATTCCCAGCTGTTCTGATCAGCTGCATGTAGGCCAGGATACCATGTTTTTCTTCCACGCTTTCTGCCCTGACAAGGCAACCAAGAAGCCTACCTTCTGTTCAGGGGACAAATAAGGACCCAACACTTTTAGATGGTGTGTTGTCCACGGGCATTGAGTCACTGAGGGCAAGTTGATTTCAAGCACAGTGTGGCATTGACTCCTTCCACTTCCTGGCACTCCTTCCATTTCCCGGTCCTCCTTCTACTTCCTGGTCCTCCTTCTACTTCCTGGCTTCACTCCGAAAAATCTGTTGCCTCCACACTTTTCTCTCATATCCCAATCACCCCTCTTCCATCTTCTCCTCACAGTCTCAGCCCCAGGTTCAGGTAGTCTTTACAAGCAAGTATCTGAAATGCTTAGATCAATGTGTGATTAGAGTTTACGGGTGCCCCTGGATTCACTGAAGGTAAGAAACAGAAGGAGAGGGAATTACACAGAGATCAGATTAATAGCCAAGATAATCCTGCCATATGTGTTGCAGCAACTTGAGGTCAGAGAAGAAACAGCTAATTTAAACTTAGATAATGTTTCAAGCCAAAAGGGGCTCGCATGGAAAAGATGCATTTGAAAAGAGATAATAGCTAATAAATTTGAGGACTGCTTGGGACCTTGGAGATCTTGGAATCTATCCTCTAACACCCCCACATCCTGGTGGGAAAAGCCATATATGCAAAGATCCAGCCTGGACCACATGGAGCCCTGTGAGGAGATAGACCTACCAGAGGAAGTCTTTAATGCCAAGAAATGGTTGGGAAACAGGCATCAACTCAGGAAGATGCTGATAAATATACACCTGTGAATAATGAACGCTTCCTTTGACAGGCAGAGCCAATATTACCATTTTACTGAGCACATAATTCTTGTCCATTAAAGAGTCCATTCTCTTGATGACCTAGGAGACCATAGGGGAACAGATTGTTCTTAAACGTGTACTATTTTCTTAACATGATATTCATTGTATCTTTCCACTCACAAGTACATTAGAATTAGTGAGGCTTAACTTGCTTCCTCTTAGTAGTAAATTACACATCTTTGATTGAACATCAGATCTTTAGACCACTAGCAAACTATTGAGCAGATTACTATTCCACCACAATATACTATCATTCAACTATGTAAAAAGACTTTGAGTTTTGCCATACACAAATATACTCTAGATGTGAAACTAAGTCAGTAAACCACTCTTAGTTTAGTAGAGGAGAAGCTGCAAACTAGAGCCTTAGAAGCAAATCTGTGTGCCATCTGTTTTGTAAATAAAGTTTCATTGGAACACAGCCGCACCCAGTCATTTACAGATTGTCTATGGCTGCTGTCCTGCTACAACAGCAGAGTTAAGTAGTTGTGAAAGAGTCCAGATGGCCAACAAAGCATAACATATTTACTCTCTGGCCCTTTACTGAAATAGTTTGCCCATTCCTGGAGAGCGTTAGTTTTGTTGCTTGTAAAATGTGATCAGAAATGGATCCTAATCTTACCTATTTCTCTCTATTCAATAAACATTTATTGAGCACCTACTATGTGATAGGCACTTTGGAAGAGGGGTAACAAAGAAGAGTAAGACATGGTTCCTTCCGAGAACATTGTAAGGACTGAGAAAGAGGTAACACGGATAATTTCAAGGTGCATATGAAGTACCGAGATAAGGGTATGCATTAATACTATCAAGTCAAAATAGGAGAACTTAGTAGAAACTGGCAAAGGCATTATGGAGAGATGAGACCAGAGCCAAGTGATAAAAAATGAGTAGTATTTTTTATGTTGCATAACCTAACAATATTGTATTGTATACTTACAAACCTACTAAGAGTATTTTTCATGTTAAGGATTCTTATCACCAAAAATATAATAATAATAAATGAAGAGGGTAGATGGAAACTTTCGGAGGTGACGAATAGGTTTGTACCATAGATTGTGGTGATGGTTTCATGGGTATATACTAATCTCCAAACTCATTAAGTTGTACACATTAACTATGTATGGCTTTTTGTATAGCAGTCTTACCTCAAGTAATTTTTTTTAACGAGTAGGAATTAACCAATGAAAGTGCTGAAAAAAAATTGGGAGGATTCAAGGGACTTTTTTGCAGCCAAAGGCCAAAAATGGACTCTTTTTGCATTTCTGCTGAAACAATCTTTACTAAGTTCATGGATGCCTCCGGCTGCAAGGGAGCGGGAGGAGTGTCTTGTATATTACACGCTTTGCATGGTTTAGTTTATAATGAGAACTTGCTGCTTAAAGACTAATGAAGACAAAGAAAATAATGAAAAGCTTTAAAATTAAACTTGTGTGAAAGCTTTAGTCTCCAGGAAACTCTAGTCATTTTTAAAAAGCCACTTAGGATTTACTGATAAATAATTCTACTTGCAAAGAATAGAAACATCGTTTATTAAATCTGGACAATATTTACTATATAATAGGGTATGAAATAAAATTTTTCCGTTATCTTATTTTTGGCTGAGCCCCCAAAACCAATTCAATAGATGTCAAATAACCTCCTAGAAGGAATTCTTTATAGGCTTGTCTATGTGGTGTGAACTGAAGAGAGCAAAGAAGGTGTACATTTGGTGCCTGAGAGATACCACATAAGAATGTCTTTTTACCCCCAACAAGAACACTATCGGGAATTACTTTTTCTTGGCAGTGAGTAGAAAGTGAAGCCCAAAGGTCTAGGACAAAAGACACACAAATGTTGTCAGGATTTACAAGGCATGGGAGATCCAGAACATGGTAAACGGCATTGGAAGGTTGAAATGGAGTATACGGTATAGAAGAAGGGTCAGGGGACAAATAGGAAGTGGAAAGACTAAGGGCTTGTTTTCCCATACACAGGTGTGTCTAAGTGTCTGTATGTGTGTCTCTGTGTGTGTCTATGTGTGTCTGTGTGTCTGTATGTGTCTATGTGTGTATCTGTGTGTATGTGTCTACGTGTGTGCCTGATGTGTCTGTGTCTGTATGTCTGTGTGCATGTGTGTGTGCCTGTGTCTGTGTATATGTCTGTGTGTCTGTATGTCTGTGTATATGTCTGTGTGTCTGTGTGTGCATGTGTGTCTGTATGTGTGTCTCCATATGTGTCTGTGTGTCTGTGTGTGTCTGTGTGTGTCTGTGTGTGTCTGTGTGTGCCTGTGTATATGTGTGTGTCTGTATGTGCCTGTGTCTGTATGTATCTGCGTGTGTGTCTGTGTGTCTGCAGTGTCTGTACTTGTGTCTGTGTGTCTGTGTGTGTGTCTATGTGTGTCTGTGTGTGTCTGTATATATGTCTGTATGTGTTTGTAGTGTCTGTATTTGTGTCTGTGTGTCTGTGTGTGTCTGTCTGTGTCTGCATGTGTGTCTGTGTGTCTGCAGTGTCTGTACTTGTGTCTGTGTGTGTGTCTGTGTGTGTGTCTGTATGTTATATGTCTGTATGTGTGTTTGTATTGTCTGTATTTGTGTCTGTGTGTGTGTCTGTGTGTGTGTGTGTGTGTCTGTGTCTGTATGTGTGTCTGTGTATGTGTCTGTGTGTATATGTCTGTGTATGTGTCTGTGTGTGTGTCTGTGTCTGTATGTCTGTGTCTGTGTATGTGTCTGTATGTGTCTGTGTGTGTCTATGTGTTTGTGTGTTTGTGTGTGTGTGTGTGTGTGTGAGAGCATGTATCTATGCCTCCATGTGTGGCAGCAGCAAGGAATGCAGAGGGTTGCAGGGGCAAAGCAGGTGGGATATTGCCAAAAAGAGGAAATCAACTATTTTGCATGAGTGTGTAAGAGTTCAACTTTTCCACATTTCAATGTCTCTTTATCCATTTTCCAAAATCATCTTAATTCTATAATTGAAAGGTAAATATATTTAAATCCCATGAAGGTACTTCCACATATTAGTGTACATCGTGGGCTATTCTGAGGTGATTCATGCTTCAGAGAAGATGAATATTGGTATTTTTTTGCATCTTAGTATGGAGGGTTAGGAAAAATATTTTAAATGTATTTATAGTCCTTGTTCTTTCTAAATCGTGTACCTCACAATTTTGAGATTTTTCCAACCAGAGACAATTAATTAGTTCAGTGGAATTATCATGGTGCACCAGTTTCAAAACTTAAAGAGAGTTTTAGAATATCTGTGTATGATTTGCTAGGAGGTGACTTGAACCTCATCTACTTCACCTTCCTTCAGTTTCCATTCAGGAGGAGTACAAAGATTAATAGGGATTTCTTTGTATGTTTGTCCCACCTCCCCCTGGGAGAGTAGCTGGAGCGCTTCTCTCCCATTCTCATATTGCCTTAGTTAGTTCAGACTGCCATAACAAAAATGTCATAGGCTGAGTGGCTTAGGCAACAGAAATTTATTTCTCACAGTTTTGGAGGCTGGAAGTGAAGACCCAGGTGCAGGCTGAATCAGTTCTTGGTATGTCCTCACATGGTGGAGAGAGAGGAAGCAAGCGCTCTCCTGTCTCTTAAAAGGGCACCAGTCCCATCATGAGGGCTCCACCTAATTACCTCCTGAAGTCTCCACCTCCTCATACCATCATCTTAGGGATTACAGTTTCAGCATATGAATTTAGGCGGGGCGGGGGACACACGTTCAGTCCATAGCGCATGCCAAATGAGAGTCTTCAGAATAACTGCTTATAGAGACTGGGGTGTCTGGCAGGAAGGGAGTAAGACAGCTTACCACTACCACACCCTTCCCATCGTCCCCCACCCCTAGCCAGCTGGAGCCAGCTAAATTGGGGCAGGTTCTGGGCCCCAGCAACAGCACGGGCCCTGAGAGGAACTGGAGTTTCCTGGACTTACAGGGACACAGGACAGGTGTCTGATTCTCATCTGACAAAGTCTAATGAGAGGCCAGCTAGAGCTCCCTTCTAAGCAAAGTGAAGAGAAGCGGCCTACACCTTCATACCCTGTCTGAGGCCAGGTGCTGAGTGCTCTATGGGTTAAATGGAGACTATGGAAGGTAACCGTCTTGGGAACACTTGAAAGGGCCATATAGAAGGCATCTGCCTGGCAGGGCAAAGCAACCCCTAAAGGAGAGGCTATGGGATCTGATCAGATGAGGTTGCTAAGCAAGGCTCATAAGCAGTCATCTGATCACATGGCTTACTTCACAACCAAGTCTTTCATACTCAAAGCCAGAGAACAAGGTAGTGAGAGGACCCTTTGGGCATTTTCAGAAACTACTTCATGAGAGAAAGTGTGGAGGGTGCATTTGGGCATCTGCCTCCCAGAGGGCTGGAAACAGCCAGTTGTAACAGTGCCAGCCAACTAAGACTGTGCTATGCCTCTAGTCTTCCCACTCTCCTGCATTCTACCCTAGAGGCGTGAGGAACCGTGGATGAGAGAAAAGGTGGTCAGGAGGACCAGAGAAGCTGACCGCAACACCCCTTCCCCACTGTAGGCTTCCAGGACCCAGGCACCTGAGCTGTGGGGGGATGGGAGAAGGTTTAAATTGGACAAGTGATTGAAAGTTTGATGTTACCCTAGGTTGGACTTTTTGTTTCCAATTTTTTAAATTGTGTTAAAATACATATAACTAAAATTTACTGTCTTAGTCATTTTTAAGTATATGTTCAGTGGTATTAAATACATTTATAATGTTGTACAACCATTATCACCATCGATCTCCATAACTCTTCAGTAAAACTAAAATTCTGTACACATAAACCACTAACTCTCCACTTTCCTCTCCCCCTTGCCCTTGGGAAACACCATTCTACTGTCTCTATCAATTTGCCTACCCTAAGTGCCTCATATAAGTAGAATCAAACAATATTTGTCTTTTTATGACTGGTTTATTTCATTTAACATAATATCCTCAAGTTCATCCATGTTGTAGCATATTTCAGAATTTCTTTCCTTTTTAAGGCTGAGTAATATTCCTTGTATGTATTTACCACATTTTGCCTGTCTAGCCATCAATCAATAGATAATTGTGTTGCTTCTACATATTAGCTATTGTGAATATAATGCTGCTATAATCATGGGTGCACCACTTTCATTTCTTTGGGTATATACTCAGAAGCATAATTACTGGATCATATGGTAATTCTATTTTTTAATTTTTCGAGGATCCACCACCATACCATTTTCCACAACAGTGTACCATTTTGCATTCCTACCAATAGTGTACAAGCGTTCCAATTTCTCTACATCCTCACCAACACTTGTGATTTTCTGTGTTGTTTTAAATAGTAGCCATCCCAATGAGTGTCAAGCGGGATCTCCTTTTAGTTTTGATTTGTATCTCTCCAGTGACTGTTAATGTTGAACATCTTTTCACATGCTTATTGATCATTTATACACCTTCTTTGAAGAAATGCCTATTCAAGTTCTTTGCCCATTTGAATCAGGTCATTTGTTGTTGTTCAGTTTTAGGAGTTCTCTATATATTCTGGATACTAATCAACCCCTTCTGTGAGTTGCAAATGTTTTCTCCCATTCTGTGGGTTGTCTTTTTAGCCAGCTGATATTTTCTTTGATGTCCAATTTTAAAATTTTTCATGAAGCCCAATTTGTTTATTTCTTCTTTTATGGCCTTTGCCTTTGGTATAACAGCCACCAAAAGATTGTTTTCAAATCCAATGTTGTGAAGCTTTTGCCCTGTGTTTTTTCTAAGATTTATATAATTTTAGGTTTTACAAATGGATCTTTGATATACCTTGAGTTAATTTTTATATATGATGTTAGGTAAAGATCCAACTTCATTATTTTACATGTGAATATTGTTTTCCCATGGGCTGGACTTTTTAATACCTGAAAATGGGATCTTTAAGACAAATTTATCCATAGACAGGAAAGAGAAATCTGAGAGGGGGTTTGAAAGAACAAGGCTGACTTCTACTTGGCCTCCTATGTCCAGCCCATTCAAAGAATTGGTTCTATAACCAAAGCACAATTATCAGGTAATGAAACTGGTTTCCTGTGTGGTATATAAACCAACCCTGAAGGAAATACTCCAAGAAAAAAACAGTTTTAAGAAACTCCATTAGCAAGACATTTAAAAATAAAGAAAGAGCTCAAAGGGAGCATTTTGGAGGCTATCACATGTACTAGTTCATTATCTAAAGGCTTTGCCAGTGGTATGATGACAGGTGGGCAGTGTGTGCCTCAAAAAAATGGGTCACCTTATTTAGACTAATCTCAGATTTTAAACATCAGAAAAGGACAAAATATTTAATCTTTATCACAAAATAAATCAAAGGGCTCAGTAAAGTCATTTAAAAAGAACATAAATCACAATAGAAGAAAACAGAAGATCCAGACATATGGCACCAGCAATGATTTTACCTCCTTCCCTGTGTTCATAATTTCCTCCACCTTTTTTCTATATACAAGCCTGCCTCACAGACCACATGTGTGAGGATATTTTGGACTTTATATCAAGCATTTCTATGACTCATATAACATCATCTAATGGACCACTTATGTCATTATTTCCAAGAAAATAATCTTTAAGGAATGGCACTAAAAATTTGTTCTCATCTAAGGTATTAAAGGTTTTTTTCTATATACATAAACTAGAAAATAGTATTAAGACATAAAAATAATGCTTTAAATTATATGTTAACACCATAAAGAAAATATTCCTAGGGTTGCATTATCCAACCCTGTAGCCACTGGCCACATGCAGCTATTTAAACTTAAATTTTAATTAATTAAAGTTTTAAAAAATTAAATATTCATTTAGTAATGGCCACCACATTGGACAGCATATACACAGAAAATGTTTATCATTATAGAAAGTTTTTTTTTTTTTTTTTTTAGAGACAGAGTCTCACTCTGTTGCCCAGGCTGGAGTGCAGTTTCATAATCTCAGCTCACTGCAATCTCTACCTCCCAAGTTCAACTGATTCCCCTGCTTCAGCCTCCCAAATAGTTAGAAATACAGGGATGCACCACCAACCCCAGCTAATTTTTGTATTTTTAGTAGAGATGGGGTTTCCCATGTTGGCCAGGCTGGTCTTGAACTCCTGACCTCAGGTGATCCACCCACCTTGGCCTCCCAAAGTGCTGGGATTACAAGCATGAGCCACCACACCTGGCCTATTACAGAAAGTTGTTTTGGACAACACTGTTCTAGAGTTTCAGAGCCAATCACTTTGGAAAATTTAAAAAACTAGTGTTTTCTGTGCATGACTAGGTTCTTAATATCTTAATGCTCAAGCAATTTGAGCTTTTGTAAAGTAAGAAGATACGTGATGTCACAGGCTTGTAAAGGCAGAATATTATTCCTCAATTTAGAGACAGGCTGAGTTCCCTTGATACTTTATTTTTAAATTGCTGTATTAAGGCCAAGAGACAGGCAAAAATTCAAAGTTGCAAAACTTCTTCCTAGAAGCCTGAATGCCCTTCAGATTGCTTGCAAACCATGAAAATTCAGCACTGAGGGATTTAAAATGTTGAGTAGTGATCTCATGCACTTAGCTTTTTCACAGAAGTTTTCATGGTTTCTCGAATAAACACATAATGCACTTCTTTGTGTCACATTTTTTCCCATATTTGTCATTTTCACTTCCCTTTTACATGATTCATCTTTTAATGTATTAAGGTTACATTATTTACTGGCATGCATGGATATTTGTGAGAGTACTGAAGAAGGGAAAACTTACGGGAACTTTTTTTAAATTCTGTTATCTAGAAACTCATTCTTTACTTGGAACAAGGAAAATTAGGAGTTTTGAATCGTTGACATTTTACTATTCAGCTTCCTTTCCCCACCAAAGAACAAGCTGAATAAATCTTTGTCAGAATTTAAATTTGTCTTTAACTGCTTCCTCCGGAAACATGCAGAGTATTAGATCATCAAAAATTACATTCATTTGTCTAATGAAAGCATGTCCAAATCTCAGAAGCTTTATCTAATGTCTAACCAGAATATGTGATTTCATCTGCCTACAGTGGAAAAATCTATATGTAGCCTAAAAATTCTCATTATGATATTCTTAAAACTTTATCATAGGGAGACTGGAAGGAGCAAGTACAGTCTCTTTACAAGCAATGTGGCTACCAATCCCCAGCAACACCTCAACCCCATCCTGGAGCAGTGGCGCCGTTAAGGAAGCGTCTTTGCTAGAGAAATCTATACATGGGCTTTTTGGTGCTTATGGTAGCTCTCACTATATGGTTCTGACAGTCTGACTTCTGAAACTATTGTGTGTCTACAGCCATACCACTCTGCACGTGCCCGATCTCATCCGAAATTAAACTATTATGATAATGAATGTTATTTTTTGTATAGGCAGAACTTAGATTTTTAACTCTTAGCAACCTTTATTAAATGGAAAGGGATTGTTAACACACCCAGCCCCGTACCTTGTCCCTTCCTATAACTAAAGAAAGACCTAGAGAGACTGACTTTGGAAAACTAATTGACAGTTGCTATGTTTTGAATGTCCCCACAAAAACTCATGTTGACATTTAATTGCCATTGTAAGGGTATTGGAAGGTGGAACCTTTATTTAAGAAGTTAACACTATAAAGAAAATATAAGGGCTCTGCCCTCGTGAATGGATTAATGCCAGTATATTGGAAGTAGGTTAATTATCACAAGAGTGGGCTTCTGATAAAAACCTAAGTTCGGCCCCTATTTCTGTCTCTGTCTCATGGGCTCAATCCCACCTTCCACCCTTTCACCATGGGATGCCACTCACCAGATGCCAGTGCCATTTGGACTTCCTAACCTCCAGAACCATGATCTAAATAAACCTTTCTTTATAAATCATCCATTCTGTTATAGCAGCAGAAAACAGATGAAAACAAGTGTTGAACAATTTACGGAATTTTTAAAATTTTGTAAAGTTTACTGTGGTCTTCTGAGAAATTTCCTAGGTCCAGGCATACTATTGGCATTCAAAAAAACCACATATAATATTAGAATTCAGGGAGGGAAAAGAGGAACAAAATTTTGATGGAAGTGAATGGTAAAGATTATGAATTTCCAGGAAGAGAAGTATTGCAAAGAATTCCAGATGGGGCAGGCACCGAAATGAGGTAGAAGAAATGAACCTAAGATATGTCAGGAAGAGGAAGAGTACAAAAGGCTGTAATCAACGCTTTTCAGACTTTAACATGCCTAGGAATCACATTTTGCTACAATGCAGCCTTAGATGAAATAAATCTGGATTAGGGCCTGAGACTCTGCATTTCTAGCAGGCACTCAGGTGATTCCAATGCTCTGCTTTCATAGGCCACATTTTGAGTAACAAAGCTGCAGTCAACTCAGTTACCATAATCACGAATAACTCACATTTATATTGATCCTTTGTTGCACAGGACGGTCTCTCACATAATTTACCTCTTTCGATCATTAGATGAATAAAACAGGATTCTGTGAATATCCAGTCTTATTTTATCTCTGTTATGGAAACACAGGGAGGCTCTGAGGACTCAGCATTGCACCACACTCCTGGATTTTTAAGAAACTCTCCTTTTAACAAGTTCTAACGATCATCTCAAATATTCTACACATCCTTTCCCAAACTGGATGTGATTAGATATGCCAGTGGTAAAAATGTTTCATGCTCAAATAAGTTTGAAAACGTGAGTTACACACAGTTAGATGTTTCTTTACTATAAGACTCTCAGAGTGTTCGATACGAATGTACATCAGAAGTCTTTGAGAGATTTGACCACAGACACAATGCTTTCTTTGTAGTAAACCTATTAACACCTGCTGGAGAAACTTCCCTACATTGTGAACAGTGAGGTTTTGACTACTAGTTCTGAGGTCTCATTGTTCTTAACTTCATAGATATTACTTTGACCAATGTAATCAGTGACCTATGCTTAAATATAAGTCATTGCTAAGAGAGTTTTCAAAGCTGGCCAGGGCATCCACTTAGAAACAATGATCACCTTTGCACGAGTTGATTAGATGGGGTTGAGCAGAGAACAGCTACTGTAGAAAACGCTGGAAAGAGCATCATGCTGAGAATGTACAAAGGACACATCATACAATTAGGATACTGAAAACCATCATTTTAAATGGTGCACCATAGCTGTAAACCGTAAGGAAATGATAGTGGCAAACAGGACCAGTCTACTGTGTACCAAACAAACAGAATAGCTCATCATAAGTAAGCAGAGAAGTGCCCAACCCAAGGACTGAGGTTTATACAAAAGTTTTCCAAGCACAGCCCATAGTGTCCTGTAATCACTGCCTTTGTGAGTGAAGAGAAAGACCAAAAACTTTCCAGCACAAGACTTCGGAAGTCTGACCTCACCCTTCCCCACTATGATAACTAGGAGAGAAGTTTCTAACTATATAAAATATATGAAACTCAAAGCTACAAAAAATACCTCTCTGACCTTTCTTTGGACTGGTTATGTTAAAATAAATTGTGAATTGAGGTTTTGCCTACAACAAATGGACATAGAGCAATGATAAGCTACTCTCTATAATGAATTCTGAGTAAGAAGAAATGAACTCTTTTTATTCTTTTTTTTCTTTTTTTTTTTTCGAGACGGAGTCTCACTCTTTCACCCAGGCTGGAGTGCAAGTGGTGCGATCTCGGCTCACTGCAAGCTCCGCCACCCGGGTTCACACCATTCTCCTGCCTCAGCCTCCGGAGTAGCTGGGACTACAGGCGCCCGCCACCACGCCCGGCTAACTTTTTGTATTTTTAGTAGAGGCGGGGTTTCACCGTGTTAGCCAGGATGGTCTCAATCTCCTGACCTCATGATCCACCCACCTCGGCCTCCCAAAGTGCTGGGATTACAGGCGTGAGCCACCGTGCCCGGCCGAACTCCTTTTTTTATATAAAAAATAAAAAGAGCTTTAACCAAACTGACTTTTTCCTTTTACACACAGAAATAATTGATGCTTTCAAAGTTTAGGAGAAAATTCTAAATATGCTGTCATGATAGCTAATGGAGTTTCCTTGATATCTGTATTAGTCTATTCTCACGCTGCTAATAAAGATGTACATGACACTGGGTAATTTATAAAGGAAAGAGGCTTAATTGACTCACAGTTCCACATGGCTAGGAAGGCCTCACAATCATGGTGGAAGGCCTGTGAAGAGCAAAGTCACATCTTACACGGCGACAGGCAAGACACTGTGTGCAGGGGAACTCCCATTTATAAAACCATCAGATCTCGTGAGACTTATTCACTACCACAAGTACAGTAGGAGGGAAACTGACCCTATGATTCAATTATCTCCACCTGGCACCCGGCAGGGGTTATTACAATTCAAGGTGAGATTTGAATGGGAACACAGCCAAACTATATCATATCAATATCAAATTTCCATCTCATAGAAAATTGATATACAATGGTTCTCAAAATTCAGCTGCATCAAAATCACCTAGAGAGCTTGCTGAGATCTACACTGGAGTTTCCAATTCAGTAAAACTGGGATGGGGCCTAAGGATCTGCATTTCTAACAAGTTCTCAGGTGATACTGATGCTGCAGTTCTGGGGGCCACATTTGAATACAGCTGGAATGGGATGAGCCTTAGCAATCAGCTGATCCATATCTTTACCTTACAGATGAGGAAGCGGGGCATAGAGAAGAATTTATCACTGAAGGCGAGGCCAGCAACAGCTACCTTGAACACCCCTGCACTCTGCTCTGTCCTTTTCCACTGTTTTAGTCACATGTCCAGGGTCTCAAAATGTTATACTGCTTTTCCCTACACTCTCTTCTCCATTCCCTTATCAGGAAAAACTACAAAAACTTTATTGTGGGGAAAAAAGATTACCAGGACTCTGTCTGTCTATCCTTCTAGTGTATCTTTGCCTTGTACTCCCTTTCAGCTGCTTCACTACTCTCAATATTGTCAAAAACTAATAACACAAATGATGCTTGCCTGAAGAAATGAAAGTGAATTGGGCCCTGTGAAATACAATTGATTATTGGGCTGTAGGTATTAACCCAATATGCCTGTAAAATGATTTCAGCATTCTCAATTCCCTCTGTGTGTATGTGTATTTAATTCTCTTTTGAATGTATAGTATCTTAATATGCTCCACAATAAATACAGAGTTAAATAAAGTCTTTGGCGTGTGTTCATTTACTATTTTTATAATTTTTGTGTCATGGTTTATGTTTTTTAAAAAAACTTACCTTTTAACATGCTAAAAAAGACAGTACTTCTTGAATGGTAGAATAAAGACCATCAAAAATCTGCTCATCCATAAAAGCAATGAGATCAGTGGCAAAAATTGTCAAAATTAACTTTTTCAGAACTCTGGAAATTAACTAAAAGATTGCAAAATGTCAAGGACTGTTTAGTCAGGAAAAAATGGCTGAATCTTGGTAAGACCAGTGAGCTATTTTGTGGCATTTTAACTTGACCTAATCCCTCTCCCCCACCCCAATGCCATGGTAACATTGAAAACCAACAGCCTCGCAACTACGGTAGCTATGAAAACCAGCAGCCTGGCAGCCACTGGAGAGGGTCAAATGGATATGGATATAAAACTTCCCCCAAATCTCATAATTGTTAAGACTTGACCTGTGTGGCAGTTCACTGAAAATATCCGTTCTCAGGGCTTTTCTGTATTTGACCTAACCCAGAATTTGCTCTGTGCCAACAGCCCTATTCCTAGGACATTTGTTTAAAAAAAAAAATAGGTGGCAATTATTTCACATTGCAGCTGCCTGAGACAATGTTACTGGTTGGAGCTAACAGGAAACCGACCAAAACACAACCACCAAGGAATTAAGATGTCCATAAGAGACTTTGGAAAGCAAACACATATTCCTGCAAATACAGAAGGTCATTCACATGTGCAGGGCTGTGTACCTGCACAGGAAAGACCTGAGAAGATCCTAATTCCTCACCTCTGGCTTACCTTAAGATTACATACAAGCAGGAAGAAAGTTTAAGGCAAAATTGTAAACTGCCTGTAGGAATATTAAAGATATACCCCAACCCACACATATATCCCATCACCCAAAACTGGGAAACTTATTGGTTCAAGGAATGTAAGGAAATCTCTGTCTAATCATTAGCTGACTACCAATCTAACCAGGCAGAGACTTCAATGGCTGCATATAAAAGAAGAATATAGACTTTACAGAATTAGTGCAGGAAAGTCACTAAAAAAACGAATAAACAAACTAATAATAGTAAGAAAAAATAGCAACAATAACAACAAACTTTGGGGAGAAGAGAGCATCCAATTTCCCGAATAGACATATTATTTAAAATGTCCAGTTTTTAACAAAAACAGAGAGACACATACACACACAAAAAAAAGAATGTCCCGTGCAAAAGAAAACAAGCAGTAAATTCTCCTTGACAAAGTCCAGACTTTGGATTTAGCAAACAAAGATTTTATTTTGCTTTTTGTTTTATAATTTGATGTTTTATTTTAGACTCAGTGGGAACATGTGCAACTTTGTTGCATGGGTATACTGTGTGATACTGAGGTTTGGGGTATGAATAATCCTGTAACCCAGGTAGTGAGTATAGTACCCAATAGTTGTTTTTTTTTTTTCACCCTTGTCCCCCTCCCTCCCTTCCTCTTCTAGTAGTCCCCGGTGTCTATTTCTGCCATATATATGTCCGTGAGTACTCAAAAAACAATGACCTTTAATCATCTAATGAACTAAAGGAAACCACATCTAAAAAATTAAAACAAAGTGTGAGAATAATGTCTCATCAAACAAAAATATCTATAAAAAGATATAAATTATTGTTTTAAGAGAATAGAAATTCTGAAGTTGAAAAGTATAACTGAAATTAAAATCACTAGATGGGATTAACAACAAATTTGAACTCATAGAAGAAAGAATCAGTGAACTTGAAGATAGGCCAATTGTGATTATCCAGGACCAGAAAGAAAAAAGATTAAAAAAAAAAATAACAAGCTTCAGAAACCTGTGGGACACTATCAAGCATACAAACATATGGCAGTCCAAGAGAAGAAAAGATAGATAAAAAGACAGAAATATCATTTGAAAAAATAATGGCCAAAAATTTTCCAAATTTGGTCAAACATATTACACAGTCAAAAATCTAAATAAATTCAAGTAGAATAAACTCAAAGAGATCCACAGTGAGTTACATTGTAATCTGACTGTAAAAAGACAAAGAGAAAGCAAGAATCTTGAAAGCAGCAAGAGAGAAATGGCTTACCACATACAAAGGATTCTTAGTAGGATTAACTGTTGGCTTTTCATCAGAAACCATTGAGATCAGAAGGAAATGGGAGTTAATATATTCAAAGTGCTGAAAGAAAAAGATTGTCAATCAAGAATTCTATATTAAGCAAAAGTGTCTTTCAAAAATGAAGGAGAAAGTAAGATATTCCCAGATAAACTAAAACTAAAATAATTCATCAGTAGCAGACATGCCATATAAGAAATACACATCACTCCAATCACTAAAATCAGAAATGATAAAGAACATCATTAAGTTGTTTAAAGAAATAAAAGGATTATAAGAAAATACTACAAACAATTGTGTGCTAACAAATTAAATAACCTAGATGAGGTAGCCAAATTCCTAGAAAGATACAAACTACCAAAACTGACTCAGAAGAAACTGAATATTCAAATAGACCTATAATAAGTAAAGAGATTGAATTAGTAATCCAAATACTTCTCACAAAAAGTCCAGGCTCAAGTGATTTCAATAATGAATTCCACTGAATAATTTAGAAAGAATGAAGATCACTCACAAACTTTTCTGAAAAGGTGGAAGAGAAAGGAACATTTCCCAGCTAATTCTATGGAGGCCATATCACCATAATACCATAATCAGATATAGATATCAAAAGAGAAAAAAACACAGACTAATATCTCTTATGAATATAGATGCAAAAATCCTCAACAAAAGTGTAGCAGGCCATATTGAACAACATATAAAATGGATTATACACCATGACTAAGTGAGATTATCCCAGGAATGCAAGGTTGGCTCAACATAAGAAATCTATCAATGTAATATAGCATATTAGTAGAATTAAAGATAAACCCACATAATCATCTCAATACATTTTCTTAAAGCAATTGATGAAATCCACCCCCATCCCCATAGCAAACTAAGCATAGAAGAGAAGTTTCTCAACCCAATAAAGGCCATCTATGAAAAACCTCTAGCTAACATGATGCTTAATGGTGAAAGAAAGTTCAGGAACAAGATAAGCATGTCTACTCTCACCACTTCTAGTCAACATTGTATTGAAGGTTCTAGCCAGAGCAGCTAGGCAGAAAGAAAGAAATAAAAGGTAAGCACACATATATCCCATCAGCAAAGACTGGGAAACTTAGTGGTTCAAAGCATTTAAGAAAATCTCTGTCTAATAATTAGCTGACTGCTAATCAGACTAGGCAGAGACTTCAGTGGCTGCACATAAAAAAGAATACAGACTTGACAGATTACAAAGGAAGAAGTAAAATTGTTTCTATCTGCAGATGATGTAATCTTGTATATATAAAATCCTAAGGAAAATCTACCAAAAAACTATAAGAATCTAACAAACCAGCATAATAAGGTTGCAGAATAGAAGATCAATTTACGGAAATGAATTTTATTTCTATAAAATAGCAATAAACAATAAGAAATACAATAAAAAACAATTTTGTTTGCAAAAGTATAAAAGAAAACCTCAGGAATAATTTTTTTTAAGTAAAAGACTTGTACACTGAAAATCTGTAAAAGATCATTGAAAGAAGTTAAAGAAGATCTAAATAAATGGGAAGATACCTCATGTTCATGGATCAGAAGACTTACTTCTGTTAAGGTGGCAATATTTCACAAATTAATCCACATATTCAACTCAATCCTTCTCAAAATCTCAGCTATGTTTTTTCAGAAATTGACAAGCCAATCCTAAAATTTGTATAAGAACTCAAAGGAACCACAATAACCAAAACAACCTGGAATTGTAGGACTTAGGCTTATCAGTTTCAAAACTTATTAGAAAACTGCAGTGACTAAGATAATGTAGTACTGGCATAAGCATAGACATATAGATCAACAGAATAGAATTGGATTCAGAAATAAACTCTTACATTTATAGGTCAAATGATTTTTCAGCAAAGATGTCAAGAAAATTTAATGAAGAAACAGTAGTATTTTCAACAAATGGTGCTGGGACAACTAAATATCCATATGCAAATGAATAAATTTGAAGCCCTACTTCACACCATATACAAAAATTCATAGACCTAAACATAAGGGGTAAAACTATAAAAGTCAACCATAGACCTAAATATAAGAGGTAAAACTATAAAAGTCTTAGAAGAGGCCGGGCATGGTGGCTCATGCCTATAATCCCAGCACTTTGGGAAGCCAAGGTGGGTGGATCACCTGAGGTCAGGAGTTTGAGACCAGCCTGGCCAACATGGTGAAACCCCATCTCTATTAAAAATATAAAAACTAGCCAGGCATGGTGGTGGGTGCCTGTAATCCCAGCTACTCAGGAGGCTGAGGCAGGAGAATTGCTTGAACCCAGGAGATGAAAGTTGCAGTGAGCCGACATGGTGCCACTGCACTCCAGCCTGGGTGACAGAGTGAGACTCTGTCTCAAAAAAAAAAAAAGTCTTAGAAGAAAGCATAAGAGTAAATCTTCATGACATTGGGTTAGGCAATGGTTTCTTAGATTTGTGAATCCAAAGGTACCTGAGACAGGTCTCAATAAATTTAGAAAGTTTATTTTGCCAAGGTTAAGGATGCACCCGTGACACAGCCTCAGGAGGTCATGATGGCATGTGCTCAAGGTGGTCGAGTATAGCTTGCTTTTATCTATTTTAGGGAGACATAATACATCAGTCAATACATGTAAGATGTACTTTGTTTCGATCTAGAAAGGCAGGACAACTTGAAGTTGGGCTTCCAGCTCATAGGTAGATTTTAAAGATTTTCTGATTGGCAATTGGTTGAAAGAGTTAAGCTATTATCTAAAGACCTGAAATTAATAGAATGGAATGTCTAGGTTAAGATAAGTGATGGTGGAGGCCAAAGTTTTATCATGCAGATGAAACCTCCAGGTAGGAGGCTTCAGAGAGAATAGATGGTAAATGTTTCTTGTAAGACTTAAGGTCTGTGTTGATGTTAGTGCTGGAAGGCTTTTCCTGAATTCCAAAAGGGAAGAGGATATATAATGAGGCACTTCTGACCCTCCCTTCCCATCATGGCCTGAACTAGTTTTTCAGGTTAACTTTGGAATGCCCTTGGCCAAGAGGAGTGGTTCATTCAGATGGTTGAAGGGCTTAGAATTTTATTTTTGGTTTACAGACTGATACTGTTTGGCTGTGTCCCCAGCCAAATCTCATCTTGAATTGTAGCTCCCATAATTCTGTTGTGTTGTGGGAGGGACCCAGTGGGAGACACTTGAATCATGGGGGGAGCTTCCCCCATACTATTCTCATGGTAGTGAATAAGTCTCATGAGAGCTGATGGTTCTATAAGGGGAAACCCCTTTTGCTTGGCTCTCACTCTTCTCTTGTCTGCCGCCATGTGAGATGTGACTTTCACCTTCTGCCATGATTGTAAGGCCATCCTAGCCACATAGAACTTTCGAGTCCAATAAACCTCTTTCTTTTGTAAATTACCCAATCTCGGGTATGTCTTTTTTTTTTTTTTTTTTTTTTTTTTTTTTTTGAGATGGAGTCTAGCTCTGTTGCCCAGGCTGGAATGCAGTGGTGCAATCTCAGCTCACTACAACCTCCACTTCCTGGGTTCAAGCTATTCTCCTGCCTCAGCCTCCCAAGTAACTGGGATTACAGGCATGTGCCACAATGCCCAGCTAATTTTGTGTGTTTGTGTGTATTTTTAGTAGAGATGGGGTTTCACCATCTAAGCCAGGCTGGTCTTGAACTCCTGACCTCAAGTGATTCACCCACCTTGGCCTCCCAAAGTGCTGGGATTACAGGTGCAAGCTACCATGCCTGGTCATGGGTATGTCTTTATCAGTGGTGTGAAAAGGGACTAATACACAGATATAACACCAAATGTACAAGCAACAAAAGAAAAAGCAGATAAATTGGATTTCATAGAAATCAAAAACCCCGTTTCTAAGGACACAATCAATAAAACAAAAAGACAACGCACAGAATTGGAAAAATATATGTGCAAATAATATATATAATCAAAGACTGAATATACAATGCAGAATATATGAAGAACTCCTAGAGATTAACAATAAAAAGACAACCCAATTAAGAAATAAACAATTTGATAGACATGTCTTCAAATATGTCCAAATGGCCAATGAGTACATAAAAACGTGCTTGTCATTAGGGAAATACAAATAAAAATTACAATGCGACACCACTTGACACCTACAAGTGAGGACAGCAAACCAGTCCTCACTCTCCTAGAAGGTATGACTTTTCATTCTGTTCCTCACCAAGACCATCACTTCCCACTGCCCCACATTTTCTCCTGCCTCTCCTCTATTTTCCCATCCCTAGTGACAGAAATGACCCAGGCAGTTGCCCCAGATTGAAACGGGAAAGTTTCCTGATCCCTCTCGCAGGACATGCAACAGAGGTATGGCTCGCCTGTTCAGTCGACACCACTGCTCTTCAGTTGTCACCATTGCTCAAACCCCTGATGGGAGGGGAAACACACAGACTGACAGGTGTAGGAGCTGGGGCAAGTGCCTTGGGCTCCAGCCCCGTATCTAGGGGTGGGTGCCTGCGGCCCCTTTTTGCAAGGGCAGAGGACCAGTATGGCAGCTTTCTGTATCCCTAGCTCTTGCTCAGCATCCCAGAAGAATCAGGTGACCCACGGGCTTGAAGGATGAATGTGGGGTTTTACTGAGTGATGGAGGTGGCTCTCAGCAGGATGGATGGGGAGCTGGGAGGAGGATGGAGTGGGAAGATGATCTTCCCCTGGAGTTTGGCCATCCAGCAGTCAAACTCCCCTCCAACCACCCCCAGCTGAGCTCCTCTCAGCGTTCAGATGTTCCTTCTCTTCTCTCTTTCTCTGCTGCGCTGTTTGTCTGCTTGTCTCCTCATCTGCTCATCTGCTTCTGGAGCCTGGGGTTCAGGGTTTATATGGGTACAGGATGGAGGGGCATGGCGAGCCAAAAGGCAACTTTTGGGGCACATAATGCCTGTTCCCACTTACGGCCACGGGTCTCAAGGCTTGAGGGTTGGGACTTTGCTGGGGAACCACCCTCTTCTACCCAATATTTCCCTGTCTTCTGTCCATATCAAAATTACCTTCTCTCCTCCACAACAGAAATCAGGGTTTTCCCCTCTTCCTTCCCAGATTTATCTCTGTGGCAAGTATTTTTGTCTCCAGAAGTCCTATTCTCATTGCCCAGCCAAATGGCTAAAGGAACATCACCCCACCAGCTGTTAGAACCGTGGTGAAGGATGGGAAAATATGTCCCTGGTAACCAAACAGGAAAGCCAACTGAACCTTCCCCACAGAAACAATATTACACGCACCTCAGCCATTTGGGTGTAGGATAGCCTTGAGTGGATAGTCTAGCAGTCCTAACAATCATCGAGGATGTATATGTAAAAAATGGAAACTACGTTTTCACTTTCAAACAACCAGCTCATAAATGAATGTTTGGATCAGACCCATTCTTCTATTTTTCAGTCAAATAATTTTTTATTTTTATTTTTTGGTATCTAACCTTGTTTTGATTCTTGTTGTTGTCAATCAGTTCGACACTGCATTCCTCCAGAAACTCATGAGTATGTTTTGAAAACTTTGCTCCTGTGACCCAGGACCTTGGCTAGAAAGAGTCATCGTAGCACAAGAGGAAGATGGAGCAGGGGTTTTCCTGAGGGTGTGGCAATAGCAGTGACTCATGCTACTTCCTTTTTCTAACCCTTTCCATTAGTGGGGTGGGGGAAAGTCACAGTCAGACCTGGGGAAAGCCGTCTTTATTTAGAGGGCGCCCCTAGTGTAGTGATGGCTTTTTGCTTTCTTTCTGCCACAGTGCAAAGCAGGGAAATAAAAATGCACAGCACGATAGCGAGAGTTTAGAACTCTAAGACAGCCAAAAAAAAGTCATTTATAAAAGAATGCAACATACGCTAAAATTAGTTCCCTAGTGTATGCAAAAAAGAAAGTCAAACTCAGCACATTTCTTTTTGTGTAGTCAGGTACTAAATGTCTCTTGCAGCATATGAAGTGGATAAAGAGAACAGAGACGAAGAAGAAAGGAGAGAGAGGAGTGCAAAGAAGAAAATAAGTGTGGACATAAATTCGCTTTTCAGTGTGTGTAGTCTAGATACTATCTTAGTTCCCCAAACAATGTTTGCTTTGTGATTTCACTGCATAACTCTTTCAGATGTTTTCTCTCTGAATGGCTAGAAGTCAACAGCTCTAGACCCTAACTCTGTAAAAGCAAAGGACTCAAGTCCTCTTCAAGTCTTTCCACTTATAAAAAGGGGAATAAATGAGAGTTTTATATCTTGTGAGCTTTTTAAAGCATTTCACAGAAATTAAACATCAGTGATTACATAAAGTTATATATAACTTCTCAAACTGAGGGGAAAGAAGCCAAGTTGTTGAGGAAACCATAGCCAAAGAAGGATGGCTGTTTAGTTCCCTGAACCACGCTTTTGAAATACTATAATCGAGATCATTCAATGAAACTTGTTTGCTTAAATTTTTTTTACTTTATTGAAAAGAGGGGCTGAGAGGAAGGAAGGCATGAACTGCTATTTCACAAATTAGCATAATTACATCCACTGTATATGCTATTATGGAAATTCAATTTAAGAAATTATAGCTAAAACACCTAGCACGGCGTCTGGCACCTGTTAAGGGATCAATAAGACTCAGGTGTCACAGTTTTTATTATTATTGCTGTTATTATCATTGTGATTATTATAGAGGGGGATCTGTGAGTTACAAGGAGATTGCTGGTAGTTGGATAACTGACCCAAATCATTCCAAATTCTCATGTTGTATTTCATGGACCATGTACAGAAAATAGAATGACAGTTCCATTTTTGTGTCAAATTGTAATTAGTTAACGCCATGCCCTCAAAAGAAACCTTGATTTTTATATTATTATCCAAAATGAATTTCATTCCCAAACTCTTGAATGTGAATATCTTTGACCTGTAGGAGATGAAAATATGCCTGTTTGGCATAAGGATTATTTTGAGGTATTTTGAGAAATTGCAGACACAGGAGAAGCTCTGAAAACAGAGTAAAAGTTACCCTTTTGTAAGAAAAATGTATATCTGTAAAGGAAATCTCCATTTGTAAGTGTCTTCCTCTCTGTACCAGGATGAGAAGGATGACTAAATCATTAGAGACTCAGTGGAGAAGGCACCAACTTAGATCTGCATAACAAACTTGACCTTTGCTTACTGTGTTTTCCTGGGCGTCTCACCATAACTGGCCTTCCCCTCACCCTTCTGTCTTTGTTTCAGTGGAAGATAGGATTTAAGCCTGAATTCAAAGCCATGTCTTTGAGATTTGCTCATTTCTCTAAGTTTCTCCCAGGTATACAGAAGATACACGTTATGAAACGTCCTTTTTTCCCTCGTTAATCAGTCTTTTGTTGCGGCGGTCTGCCCCAGCTAAAAGATATGCAGAGTAGAGAGAAATGTTTTCCCCCTACAGTCCCCAATACTTAATTTTATTCACTAATTTCTGGATCTTGATTTATTAATCATTGAAAAGGTGTCAGATGCACCAAAATCACCCTGGTAAAGAAAGAATACGTAGAGAAAAAAGGTGAAATGCTTTGTCTAGCTCATCCGTCTGGGTTATCTGTGCCTTTGTTTGCCTCTGATTGGGCTATTTCACAACTCTTTAGACACAGAAGTTACCTTGGAGAAAATTGATTGGAATGCAAATAATCTCTGTCCATGAAAATGCAAACTGGGTTTGTGTGGATATTGACCAGTTTTGCCAGTTTTGCATTTGTTTGTAAATTCATTTCACATTCCTTATTTAACCATAAATGTGTGGTTCTCTTTTGAACTCCTTGCAACATCTATTTATCACCTTATTAATTCCTGAGTTAAATCCGACACATTTATTTTATATTGTATGAAAGTTGTAATTTTATCCTCATTTAAAACGTATTCTTTAATGAATATAAACAGCAAACTTACGTGATTCATTGAGGAACACATCTGAAATTCAAACATGTTCCTTTCCTTGCAAGTTTTCTCTCCAAGGCCAGAATTGCATCCTTCCTGTGTCATCCAGATAGTCATTGTCAAAGAATCAGTCAATCAAAGATGGCTTTGTAAGCTTGCTGAATAAATAACAGAGTCCTGGACATTTTTGAATAGCTTCTTCTGTTCAACAAAAAACAACTTGCAAGGCTAGGCGCGATGGCTCACGTCTGTAATCTCAGCACTTTGGGAGGCTGAGGTGGGCGGATTGCTTCACCTCAAGAGTTCAAGACCAGCTGGGAACATGGTGAAACCCCAACTCTACTAAAAATACAAAATAAAAATTAAAATTAGCCGGGTGTGGTGGTGCATGCCTGTAGTCCCAGGTACTCGGGAAGCCGAGGTGGGAGGATCACTTGAGCCCGGGAGGCAGAGGTTGCGGAGAGCCGAGATTGCGCCACTGCACTCCAGCCTGGGCAACAAACCTGGGCGACAAAGTGAGACCCCGTCTCAAAAAAACAAACAAACAAAAAAACAAAACAACCTGCAAAGCTTCTAAGGCAACCTGTTGTTCCCAGTGGTTACTCCAATGTACTTGTGGTGAATCCACAGGCGTCTGCAGCAACTTCAATTCTTGCCTCCTCAGATGAAAGAATTCGACTGAGGGGCATAAAGCAGAAAAAAAGACTAAGGCAAGTTTCAGCACAGGAGTGGAAGTTTATTTAAAAGGCTTTAAAACAGGAAAGAAAGTTCACTTGTAAAAGACCCAAGAGGGTGCCTGAAGGTCAAAAAGAGAGCGTTTAACCTTGATCCTCGGGCTTTACAGGCTTGCCTCTTTCCCATAATTCCTCCCTTAGGGTGGGCTTCCCGCATGCGCAGTGCCCTCCTTACTTCTGGGAATTGAGCACACAGTGAGTTTAAGAAGTTGTATACAGCCGCGTCTGATCCTTCCTTCCCTTTTTTCCGATGGAGTGTCCCCAAAAGGTCATACTCCGCCAACTTGTCTTTTACGGTACATGCCCAGGAGGCTGCTTTCCCTGGCATCTGCATTCAATTAACACTTTAATGTTAACAGCTGTGGATCATCAGGAGATTGTCTCTCCCTGGCACAGGCTGCTGAATTATCATTGCTAGAGAGGCAGTGTGATAATTGTCAAACCATCCCCGGACATTCCTAGTGGGTGGGGGAAGAGCGCTCTCCTGCCCCACTCATGCCTATCTAACTACCTGTAACAATACGAATAAGTTGCCAACAGATCATAAGTAAGCATTACCAAAAGGAAAGTAAGATCTGTTTAGGGGGCTTCTTGGAGAGAAGATTTGCAAACAAAATTTGGTTTAAAAGGGGATGATAATATTAGTTCATCTCATCGGAGTGTATGCAAAACAAACTCTTCAATGTTTTTATTAAAATTTGGCTAATGTCTTTTGAGAAAGCAAAATTTTGAAAAATTTTGTTTTTAGTTTTTATTTTTACAATTGTATTTTAAAACTTATAGAAACACAACTGTTTAGCAGCTTTTCTCTAGAGAGTATGTTGCTAAAATTTTAGGCCTTTCTTTTTACTGAATTTAATTTTATGTAACTACAGACTTGAGTATTTTATAGCTATAATACCATTCCAGTTATGTAAGTAATATTTTATGTAATTGAAATAATTATGTGGGAGGAATTTAGTCAACTCAACTGTATAACCATTCATGTAGTTTATAGAATTATAAAAAAGTTTTAGACATATTTCTATGTGAATGTGTAGTGTCTTTGCAAAAACAGCACCAAACTATAATCATATAAGTAGCTGAAGGTTTTAATGATTTAATGAATATTTAATTATTTAATTTAAATTAATAAATAATGACCATCTAATAAATATGACTAATGATGTTTGTGGTAGCAAGTATAAGAATTTGTGTTTGTTGGCCGGGTGCGGTGGCTCACGCCTATAATCCCAGCACTTTGAGAGGCCGAGGTGGGCGGATCACCTGAGGTTGGGAGTTCGAGACAAGTCTGACCAACATGGAGAAACCCCGTCTCTGCTGAAAATACAAAATTAGCCGGGCATGGTGGTGCACACCTATAATCCCAGCTACTCGGGAGGCTGAGGCAGGAGAATCGCTTGAACCCAGGAGGTGGAGGTTGCGGTGAGCCAAGATGGTGCCATTGCACTCCAGTCTGGGCAACAAGAGCAAAACTCCATCTCAAAAAAAAAAAAAAAAAAAAAGAATTTGTGTTTGTCATCAATGTGATCAGTGTGGAACATTTAATAAAAGGTTACAGAAACCTAATGAGAGCTTATTAGGATGAAATACATGTGTTTTTAAAACTATTAATATTTATCTTACTTGTGAATATGTTTCATGCATTGCCTGTTATTAAACTTATTAGAAAATGAGATCATTGTCATCAATCACCACTCAAGCATCATCTCCTTCCAAAGCCACCCTTGATGTCCTCAAGACAGAATTAAATGCTCCCTCTTGTCTGTTCCCACAGTGTATCTGCCATAACTGCACCATAATTATTGTTTATCTGTGAGTACCTATCTATAGGTGTGGTAAATGGAAACAATATAGATGTTGAAGTCAAACCAGATTTGAATTTCAAAATAACCAATTGCTAGTTGAGTGATCATAGATGAGCAAATAAACATTGTGAAATTCAGCAAGATGCACATTAAAATCATCATAATATATACCATAGTATTATAGTATTGTTATGAAGATTAAGAGAAATAACATATGTTGCCACCTGGAACACAGTAGGTGCCCAACTTTATTATCTAAACATTTCCCCCTCTTCTTAGATTACAAATAAGCTATTTGTATCTGTTTTATTCTATATTTACTATATAATGCTAAACATATGTTATAACAGAAGAGAAAGACGAAAATTACAAATGCTGTAGAAGTTAGTAGCATTTCCCACACCATCACATCTTGTTTTGATAAGTCATCATTAGTTTTCACTTTTCCCTCAACTTTGCTGGACATGCTGTTTTGACACCAGTGTTTTTGAAAAAATGCAAACATTGAGCAATGTATGACCCTTGCAAAATGCTCCTGGTGTTTCTTCTTCACTATTTCCAGAGAGAAACTAATGTTCAAGCCTAATTAACTAGGTAAGGATGAAACATTTGCCCAGGCAGCAAGATCTAGTTCTGCTTGTTCACAAAACGTGGCCAAGGCGAAGGGGGCAGGGTGCCCAGGAGACTGAGGCTTTGGAACATATGGAGTCACCAGGCCCTGCCCAACCCTGTAGTTGGGTTTCTCACCACCCTTTCACACTCTGGCCAAACCAGATGTCAGCCAGTCTCTGATCCTGCCACAGTATCACCTTTTCATCTGAGGTTTCTTCTACCAGAACTGCACCCCCTCACATTTTGTCTTGTGATCTTTGCAACTCAACTCTGTTCCTATCTTTTCCGGAAAACATTTCCCAAATCATTTACCTTTCTCCAAGACCTCCATTCCATCCCTGAAAAAATGAAAAAACAAAAACAAAAGCAATCTCTTACAGCTCCAGTTCTTCTCACTGAGGGTTGCTAAAATATAGGCTATCCAATCAAATTTGAATTTTAATAAGCAATGAATAATTTTTAGTATTAGTATCTCCCAAATAGTCCATGAGATATATACATACTATTTGTTGCTTACCTGAAATTCAAATTTAACTGGGCATCCTGTATTTTTATTTGCTAAATATGGCAATCCTATTCTCTTGTCTTGTGTTGTAGTACTGTATTATGTCATGTGTCTTGTATTACACCATTATTCACAATTGTTAATAGACTACATGTTCTCTGAAGCCAGGAACAGTGTTCAATTTTTTGGTTTCACTACCACCTCTACCTCACCCTTCCTGATGCCTCCTTACTGAATACTCAGCACAGTGTCTTAAATGTTGTTGGGAGTACAGGAATCAAGTCCTCATTCATTCTTTCATTCCTTCTTTCACATAGCAAATATCTACTAAGCTTATAGTTTCTGGGGATACGACTTTAAACAAGAAATAGCTATTGTCATTGAGGAGCTCCCAGCTCATTCAGGAAAATAGACATGTCAGAAAGCGATTTCTTTTTTATTTTATTATTTATTTATTTATTTTGAGATGGAGCCTCGTTCTGTTGCCCAGGCTGGAGTGCAGTGGCGCGATCTCGGCTGGATGCAACCTCCGCCTCCTGAGTTCAAGTGATTCTCCTGACTCAGCCTCCCAAGTAGCTGGAACTACAGGCCCCCACCACCATGCCCAGCTAATTTTTGTATTTTTAGTAGAGACGAGGTTTCACCCTGTTGGTCAGGCCGGTCTCGAAATCCTGACCTCGTGATCTGCCTGCCTCGGCCTCCCAAAGTGCTGGGAATACAGGTGTGAGCCACCGCGCCCTACCAGAAAGCAATTTAAATCAGTGACATAGTTCTAGAGTAGGGTGACTTGAGAACACAGGAGAAAAGCACCAAGCCCAGTCTTTAGGGGTTAAAGGAGACTTCTGGGGAGGAAGTAACAGCAAGGCTGAGACCTAAGAGTTAATAGGAGTTATTAATAATAAGGTGATGGCAGAGAGCGAAGACATTCTACACAGAGATAATAGTTGGAAAAAAAAACACTTGAAATAAGAGAAAATGTGGCATTAATATTTGATTCATTAATCAAATCTTCCTTGTAGTTCAAGCTTGTTCTGACTCATGCATGCAATGTCTTTGAGGCCTCAAGCCTCTTCTTCACATTTTTTTCTCAAGGAATTCAACAATGACAATTCTTATTTCCCGTGCCACATCCACCTTCTCTGAGCTCTAGGCTGGGTTTTATCCCCCATCCTTGGTGTAGTCTAAACTACTTCTTCAAGAATTTAGAGCTGAATGTGACCAGCTGTCTCAGCCCACCTCACCCTTCTCCCATTCAGTCTCACTCTGTCTGCTCCATCCAGTATTCTACTGATTTTTTCCCTCAGTTTACTCCTTCCAACTCCTGTTGCCCCACTGAGGCTGATGTCTATGACCATAACTGCTTTCTGATCCACTTTTGAGTAATTCCACTCACTCAGTCTTCTGCATTTCCTACATAACCAAACCATATTCCACATAGTAGTGCTGACGGCATTCATAGGATTCCAACTTTAAAAGTGCAGTCACAAGAGAAAATACATCACATCTCTGACAAGGACTAAAAGTATAGGAAGAAACTCTCAGGTAAAATCCACTTAATAAAGCTGTTTCTAAATCAATGTCCTGCCAGGTGCGGTGGCTCACGCCTGTAATCCCAACACTTTGGTGGGCCAAGGTGGGTGGATCGCCTGAGGTCAGGAGTTCAAGACCAGCCTGACCAATATGGTGAAACCCTGTCTCTACTAAAAATACAAAATAATAGCTGGGCATGGTGGCGAGTGCCTGTAATCCCAGCTACTAGGGAAGCTGAGGCAGGAGACTCACTTGAACCGGGAGGCGGAGGTTGCAGTGAGCCAAGATAACGCCATTGCACTCCGGCCGGGGCAACAAGAGCAAAACTCCATTTCAAAAAAAATAATAAAAATAAAAATAAAATTACTACAATGTCCTTTGTAGTAATCAGCCATTTGTAGTCATCTTTGCAGTCCTAACCTGTGCCTAGCACAAAGCAACCACTTGATGCAAGAATTTACATCTAATTACATCTTTCGTTCTAATTAAACTTTGTTATAATTAATCTTAAGTTATGGCCACGTGTAGAATTAAACAAATGATGAACAGTAGCTAACTTTCTGTACCAAGCATGAAACCAGGAATTTTAAGTGCTATACAGAGTTTGTGACAATAGGATATCTGTGGTACCTTAATTTCATGTGTCAACTTGACTGGGCCATGGGGTCTCCAGGTATTCGGTCAAACATTATTGTGGGTGTTTCTTGGGAGTGTTGTTGAGTGAGACTGGCATTTAAACAGGCAGACCAAATAAAACAGATTGGCCTTTCCAGTGTGCGCAGGCCTCATCCAATCATTTGAAGGCCTGAATAAAACAAAAAGACTACTGTCCCCTAAGTAAGAGAGAATTCTTGCTGCCTGGCTACCTTCAAACTGGGACATCAGCTCCTCCTCAGTCTTGAGCCTGCCAACTGGGTCTCTAGCCAAGCTTGCTGACTCACCTCCAGATCTTTGAACTTGCCCACTTTCATAATCATGGGAGCCAATTCCTCACATGTAATTCCACTCACTCATCCTTCTGCACTTCCTACATAACCAAACCATATTCCATACAGGAAATTTATATACATCCTATTGATTTTGTTTCTCTGGAGAACCCTGACACCGATAATAGAGTATTCCAGGAAATAAAGCAATCAGAGGTTACTTTGATGAGAATACATGCCTTTAATTTGCCTTATAAGTCTTTTGTGATCCAGATATATGCCATCTCCCTTGGTAATTCGTCCATCTGTGCTACATGTGGATGACTTAATTCTTACAGGTCATTTTTTCATATTCAATCTCAGGACCTTTGAAGAATCCTCTCAACTTATGGATACTAATCCATCAGCTGCAAATAGCCACACAAATGTTCACCACATGCATATACAGGACTATGAAGCTTTGTACGATATGGAGTTGTATTAGGGTAAGTCAGAAAATAGGGAAAAGGGCTATGAGTGCTGATATTCAGAAATAAAAATGAAAAAAAACTAGGTTAAAGCCAATTAATACTTTCTCATCAGACCCTGTCATGTTTCATAGTGTTGTACACAAGTAAAGTTTTGGAAAAAAACAGAAGAGCTGGGGACTTGGGTGGGGAGGGGAGGAAGTAAGAGTTTTGTAAGGAATTCAGGGACATCAAAGTACTAAATGTATAACATTGAGCAGCGTCTGCATCCTAGCTGTGCTACCTGTGTAGTTACACAGAGTCCTGCACGCAGGAGGAGCCTGAATTGGCCTTAAAGCTCTGTCACTATCTTGAGATTCTTAATATTTTTTGCAAAAATGGACCCCAAATTTTCACACTGCACTGGGCCCCGCAAATTATGTAGTTGGTCTTGCCGCTAAGTAAAACTTTCTGAAGTAACCATTTAAAAGTCAAAAGTAAATGTTTATTCAACTTTCTACCTAATGATTAGTTTGATGTCCTGACAATAGCAAACCAAACTGAGGCTCCATACTCCCATGCTCTCCCTGCACATGGAAAGAACAGCTGGCAAGAAATGGCTGAGCAGTAACCATCAAGAGCTATGGATAAGTGGTTGTTGTACAGAACTTGAGAAGAGAGACAAGTTCCTATCATCAGTTCTTATAAGAGCTTGGATAGCTGCTTCTGAAATCAAGGACTAGACCTCTTATATTATAGTGACATCTGCCCCTAGATTGAAAATCCCCAATCTAGGAACTGAGGAAGGTAATTTGGCACTATTGTCAAAACTTTTCTTTATCATCCTTCACCTTTGACTCTGTCTAGTATAAGAAAAAGGAAATGCCAACCATTTGGGAGTTTATTACTTGCTATACAAAAGTAATCACCATTACTTCCATTCCAGGGATTAAGGTAGACCAAATATCCTATTTCCATGTTTTGCACGTGCACACACACACACACACACACACAATCATGTAAACACAAACATATATCAATGGACAAAGTGCTATTTATAGAGATACTGTATTTAAAATAATCTGGATAGATAGTAAAAATGAAGGAATTTGGAAATGATTAGTATCTTTCATAAACTTTCATCTGGTAGGACAGAGGAAGGCACTATACTCAATTTGATAAATGGAAGACATAAACTGCTAAAATGACAATACTTTTAATTGACTCCTGAAATAAAATACTGCACCAACATTATTGCTGACTCATAACTGCCCTCAATGACTTGAACTCCTCTCCTGCAGCAAAGTCTTTTAGCTCCACTCCTATACATTTCACCCCATATACTCACTCTCTTTCTTGCATACTAAGTTCCAGACAATAGGATTGTATTAGTCAGCATTGTCCAGAGAAACAGAACCAATAGATAGAGAGGTTATCAATGATAGATAGATAGATAGATAGATAGATAGATAGATAGATAGATATCAATATACAATAAGGAATTGACTCATGAGATTATGAAGGCTGACAGGTACCAAAATCTGCAGCCAGCAAGCAGGAGGCCCAGAAGAGCCATGGTGTAGTTCCAATCCAAAGGCTGGCAGGCTCAAGATCCAGGAAGAGACCAATATTTTAGTTTGAGACTGAAGGCAAAAAAGAGCCCATGTCTCAGGGTCAAGGCAGTCAGGCAGGAGGAGTTCTCTCTTACTTGTAGGAGGGTCAACCTTTTGTTCTCTTCAGGTCTTTAGTAGATTGGATGAGGCCCACCCACATTAGGATGGAAAATATGCTTTTTTCAGTCTGCCGATTCAATCGTTATCCGCATCCAAAAATACTCTCACAGACATATGCAGAATACTGGTTGACCAAATATCTGGGCATCCTGTGGCCCAGTCAACTTGATACATAAAATTAACCATTTCAAGCATGTAACTGAAAGCATCTTGTGCCAGCTTCCAGGACAGCCAGCCACCCCACTGCCTCAGCCACTTCTTTGTTCCTTCCTTCTCTGGTTGCCTGGAATATATATACCGCCATCTTGGACCATGAGATTGAGAAACATTGCTCAATAATGGCAAAGAAGTTTGAAGCCTTGGAGATTTGATGGAGAAGAGCCTCTATTTCAGCCCAGGACTACACATCCCAGTCTTTTGCATGAGAGAAAAGGAAACTTCCACCTTGTTTAAGGCACCGTTATTTGGCAGGTTTCTGTCCTTCACAAGCAATTCTAATCCTAATTCATGTACCTCCCTTTCACTCCCACTGCACACAACAGGGTAGAATTACAGACTGGACAACAAATTAGATAAAATACCTATGACCAGAAAGGGAGAAAATTGTGAAAATCCCATCCACTCTACAGGGAGGGTAATTTGTATCCTTGCAGTAATATTTGCACAGCCTTTCACAACATTACTTCATTTCTTTCCAAAAATAACCTTGAGAAGCAGACAGAGCTAATGTTTTTATCCTCATTTTTCTCTCTGAATAATCTAGGATTGTCCCTGCTTAGATGATAATTTAGTTTTAATTGATTCTTCATATTAAGCTTAGCAAAACCAGTATCAAGTGAACAATTTAATAGCTTATTAAATACAATGCTATTACTTTGCAAACATTTATAGAGAGCTTTAAAACATCTTTATAAATATAAATTTAGTCTTAAAGCAAGATTGAGGTAATAGTAAAATTTTACTTTGGTAATAGTAAAATTTTACTTTAACATAATAGACACCAAAATGACTTTTTAAAATTTAAACTGCATTTCAATGGAAACCTATGGTCACACTGAAACAGAAGAATATTGGGCTGTTTCTTTGTTGTGATGGTTTTCAAATAAAGCAAGGAAAAACACTATCATTGTTGTCACAATGCATGTTAGCATTAAGTCCCAGGAGAAATCCTAAAGCTGTGAGAACTATTTAACTTTATTTTAATCCACTGTTTTTTTAACTTCTTTGACTATGAAACAGTGTTTAGCTTGTTTTTTTGTTCATTTGTTTGGAAATACTTAACATTTCAAAAATTGGTGTTGAAAGAACAAGGTTTCAGGAATGCTATACCATATTCAAATTCTAATTCTAGTATCTTTAGTGAGAAGGAAGTGCCCTTAGAATTACCATATTTATAAAAATACGGGATGCCCAGTTAAAATTGAATTTCAAATGAACAACAACTCTTTAAGTACCTCCCATGCAATATTTGGGATATACTTATACTGAAAAAAAAAGTTTATCTAATTTCTGAAATTCAATTTTAACTGGATGCCTGTCTTTTCCCTGGCAACCCTACTGTCTTAGTCCATTTTGTCTTGCTATAACAGAATACATGAGACTGGGTAATTTACAAAGGAAAGAAGTGTATCTAGTCCACGGTTCTGCAGGGTGAGAAGTTCAAAAGTATGGCCATGGCTTCTGGTGAGGGCATTCTTCTGTGTCATAACATTGCAGGGCAGAGTAGGTCAAAGGGGAAGCAGACAAGTGAGAAGAGAGAGGATCAAACAGGAACAGGAACTTTGCTTTATAATAACTCACACTTTAGGGAACTAATCCATTCCCACAAGAACTAATGCAGTCTCATGAAAGCAAGAACTCACTACCTGGAAAACTGCATTATTCATAAGGCCATGCTCCTGGCCCAAACACCTCCCACTAGACCCCACCTCTCAACACCACCATATTCGTGATCAAATTTCAACATGAGTTTTGGTGGGGACAGACAAGCCGTATCCATAGGACCTACCTTTGATCCATTCCTAGGGAAGAACAGTTGCTGATCCTTCTGATTCAGATTTTCAGACATTTAATGGGGCTTTACCACTAGGCAAGATCCCATGATTAAAATCACAGGCCTGGCCGGGTGAGGTGGCTCACGCCTGTAATCCCAGCACTTTGGGAGGCTGAGGCGGGTGGATCATCTGAGGTCAGGAGTTCAAGACCAGCCTGGCCAACATGGTGAAACCCTGTCTCTGCTAGAAAAAAATACAAAAAATTAGCTGGGCGTGATGGTGCACGCCTGTAATCCCAGCTACTAGAGAGGCTGAGGCAGGAGAATTGCTTGAACCCAGGAGGCGGAGGTTGCAGTGAGCCAACACTGCGCCATTGCATTCAAGCCTGGGTGACAGAGCAAGACTCCATCTCCACACACACACAAAAAAAAAAACCACCGACCTGGCCATCCTGCTTTCTTTTCTGAAGCATTTCCATCTCTTTCGTTTGTCAGTGGTCTGTGCCCGACACTATCCATGTTCCCCTGCAGATCCACTCTTCACCCATTCACCCTGCTCTGCACCCTGAAAGACTGGCTGTATGATGGACCCCAGCAACCAAGCTCCCTTGTTCTGTCGTTTGTAGTTGGGCTTGGCCAGTGGCAGCCACCAGGAGAGGATGGAAGGACAGAAGGAGAGAGAGATTTTCTGCTAAGCCCTAGGTCAGCTGTGGCCCGGCTCCCTCACCAAAGTGCAAGTTTGTGAGGAATGTCAGTGGTCCTTTGCTTGCCCTTGAAAGCCTAGAGAAGACTTCCCTGAAGCAGCCACCCCAAGGACCTCATCAACCCTTCTTATTTCCCTTAACTCTTCCTCTAACTTTATAATAATCCCTTCATTACTTTCTCTTTTTATCATGCCTTCTTAAGTGTGCTTCTCTTTCCTCCCAAGACCCTGATAATACAGTGTAAGACTGAGATGCAGGGTAAATGGAGATTCCCTACTTGAACCTTAATCCTGAATCTCAAACTCACTCCTAGTTTTGACAAACAGTCCTACTTGGGGAGTTTTAGTACTTGAGTAATAATAGAGGTCACTCGTTTCCCATTTCTAGATAGGCTAGTTAAAGATCAACAAAAGCCGTTCAGTAGGCTTAATATAAATTATTGTTGTTACCAGCATTTGTGTTATTTGGGGGTGGGGCTCAGCGTATTTAAGTGATGTCAACACTTATCTCTCTCCACTTTATAGAAAAGGAGATCATATAACCAAATCCATAGTTGCCCGCAGATCACAGTGACTCCATGGTGAACCTTGTGTCTTGTTGTCTTTTGTTTTTTGTTTTTTGGGTTTATTTGCCTGGGATCTGAGATCTGACCAGCACGTTCATATTGTTAGTTTCCAGAACTCATAAATCCCTAAGATTTGTTTGGCAAACTAGATGTTGTCAGAATACTTAGGGTGAGATACAATAACAATTTAAATGATAAACAAAAACAAACAGAAAAGAATTCATCCTAACTTACCCAGGACCAATTTCTTGCTGTTTTTTTCCCCAGCTATTTTTAAATAATCAAATCACTGTAGTAGCTATGGCATTTTAGAGATTGCAAGGTCTGTGAGTCATATCCTTATTTACAGGAATGATGGGAGAAAGTCAGCTTGTTCAGCATTTACTCCATTTATGAGAAATGTACAGGCAAATAAGAAGCTGGGGAAACGCTGTTTCGTGTATCATTTCACCGTGTCCTACAATCTCTTTCTCTTTCCCTTTTCAGGACTCAGACCTGGGAGAACAGCCACTGCCCAGACACGTTCAGCGACAGATAAAACAGTATAACATTTTGCAAAGGCAAATTCCTCCTCTTCTGCTGTAGAAAAACTTGGTTTCTTCTTCATACACACTGAGTCCTTCTGCTCATAATGCTGGTCCTAAACACCTTAATCCAAAAGCAGCCAATAAAAAGTTTTTAAAAGTCCAACTCCTTAGGGAAAAACTTTGTTTTCCAGTTTGTGTGACTCAGGTCATCAGCTCACGGTCATTGTCAGAGCCCCAGTCATCTACGTGTGTCAGCACCGCCCCTTTTATCTCTCTGTCTTCAGTACTGCCTGAGAAGTACACACAAAGGACTGAACAGAGACATTTTCAAAGTTTCAGAGAAAAATGAAAGGATATGATTTTAACACTGGAACCGAATACTCTCTTAAGCATAAATTTTTCTTCTAGGGAGCATTTGTTTGTAATTATGAGAAATTAAGGAATATATTCCCAGTGAATTAAAACATAGGAAATTAAAACTGGAAGGGTATTCAGGGAATCTAGAAGTTCATGCTATCAGCTTTGTGAGTGATTTCATCTCTCACTTTGTGCATTTCCCTTTCTATGTTCATGTTTGATGTGAGCTGCATTCCCAGCTCAGATTATTCTCATTCTTTAAAAATAAGAGGGGCTGGGCACAGTGGCTCACACCTGTAATCCCAGCACTTTGGGAGGCCGAGGCAGGCGGATCACCTGAGGTCGGGAGTTCGAGACCAGCCTGACCAACATGGAGAAACCCCGTCTCTACTAAAAATACAAAAAACTAACTGGGCATGGTGGTATATGTCTGTAATCCCAGCTACTCAGGAGGCTGAGACAGGAGAATTGCTTGAACCCGGGAGGGGGAGGTTGCAGTGAGCTGAGAACGCACCAGTGCAATCCAGCCTGGGCAATAGAGAGAGACTCCATCTCCATCTCAAATTAAAAATAATAATAATAATAAAATAATAATAATAGACCAGGTGTGGTGGCTCACGCCTGTAATTCCAGCACTTTCGAAGGATAAGGCAGGAGGATTGCTTGAGCCCAGGAGTTCAAGACCAGCCTGGGCCAACAAGAGAGACCCTCATCTCTACAAAATATTTTTTAAAATAACTGGGCCTCATGGTGCATTCCTGTAATCTGAGCTAGTTGGGAGGATAGCTAGAGCCCAGGAGATCGAGGCTGCAGAGAACCGTGATCACACGACTGCACTCCAGCCTGGGTGACAGAGCAAGACCCTGTCTCAATAGATAGATAGATAGATAGATAGATAGATAGATAGATAGATAGATAGATAAAAACAGAGAGGTGAAAAATATGGTTTTAAGGGTTCTGTTTAAGAATACTCTGTTCCAACATGGAGTTTGTCAACTCTAAAGTGGTAAAAAACAAGACAGATTGTAGACATTTTCATAAAAGGCAGGATTATTTGGTGTCACCAAATTAAATATGTTAATGGTCACAGCGGAGGCCGACTCAATCAGCCTTTTATTCTGCCAGGCTATTTGATACTGCTGAGGGCTTACCTATTTCCTGAGGAGAAAAATAGTCATTAAAATGACCTTATAAAGACGACGCTTGCAGGGATTGTTTCTATAGCTCACTACCAGATAAGTTTCTCCGAACATGTAGAGCACCAGAAACCACATGCAGCGGTGCAGCGCTCTCTCGGGAGCCTGACACTGGCTCTGGGTGCTGCTTCACTGCAACTTCCATTTGCCATTGAGAACTGTTCCGCTCTTCCTCTGGGAAAGTAAGAGAGAGAGGGTGCAATCTGAGGGGTTTCCCTTCTTGTAATACAAAATAATAACAACCACAGAGGACATCGCAAGTAAAATGTGTATAACAACCCCATCTAAAGAACCCTATCATCTTTCTACTATCTGTCTACCTAAATATGTATAGTATAAATAACCCTATATAGCACTCTAAGCAACTTAAGTTAGGTAACTTAGAAAACTCTTTTTTTTTTTTGAGACTGAGTCTCACTCTGTCGCACCCAGGCTGGAGTGCAGTGGCGTGATCTCGGCTCACTGCAACCTCCACCTTCTGGGTTCAAGTGATTCTCCCATCTCAGTCTCCCAAGTAGCTGGGATTACAGGCACGCCACCATGCCCTGCTACATTTTTTTTTTTTTTTTTTTTTAGTAGAGATGAGGTTTCACCACATTGGCCAGGCTGTTCTCGAACTCCTGACCTCAGGTGATCCGCCCACCTTGGCCTCATGAAGTGCTGGGATTACAGGTGTGAGCCACTGTACCCAGCCAGAAAACTCTTAAAAAACATGCTATTCTAGCAAAAAACATGTTACCCCTGTAATATGCTTAAAATTCTCCAATGGCTTCTCTTTGCTTTTAGGCCAACATTCTTAATGTGATCTTCAAGTTCTTGACCTATTCTACAACCTTACCTTATACTATACTACCTAATACTATATTCTCCCTACCCCTTCATGCTCAGCCATCCTGGCCTTTCTTCAGGTCTTTGAGCATGTCACAGGGCCTTTGCATGTGTTTTCACTCTGTCTAGGTTGTCTTCCTCCACCTGCCTTCTTTGCCTCTTTAGTTCTTACTCATCCATTAGATCTTAGCTCAGTAGACACTACACTAAGCAGCCATCCCAGACTCCCTATCTCAGTAAGATTCCGTGTTTGTTTGTTTGTTTGAGACAAAGTTTCACTCTTGTTGCCCAGGCTGGAGTGCAAACTCACTGCAAACTCTGCCTCCCGGATTCAACCGATTCTCCTGCCTCAGCCTCCCGAGTAGCTGGGATTACAGGTGCCCAACACCACGCCCGGCTAATTTTTGTATATTTAGTAGAGACAGGGTTTCACCATGTTGGCCAGGCTGGTCTTGAACTCCTGACCTCAGGTGATCCACCCGCCTCAGCCTCCCAAACTGCTGGGATTACAGGCGTGAGCCACCGCACCTGGCAAGATTCTGTTTTTAAGGTGCATTCATCAACTACATTTTGTCACTTATCTCATTTTTGTGGTTATCTTCATTACTTATTGCTGCAAAACAAATCACCCCAAACTTAGCAGCTTAAAACCAGTATTATTGCCTCAAAGTTCCTGAGAATCGGGAACCAGGGGCAGTTCAGCTGGGTGGTTCTGACTCAGAGACTTTCATGAGGCTGCACTCAAGATGTCAGCCAGACTGCAGCGTTTGAAGTCTTGCCTGGAGCTGGCAGATCTGCTTCCAAGTTCACTTACGTGGCTGTTGGCCGAAGGTGTCAGTTCCTTACCTGTGGGCTTCTCCGTGGCAGCTGGCTCACCCCAGGGCAAGTGATCCAAGAGACAGCAGGTGGGAAGGAAGCTCCAATGTCTTTCATGACCTAGACTTAGAAGTCAGATGTTGTCACTGCTGCTTGACTCTATTTGTTAAAAATATGTCTTTAAGTCCAACCCACACTAAATGGGAGAGAAATTAGGCTCTACCTCTTATGGAAATTTTTTGATATGTTTTAAAACTATCCCATTTGGGTATTTAGATAAATATCTACCTCCCTTACTAGACTAAGGGTTCCTTGAGAACCCAATAGAACCCTTGTTTCTAGTGTTCACTTTTGTGTCCCTGGTATCTTCCAGGATGCCTGGCAGAGCGTGGACATTCAATAAATATTGACTATATGAATTAATGAGTGAATGAAACTTTGCACTTGAATCCCAGCTCTGAGAACTTTCTACAAATTATACAACATTGGAGAAAAGGGACAATCACAGCTGTCTCTCAGGTGTTTAAAATAATACAGCCTATACAAAGCACCTAGTATAGTCTGGCACTGAAGGAGGTCATTAAATGTTCTTTCTCTTCCTCTTCCTTGCCTCAATCACACATGCAATCCATCTGAAGCCCTGTGGAGTCTACCTCCCATTATGTCTTTCCCATCCCTCTTAGTCTGTTACTCTCTTTCAAATGCTGCTGCTCTTAGACTTGCCTTGCACATGCTTTTCTATTAGCCTTGTATCAGTTCCCTGTGCCTCTATTCTCTAGGGCAATCTAGTGCAATCCATCCCTAAATGTGCTAGGACCACATTATCTTTGTCATTTTTGCATCTTCTATTGCTGTTGCTCGGCCCTGCACCAGCTAAGTGTATAATAAATTTTTGTTGAATTGAATTTCAGTTCCAGATCTCTTTTATTTAGCTCCTTACTTGCACTGAGTTAATCATACACTCAAACTCAGGTACCAGGATGAGAAAGAGAAACATGCCCTGCCCATATGAAAGGTTATACATTTTCTAGCTAGGTGTAACCACATTCTTTTCATGTCTACACAAAATAAATGGCCCATAAATGACAAATTCTTTAGTAGAGCAATTAAAGAATATAATGTGAGTTACATTTTATTTTAATTCTATCTCTAAAGCAAGCACCCTCACCCTAATGCTATAGTACTAATAACACCATAATACTTCTGTGCTCGTTTTTATGCTCTATAATATTGTCATTATTGCTAATAGCAAGAATATTGCAAATATATTTGAAGATAGAAAATTCTTAAATGGTCATTATATAGATAATATGCAGTGGTAAATAAGATTGGTGGAAATTTGTCAAATTATTGAAAAAAAAGAGACAGATAATATAAGAAATTCCACCTTCTCACATAAGATTTCTCTGACATGCTATAAAAGTAGATAATATTTTCATGTTCTAATTAACAAAAATCTTCTTACAACATATACACCTAGGGAAATGCTTGCTTTTGAGTCACAAATATATAACTTTTGGAAATAGTAAAAAGTCAAGCTAACACCAGCAAAGATAAGAAAACCATCAGTGACTCCTTAATGTAATAATAGTTGTGTTCAAATACTTTTACTTTGTTAAATTATTTTCATTCTGGTAAAGCAAAGAGATTTTGGAACCGTATTTCCCGGCTTCCCATTTTCTAGAAGGGACTGTGACTGCTTGAATTTTGTAAATATATGCAACTGTCTTCAGATGAGCAGTGTCCAAAAACTAATCTTTATATTTAAAGATGAGTAACTTACCTTTCTTCCTCCCATTCTGCTAACTTTGTATTTGTATTAACTTAGTGAACAATTCCTCCTTTATACTGGTGTTTATTAGCCTTATACTAAAAAGAGGAGGTGGGTTACTGAAACAGAAGGTTCTTCCAGAACAGTAGAGACTTTCACCTTCAGTCAAATGTTAAAGCAGCTTAAGGGTGAATAGGCTCACATAACATGAAAACTTTGAGGTCTATCAAAAAGCTTCATTTCACAAATGAGGAAATTGAAGATCAACATGCATAAGGGCCTCCCAGCTCTTATGCTCTTTTGCATCACGTGGCAAAAAAACCTGTGGCCCTGCACCATGCCTCCCTTCACATTTGCCCAAACTGTCCAGAGACTTGTCTATCCCAGGGCACATCAATCTCAGTGCTATTGTCACACTGAGGTGGACAACTCTGTTGCAGGCACTGTTCTGGGCAGGATGGTTAGCAGTATCCTGGACTCAGTCCTCTAGATACAAGTAGGACTCCCTCATGCTAGCTGTGGCAACAAAAACTATTTCCAGACATTGTCAAAGGTCCCCTGGGAGCAAAATCACGCCCATTTGAAAACCACTCATTTATCTGAGGTCATCTTGTTTTAATGAATTATTCCTTTTTTTCTGTTTTTGGGGCAAATATCTCAAGATACAAATGCATCACATTCAATATTGAAGTTCTGAGTTGTTTATATGTGAAATCACAGTCTTTCTAAGAAATGGGACTTCAGGCCAGGTGTGGTGGCCCACGCCTGGAGTCCCAGCACTTTGGGAGGCCGAGGTGGGCAGATCACCCAAGGTCAGGAGTTCCAGACCAGCCTGGCCAACATGGTGAAATCCCATCTCCACTAAAAATACAAAAATTAGCCAGATGTGGTGATGGGCGCCCGTAATCCCAGCTAATTGGGAGGCTGAGGCAGGAGAATCACTTGAACTCAGGAGGCAGTGGTTGCAGTGAGCTGAGATCTTGCCACAGCACTCCAGCCTGGGTGACGGAGCAAGGCTCTGTCAAAAAAAAAAAAAAAGAAAGAAAAAAAGAAAGAAAGAAGAGAGAGAGAGAGAGAGGAGAGAGAGAGAGAGAGAGAAAGAGAGAGAGAGAGAGAGAAAGAGAGAGAGAGAGAAAGAAAGAAAGGGAAAGAAAGAAAGAAAGGGAAAGAAAGAAAAGAAGGAAGAAAGAAAGAAAGAGAAAAAGAAAGAAAGGGGACTTCACTTCTTTTTTTTTGGCACATGCAAATACAGCTAAGAATCAGTTTCCGACTAGGGCTAGGTCATCGCAACATCTAGCACAAAGGAGGTTAAGAAAGGAGCAAACTAGAAACTGTCAGTTTTGATCCATGTTTAATGAAAAAGAAGTTACATGAATAGAAATGGACATATAACAAAGAGTTCAATTTGAGAAAATGTGGTGATAGGTAGAACAAGGAGAAATTGTTTCAATTCTGAATTTACTCGCATATTCCTATTAGCTGTTACTGATCTAAAACATCTCCTTAAATCCAAAACAAAACAATAGTTACAAGTTCACTGATGTTTTCATGGGCACTCACCCAAGTAATGTCCAAACAATATTTTTCCATGTCCCCCCTCCCCCAGAACACACACAGGCAAAGGCAGAGATGTTTACTGTGAGGTCACATGGCATGAAGCAAATGCAGCCTTATCTGTTTATTATTACAACAGCCAGTTAGCATTGGCAAATGTGCTTTGGTTACAAACATGGTTTCTGCTAATAATTTCATGAAGAAGCTTTTAGGATATGTGACCATTTATTCTTAGTATAATCAATCATTGAAGGATAAAAATCAGAGTATAAAAGTTTATACTCTGGCAAATATAAATACATGCACAGAAGTTTCTGACAGTTTAAATTTGAGCATATTTGAAATATTAAAGGCATGAAATTTAAAAATACACATACGTGAAACTATGGTGAACATGTTATGGGTTTGTCCCATGGTTTAACTCTGCTCAGCCCACGATTCTTAGCTGGGTCAGTCAATAGTCTATTTTTATCATTTTCTACCCTGTTGTACAGCATGATCATATCTTCCTAAAAAAGAAAAAAACATATATCTTTGGAAAAGAATTCTGATCTCCAAAAACATATACTAGTAATAGTTTCACGTTAATGATCTCATTTAAAATATCCCTTCTCTCAAGCTAGAAGCTGGCAAGCAGTAAACTCATTATAGACAGTTGTCATGTGGGTAATACAGAGAAGCAATAGATCTGACTCACTATTCATTTAAAATAAAAATCTTTTGGCCAGCACAGGGCAGTCATCAGCCTCGTATGCTCACACTGAAAAATTTAAAGTTAGGACGAGCCCTGCCTCTTCTGATACTGTATTCGAAGTTTCTCCAGTTGTTCCACACATTGAGACTGGGCCAACCTCAACGTCCGATTCTCCTCCGTCAGAGCCTCGAATTCCCGAACCAGCTCAGCAGCATCCACCTTCTCCTTTTCTGCCTGATCTAACTTGGCAATGAGCTCCTTCCTGAAGATTCGGGGTAAAGGGCAGGAAGAAGCACAGAATTCAATGCAAGCAAATTAAATTATTCAGTAATAGCATGATGGAAGTAGAATGATTCATTCTGCTGTTCTGAATTTTTTCCCATCTCTACTTGCCTCCAATGACTTTTATTTGTCCAGCTTTGCAAATTTTATATCCCTTTATTCTAGCACCTCGACTAGACACTTCCAAAATACTAACCATACACCAAAAGTCCCATAGGTTCTTTAGTAGTCAAAAACATGATCATTTTAAAAATACAGAAAATTGTAAAAATAATTTAGAAAAATATCTGTGTAAAATTTTTCATAATTTAAGATGCTGCCTATTGTCTTGTAGAGAGGACAACTATAGTTTTCTCTTGGCTGAGTCTTTGTCCCCCAAATTCAGTTGTTATCTTCCTTTGTTTCCTACATCTGAGTTGAACAAATCTCCAATAGACTTCTTTGAACTACAGAATCCCAACTCTGTCCTTGTAGATATTACCTCCTATGTCTTTCCCTAATCCTTACATATATATTGCAGCCCAAATTAACAAAACTGTGTCCACATTTGATGCTGACGTGACTCCAGAATTGAGGAAGCAGGCTGAAGCTACTGTAGGAAAATTGTAATGAAAACACTTTAAAGAAACTTAGTTCTTAGTTAATAGTTGTAAATAATTCATTGATTTAAATACACATTATAAGGAGCTAAAGGTTGGGCACAGTGGTTCATGTCTGTAATCCCAGCATTTTGGGATACCTAGGCAAATATCTCTTGAGTCCAGGAGTTTGAGACCATCCTCGGCAACATAGCGAGACAACATCTCTACAAAAAATTGGGAAATTAGCTGGGTATGATGGCTGACAACTGCAGTTCCAGCTACTCGGGAGGCTGTGGCAGGAGGATCACTTGAGCGTGGGAGGTTGAGGCTGCAGTGAGCTATGATTGTGCCACTGCACTCCAGCCTGGGCAAAAGAGTGAGATCCTGTCTCAAAAAAGGAAAGAAATAATGAGCTAAAGATCTTCAGTCCATGTGTAGATTTAATAAACATGATAACCCAAAGGATACCAGGTCTGTCTCCATCATGGAGGTCAGGTAATCCTAACCTAGACAAAATCTAACTGAATTCTCCTTTGCCTTACATTTCTTCCTCCTCTGTAGGGCAAAAAACAGTTGGTAAATGACCTTCAGATACATAGTTTTCTAGATGAGCTTTCCAAAGGGAAGGCTTTGTACTGCTGGTGTTAGCATTAGATGATTGTAGGTTGTACTGAAAGCTTCATTAGACTTTTGAATTAAATTAATGTGTATTTTTAAATATAAACCAACGCATCTAACATATGATTTCAAAGATCTTGTGCCCTAAAAGGAGGCTAATTAAAAGAAGATCTACATAAAGATGACTTACAAAAAAAGTTTGAGTCAATAATAATGTAGATGTGGAAGTATCTGGAACTTACTTCATGATCATTCACAGAAGTTGTACCCAAATGACCAAAGCTTAGGACACACTGCCACCAGTCTCAGTCCCAAGGCTTCTCCTCCTAGGTTCCCCCTACCCTGAAAAGCTCCTGATGTTTTACAGTTGTGTTCCTAGGAAACAGTTTTGAACCCCTGTTTTAAAGTAGTAATAACATTGCTTTAGCATAAAATACATGCAAATACTATCTTCCTTACATTCTTTCATCACTACAGTTGGCTACATTTCTAAAAGCCTCTCCTCTTCCTTCTTCCACTGATCAGATACTGATCTGACACTACATAATATGAAAAGAAGAAAGGAAAATACATATATTCCTGAAAAGCAATAATATTCAAGTTTATATTGGAAATAAGCCTGTGGCCACTGGGAACAAGGGGCGGGGGGAGGGGGGGGTTGCTCATCAAAACACAACCTGTAATGTTTCAATAATCCAGAGCTAGAAAACAGCCTGACCATCTCATTCAATTAGGTCTCCAAACATGTTTTATTATATAATACTATTGGTTAAAAAAAATTGAACACAAACCCAAACTACTTCTACGTATGTCTGCATATTCATTCATAAATTATATACCTGCCAATATATTACATACATTATAAAGCATACCCAAATATGGATATGTAACAGGATAAGACCGGATGCTAAACCTGGGGGGTGAAAGTCTGATAAGGAACAAAATATTTACATAACCTCAGTGTCTCCTACAAATTACTTAATTGAAAAGGGAAATGTGTGATGAAAACTGGAAGGCCACTTTCACCAAATGACCAAAGTTGACACTGCTAGTCATGAGATAAATAGACATCACATGCACTGTGAAACACACATCATTTCTGTGGTATTCCTGCCAAAAATGTACACTCTATATCTAATCATACAGACCAAATCAAATTCAGGGAAATTCTACAAAATTGTTAACCTGTATCTTTAAAAATGTTAAGAACTCCTCCGTATTTAAAGAAACCAAAAAAAAAAAAAAAAAAAAGAAAATGACAACACAGGCAATGTGCTATTCTGAACTGAAAAAAAAATAGTTTTGAAGAACATTATTGGGAAATTGATGCAATTTGAATATGGACTGTGAATTAAATAATAATAATATATCAATGCTAAATTTCTTGATTTTAATTATTATACCATGGTTAAATGAGAGAATGTTATTGTTTTAGACTATACTTACTGAAGTGTTTAGGGCAATGTGGAGCATGATGACACACATATATGCATACGTATACATACATGTATTTACACACATATATACATACACATATGTATATATGTATATGTGTGTGTATGAGAGAAAGAAAACCCCAGTACTGTCGTGGGAGGAAGAATAAGGCACAACTGGGGAAAGTTTAGTAACTGGTGAATCCAGTAAAGGATATATGGGAGTGTTGTTTTTTTTTTTTTTTTTTTTTTTGAGATGGAGTCTCACTCTGTCACCCAGACTGGAGTGCGGTGGCGTGATGTCGGCTCACTTCAACCTCTGCCTCCTGGGATCAAGCGATTCTCCTGCCTCAGCCTCGCGAGTAGCTGGGACTACAGGTGTGTGCGCCACACTTGGCTAATTTTTGTATTTTTAGTAGAGATGGGGTTTCACCATGTTGACTAAGCTGGTCCTGACCTCAGGTGATCCTCCCGCCTCAGCCTCCCAAAGTGCTGGGATTACAGGCGTGAACCACCACGCCCGGTTGGGAGTTCTCTATACTACTTTTGCAATTTTTCTCTAAGTTTGAAACTATCAAAATGCAGTTATCCTGAAAAAAAGACAAGGAGTAAATAAGGATAAAAGTTCTAGTATTTTCTTCCTGCACCCAATGGCCTGCCTTGGATACCCACTTTGGTGTCCACTGAGCAAAACCAGATGTTAGAAAGTGTCCAAAACTGGAAGATAAGGTACATCACTGATACGCATATAAACAAAGTTCCTTTGGGCTGTTACTGATTTTTGGATCTTCCATGCTGTTTAGAATAGAATAGGCTCACAATAAATACTTACTGAATAAATAATTGAAGAAAAAGGTAGCTCAGAGATACAGTAATTTATGTTTTAAAAATGAGGAAATAGAAACTGAAAGTGCTCCATTTAAAGGAAAAAGTCACACAGCTAATAAGAGTGAGCCAGAAATCAAGCCTATCTTCTGATTAAATGTTTAGAGTTTTGTGTCCCTAAGCATAGCTTAGGTAGTAAATGTCAATAATTAAATATTAATTAGTAAAATTCCTCATGTAATTATTTTTAAACATTAATGAGTAAAGCCTATATAAATTAAAAAAAAAAAAAAAAGAGGCAGGCACAGAGGCTCACACCTGTAATTCCAGCACTTTGAGAGGCCGAGGCGGGCAGATCACTTGAGGTCAGGAGTTTGAGACCAGCCTGGCCAACATGGTGAAACCCTGTATCTACCGAAAATACAAAAATTAGCGAGGCATGGTGGTGTGTGCCTGTAATCCCAGCTACTCGGGAGGCTGAGGCAGGAGAATCGCTGGAACCTGGGAGGTGGAGCTGCAGTGAGCCGAGATCACATCACTGCACTCCTGCCTGGGCGACAGAGTGAGACTCCATTCCAAAAAAAAAGAAAAAAAAAAGAGAAAGAGAGAGAGACATGCTTTAAATCCCCTATGCATCAAACAGATCATCTATTCCTGTTCTATTTTTCTCTTCAAATTACTTGTGTCATATAAATGATTTAGGTGGACTTTACTTTCAAATCACAGTCTGGGAGGTGGTGGTAATGGGGATAACAATGGCTATTTCCCTGGCTCCATATCTAACCTCATGTAAAACTCCTGAAGCTATCTGTCATTAATTTTGATTGTCAGAGATAAAAAATCACAAAATCATAGATTTTTACAATTTGAAAGAATAGTCTAAATTATCTAGTCTGATCTTGCATTGGAGAAAGTCAATAATAATTTCTTCTTTACTGGAACCCAGAAGACTCAGCGGATATGTTTCTAAATTAGTGTCATGTATTTGATAAGTAATTATACAGACATCCAATGAAAACTGTCAAAATGTCTATTGTTTCCTGTCCAGGACCTATTTATATAGACATATTTATGCTCATCCATTAGCAATTCATAATTAAACCTTGGCACATCAAGCTACAAAAACAATCTTATAAATAGATGATCTGAAGAACAAATCAATATGTATTATAGGCTAGAATGTGGTTCTGCCTTTGATTTATTGGTTCTATTTGTATCGTTTCCTTCAGTGTAATGTAATATGGGGGTAGAAGACCACAGTTAGAGAGATCTTATTTCTGCAGTCATGAATCTGTAACATAGCTTTCCACATGACGCCATTCAATAGCCTAAAAGGTCATAACTTTGGAGTCCACCATAGCTCATCTGTTGCCTCCATCCTAAGCCACATGCCTGGAAAGGTTTTTAGTTACTAAACAAATAGGGGAAGGGAAAGTCCAAGTCAATTGGTTAAGAAAACTTTCAAACTTTATGGAAATTAATTCCAAAATTAAGGAGATTCTTTACATTGCAGGAGTTTGAGACATGGATCCATCACTGGAATAAATATTTCTCTGTGCTGAGGAGACCACTACAAGGGATCTTGGCCCTTTCAAAGTTAACTAGGGACTTTTATTTGGGAAAGGCAAAATTCTAGACAGTTTGGCCCCAGTGAGCTAAAGAATTTGGGGAAATAATATAATAAAATACCTTTATCATAGGGAGAATTTTACTTTTAAATAGGGATTTAGACTGTATTGTTGGTGGATCTTGAGAGACTTATGTCTGAGTAAAAGCATTCATACGCAGGACAGAAGGAGTCAATGCCTCAAGATGACAGAAAGGATGTCAAAGTCTACCTTCATTTTATCCAGGTGGAGGAATAATAAATGATACTGAACTGAGATTTCCAATGCTCAGTCTAGACTATGTTGTTGAAGCTGTACAAATGCTTAATGCATGAAGAAATGTACTAATATCTATTGGGAAGCAAAGGGCAACACTGCACCCGTGCAGGAGGAAGTCAGACTTGCTCCAAAGCAGGATTTCTCATCCTTGGTACAACTGACATTGTGGGCCAGGCAATTCTTTGTCGTTGGGCACTGTCTATACATTGGCGTTGTAGGAAGTCTAGCAGCAACCTTGGCCTCACTCACTAGATGTCAATAGCAAACCTACACTCACCAACCAAAAATGTCTCTTAAGTATTGCCAATGTAGGGTGGGGCAGGTGTGGAGAATTTCCTGATTAAGAACCACCACCTAAAGGAAGTGGAGATTCCCACTATCAATCAACCTGACAAGAATTAATCCTGGGACAGGAAGAAAGTGAACAGCAAAAGGTTTCTTCACTCTGCTACCCCAGAGATTGGATTTGAGCCTCTTTCCTCAGCAAGGGAAACCTACTTAAAAGAGCTCTCACTGAGAAGAGTAAATATGCTGTCCCTTTTAACCCACTTAATGCCTGAGGTTGCAATTTTTTGAATTTGAAAAATCAGATCTTGGCAATGACCTTGAGCAGTAGGATATAAATAACTCCCACATTTAGTGTTCCAATAATGGAACACTAGGCATAAATTTAATATAGTTTCGGGCAGACAATTAGGTGTAGAAATACTTGGGAATGAAATTCCCATTAAATGACTGGGCTGCACCTAATTATGTGGTGTAAAATACCCAAATCATTGTGATTGGGGCATTAACAGCTTAAACTCACAGCCTGATGGCATCTGGGATACTGAAATTTCACAAAAACCTAAGTACTAAAATGAAAGAATACCTTTGGCTACATCTCTGTCTCCATAAACAAAGTAAAGAACTGAGGCAGGCCTTTGCTCTTCTACTCATTTGCTCAGCAAGTATTTATTGAAAGTCTGTTACAAGCCAGGCACCGTCTTCTATTCTTGCTAGCCAAGTCAGTCTTGGGAAGTGCATCTCCACAGCTGGAAAATGAACTCAAATCTCATATCTTACCCAGAAGGCATCTTACTCATATCAGACATCATAGGAAAGAGAAGATAGAACTTTTCCCCACATTACTATATATCCTGCAAACACTTGTGGAGAAATGTCTCCATTTACTGTGTATTTATGTTAATGAAAATGTAATTTCTGGAGGCTGAGTAAATATTTAAGAAAAATATCTTAGGTATATAAAAGTGAGGTTTGGTTTTCAGTGTTACCCTGCTGTGGAATCCTTTTGCAAAGAAAGTCATACCCTGAAGGGATGCAAATAAAAGGGATAAAATTGGTCCTTCTCTGCCGGGCGTGGTGGTTCACAACTGTAATCCCAGCACTTTGGGAGGCCAGGTGGGCGGACCACGAGGTCAGGAGATCAAGACCATCCTGGCTAACATGGCGAAACCCCATCTCTACTAAAAATACAAAAAATTAGCTGGGTATGGTGGCGGGCGCCTGTAGTCCCAGCTACGTGGGAGGCTGAAGCAGGAGAATGGCATGAACCGGGGAGATGGAGCTTGCAGTGAGCCGAGATCGCGCCACTGCATTCCAGCCTGGGTGACAGAGCAAGACTCTATCTCAAAAAAAAAAAAAAAAAAAAAAAATTGGTCCTTCTCTGGTTGATCTTGGTACAGTCCCCTGCCTGACACCCTCTCCCTCCCGAATCTGTGAGAGACTCCTCAGAACACAGTTTAAAAGCCTCTCCCTTTGGGAATATCCTAAAGAAATAAATCCTTCTGGTTAAACATAAAAAAAAAAACTTAAAATCTCCTGTTATTAGAAATCTCAGAATAAATATGACTAAAAACAAATCAAAATTGCACTAATTTTAATTTATGCCTTTGCAAATTACATATGCACCCTTTTGCCCCATCCTGATATGTTCCCCTAGATGAGATGTTACTCCCCAATCATCATTTTATACATTTTAAAAAGACATGACAATATAAGTCTCACATTGATTTTGATAGCCTCATATGAAAACCCCTTTCTGATGTTTTGCCTGAACACACTAAAATTATGTAACATTTTTCACCTCAGAAACAAAAAGACAACCAAATTAAAAAATGGGCAAAAGATCTTTGAGATATTTCTCCAAGAAAAGATAGAAATGGCCAATGAAGCACAGGAGAACCTGTGTAACATCATTAGCCATCAGAGAACTGTAAATCAAAACCACAATGACATATTGTTTCACACCCACTACAGATGGCTAGAATCTAAAAGGCACAAGAAGTGTTGGCAAAGATGTGGAAAAATTGGAACCTTGATACACTGCTGGCAAGAATATAAAATGTCAACCCGTTTGAAAACAATCTGGCAGTTCCTCAAAAGGTTACACATTGAGTTATAATATGAGCCAACAATTCTACTGCTAGGAACCTACTCAAGAGAATTGAAAACATAGGTCTACCTCAAAAATTGTACACAAATGTTTATAGCAGCGTTATTCACAATAGCCAAGAAGTGCAAACAACCGATTAAATGTCCATTAGCCTATGAAAGGATAAAATATTATATATTCATACAATGGAATATTATTCAGCAATAAAAAGAATGAAGTACTGATGCATGATACAAAGTGGATGAACCTTAAAAACATTATACTAAGTGAAAAAAGCCAATCACAAAAGATTACATATTATATGATTCCATTTGTATGAAATGTCCAAAATAAGCAAATCCATAGAGACAGAAAGTAGATTATTGGTTGCCAAAGTCCAGAAGTCAAGGGTCAGTGGGGCGTAACTGCCAAAGAGTGCCAGATTTATTTCTGGGGTGAAGGAAATGTGAAGTTGGTGATGGTTGCACAACTCTGTGAATATACTGAAAACCACCGAATTGCAATAGCCAGGGTATAGGATCAACCTACGTGTCCAAGTGTCCATCAGCAGAAGAATAGATTTTTTAATGTGATATATCTATACAATGGAATACTACTCAGCCATTTTAAAAAATGAAATCCTGTCATTTGCAACAACATGGATGAACCTGGAGGACATGATGTTAAATGAAATAAGTGAGGCACAGAAGGACAAAGACCACACAATCACGCTCCTATGTGGAATCTAAAAAAGTTGATCTCATTGATGTAGAGAGTAGAATAGTGATTACCAGAGGTTGGGGAGGGTGGTAGGAAGAGGGGTATGGGGAGGGGTTATTCAGTGAGTACATAGTTACAGTTAGACAGGAGGAATAACTTCTGGTGTTCTCCTGCACAGTAGGGTGACTGTAGTTAACAATGATGTACACTTCAAAATAGCTAAAAGAGAGGATTTTGAATGTTCTCACCACAAAGATATGACAAATGTTTGAGGAGATGAATACGCTAATTACACTGATTTGATCATTACACAATGTGTCCATGTATGAAAACATTACACTAGACCCCATAACTAAGTACAATTACTACATGTCAATTAAAAACAAATAAAACTGGCCAGGCGCATGGCTCATGCCTGTAATCCCAGCACTTTAGCAGCCCGATCACTTGAGGCCAGGAGTTTGAGACCAGCCTGGCCAACATGGTGAAACCCTGACTCTACTAAAAATATAACAATTAGCCCAGAGTGGTGGCACACACCTGTAATCCCAGCTACTCGGGGAGCTGAGGTAGGAGGATCGCTTGAACCTGGGAGGCAGAGGTTGCAGTGAGCCAAGATCGCACTGCTGCACTGCAGCCTGGGAGACTGAGCAAGACTGTCTCAGAAAAATAAAATAAAATAAAATTGTTTATAAAAATATATATAACATGAGGATGCAAAGACATAAGGATAATACAATGGACTTTGGGGACTCGGGAAAGGGTGGGAGAGGAGTGAGGAATAAAAGAATATACATTGTGTACAGTGTACCCTGCTTGGGTGACAGGTGTACCAAAATCTCAGAAATCATCACTAAAGAACTTATTCATGTAACCAAGCACCACCTGTGCCCCAAAAACATATTGAAATTAAAAAATAAAAATTAAAATGAATAAATAAAACATTCTTCAATCTGACTTTTCTAAGAGTCTGTCTATTTTTCTGACATTTCAGTTAATCTTCTAAACACCAAAGTACCCAATACAATATTTCATACCAAAAAAATAAATAAGTGGTTTCTCTACTGGATGAGATAAAATGCTTTATCTGGAACAAAGCAAACTTTACAGTTGATTGTAGCTTAATAATATACTTTTAAAAATTTCTGTCAAACAATTTGGTAATAGATTTCATTTTTTTATTTTATTTTTTCTAAATTTGGTGATAGATTTCAAAAGCCATAAAATGTCTATATCTCATTTCAATGACTTTCATATTACATACACAAAAAGCTAGGTATGTTGTAGAAAAATGCTTATAATATTTACGGAAAAAATCATGTTATACATTCCACGTTACTGTATATGCAATTATATTAAAATGTCTATTCACATGCAAAAGGCCTAGAAAGAATTAGATAAAAATGATAGCAGGAGTTCTTTAAAGATATCAGAATTCTTGGTAATTTTTCAAAGCTTTCAAGAAAGTCCTTCCCACCTTTTTCACACGGAGAAGAAAAAAAAAATCAGTAAAAATATAACAAACCTCTCGTACATCATTGGTCATAAGCCAGAAGCGATTCTTTAAATTGGATTCAGCCAATGCTGAGTTTATAATCCTAGAAAATGTTTGACTCTCTTTCTCCATCCAACAGATATGATTTAAAATAACAGTTTCAGCAACTCTTCTCATCACGCCTCTTAAGACAAATTCTCCCAAACTTGATCCAGGGAGACCTCCTCTGGAGATGAGAGAGAAGTTCAGTTTGGAGTTCAAACCTTAAGCAGTGTCTGAACGACTCCAATAAAGAAAAACTGTCTTTTAAAATACCTTAGTTAGCGTCTCTCTTTGCATCTAGCTTACGCCAGCCAAGCTAGAGGCAACATAATCAGCTACACTTTATGAAATAATGAGAAAGAAATTCTCAACAGAATCATCAAAAAATGGAGAGCTAACTACTTGGGTCAAATTCACTTGGCCCAATATATCTTGCTTGAAAATAAAGACTGTTTGGGAAAAGACATGTTGCAAAATGAATTTCCACTTCAGTAAAGTCTTAATGAAAATAACGATCATTAACAATCCTTGGAAAACCAAGCTCATGTATTTATAAATATAAGATATTACCATATTTCCCAATTTAACAATGTATCCTAGCAGTTTGTTTTTTTTTTTTAAATGGAGTCTCGCACTGTCACCCGGGCTGGAGTGCAATGGTGTGATCTAGGCTCACTGCAACCTCCACCTCCCGAGTTCGAGCAATTTTCCTCCTAGCAGTCCTTTATTGCTGATATTGACTCTGTAATACCAGCACTTTGGGCGGCTGACGTGGAAGGATTGCTGTAGGTCAGGAGTTTGAGACCAGCCTGGGCAACATAGCAAGATGCCATCTCTTTAAAAAAATTTTTTTAATTAACTGGGCATGCTGGCATGCACCTGTCGTCCCAGCTATTCAAGAGGCTGAGGTGGGAGAGTTGCTTGAGCTCAGGGGGTTGAGGCTGCAGTGAGCTATGATTGCATCACTGCACTCCAGCCTGGGTGACAGGGCAAGACTTTGTCTCAAAAAAAAAAAAAAAAAAAAGGAAGAAAGGGGCCTGTTAGGCCAAGAGCTTGGTGTGAACAGGGGCTCAGTGACTGGAGGACCCACCTCCTGCCCCGGGAGAAGTGAGGAGGCCAATGTAGCTGAAGTTGAGGGATGAGATTGGAAGTTCTACAGAGGTTCCAAGGCATCCCCAGGGAGGTCTTGAAATCTATGCCAAGAACTGGCTGTCATTTTCTAGCAACAAGAAACCCTAGGCAGGGAAACTAGTTACAATATTGCATCAACCAAGATCTCAAGTAATAAGTCCCAAGCCCAAATGGTAGAAGTGAGAATGAAGAAAAAGGAACTTGAGACTTTACGAAAAAGAAAATATATATATAATGAAAGAATTTGGCCTTGGCCCTACATCTAGCCAATTATTTAGGGAGACACTTCAAGTACTTTGGGGAAGGAAACAAGATGAGTTCTGCAGAAACACACACAGGCATATAAGTAATTAAGGAGGGGGTCCGGCCCACTTGTATGTGGTCTGGAAGGTTGTATAAAATACCTCCACTAGCCTGCTAGCCATGTTACTTCTAGAAGTTGACTTTTCCTTTTTTTATTTTTTATTTTTATTTTTTTGAGACAGTCTCACTCCGTCACCCAGGCTGGAATGCAGTGGCGTGATCTTGGCTCACTGCAACCTCCGCCTACTGGGTTCAAGCAATTCTCATGACTCAGCCTCTTGAGTAGCTGCGATTACAGGCACGTGCTATCTACCACACCCGACTAATTTTTTTGTATTTTTAGTAGAGACAGGGCTTTGCCATGTTGGCCAGGCTAGTCTCAAACTCCTGACCTCAGGTGATCCGCCTGCCTTTCCTCCCAAAGTGCTGGGATTACAGGTGTGAGCCTCTGCGCCTGGCCCCTTTTTTCATTTTAATATTGTTGTAGTGGTACCCAGAGTTATCATTGCTTTCAATGTAAACAGTAAGGATATGTTTCAAACATTAGATAGGAGTCACTCTCATGTCATTATCCTACCATATCATTTTTTTTTTTTTTTTGAGACAGAGTTTTGCTCTTGTTGCCCAGGCTGGAGTGCAATGGCACGATCTCAGCTCCCTGTAACCTTCACCTCCTGGGTTCAAGCGATTCTCCTGCCTCAGCCTCCCGAGTAGCTGGGATTACATGCGCCCACCACTACACCAGGCTAATTTTTGTATTTTTTAGTAGAGACAGGGTTTTGCCATGTTGGCCAGGCTGGTCTCGAACTCCTGACCTCAGGTGATCTGCCTGCCTCGGCCTCCCAAAGTGCTGAAATTACAGGTGTGAGACACTGCGTCTGGCCCCTACCATATTTTTTTTAATGCAACATAAAAAAAACTTACAGAACATGTAATTTAGGGGATGAGTATTGCATTTCCAAAAAAAAAAAAGCTACACATAAATTTAATTTAAATAACAAAGTCCTCCAGTACCTTCAGTCTGAAGAGTTTATAAATAGAGACATAATTACTGAGGATTTTTCTATCATACCACCACACTTCACACACACACACCAGAAGATACATTTACAGGCTATTCGTCATATAGATCTTCTTTGACTTCAATATGGATCACATGATTAATAATCCTCAATTCCTTCATGAAATTTTTTGTAGGACTCCAACTGTGTGTAATCATGCAATCTGAGTATTCCAAGCAACTTTATCAAAACTCTTAGAACAAAAAGAAAATAGTCAGACATGGAAGAGAAAATTTGTATTTGTGACCTCCTAATAAACATCTTTTAATCCCCTGTAGCCAAAAGTCTAGATACAATTTTATGTTTGAAGCATGGCAAACCAAGCAAGGAAGGAAGGGTTTGTAAGGTACTAACTGAGGTTTTGCAGAAGTCTGGCCCCAAAACCCATACTGTCCACCATCATGCTATACTGTCCGACCACCATTCTGGGAGTCTCAAAAAAATTGTAAGGATTTCACAAACTTCTCAACACAAAATATATTTCATTCGCTTTTTGTAAAAATTAAATTTTGTGTGTGTGTGTATTTTTATTATACCACCACACTTCACATACACACACCAGAAGATACATTTATTCACAGGCTATTGATTATATAAATCTTCCTTTGACTTCAATACTGGTCACATTATTAATAATCTTTAATTCCTTTATGAAATTTCATATCTATATTAATGAAAATAATAATCATTAATAACCCTTGGAAAACCAACCTCATGTATTTATAAATATAAGATATAATCATATTTCCTAATTTAACAATTCATCTTAGCAGCCCTTTATTGCTGATATTGACTCTGTAATACCAGCACTTTGGGAGGCCAAGGTTGGAGGATTGCTTGAGGTCAGAAGTTTGAGACAAGCCTGGGCAAGATAACAAGATCCCATCTGTAAAAAAAAAATTGTTTTTTTTGAGATAGAGTCTCACTCTGTTGCCCAGGCTGAAGTATAGTGGCACGTGATCTCAGCTCACTGCAACCTCTGCCTCCCAGGTTCAAGCGATTCTCCTGCCTCAGCCTCCCGAGTAGCTGGGATTACAGGTGCCCGCCACCACACCCGGCTAATTTTTGTATTTTTAGTAGAGACAGGGTTTCACCATGTTGGCCAGGCTGTTCTCAAATCCTGACCTCAGGTGATCTACCAGCCTCGGCCTCCTAAAGTGCTGGGATTATAGGCGTGGGCCACTGCGCCCGGCCCCCACAAAATATTTTTTAATTAGCTGAGCATGGTAGCATGTTTATTTCTTCTCCCCTTCCTTTTATTAGGGTGACACGTGATATATAAGAAATAAAGAATCACAATATGTTTGTGTTCTGTTTCACACATCAACAATAATTTACTCAGCCTCTAGGTGCCACATATCATACCAGGCTCCAGGAATCTGATGGTGACAACACCTGACTATCAGTGCTTTTATGGCACTTACCACCTAGTAGGAGATGTAATCAAAAGGAGATCTAATCAAAAGATCCTAGTAATCAAGATATCTCGTTAATAAATGGGAAATCCCAACCAGCTAGTACTGTGAAGGAAAGGTGTCTACTCTGAAGCTTTGCAAGTATAAAAGAATGGGATTCACTGGGGTAGGCACTGGCGGAATCAAGTGCAATTAAAAAGAAGGATCCAGAAACAAAAAGTTATGAGTGAGTAAAATCAGAATGCTTTAATTAATAGAACTGTATAATTCCCTATAGCAGAACTGTAATAGTAATAAAAGCTATCAAGATAAAAACTTACCCTACTATAAAATGTAGTCAGTCAACTAAAACGTTTACATTATTTTGAAGAGCTATCCCAGTGGCTTCTTCACGTGATGTGGGAATGCCATCATTTAAGCAGAAATTAAAATTCACACCAAGCCACAGTGCTCTGCAGCCTCTGGGCACATTTACGGAAAACATAGTGTGGTTTTGGGTGGTATTTTGGCATTTTTAATTTCATGAACTAAAATGTCTTATTTAAAAAATTAAGTTTTGAGTAGGAAGCATTCCTGGTATTCCTTTTGCTACTCCATAAAGCACTTAATCTCCAATAGCACCACTTGAATCATTGCTGTAACCCCCTTGCCTCCCTGTCATCCTCACACTCAGCCTGTCCCCTGCCCATTGCCCCTGGTCCTTGCCCAGTAGGCAGTGCTCAGATGTAGAGTGAGGGGGGTAGGTACTTACTTCCTTTGCTCAAGCAGGGTGATTTCCTTTTTGACCTCATGGTATTCTTCTGCTATTTGGCAGTGCTGTTTGAACACCTCCATGGATTCCTCGGAGTCATGACAAGGCGGCAGGGGCTTCACAAACAACAAGAAGAAATTAGTCCATTTCTTTGCATCAGGATAAATTACCAACCATTTTGCTCGCTGATGTTCTTTAAACGAAGGTTTTTTCTTCTTCTTTTTTTTTTTTAACGTGAGAACAGCATTGTCAGTCAACATTCAACAGAGTTCAGCTGATTCTATTTGACTGAAAATAGAGAGGTGGACAGATAGTCTCCACATTCATCTCCCAGTGTCATTCATGGGCATCTCAGGCCTGAGCCAGAGCCCTGAAATCCATTACATGTCAGTTACCTGCCTTGTGATGGAGTAAAAATAAGTCTCCAAAGGATTCTACCGTACTCCCCGGAAATCTTAGACTTTGCTTTAGAGAAGAGCAGTGGTGGGGAAATAGTTCAGTTGTCTGTTTCAATTATCCCTTGCTTTCTGTTTCTGTAGCCAGGAGGTATAATCTCATCTTGCAGAGTAGAGAAGAAAAGCTCTCTTCTGAGAAATGCATTTGGGCTAAAGAAAGATGCTGAGCCAGAAATAATGCTTGCAAGGATTAAGCAACCTGTAAGAAAGGCCGGATCTCCCTCCCCCTAAAAAAAAACCATCCCTATAAGATTCATGTTTCTCTTTTTCTCCCATCCATGAAAGAAGCAAAGGCCAGCGTGGCAAGCCTTTCTGACCGCAACATGGTGAAAACCCTACTTCTAGGAATTATTTTTAAAGAACGAGTTTTCCCCAAGTTTATTTTTCTAATTTCTTGTTTAGCAATGCGTGATTAAAAGTACTACTTTTAGGCCAGGTGGATCACTTGAGGCCAGGCATTCGAGACCAGCCTGGTCAACGTGATGAAAACCCATCTCTACTAAAAATACAAAAATTTGCCAGGCATGGCGGGGCCCACCTGTAGTCCCAGCTACTTAGGAGACTGAAGCAGGAGAATCGCTTGAACCCAGGAGGTGGAGGTTGCAGTGAGCCGAGATCATGCCACTGTACTCCAGCCTGGGTGACAGAGTGAGACTCCATTGCAAAAAAAAAAAAAAAAAAAAAGTACTACTTTTAGGAATACTAGTTAAGAGTTTTTTTTTAAATCACCCTTTTCAATTATATATAGAAAAAAGTAAATAAAATCTGAGAAATATCAGTTTATTGTGAAATAGGCTCTTCAATCTTATCCTTTCTTCACAATGGTCTCTCTCTATATATAAACTATGTATCTGACAAGGTCATATTGTCACTAATTTTATATTAGGAAATTGAGAACTAATGAATTTTTTACTATTTGTTCCTCTCATTATATTCTTCAAGGACACAGATTTCTGTGGGTGTCATATTTATTTCTGTGATCCCTCCCATGATGTAATAGAAATTCAATAAAGTTTACTGTCTGATTGATAGATAAGATGACATTCCCTATGTATCATGAGGCCTCTGAGTAGAGATGTTTAAAGGAAATAAAATTCTAAATAGATTTAGGTCAAATTTACCTTCACGTGGAACATCTGTTATGTCCCAGTTCATGGAAAATCTCATAATAATCATATTAGGTAGCACCTTTCTCTGCTGCCCATGAACACATTCACAGCATAAACTCAGACTGTTGGAACCATCATCCCTTTCTATACGGGATTCAATTGAAAAATAACGCACAGTAGTACTACAGTATAACTCGCCCCATGAGATAAAGCTATTGCCAAAGGAATTCAGAACTCCTGGCTCCTCCAGTCTGTGCCCCAGAAATCGCTACCCACTCATCAATTTTCACCTGTTACACTGGCAACTTACCAGGTATAACAGTAAGGGGAATGAAAGCAATTTATTCTGGGCACCATAGCCAAGCTGTTGAATCATCTGTGCCCTGTTAAAGGATTTGCCTCCTGGAAGGCCCTAAGACTCTACACATCAGATCCTGTCCTTACAAACACCACACAGGCTATACTCAGTTGAAACAAGAGCTCAGTACGTGTAGGTACCTGAACCATGAATTCAGCACAGTTAACTATGTGGCAGCGAAAAAGTTCTAGAACTCTACATAAAGGATTCACAACTTTAAGATAACATAGAGAGCAGCCGTGTAAAGGGAGATATGTCTTTTGCTGCTGTAATTTAAAAGGAAAACTGAAAAGTACATTAATAACTTTCTTAAGAAGGGAGAGGCCTTCCCTGCCTCACCCCCAGCTTACCACCTGTAATGATTTTTACTAAGTGGGAAATGTTGTCATTTGTTCTTTTTTTACTACTGGCACCTCTTAATTGTGGGAAATTCAAGATGTTGTTATCTATAGGTAGAGCGATCATGCCACTAAGCATATGTGATGATAGGTAGTACATATTTCAAGATATCCACACGTGCTTTCAGCAGCATGATCATGCTATCTATACATAATAATATTTTCAAGACTTCCCATCATAAAGAAGGGACAATCAAAAAAGAATAAGCCTAAAATACTTTGTATCCAGTTTTCAGGGAGTACAAAGATTCCAGGGGTCACTTCAGCCTCTGGATCCTAAAAACTAAGCCTTCAACTTGACATAAAACTCAGCACCACTTCAAATGTTCCAAGTTTGTATGAAAACATTAAAGAGCAATATAGATTTCTATTTTTTAAGTAAAGAGGAAGGTTATATTGCATAACCCACCAAAACATTGTAAAATTCTCTCATTTGTTGCCATAGGAAGAGGGAAATAAGGAATTGTTGTTTAATGGGTACAGACTTTCTATTTTGCAAGATGAAAAAGTTCTGGAGATCGGTTGCACAACAATGTGAATATACTTAACACTACCAAACTGTACACTTAGAAATGGTTAAGATGGTAAATTTTACCATATGCGTTTTTACCCATAATAAGAAAAAAATCAATGCAAAAAAAATTATTTCATTAAACCTTTCTGCTGTCTCTAGCCCATCTTCTAAGCAGTGCTACCAGGGTTACCTAGGAGAGGCTGACTCCATTTGTACTCAATCTTTTGCTCTTTCCCAAATTTCTCCCCAGAGAACTTCAAATTTCTCACCCCTTTATAATCTCGAGCCATTCACTGGTAACCCCAAACATTGTTGAGCAAATCAAAGTGCTCTCCGGTCAACGGAATCTACTGTTCTTAGAGGGCAGTTGACATCATTGGCCATTTACCCCAGCCAGGAAACTGATCAAAGAATTTGCTTAAATATATATGGTTCTTGTCCCAGCAGGAATTCTGGTGAATACAAGTATTAAGATATTCAGGTTTTATACCTAATACAAAAAGTGGCACTATAGAATAATGTGATGTGTTGTTCCATGTAGGATGGAATAACTCTCATTGCTTTGTGATATAATGTGTGTATGTATGTTGTATCATCAGGTCCTGACTGAGGGTAATCCTCTCTTACCTTACCTTTTGAGAGGTAATCCCTCAAAATAAGAGACAATATATGGCCAACAGTATTAATCAAACACAAGCTTCTGCCTGAGGAAATCGATTCTTAGAATTCAAGAATCAGGTTTCCAGTTTAAAAATGGAGTGTCAGTACGCTTAAGTAACATGACATGTAAAACACTGGCACTCATGAATTAACTGGCTGTACGTGGGTTTATGTAACACATGCTCAAATTAAAAACTGTAAAATAACTTAAAAGAATACCTGTGGGTAACTAGATGAGAAAACATCTATTAACTTCTTGGAATAAAAGAAACACTATTTCAGTTCTCATTGCTTGATTTTGACTATTCTTGTCAGAGAGATTTTCATAGTTATAAGCCCATGCTGGGAATGGATGTACGATAAATAAACTCTTAATGTTGATAGTTAATTATTTTTCACATCAGGAGGAAAAAAATTCCCTTGTTATTTTCTCCACAATGATGCTACATCCTCCAATTTTGGATACACTTATCCCACCTTCCTGCTTAAAGAATGAAATATTGCACTCCAAAGAAAAGGAATCCAAAGATAGTTGAGTTGATAAATTGAAGAATAAAGATACTGCTAATGTACTAGAGCACAAATTCTGTGCGGTCACAGCAGCAGCTTTTCAGATGCACTCCCTGCCATCGTATCTGGTTTACTATACAACGCAGCCAGTTCTTAGGAGGTGAAATTAACACCTTCTCCTAACAGCGCCTCAAGCCAACTTTGAAACACATGTTTCCAAGACACAGACTGGGGCTTGGGTGAGGTCACAGCCCAGGAGGAGATACTTCCTCCTCGCCCACTTTTCCTCCATCTCCGCCTCCTCCCGCTGCCGCCTGAGGATGGAGCTCGCAAGGGCTTAATATTTCATGGCAGTGCAGCGTGAAGGAGCTGCTGCTATCTCTGGTATCCGCCCCAATTATCAGGACCGATTTAACAAGATGAAGTAAGAGAGAAACCGCAGGGTCCGGTTCCAAGAATGCCGGCTTGAGCCACACGGTGCTATGGTGCTGTTCTGCTCTCTGCCTGAGCTTGCCGGTTCATAGCAAGCTCCTCCCGAAGTGGATTCCACTCCCTGGAACAGACCCCATGGGGAAGGACCCAGCCAAGCCACCCTCAGCTAGGAGCAAAGCCGGCTCGGGCGTTTCCGTTTTCTATTTGGCTTCTGCGAATACTACTGGCCCCATCCTCTTCAAAAATGTCAGAATTTAATTTTCCTATCCCAGCTTCCCACACAGGAGATATATTTAGGAAGCTAAACATTCTACACTCGCTGAGCACTCTTTGTATTTATTCCTTGATTCTCAGGGTTACCTACTTTTGGGAAAGATGGGGGTGTCTGATTTAAATTTACATTACATTGTAATGTCTTAAAATTAACAAGCATCGTTTGTTAAAACTGAGAGGAAAAACACAGTCCATGCTGATTTCGATATTTAAGAACTCTATTATCTTAGAACTTTAAATATTTTAAGAAATGACATTTATATAGTATCTACATTACAGTACAAGTTGAGCACTATCAATTATACTACAGAACTTATACATCATGTTACACTGGAGTAAAGTATATTTAAGTCATTTCTGTTGACATAAACAATATCAAAAGGAGAAAGAACACAAGAGTAGCAAACTTTTTGAACAAGCCATACCTAAATGACAACTGAGCTTCTCAAAACAAACAAAAAATTAAAGGCATTATTGAAAAGCTCCAAAGTATCTATATATGTTTTCTGTGTGGACACAGCAATCAAAGAAAAATTGCAGTATACAATACTTTTCAATGTGTGTATGAGAGAAAATGTCAGCTACGTCTGGTGCTTTCTATGAGAATATACCCTAACCACATTTCCAGATGGATGTTAAAGACCAGTGTAGCAGAATCCTGGAAGGCTAGACTTCTTCATTTTCTATCATTTTCATTTCCCAGATGTCAAGCAATATATTGATGCAAAATCTAAAAGAAGTTTTCGGAGAGGCTGCTTGGATAACAGGATATTATGGTACACAACTGAAGCTACGAAATTGTTTATTTGTGGAGGTGACATCAGTTTCTGGACTTATCAGACTCTGTTAGTTCAGTGTGTACCACAGAGACACCTGTCACTGTCATCTCAGATTAGATAGGAGGACTTTAAGGAGGGATTGAAGCTATTGCTCAATTTGGTTAAAAAAAAAAAAAAGTCATATTGTTCTCGAAGCACCTTGGCTTAATGAAAAGAAGAGGGCATCAGAACTTCTATCCCTAACTTAAAAATTCAAGCAGATGCTTTTATTTCATTTTACATGAATAAAAATAAATTACTTATTCTTAAGTATTTCATTCAATAAATAATTTCACCAGAGAATGAAATTTACATTAATTGAGCAATTATTTTGTCAAGGACTGTGCTAGATCTACTCATTACCGTATTTAATTCCCACAACAATGTGAGATTGATATCATTATCTCCACTTTGCAGTTGAGGAAAGTGAGCTTTCAAGAGAGTAAATAACATGCTGGAAATCACAAATTTAGCTGAGATCCAAATCCAGGCCAACCCAATGCTAATGCCCATGCCTTGGTCATTGTCATTCTTATTAGTTATCATGTCCTATACCTGACAATAAAACATATTTCTCATTCCAATGAAGTTAAGACCACGTTATAGCATAGTTTTGGATCATGTGTAAGTCAAATCATGGTTCCAAAAACATAACATGCTTAAGCAGTAAGACAGGCTTGGTCTTGACCCAAACCCTGGGACCATGAAAGGATGCCACCATCTTTTAGAACAGAGAGAGACAAGTCAAACAGAAAGAAGCTGAGACCTGAAGAAAAGTAATGGCTGGGTGTGGTGGTTCACATCTGTAATCTCAGCATTTTGGGAGCCTGAGGTGGGCAGATCCCTTGAGCACAGGAGTTTGAGACCAATCTGGGCAACATGGCAAAACCCCATCTCTACAAAAAATACAAAAATTAGCCAGGTGTGGTGGCATGCACCTGTGGTCCCAGCTACTCAAGAGGCTGGGGTGGGAGGATCACCTGAGCTTGGGGAGGTCGAGGCTGCAGTGAGCCATGATCATGCCACTGCACTCTGGCCTGGGTGACAGAGCAAGACTTTGTCTCAAAACATAAAAAAGAAAGAGAATAGTGATTTTTCATTCATTCTTAGAAATGGACATAGAATTGGGCGTCCTTTCTTCTGACTATATCATCTACACTAGCTCTACTCAAATACTGTCCCTGATGGGCATGGGAAATTTAGAAACCTAGTCCCAAGAAAGGAATCTGCACAAATAGAACTGACCTTCCACCTACTCCTGGACAGAGGCCCAAGGCCCACAAATGAACATTATAAAGAGATATTCATTTTAACACCTACCTTCTCCTGCGGTCTCTTGCTCAATATTTTGCATTAATAGAGACATCAAGAGAAATGTTTTTCACTGCTATTCTTGCACAAGGCTTTTTTTGGCTTCTGTGAAAATAGAAGCACTGCAAATTACATGCTCAAACTTGTCCACATTCTTGGCAAAACAACAGAAAAATCCTGGGGGTCAAATTAGTGATTGAGTGTCTACCAAATAGCTATTTTATAGCAGCATTTTATAAACTACCAAAGCATGTGTAATGGATATCAGAAAGTCAGAACAGATTTTACAAGGTTATTCTATAACTACATTATGGCAATCTTGCAAACCAGAAACAAACAAAAAAAGTTTCCACCTATCAAAGTAATTTAAGCAGCCTGTATATTCCTTAAAAAGCGTAAGGGAAAGAAGGGAATAGTAAATGTATTTAGACCAAAATTTGGCCTCAAGTTTCTCATCTGTAAGGTGGAGACAAAACAGTTAGCTTACTCATTATTGCAAAGATCAAATGAGATCATATGTAGGGAAACACCCCTTGCCTAATAGGTACTCAGTGGCTTCGGTGGGATTTAAATCCGAGGTTTTGCAGAGAACGGGGCTGACAATACCTAGCATCATCTATTTTCCACCAAGAAAATGTTTAAGTCTCTGATAGAGGTAATCAAGACTCAATTCATTCTCAAGCAAATAGTTGCAACCACAAGGCACTTCATATGCCTTTGTAATCCAACTTTTACTCTTCCATAGTGGATGATGATAGTCGATAAAATTCCAAGAGCCATTACTGTGTAATGAAAGCACACGAGACTGACTATAAAGATGGCCTGCTCTGTGTAATAGATTGTTCCTTTTGTACATAAAGCATTTTCACTGCTTTCAATACAGAGACTTCCTGCAACAGAAGGCTTAAATGTATATGCTTACGCTAAGTATAGAAATAAAAATCTGCTTTTAGATGTCATCTTCTATTAGATTTCTCCTCCCAACCATCATCGTCTTGCTGTTTAGTCACTCACGCCCTGGAGTACAGAACAAAGATAACAGGCAACAGCTCTAGACAGAGGCAACCCTACCCAAAAGCCTTGACAACTGGTAAATGTTTGTAACACTCACTCCTATCCTTCATTCAACAAACAAGCACTTACTGAAATGTGTTTGGTTGTATTGCTGGTAACACACTCTCCATTCACAAAGAGATAAAGCACTATCATACTTTAAGGGGGAAAAAAAAATCAAAACCATGAGCCAGAAACTACCCTCTCAACTGCCTAATTCATTAAAGATCAATGAAGATGAAATAGTTTCATTGGAATAAAATAATTAAATAGACTTAATTTCTAACATATGTCAAGTGGAATTAAAGCTATAAAATTCAAATGGACCTGGCAATGCTTTAACAGAAAAATTATCTGGATAATTGCCAGAGCTACTGTGAGTCTTGTGGAGAATGATCCACGAGCCAGAGAAGACCATTAAAGTTCCCAAAGGAAAAAATGTTGTTCCAACACAAAAAAAGTAGAATTAATGATCCATAATTTGATGAGAGAACAATAGCCTGAATATGCTTTTAGTGTTTTATTTTCAAAATATGTTTACTCCTTATTTTCACCTGATTTCCGTGATAATAAAATAGCTTTGACATGACCATAGAATAAAGAGGAAAAAATATGACTAGGGGAAAAAATAGCTATTAGGTTGGTGCAAAAGAAGTTGTAGTTTTTGCCATTACTTTCTTTTTTATTTTTTTGAGACGGAGTCTTGCTCTGTTGCCCAGGCTGGAGTGCAGTGGTACGATCTTGGCTCACAGCAACCTTGGGCTCACTGCAACCTCCGCCTCCTGGTTTCAAGCGATTCTCCTGCCTCAGCCTCCCTAGTAGCTGGGACTATAGGTGTGTGCCACCACACCTGGCTAATTTTTGTATTTTTAGTAGAGATGGGGTTTCACCATATTGACCAGGCTGGTCTTATCCACCCGCCTCAGCCTCCCAAAGTGCTGGGATTACAGGTGTGAGCCACGGCACCGGGCCAATGGCATTACTTTCAATAGCAATCCCAATTACACCACCAGCAGCACATAGACAGCCTCTCTGTGAGAACAGAACCTAAGCAAGAACTATCACTTGCAGTGTCAACAGACCAGAAGAAAATGCAGGCCAGGCGCCGTGGCTCACGCCTGCAATCCTAGCACTTTGGGAGGCTGAGGCGGGCGGATCACTTGAGGTCAGGAGTTTGAGACCAGTCTGGCCAACATGGCAAAACCCCGTCTCTACTAAAAATACAAAAATTATCCGGGCGTGGTGGCACATGCCTGTAATTCCAGCTACTAGGGAGGCTGAGATGGGAGAATCGCTTGAACCCAGGAGGTGGAGTTTGCAGTGAGCCGAGATCACATCACTGCACTCCAGCCTGGGTGACCAAGGGAGACTCTGTCTCAAAAAAAAAAAAAAAAGGAAAGGTAGAGGGAGAGCTGAATTGTTCTTCATGCTGAAAAGAAGACATATTGGTGGGGGTGGGAGTGGGGAAGGGAGAGACTATGGTTAAAAATTAGAAGCCAGGAGAGCTGGGTTGAGAACCCTGCATGGAGGATAGAAAAAAGAGGGAGACGTGATGGCTGATAGCTAGAGAGGAAATTTTAGGGGACGACAGAGCTCTTTTGACAGCTGTGTGGTGATCAGTGTAACCCTCCGACCTCCTATACAATTTTCAGTAATACCTACATAACTGATAATGCTCTGTTGAGCAGCTTTCTGTTGGAAAGCTGAGACAATGCCCAGGACTGCTACAAAGGTGAGAATGAGGACTCCTCCAAGCGGCCAGATCACACCTGAGTCACCCTCAGTTGGTTTTTAGAGACCACCCTGGCAGTAGAACACCAGCTCTTCAAACCTGACCTGGTTGCTGCCAGGTTTTTAACACAGTGCTCTGCATACTGAGGTAAGAACAGAAGCAAACAAAAAGGAACACTATCTTGGCTTGCGGAAGGGCTCATTCTTGGTTCTTCTTCCACCTCTGTTGAGGGCTGTCCAGGAATAAGAATGCCAAACTCAAATGACGTTAGGACACAAGGCACACCCACAAATGGGAAAAGCTGCTGTGTGTAAGATAATAGGGTATGTCAGGGCCTGTTGGGAACTGGAGGTTACAAACCCCTCCTAAAGGCTTTCAAAATCAATATTTAGGAGAAAAAAGTGGTGACTAAGAAATGTCTGTGTACAGGATTCAAGACCCCTATTGGACTTGCCTAAATGTGACTACAAAGTTAAGTATTCAAGTGAATGGCTGGCCCAAGGCCAGTATCCTGGTATTTTAGACAGAACCTCTTCTGAAAGCCATTTTTGCCTGGAATCACCATGGATAATCTAAAGAAAATTAAAATGTGATAAATGAGCTCCTTTCAAATAATTCTGGTGTATTAAAATATCTTTCAACAGATCACTCAGAAACTACATATACAAAATAATTTGTCATGGGTCCAACAAGTCAATTTTCAGAAGGTTTAAGTTAAAATAGTTATATTCCATTAAAAGTTGTCAGAGAACTGGGGAAGGGGCAGGGAACAGAGAAAGGAAGATTATTCCAAAGTCTTGGCAAACATGGTAAGTCTTCTCTGCAGAGTTTAATACTAAATCACTAACCCCAGACAAGCCAAAAATGCAATGACCTAGAGACAGCCATATCGAAGTAGAGAAGGGACCCGTCCTTTTCCCAGGCTCCAGAACCCCTTAAAAATAGGAGCCAGTTTATGCTATAAGCACTTGCTGTCCTGGTGCCATAGCCAGATAACCAGACAGGGGCATTCCATGAGGGCTTCAGCCTGACTTTGGAGCTCTAGAAATGTAATCCTTGATGACTTCAAAGCCCCACATTCTGGGTCCAAGTCAGTCTCCCCTAGTCAGGCCACTCTCTGCCCAGCTCGCTATACTTTATGACACTAAGGAGGAAAGAAGAGAGACTTTAGAAAAATCCTTACCTGTAGCTGCTGGTCTAATTCTGGAAAGACCAAAGGAATGGAGTCTTCAGGGGGTGTATCATCTAAAACAAGGAAATAAAATGATTCTTCACTATGGAGCTCTTTCTTGTAGGAGTCCTTGGACTCCCCCAGAGTTAGACCATCAGTATACACTGTTTCAGTCATTTCATCACTTCAGTTGGGGACAGACAGAATGTAAAGGACAATTTTGCTCATTTTCTGTACACACAGATGCGTGGAGAGCTTAGGTCGCCTGAACAAAATTTTGCAAGCAAATATCAGAATCCTCAAATGTCCAGGCTGGCAGCTCTCCAATTAAGAAGGACTGCTTGTCTTTCAATACTCTTACATTGGCCAAAACCAAAAAATATGATATGAAACAAAATGCTTTAACAAGGTGCTAATGAGGTGGCCAGAAGGACTTTAATGGGACAGGAGAACATGTTAGTGAAAAGTAGAAGCATTCGTTCTGCTCTGAATGACTCCAAGTGCCACAAGCTGTGATGGTATTGCTGTCTGCTCCTACCACAAACCACACTAACAGGCAGTTAACCAGAAACTCATTCTGGGTTACAGTGAGAAGCAGGCAGCAACCCAAATGGGGCGTTTCTTTCCAATACACCAGGCAGCACTCCTACCCTGCAGCAGAATTCACAGCTTTGTTAGGGAGCGCCAGAGCCCAGAGAGTCCCGAAAGACCTCCTAACTCATGCTTACGTTGACTGGTTGGCAATAGGCAGCTGTTGCTGGATGGCAAGATGCAGTTCTAAGAAGCATTTGAGGAAACCTGACCAAAATATGGGTCAAAATATCCAAGTCACCCCCAATCTCTTCAAGAACATAGTGCTGACCGAGCCTTGGTGCTAGAAAGCAGAACTTCCATTATCTCCAGGTACTCTCTGGCTCTAAGGTCCATTGGCCACTCATTTCCAATCCCTACCCTAGTACATACACAGTACACATATATGTACAGTAAAGGTACAGTACAGATACATATACAGTACACATACAGTATACCTACACATACATATATAATAGAGATACAGTACAGGTATATATACAGTACACATATACATACAGTACAGGTACAGTACAGATACATATACAGTACATACATATAAAATACAGACACACATACAGTATACCTACACATACATATATAATAGAGATATAGCACAGATACATATACAGTACACATATACATACAGTACAGGTATAGTACAGATACATATACAGTACATATACATATGCAATACACATACAGTACACATGCACATACACAAACATATATAATATATAATAGAGATACAGTACAGATACATACACAGTACACATACATATACAATACAGATACAGTACACATACACATACATATAATAGAGATACAGTACAGATATACAGTACAGATATATACAGTACAGATACAGTTAGGTTTATACAGTACACATATACAGTACAGATACAGTTAGATATATACAGTACACATACAGATACAGCACAGATACATACATACACAGTACACATACATATACAATACAAATACACATACAGTACACATACACATACATATACAATAGAGACAGTACAGATACATATACAGTACACACATACAGTACAGGTATAGTACAGATACATATACAGTACACATATACATACAGTACAGATACATACACAGTACACATACATATACAATACAGATACAGTACACATATACATATATAATAGAGATACAGTACAGATGCATATACAGTACACATGTATACAGTACAGATACAATAAGATATGTACAGTACACATACAGATACAATACAGATACATATGCAGTACATATACATATACTGTACACATATATATGCAGTACAGTACATATACATATACAGTACATACATACAGTACACATACACAGTGCAGATACATATACAGTGCATATATGTATACAGTACAGATACAGTGCATATACTACATATGCAGTACACTTATACATATAGTACACATACATATACAGTACATATACATATATAGTACCTATACATATATACATTTACAGTACACATATGCATATACAGTACACATACTATGCATATACAGTATGTATGCAAAATATAAGGTGAAAAAATAATTTAAAAACCAAAGCTATTTTAAATTATAATAAAGCAAGAAAAGATAACAGTTTTTATGTTTTCATAGTCATCACCAAATTTCTTGATAAAAACTTGTTGGTGTTCTTTTTGAACTAGAGGAAGTGACATGGGCCACATACAATGTGGAAACAAGTATCCTCTCCCAATGTGCTGATAGTACAGTCCAGAATAAAATGCAGTACACAAGGCATTTCTGGCATCTAAGGCATTGAAAGCATCGAAGATAATCACCAAAAAGATAATTTAAACAAGCATGGTATTCACTTTGACCAAACCCCTCAAGGGTCATATCACTTAATAGTCTCTGGTATATTTTAGTCAAGAGTAGTATAACAATACTTCCATTTAAAAGTAGTTTAAAATAATGACAATGCATCACCAAATTTGAATCTGTTTTGTATCTGCTCCTATGCTAGACAATGGGTGTCCTCAGATTCAGTGATATCACTTAACTTTAGCTCACAGAACAAGTAAAAACTGAGAAATTTCCCAAGCCCCTTGCTGCAGGTTAGAGGACAGTCTTCAGAGGAACTGAGATTCAGTCCCAAGGCCCTTTGAATGCTCTACTTAGACCAGAAGTGACAAATTCTGCCAATTACTGTGCCTTGTTAAATCCACCCCAATGTTTGCAAAGAATTGGACAAAAGGCAAAAATAATACACTTGTCACCACTGAACCTTTAGAGGTAGGCTTCATTATAAAACCTATGCTTTGTGAAACTGATTTTGTTCTTAAGTGCGTTTACATTCACTGCAGTACAAGTTTAATAACCTAGACATCACGACCATTTTAGCTCATTGGGTCCAAGGCCAGAATGATTTGGCAAAGGTAAATGGGAACACACTGTACTTGTGCATCCCAACCCTAATAATCATAGACAAGCAGGCACTTGTTGGAAGGAGAAACCACTCTGTAAAGTATGAGAGCAGCTGAGACATTCTAGAATTCTAGAAGACAGCCAGGAATGAATCTTAAGGCTTCCTGAGACTTAATCCACCTTGCCCCCTGTGAAGTCACACTCCTTCCTGCTTAATTATTAAAAAAAAAAAAGTTATCCATTTACTTTACTACAGTAATGTAAATAGCAAACACCTGGTATCAACAGACTTAATGAGGCCCGTTGTGGAAATCGACGTCCTTATTTATAGTCACGCCATGTCACCTCACACATATGTGACCATACTGATAAACTTACAGATAAATAAAGTAGCTTCAAATTGGACTCCTTGAGTTGAAATAAAAGTCTAATTGATTAACGTAGAAATCAACATACAATAGATGTTTTAGAGAGTCAAGCAAAATAAAAAGTAAGACTTTTGTTAAAGAATGGATCAAGTTGGATTAACCCAAGCAGGAAATAGCAGCGGAAACAAGAAAACCAAAGACAGATGTATGAAGCCTACCAAGTCTGAAAGCCAGGCCTGTATTTCACTGTTTGATGCCATCTGGTTTAGCTGGCATCCCTACCAGCCAGAAGTTTCAGGGCTTGCGAAGCTGCTTACAAAGCTGCCCCAAGTTGATGTGTGGTGTGTTTACTTTTAAACAGTGGCTGCCTTCTTTGACTGGTTTTAAAAATAGGCAAATATTCTAAAAGCAGGATGATGAATCACTGGATTGGGCCAAAAGGAAAGAAGGAAAATGACTCATGCTGACTTGTAGCACAGCTGTTCCAAAAACATTTGGCTGAATCGTTGTAAAACATTTTGACAGTGATACCGGATCGGAGTTCCTGACAGCAGTTAAGTTTGTTTTGACAATTCCAGAAGCATAAAGTAGACTGTACAGTAGCTGTACAAGAGACCCTCTAGCAAATTTAGCTTTTTTGAAAAAAAAAATAGTTGCTTGATATGTTTATAATGGGACAAAATCACAGCACAAGTACATTTTTATTAAAATTTACCAATTATTTATTGTGCAAGACAGGGACTCAGACTTACGCAAATTGGCAAATCACTTTATCATATTTTTAATGCATTAAGGAAGTAATTTGAAGGCTTCTTCTTCAAAATGGCACTGTAGACTTACTAGACCAAGCAAAATGTATCCTAAGAAATTTTTTAAAGGATGAAATATAAAGGAAAGAAGAGGAAAATTTTTTATATAAACAGATGTTCACTGCCTGTTTGGCAAATACAATGTGACTAAGCCAACGTCCTTAAGCTAGAACTTTCTTACTGACAGCCCAACCATTATGATGTACCATAGTACATTTGATGATGGGCTCTTTTCAACATCTATTGAGCAGCTGTTGGGTTGGTTTCAGGATTATTTTGTTTGTAGATTCCCTTCAATTGTCTTCTCTGTGTTTCTCCATAACTTGAATAAATAGGACACATTGGGTCTGTAATCCAAATCCTCCCTGTTATTTAGCAATGATAGCTAGCAATCAGTTAACAGAGAATATTGAAGCTGGAAAGGACTAGGCAACCATCTGGTCCAGCCCCCTCAGAGTAGAGCTAAAGACAAGGACCCCAAAAAGGGAAAGAAGCCACCCAAGACTCCACGATTCGTGGCCATGTAAGACTAAGGGGTGTCCCCCAGCCCTGGGCTCTTTCCACCATACCACTCCGCTCTTCTTCACTTACTAGTCCATAGGTTCTCAGACTCGTATTTCATGAACCAGTAAAATTTTCCCTAAAATATTCTGGCTGGGCACAGTGACTCATACTTGTAATCCTAGCACTTTGGGAGGCCCAGGCAGGAGGATCACTTGAGGTCAGGAGTTCGAGACCAGCCTGGCCAACATGGTGAAAACCTGTCTCCACTAAAAATACAAAAATCAGCCTGGCTTGGTGGCACATGCCTGTTGTCCCTGCTACTCGGGAGGCTGAGACAGAAGAATCGCTTGAACCCAGGAGGCTGCAGTGAGAACTGGAGGTTGCAGTGAGCCAAGATCAAGCCCCTGCTTGCACTCCAGCCTGGGCAACAGAGCTAGACTCCGTCTCAAAAAAAAAAAAAAATTCCCTAAAACATGGGGAATTATGTCTTAAGAGCATCCAACTTTTTATTTAGCTAGTGAAGATGATTCAAAAATGACCACCGGATATCATTAGTATCCCTTTAGGACAGAGAGAACATTTCAACACCAAAATCATAAGGCAATCATAGAGTAAAGGAGTGGCCATTATATTACATACATTTAGCTTTACAGATAAAAATAAGCATATACCCAAAACACCTCACTGTCGTACCCTTCTTTCTTTCTTTATATCAGAGGGGTGAAAACTTCATCAAAGCCAGACCAGGTTTTGAGAACCACTGTTCTAAACAGCATCTTCACTGGGTTTTACAATCAATCATCTCCCCCTCCCACTGTGCTCCCCATCGTAGACATAACTGGGATGTAAGTTGAGACGCCCTAAATCCTTGTTAAAAAGTGTTTAGGTTGGGCCACGCGGGGTAGCTCACACCTGTAATACCAGCACTTTGGGAGGCCGAGGTGGGCGGATCACCTGAGGTCGGGAGTTCGAGACCAGACTGACCAATATGGAGAAACCCAGTCTCTACCAAAAATACAAAAATTAGCCAGGCGTGGTGGCACATGCCTGTAATCCCAGCTACTCAGGAGGCTGAGGCAGGAGAATTGCTTGAACCCAGAAGGCGGAGGTTGCAGTGAGCCGAGATTGCGCAACTGTACTCCAGCCTGGGCAACAAGAGTGAAACTCCGCCTCAAAAAAAAAAGAAAAAAAAAGTGTTTAGGTTTCCACACAGAGAAGACCTCAGGAGAGGGAAAGCCATGCCCAGAGGACATTCCCAAGCCCACTCCACTCCCCAAGCAGAACACAAGAGGCAGCCTTGCCCAGGATCCACTGAATTTGTTGACATTTCCTGCAGTTACAGCTGGCTTCATGGGCATTGGACCTATGTGATCACACAGAGCCCGCCCTCCAGACGGGCCCCACGCTTAATTTAATGCTATAGTGTCTTGAATTTCTTAAAAATTTTTGAATGAGGAACCCTGCATTTTCATTTTGCACCATGTCCTGCAAATTATGAAGTTGATTCTACCTGCAGTATGACCTCTGAGTGCTGGTGTCCTGTAAATTGTCCTGCAGGTCACCAGGGACAAACTGACACTTACAAGGCAAGTGAATCTGAGTAGTGGCTTAAGTGTTGAGGCTCATACAGAAACTTTCCTAGGAACTGTTTGCCTATGAAGGCTCCTAACCACTAAGAACACAGCGGGTCAGTACAACGTTCAGTAGGACACAGACTTGCATTTGAATCTCGGGTTGGCCACTTTTTAATTGGTGAATGTGAACAACTGGCATAATCTTCTTGAGACTCAGTTTCCTCCTCTGCAAAATGGGAAGGGTATTACCTGTCTCTGAAAATTTGTATTGATAAAGCAATGTATATGTCAATCACTGGCCTAAAGCCCAGCACCTAGGAAATAACCAGTAATAACAATGAATGCTTAATATAATTAAGTTCATTTTTCATTCTTTTTCACTATAAAGCCAACCAAAGGAGTAATGTGGAGACAGGGGAGCTGTGTGTGTATATATGTGAGTAGTGGCACTTTTTCCTCTAACCCATGTCTATTCTATCAAGCTAAACTTCTGAGGTGGGGAATTATTCTTCATCATCTGAATAATACAAAGGCAAAACACAGGGTTAAGGTCAATGACTCTAATTACTGAGTTCTGCCTCTGCCACTTAAGGGAGATTTCCCTGATGCAGCCATAACCTCAGGTCTTGTGGATTTACTCTCTTCATTTAAATCTGAATTTAAGAATCTTCTGTCCAGGCGCAGTGGCTCATGCCTGTAATTCCAGCACTTTAGGAGGCTGAGGTGAGAGGATTGCTTCAGTTCAAGAGTTTGAGACAAGCCTAGGTAACATGGCAAAACCCCATACCTACAAAAAATACAAAACAATTAGCCGGGCATGGTGGCGCACACCTGACGTCCCAGCTACTTGGGAGGCTGGGGCAGGAGGATCACTTGAGAATGGGAGGTTGAGGATGCAGTGAGCAGAGATCATGCTACTGCACTCCAGTCTGAGTGGCAGAGTGAGACCTTGTCTCAAAAACAAAATTTACTTCCAAACACTTTTTATATGAAAGATAGTAAAAAAAAAAAAAATTAACTTACGCATAAAAGGTCTTTGAGTACTGTCATTTTAAATCTAAATTTAAATTAATATTTTATTTTTAGGAATAAAATATGTGATAAAAAGTAGCCAATGCACATTCCCAATATATCAAAAAAAATTAATTGCTAGATACCCAAGTCCTTGTTAGAGTATAACATAGTTTTAAGACACAACAAAAGCTTTTTAAAACTTTGCTTCCTGCTTATTAAACACTAGAGATGTGAATTATTTAATATACATTGGATTTTCAGGGCCCATAAGATTACAAGTATAGCTATAGAGATGGATGTGGATATTAACACAGATATGGATAAAGATAGAGATTTGGGATGACAAAGCAGGTTTTCAATACTTTGTAAATTAATAAACATGATGTTATCTTAACCAGTACCTAAAATTGTCAGGCTAACAAGATCATGCATCAATAGACTGGTTTTGCTATGCAAAAAAGAGACTTGATTCAGTTAAGGACAATTTCTCTCTTTTTTTTTTTTTTCTTTTTGAGATGGAGTCTCGCTGTGTCACCCAGGCTGGAGTGCAGTGACTCAATCTCGGCTCTCTGCAACCTCTGCCTCCCAGGTTCAAGCGATTCTCCTGCCTCAGCCTCCTGAGTAGCTGGGACTACAGGCACCTGCCACCACACCTGGCTAATTTTTTGTATTTTTAGTAGAGACAGGTTTCACCACGTTAGCCAGGATAGTCTCCATCTCCTGACCTCATGATCCCCCACCTCTGCCTCCCAAAGCGCTGGGATTACAGGCGTGAGCCACTGTGCCCAGCCAAGGACAAATTTTATGTTTCTTGGAAACACCTATTCACTATTATTGTAGCTATCATTTTGTGAGTGTCTATTTATCCTGTTGTTAGAATATTTTGACTGACTTAGGTTATAACATACTCACTGTCCAAAAAACACCTGCCTCAAGAAGAACTTATTGGGGCTGGGGCAGTGGCTTATGCCCATAATCTCAGCACTTTGGGAGGCTGACGTGAGTGGATTGCTTGAGCCCAGGAGTCCAAGCCCAGCCTGAGCAACATAGTGAGATGCCATCTCTACAAAAAATAAACAAGAAACCGAGTATCATGGTACATGCCTGTAGTCCTAGCTACTTGGGAGGCTGAGGTGGGAGGATAGTTTGAGCCCAGGAGGTTGAGGCTCTAGTGAGCCAAGATTGCACCACTGCACTCCAGCCTGGGTGACACAGTGAGATCCTGTCTAAATAAAGAAATAAATGAGCAAACAAGAGCCTATTGGAAGTATATTTATCCTTCAGCACACCACCAAATAAAATTTACCCCTTCTTTTCTTCTTTCCTACCACAACATACCAGAAGTAACCTTCCTCCATCAACCCCATGGCCTTTGGGAAGCTATTTGTTGTCGGGAAGCTATTTGTTGTCAAGAAGCTTTGAGCTTTCTCTTATAACATGAACTCTGCCTCTAAATGGGCAATGAAGTAACAGTCCTGAGGACCGGGCTTTGAACCCTCCTTCTATGTATTAGTTGCATGATTTGAAGCAAGTCACTTCGCCTCACTTAGCAAACATTTATTTCCACTTTTGTGAAAATGAATGGAATAGCACCTTCCTGTGGGGTTGCAGCCAATATTAAATTGATGAGAAGATGCCAGTAAAAGCACTACTCCTTAGTACTCAATGAACACTCACCTTCTTTCTGGCCTTTCTTCACAACTTTAAGTAATACATTCCAACCAATAAATCCCATAGTATCTCAGACTCTTCATCTGACACCAGGATAATGAACCCCAAGTTGTTACAGATAGTGTATTACTGATTTTATAAGTATTTGATAATTCAGTTTCTACTATAGTTCTCAACTCTGTGCTCCATCAGAAATGTAAATACAGGAGACACCCACCTTCCACCATGCCCTTAAGGCACTTGTGACTGAATGTTGTCACTGCATGCTGAGGCGGCTTTAAATGTAAGCTCATGTTGGGACAGAAGGTGATTCGAGAGAGTTCATAATGACTATCTGAGCCTCAGTTTCCTGCAAATACCTGGTTCCTGGTTTCTAAAATCCCAGTGGGAACTTTATCCCTTGACTTCCTACAGAGTTCCCTGTGAATATGCCAAAAAAAAAAAAAAAAAAAAAAAAAGCCAGAGATGGGGCCTGGGCGTCGTGGCTCACTCCTGTAATCCCAGCACTTTGGGAGGCCAAGGCGGGCGGTCACCTGAGATCAGGAGTTTGAGAACAGACTGGTCAACATGGGGAAACCCCATCTCTACTAAAAATACAAAAATTAGCTGGGCTTGGTGGCGCATGCCTATAATCCCAGCTACTCAGGACACTGAGGCAGGAGAATGGCTTGAACCCTGGAGGTGAAGGTTGCAGTGAGCCGAGATCACACCACTGCACTCCAGCCTGGGTGACAGAGTGAGACTCCGTCTCAAAAAAAAAAGAAGAGAGGGGAAAATGGTAAACTCAATATTCATTTATAGCTTAGTGCAGATGAGGTTTTGCAGTTATTCCAGAGAACAATGATTAAAAGTGTGGAGAGAAGAGATTACTAGATCCGAAGATTACTTCGGATCCTGAGGAGGACAAGGGGAATAATACTGAAGGTAGAAAAGGTTGAAGGAAGAGGACAGTGACAAAAGACACTTTGTGGCTGGTCCGAGTACAATGGTGTTTACAACTACTTAATCACAACCAGCTACAGATTTCTTTGTTCCTTCTCTTCTCCCAGTGCTTCACTTGACTAGCCTTAAAAAATAATGATAAATAAGAAGACACTTCACCTGCACCACAATTTTGCTGAGAGCCAGTTTTAGAAGTACACACAAAAAGATCTCACATAACACCCAACTTGTTGCATTGGATTCAAAGGTAGCTATTGCAACTACTCCATGTAATTCTCCCTACCACACAAAACATCCTGATATTTGAGGAGAAAACTGTATTATTTAAAAGTGACACCAATGGTATGGGTTCCGGAGTACCAAAAAAAACACAAAAACTAAGTGTCATACGATTAATTCATATCCAGATATAAAAAATTTCTAACAGCTTGAAAGAATTTCTTTTTTGAGATAGGGTTTTGCTCTGTCACCCAGGCTGGAGTGCAGTGGTGTAATCATGGCTCACTGCAGCCTTGATCCTCTGGACTCAAGCAAGTGCCCCAGGAATTGGGACTGCAGACATGCACCACCACACCTGGCTTATTTTTTGATTTTTTTTATAGAGATAGGTCTCATTATGTTGCCCAGGCTGGTCTTGCCTGGCCTCAAGTGATCCTCCTGGCTCAGCTTCCCAGAGTGCTGGGATTATAGGTATGAGCCACCGTGCCTGGCCAGAAAGAATTTTTAAAAACAAAATATTAAAAGCTACCAGCTTGAGCTGATACTAGTATTCTTGACTCTTTCTAAGCGAAACAAAAAACTATTCTAAAAAATGCAAAAGACAGAAAGAATTCCAAAGCCAAGGTCTAAATTTACAAGGAGCATGCCAGTTTTTAGCTTAGCTGAAGATGAAGAAAAGTCTCATATAATTGACATGAAATCCTAATGTCTGTCCAACTCTAAATTCCCTCTAGCTGGAGAAGGGCCAGTGATTCTTGAATAACCCAAGAGGTGGGATTCATATTTTTCTTCTGCACTTTTTCTATTAAGAAAATTAACTCCATGAAGTTTCCAGTTTAGGAAGTTTCGACTCTTTGAAATTTCCAGTTTAGAAATAATACTGATTATCATTAATATCATTAGCTCATTAAAGACAGGCATCACTGCCTCTGGGAATTACCATTAGCTAAGTTTACTTTAAAAAGCACTCTGATGATAGGCTGAAAATGGAGATTGCATTGTCAAGGAATATATATATATTTGTGTTCTCCAAAACCTTGTTTCCTTTATTTAAGGACCTCTGGAGGTCCATGTTCTATTCAAAGTCTTACAGCTCATTCTGCTATCACTGAAAAATGACCAACTCCTCATCTACCAGGGCCAGTCTGTCACCAAGTCCTTTCAACCCTTCTTTCAAAATGGACCCTGAATTAAGTCATCCCATTACATTATCTAATGCAGGCTCTCATCACTTTGTACCATTATAAAATGCCTCTTCCATTCTCTCATCTCTCCACATTCCAGACTATTCCGCCAAATTTTTACCACTTTCATCATATTATTCCCTTTTCTAAGGACTTTTGACACTTCATCGCTTTTGATCAAGTCCAGACCCCTTGCTGAACTTTGAAGATTGACTTGGTAACCCTAGTCTATTGCTATCTAAACAGTACCCTATGTAAGTATCCAAAACAATGGCTGACTCAAGCAGGGCTCGGTAGACAACACGTTACTCTTCCACAGCTCAGTGGACTAGTCTTAGTCTTGCTCCAAATGACTAGTTTTAGTCTTTTCTGAACACACCATGTTCTTCCTGACTCTTAAGTTTTGCTCCTGCTTTCTGTTTAGAGGGAAAAGAAAGAAAACTGGTTACAAGATATGTAGCCCCTTTTTTGTATCTAGTACCCAGGAATGGCATCTGTCCTGTACTGCTCCTCTATACTCTACCTGCCCTCAAGCCCAGTTTGACTATCACCTCTTCCAAGAAGCAATTACTAACTGCTCTGGGTGACACAGACTTTTCTCCAAACATCTTGCCTTACAAAGCCCATAGGAGGTCATGCTGTTCTCTTTTGCACATCCCACCCACCTTTGGCAGACTGCTGGAAACACCGAAACCAAATAAATTCAGCTAATTGCCCAGAGGTAAAATAGGATATGAACAATCTATTAACTGCATAACTAGTCCCTAAATAACTGCAGGTCAGTAATGCTATAAAATCTACCTTGACATCAAGGTGAGATGTAGGTGAGACACAACTGCTTAGTGGTTTACATTTCCCTTATACTCCACAATCAATTATCATAATTTCAGGGGTAAGTTGAATGCTTAATTTGTATCAAGCACTCTGCTAAATACTTTACCTATAAGATGTCATTGGCTTCTTATTACAACCCTGTGAATTACTACTATACGCATCTTACAGGAAACTGAATTTCAGCAAGGTGGAATGATCATACAAATAGTGTTGGAGGTAGGTCTAGAAATCATGCCTCTCTGGCTGTAAAGCCATATCCTTAACCTCTACACTAAATCATCTCAGGAATATATAGTCCTGAAATGACTGGATGAAATGAGCACTAGGCTAGGCTTATCAGAAATGAACATGTCGGGCCAGGTGTGGTGGCTCACGCCTGTAATCCCAGCACTTTGGGAGGCTGAGGCGGGCCGATTGCTTGAGGTCAGGAGTTCGAGACCAGCCTGGCCAACAAGGTGAAACCCCGTCTCTACTAAAAATACAAAAATTAGCCAGGCCTGGTGGCGGGTGCCTGCAGTCCCAGCTACTCAGGAGGCTCAGGCAGAAGAATCACCTCAGGGAGGCGGAGGTCGCGGTGAGCCAATATTGCACCACTGCACGCCAGCCTGGGTGACAGAGAGAGACTCTGTCTCAAAAAAAAAATAAAATAAAAAAGAAAAGAAAAAAATGAACATGTCAACATTCACAAGCAAAGATGTTTCCTTTTCTCATGGACTCTGCTTATTCATCAACAATAAATCCAACAATGTAGAATTACTCCCAAAAAGTCCACATTAGTGCCCTCATTTACTATGAAAGTCTAGGGGGTTTTCCTTTGTTTCCCCCTAAATGTGTGGTCTGCAGGCCACATGCACTGGAATTCAAAAGGCATGCACAGCTCGCTTGATGGCAAGTGTTTTCCTGTGTGACACTCCACATGTTCCTTATTCAAGAATTTAAAGGGAGTGTCCCAAATATCTGCAAAGCATCTTTTTGTGCACTCAGCCTCATGTATATGCAAAAATAGAGAGTCCTGGGCCCTGACTATTCTTTGAAATCTTGCATTTGTGATATGCATAAAACATAGGAGGAGGTTTTCTTTTTCTTCTTACAACAATAATGGGTCTCCTGAATCAGAATATATAGGAGTGGGGCCTTAGAACACGTGTTTTCAATGAGTGTTCTCAGGTGATGATTTTAATCAGGCAAGGTTGAGAAACACTGAACCTCAGCTCCTGCCCTAGGTTCTCCAGGTAGGTGCCCTTTCTAGAGATATGAGGACACACTGACCATAAGATTAAAATACTTAATTTGGGGAGTTTTTTCATAAGCATCTTTTGGTGGGGCTAGAGGGTAGGAATAATTTAAAATAAATTATAATCCTTTTTTGAGGCTACCTATTAAAAACCATGGATTTTGAAAGTGGGCATTCTGGAGTCATTTGAAAGAGAAGAGAAAGACACTGGAACAAACCAGTCTAAACTGATGGATGAAAAACATCTGTGAGCTCCTAGTCAAGGGCCAAGAGAGTTCAAAGAATGGTGACAAATTAATTGCAAGTTGTACATCCTGTATTTCAAGAAAGAGGTTATTCAGGCAAACCAAAGATGGAGATTCACCTCTCCATGGCTCTTTTCTGTACATAAATTAAGTTCCTGTTAAAATGTTGACAGGGGAACAGTACATTTATTTGGTCCAAAATTAATACTGCCTGAGATAAATAAGCTTTATATACTGAAATTTTCTTTGTGAGGCTGTTGATTGTAACAGGACTTGTTCTGCTCACATGCAGCATGAGTAAAAAAGAAAGGAAATTATACATTTTCCTTCCCTCTGGATTTTGGGTTTGCACGCGTGTGTCTTGAGAGCTAGCCACTCAAGATGCCATGAAAAGCACTGACTATTCCTTGAAATCTTGCATTTATGAAATGTATAAAAACAGAAAGGGCTTTCATTTTTCCTTTTAGAGAAGCAGCATCGAAAATAGAGAAAGTTCAGACTTCAAGCCTAGGGCCCTGAGTTCAGAACATAACTCCATTACCTACAAACAGTGTGGTCTCTGGGTGGCAATCTCTGTGTCTGTACATAAGGAATACTAATGCTTATGTTGCATGGTTTGTTTTTTGTTTTTTTTGTTTTTTTTTTGAGATGGAGTCCTGCTCTGTTGCCCAGGCTGGAGTGCAGTGGCACGATCTCGGCTCACTGCAAGCTCCACCTCCCAGGTTCACACCATTCTCCTGCCTCAGCCTCCCGAGTAGCTGGGACTACAGGCGCCCGCCACCAGGCCCAGCTAATTTTTTTTGTATTTTTAGTAGAGACAGGGTTTCACCGTATTAGCCAGAATGGTCTCAATCTCCTGACCTCGTGATCCACCTGCCTTGGCCTCCCAAAGTGCTGGGATTACAGGCGTGAGCCACCGTGCCCGGCTGCATGGTTGTCTTAAGGATCAGAGATAATACAGGCAAATGCTTATTATGACAGAGAAGTATAGTTAATGGCAGTTGTCATTTCTATGTTGGGGTGGATTGATTTGCCTGTTGGGAGGATTTCTTCTCACCACTGTCTTTCAGGGTGACCCTGAGTGAGGACACAGTACAACGGCAGATCATGAGAAGAGGTTTGGAAAAACTGATTATGAAGAGTCAAGCCTTCACCTCTTCCTGCTACGGAATACATCCTCCACTGGAGGCTAACAGTCTAGGAAACTCCAGGTTAAATGTGTCACCTGGCATAGTAACCCCAAGCCTGCAATGGTTGTGTGACATCAGATTTCACAGAGCTCCTTACTTTGCATTATTTTGGAATGATTCTGTCCCTTTTCAATTACTACTTTTTTTAAAATAGAGATGAGGTCTGCCTGTGTTGCCCAGGGTGGTCTCAAAACTCCTGGGCTCAAGGGATCCTCCTGCCTTGGCCTCCCAAAGTACTGGGATTACAGTCGTGAGCCACCATGCTCGGCCAATCATTACTTTTTAAAGCATCATCCCTACATGGGCATTATAGCAAGAGAGAGAGAGAGAGTCCTCAAAAGACCCAAGGTTTAAATGGTAATGTTGTTTAAGCATGTGATTTTAACAGATGACATTAAACTAAGAGCAATGGCGGATGCCAGTGGAAGAGAGCCAAGCCTTCCTTTCCTCAGCACCGTGACCTCCCGCCACATGAGGTCTTTTGTTCAAAAGTGGTGCAATTCAATGTGTGTTAAGAGGTCACTGAGGGGAGCCATGACGAAGGGCTCTAAGTATGGCAGTTTCACCTCAGACCTTACTATTTAGAGAGGCTCCTCCTCACCTGTCCCATTTATCATTCCTGCTGAAGTCTGTTGATTTAGCCAGAAGTGTGGGAGCACCAGTGAGAAACCAGCATTTCTAACTTACGCTTCAGCAAATGTTGCTGTAAACGGAACAGTGATATTTTCATATTACCTAACCAACTGCCAGCTCCTAATAAAAGTTTCCTCATGCAGTTTTAACAATAACACACTTTGCTATTGTTAGAAATTGTTGTAGCTCAGTGAATTTTATTCTAAAAGAAAGCTAGAATGGGGAGGGAGGAGAAAAAAAATGAGTTTAAATGACCCGAAAACTCAAGGTGGAGGAAAGCATCACTAGAGGCATTTCTGGAAGCCGCCATCTAACAATGCATGATGAAATATCACATTCCCCATCATCAGGTCATGCAAGCATGCAACTTTAAATTTTCCACAGAGGCGTGGCATTAGAAAAGATGCTAGAAAGGTGGGGTATGAAGGAAACAATCCTTCTTCCAGAGCAGAGTATACCTGAGGCGTCATTGAGGCTAAAGGCGATGCGTACAGGCTTGTCAGCAGGTACCCTGGCTGTGCTGATCATGTGGGCACCTGAGCCTCCGCCTTCTCCTGGGTCTTCCAGCTGTGACAGCAAGAGAGAGCCATTGTCACTTTATCCAGCATCATCCCCCTAAATACTCAGAGGCCCTTGGAAATTACAGGTGAAGTTATTAAGGTTAGTAAGCATTACCTGCTTATTCTAAAGATACTCCTAGTTTTGAGCTTTTTCTATGTCAAAAGTATTCATCCGCCCCATTTAAATCTTTTTTTCTTGGCTCAAGAAAAAATTGCTTTTGCAATATACATCTAGAATGAATGAAATATGGGAAATATCTCTACCTGCCTTACTTGCTCAATATCTTTTTACACGGACCAGTTCAATCCTGCCTCTTTAAGGTCATATAAAGTATTTTACTTTCAACTGAGGAGGATAAAAAGAGATATAGTCTTAATAAGGTATCAGATGGCTTCAGATTAGACTTGCTTTTCATGTTCAAAAGCCTAAATTAAATCTGAATTATTAATCTGAGAGTGGCAAAGAATGGGTTTCATGGAATCATTTAAAGAATACCAAAAGTCGCTGGGTGTGGTGGCTCATGCCTGTAACCCCAACACTTTGGGAGGCCGAGGCAGGCAGATCCCCTGAGGTCAGAAGTTCGAGACCAGCTTGACCAACATGAGAAAACCCCATCTCTATCAAAAATTCAAAAATTAGTGGGGCATGCTAGCAGGCACCTGTAATCCCAGCTACTTGGGAAGCTGAGGCAAGAAAATCGCTTGAACCCGGGAGGCAGAGGTTGCAGTCAACCGAGATCGTACCACTGCACTCCAGCCTGGGCGACAGAGTGAGACTCTGTCTAAAATAAATAAATAAATAAAGAATACCAAAAACCACTTTAAAATATCTGTTATATGATGAATATCATATGCTTTAAATATCTGATTAACTACCTGTAAGTCTACCAAACATTTCTAAGGATGCACATCTTAACACTCTATAAAAGCAAAGACAAGACTCAAAAACATCCTATAGATATTCTACTCCAGCTATCAAATCATCATTTAATTAATTAAGGTAGAATGAATGGAAAAAAAACATCCTGCAGATAAAATGGAATGGGCAAAAACACATGAATATTTCTGGTTATAATCAGAGAACTTAGCCCAAATATATTTTAACCAAGATATTTGATAATTTGATGTCTATAGGGGACTAGGAAAAGATAGTTATAAATACATGATATCTTTCTTATTTAAAAACATATATTTAACTTTTCTATTTTTAGTCCCACCTCCCCTAAACCCTCTACTTTCCTTCTCATGTAGACAGTAAACCAAAAAACCTGAATGATATTTTAAGGGAAATAGCTCTAAAAATGGCAAAGTATAAATAATCTCTTTAGCCATCCTTAAAGAGATTCTGGGAAATGCTTTAGCAGGACATTTTCTCACAGCACGGTTTCTGACTTTTTCCCATAACTTTCCTCTATCTATCTAAAAATAGTGTCCAGAACACTGAATTTTGTTTTTAAAAGTATTTATAGAGCCAAAGCCAATGCATATATATATACATGTATATTTAGACATACATACATATGGAATCATCTTACCCAGCATATGAAAAAAGATCAGGCTTATATTAAAACCCTAGTATAGCTTTGGAGAAAAACCAGCAACTGTTTATTATCCAGTTAGAATCATAATTTGGCCCATTTATTTAGCACTACAAGTAGCAATGCACCAAAAAGCTCTCCACTGTCCATATCATGTAATTCTAAGTTAGAAAGAAATAGTGACATGAAACATTTAATTTTAAAAAAGAGTAATATAAAATATCTGTTATTTGATTCAGGATTTGTTTTATCTTAACTCTGCCACCCTTCTGTCCAGTCTTACCTGCTCAGAATCAAGCATTTTGTTAGCCACCTAGGGAATGGCATGGATTGTCTCAAATTCAACAGAAGAAACCATTAAAATTCCCTTAACATTTTAGCTAAAAAGAAAAGTTTTACTGTTATGCATTGTACAATCACCGAATCACTTTAGCATAACATCTAAGGATGGAAAGTTGCACTCCTCTTTTGGCTAAATCCCCCAACACTTTCCCGCACCAAGAAATCAAGTACAAGAGGTAGAAATTTGCCTCAAGGATTTTGTAAATAGTCCTCTGGTATGGTTTCCAGCTACAGGAAATGGAATTAATAAACACAGCTAATTAGAGTCCCTCCCCTCCGCTCAATGGAGAACATCTGTCTGCCTATGAAAGGATGGTGGCAAGACTGAGTGGACTTTGAGTTCCACACCATGTTGACCACAAATGCCCCTACACCAACTTGCCTTTTCATCACACCGTCTGGGGAAACGAACCACAGGTTCCTTCTCTTGGCTACAGGCTGTAACAGAGCTTTGGTTAAGTTGCTGCTGATCTGAGCATTTAGTTCAGTTTTCACACCTGTTGGCTTACCTCACTTAGTTGAGTGTCTGCACTTGTGTAACCCAGAGCCAGCCACTGCCTTGGCCAGTCGTTGCCTTTGTGGAGTAGAGACTCAGTGAGAGACCAGGCTGCACCTGCTGCATAGCAGCCACTGACAATCTGAGGAGCGGAGACAGCTGTCAGGGCAGCACGCTGCTACCTGCTCTGCCCCAGACCCCAGCGTCCCACGGGACCTCCCTTCCCTTCCCTTCCGCTTCCCTTCACAACCCCTCTCTCCTTTCCTTGCCTCTCTAACAGCCAGGATGTTGTCATCTTTCTAGAAAAAGCAAGAGCAAAAGAAAACCCTCCTCCTGTCAGAGGCATTGATAAACAGCAAGTTGTGGGGAGTCCAAATGTTTTAATTCATTAGTCCTGGCAAACTTAAAATACAAACAGACTTGCTTCACAAGACAGGAATGTCTTCAGCGTGACCCAATCGGTGTCTGTGTCTATTCCAGCAAACTGGCAAAGATAGCATGACTCCAGTCAGCAAAAATGTCGGCCGCTCCAATCAGCTCAGCCAGACCCAGCCAACTTGGACAGGCCACAGGCTGACTCTCAGATGATAGCAGCGAGGATCCTGGTTAAGAATGTGAGGTTTGAGGTTGAGCCCATGTTGGGCTTGATGACTCGATTCATTCTTCAAATGCAACCAACCACAAAAGGAGTCAATGGTAAATAAGAATACAGCATTAGGATTTGTCAACCTTTTTAAAAACTGTAAACCTGGATGTCATTGGTACTTAAAAAATAATTGGATTGTGATTTTTGAGGTTAAATAAGCAAAATAAATATTAGGAGAAGGCAAACACAAGCCACAGACTGAAAGAAAATATGCAAAATACATATCAGATGATGGACTGGCATCCAAAATATACAATGAACTCTTAAAATTCAACAACAGAAAAACAAACAACCCAATCAAAAAATAGGCAAAAGATCTGAAAGATATCTCACTACAGAAAATATACAGATGGCAAGTAAGCATATGAAAAGATGATCAACATCATATGTCATTAGGGAATTGCAAACTAAGACAACAATGAAATACCACTATACACCTATTGGAATAACCCAAATTCAAAATACTGACAACATCAAATGTTGGTGAGGCTGTGGAGCAACAGGAACTTTCATTCCGTGCTGGTGGGAATGAAAACATAATAGTATATCCCACTTTAGTAAACAGTTGGGCAGTTTCTTACAAAAGCAAACATACTTTTACCACATGACCCAGAAATCACACTTCTTGTTATTTCCCCAAAAGCCTGCATACAGATGTTTATAGCAGGTTTATGCATAATTGCCAAAATTTGGAAGCAACCAAGTTCTTCAATAGGTAAATAAATCCTGGTATATCCTGACAATGGAATATCATTCAGGGATAAAAAGAAAAACTATCAAGCCACAAAAAGATATGGAAGTATCTTAAGTGCATATTACTAAATGAAAGAAGCTAAATCTTGAAAGGCTACATGCTGTATAATTCCAACAACATGACATTCTAGAAAAGGTAAAACTGTGGATACTGTAAAAAGATCAGTGGTTGCCAGGGATTCAGGAAGAGAAAAAGGAAGGATGAATAGGTGGTGCATGAGGGATTTTTAGGGCAGTGAAACTATTCTATATGAGACTGTAATGGTAGATACACATCATTACACAATTGTCCAAACCCATAGAATGTACAACACAGAGTGAACCCTAATGTAAACTATGGACTAATAATGAATAATAATGTATCAATATTGGTTCATTAATTGAAGCAAAGATGTTAATTAGGGGTTAGAGGGATGAGGAAATATATGGGAATTCCATACATTTTACTCCGTTTTTTTCTGTAAATTGACAACTGTTCAAAAGGTATTAAATATACAAGTAAAAGGACTCAGCAGGCTTTCTTAATCTAATGAATGGAAGGCTAATTTGTTATGATATATACAACAATAAAGCTGTACAGACTCAGACAATTAAAACATTCACATATAAGCTTATTCTTTTCAGGAATTAATATTACTGTTTTAATATTATTTTATGGTTATAATAAAACTTACTAATGCATTATAATTTATCGAAGTGAATTTCTTATTCACGACCTCATTTTAATCTTCCAGAAGATCCTATACAATAGTCTTTGTCAGTATTGCCATCCCGATTTGACAGATGAGCAAATTGAGACGCAGACAATTCAAATAACAGGCTTGAGGATGAATGACCATAATAGAATTAAGAACCCAGATAGGATCCAGGTTTTCTAATTATTAGTTCAAGCTACTTCCACTACACCAGGATGCACTCCGTATCAAAGATTTAATTGGCCGGGCGCGGTGGCTCACGCCTGTAATCCCAGCAATTTGGGAGGCTGAGGCAGGCAGATCATGAGGTCAGGAGATCGAGACCATCCTGGCTAACATGGTGAAACCCCGTCTGTACTAAAAATACAAAAAATTAGCCGGGCGTGGTGGTGGGCGCCTGTAGCCCCAGCTACTCGGGAGGCTGAGGCAGGAGAATGGTGTGAACCCAGGAGGCGGAGCTTGCAGTGAGCCTAAATCGTGCCACTGCACTCCAGCCTGGGCGACAGAGTGAGACTCCATCTCAAAAAAAAAAAAAAATTTAATTGAAATTTTTTAGAATAAGTCTGACTCTCAGCTTTTGTTTGGAGGAGACAAAAGTATCACTTTCTTCAGTGGTCCAGTATCCAGGTTCATCTGACACTAGCCATCTTTATCATGACACCCAAGTTCCACCCCAAGAAAATCAAAGTTTTGCATCTTATGTGTGCCAATGGGAAAGCAGATACCACATCTGTGCTGTCTCTCAAATTGGCCCCCTGGGTCTGCCTTCAGAAAAGCTGGTGGTGACACTGACATTGCCAAGGCAGTCAGTGACTGGAAGTGGCTGAATTCTAGTGAAACTGACAGTTCAGAATGGACAGACCTAGGATGAAGTAGCACCTTCCTTTTCTGCACTGACCATCAGGCTCTCAAAGAACCATACAGAGATAGAAAGAGACAGTTACATATTAAACACAACGGAAATATTGCCTTCTATGATACTGTCAACAGCTCCTCACCAACACAGCATAGATCTTTATCCACAGAACTCTCTGGAATCATTAAAGTGAGCCTGGGGATTGCCCACTGTGTGAGCTGCAACACTGACAGCTACGTCCTCATGACATCAAAAATGACATCAAGAGAGGTGTGGTAGATGCCCAGTTGGTAAAGGGCTACAAAGAAAAAGATTTCATTAAAAGATAATTTGACAACAATGAGAAAGGAACAAAAAAAAATACATCTAAATTGTCTAAATGTTCTCTTTCTGAATCTGATAACATAAATTCAAGGTTTTCAGTCACAATTAACATTTACCAGCTTTTCTGTTCCCATATGAGCAATGATGTATTTCTTGGCTCTTTATCCAAACACTTTCAAGAGAGTAACAAATCTGAAATCCAAGTGAAATCCCTTCCCATAACTGAAACCCAAAATAACTACATGGTATTTTAAGAATTTAATAGAATTATATAAATTCAATCCAGAAAGGATGTGTTTCTGCATCAATATATAAACAGATTAACAGTATGTTTCTTGATGGTGGCAATAATGTATAATTTTTATTTTATTATTTTCAGCAACAAATGTGTTTTTACAGTTATTTGGAAAGTTATTTTCAATAATATTCAAGGAGCTTTTCACATACTGAGCTCTAGACTTGCTTCTGAATTATGATCAATAATACACTCCTACCATAGACTATTGTCACAATTATGCAATATCAATTTCTCAGTACAACTCAATACGTATGTAGCTTGGTATGTTCCAGGCTAGTGTTTCTCAAAAGTACCTGATTACTAGGTGCCTTTAAAAAATACCCATTCCCAGGCTTTGCCATAGTGACTCAGTAGTCTGGGTAGACCCTCATTCTGGAAATTTTAAAAAAGAAATTTTAATGGCTATTCATAGCATTTAGAGAATAGTTGAGAAGACATTTTCCCCAACATTTTAAAGTCAGCTCTGTATTGCTATGTGACATATACGGCCGGTAGTCTCCAACAAAGAAATATTCCATGACGGCAAAATAATCACTCTTCCATTATATCCAGAGGTCAGCACAATTTTTCTCTAAAGGGCCATATTAGAAATATTTTACACTTGTGAGCCAGGCACGGTGGCTCACATCTGTAATTCCAGCATTTTGGGAGGCCGAGGCAGGCGGATCACCTAAGGTCAGGAATTTGAGACCAGCCTGGCCAACATGGTAAGACCCCGTCTCTACTAAAAATACAAAAATTAGCCAGGCGTGGTGGCGAGTGCCTGTAATCCCAGCTACTCAGGAGGCTGAGGCAGGAGAATCACTTGAACTCGGGAGGTGAAGGTTGCAGTGAGCCAAGACCACACCATTGTACTCCAGCCTGGGCAACAAGAGCAAAACTTCATCTCAAAAAACAAACAAACAAACAAAAAAACAGAAAGAAAGAAATATTTTACACTTATGAGCTCTTAAGGATCTCTGTCACAACTACTCATCTCTGCCTCTGTAGCATAAAGGCAGCCATAGACAACATGTATAGGAATGGATGGGCTCTGACTTTATTGACAAAAACAGGAAACAAATGCACATGGCTGTGTTCCAAAAACACTTTATTTACAAAGAGAGAGCAGCCTGGATTTGGCCTGCAGACTATAATTTGCCAGCCTCTCCAGATCGAACATCCAGTGGACGGCCTTATCCTGACTGAACATCCAGTGGACAGCCAAGGCACAGCTCCCCCCACAGTGCCGTATGGCACATGCAGAGTCCTCTGGGAGAAGTAACTCTTCTTTTGCTGCCACTTTCTTCAATTCATTCTTCCCAACTCCATCCCCATAAAAAAATTTTGTCAGATTTCTCAGTTAGTAAAGCAAAAGTCCCAAAGTTATGTATTAACCCTGCTTTTCTATGAAGCACTGATACATCTGTTTGAAGAAAACACCAGTGAATAAACACCTCTTCCAATTGGTTCATGAGACTGCATGTGCAGGCCATGGTAAGAAAGTGCCACGGGACCTGTTCCATACTGTGAGCTGGTCTTGTGCCATTGCTCTTTGGAGGAGCCTCTTCCTCCGCTCCTGACCCCAGTGAAATGTCAGGTAAGGTTTCCCAGGTTTCCCAGGAAGCCTTCTTGCAGTGCTAACTTGCAGTAATGTTGTTACTCCTTCTCAAACCTTCTCGTAGGGCAATGCAATGAAAAACCACAAAGCAAGGATCAAGGCTCAACGACAAAAACAAGACACCACCTCCCCCAGGAACTTCTTTTTATTTTAATTGACAAAGAAAAATTGTATGTTTCTAGAGTAAGGATTTCTGATCACATACTGTCACAGCCTTTGATTTTAAGGGTAACTGGGAGCCACTTTTCCTAATCAAAGTTCACTTCAGGCTTAAGATAGCAGAATGATCAACCCTATATCATTCGTGCCCCCAAAGCTCAAGAGAGGAATGACAGGGGTTAGAACCACTGAACCACTCAATGGTTTCTCTTTCACTAGCTTTGTGGTTCCCTTAATGAAGGAGACAGAGCAATGTGCAACATTTAAGTCAGGCCACCTGGGTCTCCAACCCAGCTCTGTCTCTTACTCATGTAGGACTTTGGTTAAATTACTTAATAAATTATATGCCACAAATTCCCCAAGTATAAAATGGGGGATAATCATAGTACCTGTCCTACAGGTTGTTATGACAATTAAAAGAGCAATACAAGTACGTGCAACAATGCCAGAAATAAAACAGGCACTATGTAAATAGAAATCATTTTTTCAAGGGGGCAAAAACATAGGAAAAAACCACATCCAAAGGGTACCTAGATTCAGAAGACCTGGGTTTGCATTGTGATGCTGCATTCAAAAGCTGTGGAAGTTTAGACCAGAGACTTCATACCTCCAGGACTCAGTTTTTTCATCTAGGTTGACAAACTTTTTTTGTAGAGGGCCAGGAGATAAATATTTTAGGTTTTTCAGGCCATACACTTTCTGTTACAATTACTCATCTCTGCTGTTCTAAGTTGAAAGTAGTCATAGACAATATGCAAATGGATGGATGACTCCAGTAAAACTTTATTTACAAAAACAGTAAGTAAATGTGTATAGCTGTATTCCAGTAAAAGTACAGACACTGATATTAGAATTTCATATAATTTCCAAATGTCACCAAAGATTATTCTCCTTTTGATATTTGTCAAATATTTTAAAATATTAAAACCATTCTTAGCTCCTGGGTCATACCAAAACAGGCTGTGGGACAGACTTTACCTGATCCTCAGAGTTTTTGGACCCTTGATTTGTATAGCCAACAAGCAAGCATGGACTAACTCAGGGTTTCCCCAGATGGGAATAACGTGATGTGTGTGTAGCCACTGTTTTGCCTTTTTAACTTGATTTAGCTATCTATTTATCTAAATGGATTAATCTTTTATCTAAATATTTTATTTATGAAAACTTAAATGGTTTTATACAATTTGAGTTTACCATTTAAAGTTAATTAAATGTGACACATGTGTTCTTTTTTTTTTTTTTTTTTTTTTTTGAGACGGAGTCTCACTCTGTTGCCCGGGCTAGAGCACAGTGGCGCGATATCGGCTCACCTCAACCTCCGCCTCCCAGGTTCAAACGATTCTCCTGCCTCAGCCTCCTGAGTAGCTGGGATTACAGGTGCCTGCCACCACGCCCAGCTAATTTTTGTATTTTTTAGTAGAGATGGGGTTTCACCACCTTCGCCAGGCTGGTCTTGAACTCCTGACCTCATGATCCACCAGCCTCAGCCTCCCAAAGTGCTGGGATTACAGGCATGAGCCACCACCCTTGGCCTGTGTTCCTTTTCTATAAACACCTAGACAGCAGACTCTTGGAGAAAGAATAAATTTCCTTTAATATTTTTGACTGTATGAGAAAATAATGTTTATCTTATATTTTAGTATTTATATCTTTCCCAAGAATATAACCTAGAAGGACTAACAGCACCAAATTTTAAAGCTTGTTATTATAGTATAGATAGATTTACTTTACCTTCTTAATGTTATCCTAAGGAAAACATAAATTTCTCATCATCTGTTAATATCCCAGTGTGTACCCCAAAAAGGAAGAGCACTCTCTTCATTAACAGAACCAAATAGCACCATCACACCAACAACCACCACCACAGTAATTCCCCAACATTACCCATCATCAGACAGCATTCAAACCTCCAATTTTATCACAAACATTTTCAATTGTTTTCTCCATTAATTTTTAAATTTTTAATCAAGATCCAAAGTCCGGACACATGATGGACTGCTAAGTTTTTATATTTATAAATCTACAATTACTCTTCCTCCCTCTTTTTTTGCAAATTTATTTGTTAAAGAAACTATAGAGTTCCCAAAGTTACACCTCCATAATGTTTTTTAATATGCTTCTCTGTTCTCTCTGTCCACTGTAAATTAGCCATTGGATCTAGAAACTCGGTCAGATTCAGATGTGACTTTCTTTTTTTGCAGGACTACTTCATAGACAGCGAATAACATTTATTTAAAAGATCAGCCGGGTACAGTGGCTCATGCCTGTAATCCCAGGACTTTGGGAGGCCAAGGCAGGTGGATCACCTGAGGTCAGGAATTTGAGATCAGCCTGACCAACATGGTGAAACCTCATGTCTATTAAAAATATACAAAATTAGCCAGGCCTGGTGGTGGGCACCTGTAATCCCAGCTGCTTCAGAGGCTGAGGCAGGGGAATCACTTGTACCCAGGAGGCAGAGGTTGCAGTGAGCCAAGATCACGCCATTGCACTTCAGCCTGGGCAACAAGAGCAAAACTCCATTTCAAAAAAAAAAAAAAAAAAAAAAAAGATCATTTCTTCTCCAGTATTGACTTCATTTTGAAAATAGCATTACTTAAGTATAAGCATAAAACTATATATAATCTTTTTATAAAACTCTTACAAAATCAAATGTACAAAGTTCTTATCAACCAATTTTATAATTTAAATTCAAATAAAGTAACAAATTTAAAATACAATTGATACAGACAGGAGGCAGGAAAATACTGGGTAGAAGAGGGCAGTCCCCAGTGAGGACCCCACCCTCAAACCTGGACCCATGGCCCAAAGTAAGAACATGCATTCCTCATTTCCCACCCGAATGTTGCCTTTTCCAAAATCACCCTGGCCTGCCCTGACCCCCATCCTGTACCCAGAAAAACCCCAGCCGCCACTGGCAGCAGAGCGGCAGAGAAGTAGAGAAAAGCAGCAGCAGCTAGACGTTGGTGAGAAGCAGCTTAACTTAAGAGGGACGGCTTGACGGCAGGGCCTCGAAGAAGAGTTTGGCAGTGGATGGCCAAACTCCAGGGGAAGACCACGTTCCCGCTCCATCCCCTTTCCAGCTCTCCATTCCACTAAAAGCCAGTTTCATTGGCAATAAAATCGCCCACAATTTACCATCTTCAATTCGTTCGTGCAACCTGATTCTTCCTGGACACTGAATGAGAGCTCAGGATACAGAGGGCTGTCACATTGAGCTGTTAAACACTTAAGCCATCCGTGAACAGCAAAGCTAAAAAACTGCAGTGTAATACATGCCCTCAGGGCTCCAGGGGTCACGGGTACCCCCCCAGATGCTGTCACAGGGCCGCACAAAGTTCTGCTCCCGCTGACACCCAGAAGCACTCATCCTGGCCCCCGCACCCACTTACCTGCATGTTCCCCATCCCGTAAGGGATTGAGTGCTGCGGGCTCAGTAAACAAGCCACCCCTTTCACAAATCCTGCAAAGGGTCAAGGAAGATTTCCTGTTTTACAACTTAACTACATAAATTTAACATGAGGGAGCACTTTCCAGAAACCAAACAGGTGCACAAACATGAACATGGGACACATTCTGTAGTGTACACTTGGTTTGAGTTCCTCCTCCCCATGCTGATGACTGAGTACTTGCAGGACTTTCCCTCTGTGGCCTGCTTTGCAACTCAAATTTGACTAGTGCCTGTGACATCCTTGGTCTTCATGCAGCAAGAACACATTGTGAGGAAAGTGCTGAGTGCCTGGTGTTCATAAATGTTGGTCTCTCTCTTTTTTCCCCAACCACAGCTACATTTATCCATGAATACAAGCCTCTTAAAATCAGAAGGCCTACGAGATGTAGCCTAAGTACCCTTCAGACATTTCTCAAATAAGCTTCAATGTTAAGGTCATATCTTTACTGAAATTATAAAGGAAACTCATTGAAGTATTTCTAAAAATCCCAAACACTGAACTGCTTGGCTCATTAAAGATCTGGCTCACTACCTTTCTGGTTTATGTCTTTACTTGGACATCCTCCTACTGCAAGAAAGGACCAAATGCCAACCAAACCTCCCATGTGAATGAGAAAAAAGAAAAAAGAAGTTTAGCTCTGAATGAGCCTATATTCTTTCAGTTGCAGGAGTCAAGAACTAACTTAACATTAGCTTGAATACCAACAGGTAATTATTGGTTCACAAAAGTAGGAAATCCAGGGACCTTTTTGTTTAGACATTGATTTACCAAAGGCACAACTGATACCGTTAGGGAACTAACTTACTCCACTTCATGGTCAGCTTTCTTTATTTTAGCTTCATTTTCAGATGGAGTTTTCCCATGAGTTGGCCACCAGCTGCCTACATTTATGTCCTACCAGCTTTACAAACCCATGAAGGGAAGACCTTTTCCCTCAGAATTCCCAGGTAAGACAGTCATTGCCCAAACTTGAGTGCCATTTCCTTCACTGTAGATAATGGGTAGAGTACTTGAACAGATGAAGCCTGCAATACGGTTTCATGAATGAAGTTGGGTAAGAAAGGCATTATTTCTCATATATACACTATATATATATATCTGACTCTGTTGCCCAGGCTGAAGTACAGTGGCACAATCATAGCTCACTGATGCCTCAACCTCCGAGGCTCAAGTGATGCTCCCACCTCAGACTCCCAAGTAGCCGGAACTACAGGTATATGTCACCATGCCTAGCTAATTTTTGTATTTTTTGTAGAAGTGGGGTTTCACCATGTTGCCCAGGCTGGTCTCGAACTCCTGGGCTAAAGCAATCCACCCACCTTGGCCTCCCAAAGTGCTGGGATTATAGGCATGAGCCACCATGCCCAGCCTATTCCTCAAATTGATGAAAGAAAAGGAAGGAAGGAAGAAGGAAGGAAGGAAGGAAAAGAAAGAGAGAAGGAGAGAAAGGAAAGAAAGAAACAGAAAGAAAGAAAGAAAGAAAAAGAAAGAAAGAAAAGAGACTCAAACATTCTATGTTAATACCTTCATGAGTAGAATATGTCGAAATCCCATGAAATATTCTGGTTTTAAGGTGATGAGAAATGAATTATGTGGGGCAAATACTATGTCCCAGACACTCAGCTAGGCCCTTTTCATACCCATGATGTAATTTAATGCACAAAACGCCCCTTTAAGACAGCTACTGTAAATTCCTGCTTTATAGAGGAACTAACTGAGACTTACAAAGTTTCAATGATTTGCCCAAAGTTCCAGAGCTCATAAAGTGTAAGAGCTAATTTGTTTGCCAAAATTAAATCTCTTCATTGACACACCAAAATCCTGTTTATGGTATATGGCTCAAATTGCCTTTGTAGGAGATACCTTTTCATTGGTGCCAAAGATACAAATATACAAAGATACAAATACACAAATATACAAAGACACAAAGATACCAATAGATTGCAGGACTCTGTCTCAAAAAAAAAAAGAAAATTCCCCAAACTGGAAACAAAAGATCAAGCTTCCAAGGAGGAAAAAAATAAGATCTCATAAAAACAATCAATAACCAGAACTGTTTTCATATTTCTCCGTAACAATGCTGGAAACCAGTAGGAAATGGAACTAATGTTCAATATTCTAAAGGAAAAATTATTTCCAACCTAAAGTTCCATATCTGACCAAACTATCAATCAAGTTTTAAGATTAAAGGCCAGGCATGGTGGCTCATGCCTGTAATCCCAGCACTCTGGGAGGCCGAGGTGGATGGATTACCTAAGGTCAGAAGTTCAAGACCAGCCTGGCCAACATGGTGAAACCCCATCTCTATTAAAAATACAAACAAATTAGCCAGGGATGGTGGCAGGTGCCTGTGATCCCAGCTACTTAAAAGGCTGAGGCAGGAGAATCCCTTGAACCCGGGAGGTGGAGGTTGCAGTGAGCCGAGATCATGTCACTGTACTCCAGCCTGGGCAACAAGAGTGAAACTCCATCTCAAAAAAAAAAAAAAAAAGTTTTAGGATTAAGGTCTTCAACAAAATTCTTATATCCCATGCACGTTTTTCAAAAAGCTGCTGGTGTAAACCAGGAAAGAGAAAGCCTGGAACACAGGAAACACAAAGGCGCAACAGCACACAGGGTAAAATGGCCCTTCAGGACGACAATAAAAGGGAATCACAGAGTGACCCTGTGTGCCAGACCTCACAGAAGCAGGTCTGAAAGCCACAAGAATGGCTCCATTAGGAATAGGAAATGGTTAGACTGCTTGATTGATGCCATATTGAAAAGACATTTAGGCAATTGGCAGAAGGGCAAAGACCTTTAGGGTTGAATTAGTGATGAGTACATGGAATAAAAAGGCAAGCAAACAAACAAACAAAAATTTAGCCTGCCCTCCAGGGACAGGGCTGAAACTCTACTGTAAAGTAAAAATAACCATCGTTGACTATTTGCCTCAGCTGTGAATACATTTACACGAGCCTAATATTGTCAGTACTGAATGTTGATCTAACAAAAATTACACTGTGGAAAGGAGGTGGCAGAGAAAGGGTATTTGTGTGTGGGATGGTGTGGGGATGCAGGGAGAGAGCCAAATCCTCATCCTCCATGGGGAGAAGCCAATAGATAATGGCCGAGACTGGTAAAAGCAAGAAATAGTCATGCAAACACATCTCATAAAAGTGGGAAGTAAAGACCAGCACCATCATCTAGACAGTGTTTACCTCTGGAATGGGGAATATGGGAAGTAGGAGGGCTGAGCCCTCTTGGGATTTTTGTAATAAATCTTGCAGAACTATTTGACTCCTTAACATATGCGCATGCACAACTTAAAGAAAAATTAAAATGTTTAAAGATCCATTTGTTGGCTCACTCTTGCCTAAAGAATCACGTCTTTAGTTTGGCATCCAAAGCCCTTCATAATTTGTCCTCCTTTCCTCCATACTCATCTCATGCTCCCACCTTCCCTACAGTGGGGTCACACCGAACTTCTCTCAGTGTTTTCAGATACTATGGCCTCATTGCCAACTTTGTGCCTTCACAGATCAAGGCCCTCACTCCTGTCACCTTGTCTGTGTAGTCATTTCAACCCCTGTCCTCCCAAAACCCTTTGTTCATTCTCCTGCTAATGCACTGAGTACCACATTGTGCTGCTTCCATTTACCATCCCACTGTCACCCCCAATTCAACCAAAGACACATGATCAGTGCCTTGCCCTTAGCAGGGCCTCAGTAAATATTTCTGGAACTAAATTGAACCTGGGATGCAAGTGCCTAATAGGGAAGGTACCCATAAAAGTCAGGGACACACATGGAGAAAAGTTAAGACACTTTGGGAGGCCGAGGCAGGCAAATCACCTGAGGTCAGGAGTTCAAGACCAGCCTGCTCCACATGGTGAAACGCTGTCTCTACTGAAAATACAAAAATTAGCCAGGTGTGGTTGCACGCACCTGTAATCCCAGCTACTCAGGAGGCTGAGGCAGGAGAATCACTTGAACCAGGAGGTGGAGGTTGCAGTGATCTGAGATCATGCCACTGTACTCCAGCCTGGGCAACAGTGCAAGAGTCCGTCTCAAAAAAAATTTTTTTAATTTAAAAAAATTAAATTAATACTCTCTAAAGTTTCTTACAATTCTAAATTGTAGTAGGTGGAGCCAGTCCCTGAATAAAAAAATAATTATCCACAGAATTTCTTCTCTGGTTTTAATTCTGTAAAGATTCAACTGGTTTGTAACAAACCAAAAATACATTTTACAGCAGTCGTCAAGAAAAGAACAGAATAAAGATAATCTCTTCTTCCTGTGGAAGGTAGTTACCAACACAACCCTCAATTTTACTGCCAAACCCATTTAGTCATCGGATATTTGGTACCCGAATAAAATCCATTCAGTCCCTGATCACACTGTGAAACCTGAGGACATTCAAAAAAGTGACAAGAAAGAGATCATGTTTTGTTCATAAAAACATTTTTCAAATTAAGCCATCACATCCTAAAATAGTAGATTAGAATCACCCAGCAGGACTTCTTCCTGAAAGCATGCAAATGCACAATCCTTGTTTAGAAGTGAGTGTCAATTACTTGTGCAGACACAAAAATGACTAATCACTGGGGCCTAATAAGGCACCTGTCAATTTTCCTTTTTTTAGCTTAGCTACTTTCAATTCACAGGAGTTGTCCAATACAAACAGCATTTTGCTGACAGTTTTGTGTGTGCTTCAGCAGTGATAGCATTCAAACTAAAATGGAGCATCAGATATTTCTATCCACTTCTTAAAAATACATTTTAAGAATTACAGTATTAACCACAAATGAATGGCTGCCCAGCCTCACAAATGAGATACAGAAATAGCATTGTTAAGTCCATCAGAGAAGGAATAGCTTTCCATCACCGCTCCAGCTAAATGGGAATGAAGATTTCCTAGAAGAGTCCACAAATAGAAAATGACATTTTCCTGGAACAGAAAAATTCTAGTGAAGGACAGGAGATTATCTTCTTTTGAGATTTAAGGATCTTATAATGTATATTAATTATATTAAATTAAATTAAATTATGTCAAATAGAAGAAATATATTGATAGTTAAGACAGATTTCACAGATGCTTTTGTGTTTGAAATAAGAGTATGCATTATTAAACCACAAAAAGCCTTACTCAAGGTGAGCATGACAATAATTAGAATCAAAGTGATATTTCACCAGTTGCCAAATTAATCTAAACAATTCAAATTAGACAAGTGTGTTCTGCAGGGCCCTTTATGGCCTAAGTACCATGGCAATGGAAGTTATTTATATATCAGGAAATCATTCCTGAACATGAAAAAGTATATTGCTTTAAAAAGCTTTTTGGACTAACTATAGCTGATTCACACCCTGAATGATAAAATTATTTATATATTCAAATTTTTAAAGAACTCTTTGAAGAGCCTAATTAGCATGCTTTTAGTATTCTTTTTCCAAATTTAGATTCTGAAATTCAGAATGAACAAGAATGACATTCCCTGTTTATCAAGAAAAACTAAATGAAGATGAATCAGAATACAGACAGAAGTTTGTACTCTCTTTGGGTTTCTTAAAGGAAGACTTTAGGAAAATTTTATCTGTCATTGACCTGAGATATTTTTAATAATTTTCTTTAAGGACACATTAGGAACAAAAAAAATAGTCATTTCAACGAGATCTTTCCATTTGTGGCTACATGGGCAGTAGGAAAGAATTGAGGCCCATGTGATTCTGTTACTAATGTTAGAGCTAGAAGGCTTCTTTCAGATCATCTAAATCATCCTCTGATTTTACTCGAGAAAACTCATCCATCATTTATATTTACATTTATATTTTTTAAATATTTGTACTTATAAGTTTTCTTCACGTGTTGCTACCAAGATCCCAGATGTCATTTACTTGACTCTTCTAAATTCATGTGACTTAACAAGGTAAGAATCTCATGGCTTGTTCAGTGACAGAGTTAGTATAGCTGAAGATTTATTGTAGCCTGCTATAGCACTGGAAATAGAAATAACGAATAAAAACAAAACTCATGAACTACCCGTCGCCACTGTTTACTGTTGCACATGGGATATAGAAAAGCATTCAAAAATGCTGATTCAATGAAAGAGCTTCACGGAAGAAACCACTAGAGTATACATAAGTAAACTATGCAGAAAGCCACGGAACAGATCGAATCCAAGGCTCGCTTTACCACCAATTCACTGCGTTACTCTGAGCTAGTAACAATTTCTCTGGTTCCCAGATTACTCCTCTGTCATTTTTTAGATTCAATTAATGTTTACATAGACTGCATATGTGTCAGGTAGTACATTAAGGGCTTTAAATAGAATAATTAATTTAGTTCTCACAGTGATCCTGCGAGCAGGGCCAGCTTCCTGGCAAGTGTCACAGGGCCCATGCTCAGAGGGGTCCCACACTTGGTTTGATGCTATGCTGCTGCCGTCTTGAAAGGTGAACAAGGGGCCCAGCATTTTCATTTCATTGAGATTTGAACAAGAGTCTGGAAGCTATGGAACCAGTCCTACCTATGAGGCAAGAACTATTATCACCCCAGTTTTACAGATGGGGAAATGGAGGTAAAGGGAGGTCAAATAACCTGCCTACGGTCAAAAAGCTAGTCATTTTTGAAGTCAAGTTTCACATCCAGGCCATGACTGTGACCACTCTGGCCCCCTGCACTCAGGGATAACTCTGGAGGCCTTTATAGCTAAGTTCCCTGATATTTCTGCAATTCCAACTAAGGCCCTCTACTAAAAAGAATGTTGATTTCACTCTTTCCTCCTTCCATCAATGCTTTTTATAGATGCAGAATTGCAGTGAATAGAGAAAAACACAAACAAGCCAAATCTGAAAAAAGAACTGCTTAGCTAAATGAAAGGTGAGATGGTTTTAAATGGTCGTAGCAGGGGCTTAGCTATTTAAATGACAAGCTAAACAGGATACCTTTTGGGCTATTTCAGACTCTGATCCTCAAATTAGAGTTTTTAGGAGTGGGATCTAGAGCCCTACATGGGGAAGACCAAGTTAGCCCGGCATGATGAGGCCACAGCAGAGGCGGGACACATCAAAGGAAGCACTCTGCACTGCCTTATATAGACGTGAAAACAGCCCAAACCCCCTGCTGTCCAATGGGCAAACATAAATAAATGGTTTGCATCAGCTGAGGATCAAATACTAAAGAAAACAGTCAAGATTTCCTCAGGGCTCTGTGTCAAAGGTCAAGTCTCCTGTAGAGAGAAGCATCTGGCCTCCTGTGGCTCCTAGATTTTCTTGTCCAAGTCTTTCCACACCCACCTTCTATCGAAAGTAACCTTGGGTGACTCACTTTGACTAGAATATTTGAGCTCAAGGGGATGGAATGTAGACATTCCCATTAATCCAGGGCCTGGTCTACACCCTACAGTCTCTGAGAGTTTATTATTATTATTATTTGCCGTCATTTAGGTTTCCATCTATACTCTGCTTTTGAATTTTAAAAATCATAGCCAGGTGCAGTGGCTCATGCCTGTAATCCCAGCACTTTGGGAAGCCAAGGCAGGTGGATCTTTTGAGCCCAGGAGTTTGAGACCAGCCTGGGCAACATAGCAAGAACCTGTCTCTACAAAAAATACAAAGCTTAGCCAGGTGTAGTGGCTCACACCTGTAGACTCAGCTACTTGAGAGGCTGAGGTGGGAGGATCAATTGAGCTCGAGAGGTCGAGGTTGCAGTGAGCCGTGATTGCACCACTGTCCTCCAGCCTGGGTGGCAGAGCAAGGCCCTGTCTCAAAAATAAATAAAAAATAAATAAATATAAAAACAAAATAAGGCCTGGCATGGTGGCACACACCCGTAATCCCAGCACTTTGGGATGCCGAGGTGGGCAGATCAATTTTGACCAAGAGTTCGAGACCAGCCTGGTCAACATGGCGAAACCCTGCCTCTACTAAAAATACAAAATTTAGCTAGGCATGGTGGCGCATGCCTGTAGTCCCAGCTACTTGGGAGGCTGAGACATGAGAATCTCTGGAACCCAGGAGGCAGAGATTGCAAAGAGCCGAGATTGCGCCACTGCACTCCAGCCTGGGTGACAGAGCAAGACTCTGTCTCAAAAATAAGTAAATTATTTAATTTAATTTAATTAATTAGAATAAAACTCTCCTTTTATTTAACTCCCAAATATAGATCAATGAAAAGGCACCCCAGATTTGGGCAGAAATGATACCTCTAAAAAGAACCACAGAAGCTGCTATTCTAAACCAAGCACACTCCTTCCTCATTGCCAAATGCCCTCGCCCAGTGCAGACCAGAACCATATGAGCAACACTGAACAGGCCAGCAATTGATGCTTAAGTAGGCATTATATGGCCGGGCGTGGTGGCTCATGCCTACAAGTAATCCCAGCACTTCAGGAGGCCGAGGCAGGCAGATCATCACCTGAGGTCAGGAGATTGAGACCACTCTGACCAACATGGTGAAACCCCATCTCTACTAAAAATACAAAAATTAGCTGGGCATGGTGGCACACCTGTAATCTCAGCTACAGGGGAGGCTGAGGCAGGAGAATTGCTTGAACCTGGGAGGCAGAGGTTGCAGTGAGCTGAGATTGTGCCACTGCACTCCAGCCTGGCACAAGAATTGCTTGAGCCCAGGAGGCAGAGGTTGCAATGAGCTGAGATCATGCCACTGCACTCCAGCCGCAGTGAGCACAGAGCGAGCAACCAGGTGGATTGTTCAGATTTACACATGCCAAGAGAAAGAGAGATGGGGGAAGGCCTCTGGGAGAACAGTGAAGGAAGTCCAAATTCAAGTCTGAAGTCAGTCTGGAGCTAAAAATTACAATTTCCCAACTAATATTGCATGAGTTGGAAGAAAGGAAGGCCACGTTGAGGTCCAAAATAGTGGCATAAAATATTTAATAGAATAAATATCTTAAAGCACAAAGCAAAAATATACACGATGGAAATTATGAAGAAAAAGAATTTTGAGAGAAAATGGTCACAATCCAAAAATCCTATATCCAAACCACCTGCCAGTTTAAATCATAATGAAATTCCAAGGCACAGAGGAAGAGGAAAAGAAAATAAGATATAGATAAATGGGGCCGGGCGCAGTGGCTCACGCCTGTAATCCCAGCACTTTGGGAGGCCAAGGCGGGTGAGGAGTTTGAGACTAGCCTGGCCAACATGGCAAAACCCGTCTCTACTAAAAGTAACAAAAATTAGCTGGGTGTTGTGGCACAGGCCTGTAATCTCAGCAACTCGGGAGGCTGAGACAGGAGAATCGCTTGAACCCAGGAGGCAGAGGTTGCAGTGGTGCGCACTCTAGCCTGGGAAACAGAGTGAGACTCCATCTCAAAAAAAAAGAAAAAAAAAAAATTTCCAAAGGTCTCGTTTGCTGGGAGGAAAGGCAGAAGAATGAAGAAATGTATTCTGATGGAGGGAGAAAGCATGAAGTTTAAAAGACATCTGGATTAGGGAAATAATTGGTATCTTGTTTTCAAAAATCATAAAGAAAGATCTATGTAATTATGAGAGACAGGAAGGGAACACAGAATGAAAAAATATACTAATTATCAAGGGAAAAGAAAGAAACTGAACTTGATCAAACCTACCAAAGAAAGGGAAAAAAGAAAATAACATAAAAATGTATAAAATAAATAAATATAAAGTCAGATATATGAGATAAAATCTAATACATCAATCATTAAACTACAAAGCAGAGAGTGGGTTTTTTAAAAAATCCTAGGTTAATACTAATTGCAAGGAAGACACATAAAACAAAGTAATAAAAGAAAAATTTGCTGCTGTAAGGATTGAAGAGTGCATCTAATTTCAGTCCTTCCAAAAACTATAATGAAAGATTTTTTTATGTTTTATTTTATTTTATTTTAATTTTTTGAGACAGAGTCTTGCTCTGTCGCCAGGCTGGAGTGCAATGGCGTGATCTCAGCTCACTGCAACCTCTGCCTCCTGGGTTCAAGCGATTCCCTTGCCTCAGCCTCTTGAGTAGCTGGGACTACAGGTGCACGCCACCACACCTGGCTAATTTTTTTGTATTTTAGTAGAGATGGGGTTTCACCATGTTGGCCAGGATGGTCTTGATCTCCTGACGTCAGGTGATCCTCCCGCCTAGGCCTCCCAAAGTGCTGGGATTACAGGTGTGAGCCACCGTGCCTGACCTAACAAAAGATTTTGCAATGAAAGAAGACAGAGCTTTAAGGACGTGGAGGATTGGAGAGGAGGCAATACAAAGTCTGGGTTTGGAAAGCAGACATAAGAATGAGAGCTGGCTTAGCACATCAGTGGGTTTAAGTCATCCATGGGAAAGGTGAAGAATCAACTTGATTTGCAACACAGTATTCACAAAAAGCTCAGGAATGGGAGGCACTAGGTGCCTCTGGAAGTGGGGGCAAAGTGAGAAACTAAAATAAGGATGGTTTGAAATCTGTTTAAGACACAGTCAGACTCTTCAATCCCTTTCTACTCCACCCTCCTTTCCTCACCCCAGAGTTAGGCTTCATTCTTTGGAGAAGGGGGAAGAAAGGCTGTCTCCCTACACCAGCCTGGACTTAAGGGGGATTAAGTGAAAACACGTAGACTTCCAGTCCTTCTCAAAATCCACAATGCAAACAGTCAAGCTCTCACCCTCCAGGCAAGAGATGAAGATTCTTCTCAAGAGACTTGGACAAGAAGATAGATCTAAACATGTTGATGTGGTGCAGTGGGAAGGGGGACAATGGAGGGGTAGGGAATAGAGCTCCTCACCAATCCAAACAGTGGGGTCACTCTGTACTCCATAAGCCCACCTGACACACCCAGAACACCAGCCAGCCTCTTAGCTCCCCACTGTTAAATAAGAGCAGACAACTAAGGATGATGAGACATCCAAGGAACGTTTTTTGTTGTTGTTGTTGTTGTTGTTTTGTTTTTTCTTTTTTTGAGAAGGAGTCTCGCTCTGTCGCCCAGGCTGGAGTGCAGTGGTGTGATCTCGGCTCACTGCAACCTCCACCTTCCGGGTTCAAGCAATTCTTCTGCCTCAGCCTCCCGAGTAGCTGGGACTACAGGCACTCACCACCACGCCTGGCTAAGTTTTTGTATATTTAGTAGAAATGAGGTCTCACCCTATTAGACAGGATGGTCTTGATTTCCTGGCCTTGTGATCCGCCCACCTCAGCCTCCCAAAGTGCTGGGATTACAGCCGTGAGCCACTGCGCCCAGCCCCCAAGGAACATTTTTTACATGGAAGACAGGGACCAAAAACAGCAATGAGAGACAATGCTGAGAGTGAGAGAACTCTTTTTAAAATATATACGTTCAGATTTAAGATATTGCATCCATGAAATACGAATAGAATAGCATTTTTAAAAGAAACATTCAGAGAACAAAAAGAAGTTCTTCACAATTAAGAACATGAAAGCAGAAATGAAAAATTCAATAGAAGGGGTGGGACATGAAGTTTAGGAACTACCAGCAAATAGAACAAAAAGGTACAGAGATGGCCGAGTGTGGTGGCTCATGCCTATAATCCCAACACTTTGGGAGACTGAGCGGGGGTGGATCATTTGAGATCAAGAGTTTGAGACCAGCCTGGCCAACATGGTGAAATTCCATCTGTACTAAAAATATAAGAATTAGGTGGGCCTGGGGGCACACACCTGTAATCCCAGCTACTTGGGAGACTGAGGCAAGAGGATTGCTTGAACTGGGGAGGTGGAGGTTGCAGTGAGCTGAGATCACGCCACTGTACTGCAGCCTGGGCAACAGATAGAGACCCTGCCTCAAAAAAAAAAAGATACAGAGATAAAAAACGGAGCAACAGGATGATAAGAACATTAGAGCATTAGTCCCCCAAGCATCTGAATATAGAAATTCCAGAAAGTGAAAAAGTAGACGTACCTCAAAGTTAATGACTTTAGTCAAAATTGTAATTGATGTGAGTGATGGAGGGATATGGTGGCAAAGAAATATGAATATATGTTCTAATAGTGGATGTGTTTTTTATTTATGGAAAATAGATTAATTTTGTGTTTAAAGAAAAATGGCTGGTTGCTGTAGATGTAATGGAAGATAGTAAAAGAAAAAACGTGAATGGTTAAAAGTTATACAAGGCTTGAAGAAAAGTAAAAATATGCTCAAATTTACTAATAGTCACAGAAATGCAAGTAAGTACACAGTATCATATCACTTTATACAGCATTGTACTCATAACATTCTAAAAATAGATAACATCTCTTGTTGGTGGGTTTGCAGGAGAAATCTACTACACATTGCTAGATTAATGTCTTCTTGGAGAGCAATCTGACAATAACAGAAGACAAATTCAACATACCCTTTGACCCAGAAATCCCACTCCTGGGAGTCTACACTATGTATATATATAAGAAGCAGCAGCAGAACGTAAGATATAAGTAAAAGACACTTTATTAGACCATTGTACAATTTTGCCTAGGGCCAGCTTGAGATATAACTGTTTGTATAAGGTTTGTATAAGGTTGCAGTGAGCCGAGATCATGCAGAGAACCCTAAATGCAGAGTAATTATCACTTATAGACATTCATCATTACTATATCAACTCTGTGACGAGGGGAATAATGTGCTATTTACATTAAATGTGCAGTTTATAAATCAAAAAATGGATTTCAGTAGAGTAAAGTACTTATGGAATTGCTGGTCAAAATCTATTCCTGTATCTCTGCCAACAACTGTTAACAAAGAGAACAACCGAATGCTGAGATGGGGGTTTTGCCAGAAGTCTCACACTTAGTGAAATACTTAACACCTCCTGGCTGAGCATTTTTTAAAGCTCTCTCTGATTTCAAGGAGTTGATCTATCTTTCTATTACTAATGAAAATCAAATTAATTACTAGAAGGAATAGTGATCATGGCATTAATTAAATGGGCACAAAATAAGCATTACACACACATGCACTATCTGGTTGTATATATGGAATTTCTTCTTCCTCGGAGCTCATAGCACTTAATACTTACCCACCCTTCCCTATGTCCATACCTGCAGTCCGCACTGGTGGAAAGGGCGTTAGGGAAGAGGAAGAAACAAGCATCTTCAGTCAGGCCCAGGTGGTCTTCATAATTTGGAAATGAAATGATGAACAAGGTTTCTCTGATAGGATCCAGGAAGGTTACGAATGTCAACCTAGTAGGAAGTAGAATTTTCTGATTCTAGAAAATTATTTGGGTCCAGCCGACATTGAATTCAGATTCAAGTTGACCTTCAAGACTGTAACCAAAGCATTCATGCATTTCTCATTTTGACTAATTTTCACACCATTGGAGCTGACTGAACACTGCAAAATTATTTTTGACTGTTTCATTTGACCTCCTAAACATTCTACAGTTTATTCTACTGAGGCAGGGAGATGAATAACACCACCAACAATACTTATGTTTTCCTTTACAGTTTGCAAAACATCTTCTCATACTTCATCTCATTGGAACTCCCAACAGTGCTGTGAGATGGCACCAACAAGACAGGGATTATTATGATGCTAATTTGACAAATGAGGATACTGGGACTCAGAGAGGGGAGTGGTTTGTCCAAACATACCCAGATGCTGTAAGGTATACTGCACTTTAAATTCAGTTCTTCTAAGGTTACATTCAGTACTGATATAAGCACAGGGAAATATGTATTTTTTTATATACTACTGGTAGGAATGCCAACTGGTATAATGTTTCTGGAGGACAATTTGGCAGTAGGTGTCAAAAACCTTTTAGTCAGCTTAGGCTGCCATAAGAAAATACTATAAATTAGAGGGCTTAAACAACAGGAATTTATTTCTCACAGTTCTAGGCTAGGAAGTCCAAGATCAAGGTGCTAGCTGATTCCATTCCTGATGAGGGCTCTCTTCGTAGCTTGCAGACAACCACCTTCTTGCTATGTCCTCACATGACCTCTTTTTTGTGTGCGCATGGAGAGAGGGGGCTATCTGGTATCTCTTCTTATAAGGACACTAAGCCTATCTGATCAGGGTCCCACTCTTACGACTTTATTTAATTAGGTCCTAAAGACCCTGTCTCAAAATACAGTCACAATGAGGGTAAGAACTTCAACATATGAATTCTAGGGGGACACAGACATTTAATCAATAACAATATGTATACTCTTCAAGCTCGTAGTTTCCTTCCCAGGAAATTAACTCAAGAAAATAACTAATCCCATTTATCAAAATATATGTAAATAAGTATGTTCCTTGCAATGTTGTTGGGCAAAATACATTTCTGAACTTCAGTTTACTCATATACAAAAAGAGAGATAACAGCAAGACATACTGCATAGAGTTGTCATGAATATTATGAAGTTGCAGCACAATGCCTAGCAAACAATAATTTCCATATCAGTTATTTTCACTAACCTTTAATAGAATACTCAACAAAAATAGTTTAACCAATGGACATTTATCCTCTCACATAACAAGAAGTCCAGAGACAGGATTGATTAATGTAGCAGTTCAATAAAGTCAACACTTTGTTTTAGTGTCCCTATTTTTTTCATAACTTTATTCGCTCATGGTCTCAACATGGCTGCTGCAGCTCAAGATACCACATCCCCACGTGACAACTTCCAAAGACAGGTGGGGGTGGCAAGGGAAGAAAATCTTTCCCAGAGGCTCTCATTAGACTTCCCCAGAACCAGGGAACAGGCCTACCCTAAATCACTGCAGAAAGAAATAGGATTATCATGATTCACTTACACCACTTTTCCTGCGGAAACAAAATAGGATCACAAAAGGGAAATCACTCTTGTTTGGGCTGCCGGCAGTCTCTATACTGTTGCTTTCTGTTCCTGAGAGTTCATCCTTCATCTTAGACCAATTTTCTTTATAAGTCAGACTTTTTTGTTTTCTTTCTTTCCTTTTTTTAGATGGAGTCTCGCTCTGTTGCCCAGGCTAGAGTGCAGTGGCGAGATCCCTGCTCACTGCAACCTCCGCCTCCTGTGTTCAGGCAATTCTCTGCCTCAGCCTCCTGAGTAGCTGGGATTACAGGTGTCCACCACCATGCCCGACTAATTTTTGTATTTTTAGTAGAGACGGGGATTCACCATCTTGGCCAGGTTGGTCTTGAACTCCTGACCTCATGATCCACCCGCCTCGGCCTCCCAAAGTGCTGAGATTACAGGCGTGAGCCACCACGCCTGGCCTAAGTCAGACTTTAATACACCCCAGACTTTGAATGCCAGCCATCTTCCTTCTCTTAGCAGTCAGCCCTAAAGCCCTACACAGGCCTGCCTTCTTTCTTCCCCAACAAGCCGCAGCTTGGACAGAATTGGACAAAGCTATCAGAAAGAGCAAGATCCTGTGCTTCAAGGACTGGCAGAATAGACAAGTGTTCAGGATGGGGCTAGGGGCGGAGAGTAGGGCAGAGGCCTGCTCCAACAGCTTGGCCACATGAGGCTCTGTGTGCAGAACCATAACAAGGCAGAAACTAGTCTGAGACGCAGAGACAAAGCCCCACTGCTCAGAGCTGGGACATCAGGCTAGAGAGGGACTAGTGGCAGCAGTGACTCAATTCTAAACCTTTCAATACTGAACTCATGTCTGATCCTTAAAACTTTCTGGCCAGAGGTCATGTTCCCGAACTGGCACACGTGGTTGTACAGATTGTGATCAGTGCAAGGGCCCCAGACTGAGAGAAGTGGATGGGGATAAAACCCAGCTCAGCAATGCTCTCCAAGCCATAACCCCATTATTGGAGTCTATCTTCCTAAAGAAGTAGGTGCCTCTTTCTTCGGAAGTACTGCCTTTTTCAGGCGGATCACCTGAGGTCAGGGATTCGAGACCAGCCTGGCCAACAGGTGAAATTCTGTCTCTACTAAAAATACAAAATTAGCCAGGTGTGGTGGTGCATGCCTGTAGTCCCAGCTACTCGGGAGGCTGAGGCAGAATAGCTTGAACCCGGGAGGCAGAGGTTGTGGTGAGCTGAGATCATGCCGCTGTACTCCAGCCTGGGCGACAGAGCAATACTCCATCTCAAAACAAAAAAAAAGTGCCGTTTTCTTAGTACTTTCAAAGGAGTCTTATCCTTGACATGCCCTGGACCACACAGAAGAAGATGCCTTTTCCTGATTTGTGTGGAAATTCCATATAGGTTACTTATACCCCAGTCTGGCTTGATCTTAGAGCCTAGGGATTAGTGTGAGCCTACAGATGAGAAGACAGGGAGGTTCATGGGGTCTCAATTTTGTGAAGAAAAGGCCAGGAACCATGCAAGACCTGGCCAGGGATTAATTTTGTAGAGCTACCTTCAGCAACATTTTAAGAAAAAGAATTCATAAGGAGTAGAATTTTTTTCTGTCTCCCTCTATGTAGCCCTCTTCCAACAGTCAGAGTACAGGATCATATGCATTTTTTCTATCCAAGCATCAACTCCAGACAGGACTCACCTTAGTCCCATACAATGTGGGGAGGTGATTTAAAACGCTCTTGAATGTCACTGCCCCTCCTCCCCCACTGGCCCCTTCCACACAGAGCTTCTAAGACGAGATTTATGAAAAGACTGTTTCTCTGAAGGAACTGCTTATAAGCTCTTCCCCATGTGGTTTCATGGCCCTGTGCCTCTATCTGGTATGTTTTTTCCCACTGCCTGGAATCTCTTGCCCCATCCCACTTCTCCAGATAAATAATTACACACTCCTTCCTCAAGGATCCCATAGCTCTTGAATGTCCTTTAGATCATTAATCACACAGTACTAGGATTATTCCTTTATAGGTATAACTGGATAACTAAGCAGGAAGCTCCTCCCTGAGGCCAAAGACCTCATCCTTATCATCTTGGTTTTCAGCTCAGAGCTCGAGAGGCTCAGTGGAATGAGCAACAGGAAGAAGGCAGGGCAGAATCAGATCTGTTGAATGTTAATCATCAGCATGGCATGGGAAGGCGGAGGAAGAGAATGAACGATCACCTGTAGGAGGACTGAGAAAGATCAGAGAGCAAGGCCTTTTTCAATATAGCATTCCCCAGGGCAAGCTCCACTTCCAGTGATGGGGTCATTGTAGACGGAAAGCAAAAAATGAGGAATTGCCCAGAGAATGATTGGTGATTAGATCCCACCACTAACTCAGAGCTGGATTCTTGGGTGGAAATCAGACAGCTCCTGCCATTTGAATGTTAGGGGGCTTCCAATGAGACCTTCTTCCCTTTTTAGGAAACATGTGGGAAAGTCTTACCCGTGGCTTATCTCCAGTTCCCTATGCATGGTTCTTCAATAATTAGAACCCTGAGTTTCTCCAGGAGAGCTGGTGATTCATGAAAAACTATCGAATGGATCTGGTGGGGGCAAAGCTAGGCCTGTGTCCAGAGTCTTAGGCCAAGGCATGAAAAGACTGCAGGAAGGATACCACTTCGAAAAGAGGGTACATGTAGAAAGAGAATCCACCTCAGCTAACGAGGATTAGCCGAAGGACACGCTGTGGTTCATAGCAAGCGCACTTTTGGGGTGATGCTTCCTGGAGTGCTGTAATTGGAGACAACCGCACACACATTCTGCCATTCAGGCAGGTCAGCAAATACCCAGCCTTTCCTGTGTGTGATTCCAAATACTCCAGCTCAGGACAGTGTCAGGTTTCTATGGAGGACTTTTCTAATCCAGACAAGCTTTCCCGGCTTCGGCAAAGGAGGTTCTCAAATTCACAGCATGTGCGTAAGGCTGGTTAGCACAGAATTGAAAACAGCAAAGCTTGCCTCCACGTGGGGGATTTGCTTATTGTTCTGTCCACCATGCAACTGGAAATGAAACAACTACTACAGGCATCACCAACACAGGCCACGAACAATGGAATGAGAAGTCAACTCATTTAAAGGTAGGGAAAGTGATTTTCTTCTGCAGAGACAGCAATAGTTTACATGTAAACCACAGCTCTTGCCAAGAGGAGAAATGAAGAATAGTTTTGAAATGAGAACAGAAAAAACCCCGAGAAAAAAAAAATGTCTGTTGTTTTTAAAGGGTTGTCTGTGCTGGTGCTGATGCTGCTGGGACCAAGGACCACCCTTTGAGCAGCAGAGCCTCATGGGACACAAGGCCTGATACTGATTTGCAAAAAACCAAACAAACAAAAAACACACAAACTACAACAAAACAAATATGTATCAAGAAGGGGAAAAAAGTAAACAACATCATGGCAAGAGTTTGTGTTGCTGGGTGCTCTCAACACAAATTAAAGCATTGTCAGTTTCCTCCATATTAGGTATCTACTGCTGTGCAAGAAAAAAAAAATTACTCCAAAAGCTTAAAACAGGAATTGCCAAACTTTTTATTTTAGTTTAGTTTAGTTTTGAGACAGGGTCTCACTCTGTCACCCAGGCTGAAGTGCAGTGGAGCAATCACAGCTTGGCTCACTGCAGCCTCAACCTTCTGGGCTCAAGTAATCCTCCCAACTCAGCCTCCCTGAGTAGCTGGGACTACAGGTGCATAACATCATGCCTGGCTAATTTTTTTTTTTTTTGAGACAAAGTCTCACTCTGTCACCCAGGCTGGAGTGCAGTGGCACGATCCCGGCTCACTGCAACCTCCACCTCCCAGGTTCAAGCAACTCTCCTGCCTCAGCTTCCCAAGTAGCCTGGACTACAGGAGCATGCCACCACGCCTGGCTAATTCTTTTGTACTTTTAGTAGAGATGAAGGGTTTCATCACGTTGGCCAGACTGGTCTCGAACTCCTGACCTCAAGTGATCTGCCCTCTTCGGCCTCCCAAAGTGCTGGGATTACAGGCATGAGCCACCGCGTCTGACTGTAATTTTTAATTTTTTTTTTGTAGAGATGGGTCTTATCATGTTTCCCAGGCTGGTCTGGAACTTCTGGGCTCCTGTGATCCTCCTGCCTCAGCCTCCCAAAGTGCTGGGATGACAGACGTGAGCCACCATGCCCAGCCATGAACCTTCCTTCTGTAACATACGGCCAAATGGTAAACATCTTCAGCTTTGTGGGTCACATAGTTGCTATCACAATTACTCAACTGTGCTGTTGTAATGGGAAAGTAGCCATAGACACTATATAAACCAACAGACATGGCTTTGTCCCAATAAAACATTATTTACAAAGACAGGCTGCAGACTGGATTTGGCCTTGGAGCAGTACTTTGCCAACCCCTAGCTTAAAATAACAAATACCCATTACCTCTCACAGTTTCTATGGGTCAAGAATCTGGGAGCAGCTTAGCTAGGTGGTTCTGGCTGAGAGTCTGTCCCGCAGTTGCAATCGATCTGTTAGCTGGTGGGGGCAGCAGTCCTGTGATGGCTTGACCAAGGCTGGAGGATCTGCTTCCAAGATGACTCATTTACATGGCTGTTAGCAGGAGACCTGAGTTCCTCATTACATGGACCCCTCTATAGGGTTGCTTGAGTGCCCTCACCACATGGCAGCTTCCCCCAGAGTCCATAATCCAAGAGAGAATAAGAAAGAAGCCATGAGGCATTCTATGACCTAATTATACATATTCCGTCATATTTTATTCTTTAGAATTGAGTCATTTATCCAGTCCACACTTTTAAAAAGGGAACCTAGTCTCCCCCCTTTTGGGGCTAAAAAGATGAAAACAAGAAGGTCATAGAATCAATTCAATTTCAGCCAGGCACGGTGGCTCATGCCTGTAATCCCAGCACTTTGAGAGGCGGAGGAGGGAGGATCTCTTGAGCTCAGGAGTTCCAGACCAGCCTGGGCAACATAGCGAGACCCTGTGTTTAAAAAAAAAAAAAAAAAAAAAAGAGAGAGAGAGAGAGAGAATCAAGTCAGTCTTGATATCTTGGCCAAATGTGTGATCTATGTCTTAAAAAGCTGAGATTTAGCCTTATTTCTGAGGCTTGTTTCCACCATATACTTAATTTTTCTGTTTCTTGAGCCTCAGTTAAGTCAACTGACTTGAAATTCCAAGAACGGCCTCTTTGTTAATGGAAAGCCACAGGTCTCCATGGATTGTTGTACCTTTTGTGCACTGCACAAGAAGAGGCACAGATGAGAAGTGACTGAAATCCAACCTGGACTCAGTTCGCCACACTCTGTTCCCTAAAGAAGGAGATAATCTTTGTCTTTCTTCTGCTCAAAGAGGGCACCTCTGCAAGGATCCCCACAATGTGATTCATGTGCCAGCAGTGCCCCTGGGATGTTGATTGTTTACATGATTTAGCCCCAATCTTGGTACTTTCTTTAGATCCTGACTGTGACATCCACCACATTCTCCATCTCTCAGTCACTTTCTCTGTTGGTGGGTTTTGCACACCCAGAGAGTACATAAGAATCCTTTGGGATTCAGGTGAAAAAATAATGGAACTTCTATTTGTAACTTTTTAAATCTAAAGAATGAATGAAAGTAAGTCACTATTAGTTAATAGATTAACACTGGCACATGTGTTAACTTATAAATAAATATATATATTTGAAGTGAACACTTACAAGTTTTTACTGACACATAATCAAGAAAAATTAGATACTATTGTTTTATATCATCATCTAAGTCACTGATAAAAATGTTAAATGTGGCCGGGCACGGTGCCTGAAGCCTGTAATCCCAGCACTTCGGGAGGCCAAGGCAGGTGGATCATGAGGTCAGGAGATCGAGACCATCCTGGCTAACACAGTGAAACCACGTCTCTACTAAAAATACAAAAAATTAGCTGGGCATGGTGGCGGGCGCCTGTAGTCCCAACTACTCAGGAGGCCGAGGCAGGAGAATGGCTGAATCCGGGAGGTGGAGCTTGCAGTGAGCAGAGATGGCGCCACTGCACACCAGCCTGGGTGACAGAGCGAGACTCCGTCTCAAAAAAACAAAACAAAACAAACATGTTAAACAAGACCAGGCTGAGAACAAAGCCTTCAGGTGAACATTGATCCAATAATCTGTGTGGGTGACATTATTACTTGACCCAGTATCTAATCCCAAATCAATCATTATGAAGCAGATACTCTGTGCTAGACAGCCTGGAAAATGGTCTCCAATGATTCCACTTCCTGCTTTTCACACCCATGTAAATGGCATTTTGCATGACCTATCATGCAGCTTTGTAGTAGATGCTGAGCCTGAGGTATCCAGCGAAGCCACACCCAGATTGCTGACCCACAGAAATCGTAAGATAAAAAATGTTTGCGGCCACGCGCGGTAGCTCATGCCTGTAATCCCAGATCCACAGACCTCCATCTTCCTGTGACAGACTAATTAAAAAAAAAAAAAAAGAGGGACCGGGCGCAGTGGCTCATGCCTGTAATCCCAGCACTTTGGGAGGCCGAGGCGGGCGGATCACGAGGTCAGGAGATCGACACCATCCTGGCTAACCCGGTGAAACCCTGTCTCTACTAAAAATACAAAAAATTAGCCAGGTGTGGTGGCGGGCACCTGTAGTCCCAGCTACTCGGGAGGCTGAGGCAGGAGAATGGTGGGAACCCAGGAGGTGGAGCTTGCAGTGAGCCGAGATCGTGCCATTGCACTCCAGCCTGGGTGACAAGAGTGAGAGACTCCATCTCAAAAAAAAAAAAAAAAAAAAAAAAAAAGTTTGCTGTTTTAAGCTGCTAATGTTGGGGTTATCTGTAACACCGTAATAGATAACTACTACACTTTTCCAGGTGATGCGTAATAGTTTGCAATAACCAACAACTCTGTGATCTAACTATTATCATCTTCATTTTACAGAGAAAACGGAGACTCAGAATATTTACATGACTTTCCCAAACTCAAAACAGCTAGTAAATGACAGCACTGGAAGTTAAATCCAGTGTGGCTCTGAAATCCACACTCTAACTAGCTGTATGACTTTGGGAAAGTTACTGCAACCTCTTAGTAGTCAGTTTCCTCATCAGTAAAATTAAGGACTGAAACAAAGTATTCATCTCTATTTTTCTAAAATTTCATACCCCTCCTCTGCTTTATCCGTAGCCCAAGAAGCGAACTGAAATGATATTTATACTAAGAAATGTGGAGTGGGGAAACAAGGGTTTGAAGATTACTCAATTGAGATGAAGAAAGGCAGCCATGCCGAAAACCAGTGAGGCTTGTGACTCTCCAGGGCATACGTGGCTGATGCTGACAGCTTCCTATTCATTCGGGCTGCCGCTCAGAGGACAAAGGTGGGAGGAGGAGATCCATTTCCTTTTTTTTTTTTTTTTTTTTTAAAGACGGAGTCTCGCTCTGTCGCCCAGGCTAGAGTGAGGTGGCGTGATCTCGGCTCACTGCAAGCTCCGCCTCCCAGGTTCACGCCATTCTCCTGCCTCAGCCTCCCGAGTAGCTGGGACTACAGGCGCCCGCCACCACGCCCGGCTAATTTTTTGTATTTTTAGTAGAGACGGGGTTTCACCGTGTTAGCCAGGATGGTGTCGATCTCCTGACCTCGTGATCCGCCCGCCTCGGCCTCCCAAAGTGCTGGGATTACAGGCGTGAGCCACTGCGCCCGGCCCCTTTTTTGTTTTTTTTAAATTAGTCTGTCACAGGAAGATAGAGATCTGTTTCTTAAGAGGAAAGGAAGAAGAGGTTTCTAACCTGCTCTGACCAACTGTTATGTTGCAATATCTTCACAGAGATCCTTCCAGCTGCAATAAAGATAATAAAAGGAATACAACATACTTTTGCTACAACTCAGTACACAGACTCTTAAATACAGTGAGGCTAGGCAGATGGAACATGTGGAACAAAGCAGGGGAAGGGCGTAATAACAACCATGATAACCATGGCTGTACTTATATATATTGAGATGTTTTATTTTATTATAATTTGTTGTTATTATACTGGCTTTTTGTGTGTGAGCTGTTTTGAATCTTTCAACTCCTTTAAATGCCTTCAAAAACTAGTATTTTAGCTGGGCGCAGTGGCTCATGCCTGTAATCTCAGCACTTTGGGAGACCAAGGCAGGAAAATGGCTTGAACCCGGAAGTTCAAGATCAGCTTGGGCAACATGGCAAGATCCCGTCTCTACAAAAAAAAAAAAAAAAAAAAAAAATCAATTAGCTGGGTACAGTGGTGTACACATGTAGTCCCAGCTACTTGGGAAGCTGGGGTGGGAGGATTGCTTGAGCCCAGAAAGTCAAAGCTGCCGTGAGCCATGATTACACCACTGAACTCCAGCCTGGGGGAAAGAGCAGGCCCTGTCTCAAAAAGAAAAGAAAAGAAAAGAAAGCTAGTATTTTAAACTGTGCCTCAGACCTAAAAATGAGTGAACCACTGCCCTAAACCGTGGAAGAGCAAGCCCAACTTGGTTGGGAGGAGACCCTTTCCATATGGGGTCAAAACTGTACCTGCCACTTTGGCATCTTTGAGAATTAAAAGAATAGAGACCTTCAACTTCACCCTGAGGGGACTGCTATACTCATAACTGAGGAGGCAAAGTCCAGATAAATGAGCAGATAAGGTAGAGAAAGATACAAAGAATTTCTCTCTTCCTCAAAAGGAAGAAGCCCAGTAACAAATCTCCTTCAGTGCTTAATAATGTTTGGCGAGGTAGTCTAGTAGAAAGCTTAGGACTTGGCTGTTTAAATCATCCATTCATTTCTTCAAAGGGTTTGCCACTTACTAGCTAGGTGAACACAAGCTAGTTATTTGCCCTCTCTGAGTCCTAATTTCCGCCTTTGCAAAAAGGAATTATAATACCTCCCTTTTCCTTTATTATTGTAAAGATTAAAGAAGATCGCTTCTTTGAAAGAACGGTGCACAGTGGCACAAGTAATGGAAATTCAGAAAATATTGTGTCCTTCTTTCACATTCCTTTTTTTCTCAAGAAATTTAAAACCAGTACGTGTTTTTTAAAAATCATTCCAGCTGCTCCATGGAGACCATATATAAATTGAAAGAATGGAAATAGAGGGGTGAGTCAGGAGACTATTGAAGTTGTCCAGATGGGAGATAAAAATGGCTCAGGCTCAGAGAGTAACAGTAGAAAAAAAGAGAAGTGGGTAGATTTGGGATGCATCTTAAACATAGAGTTGACAGTGCTTACTGTGGAGCACACGGAGAGAAAAATCCCTCTTAAAAATTTTATTTAGCTTATTTCATTCCAAAGAAAGGGAACTGACTTGCTGGTGCTGTGTAGACTGGTGCTCTCCAACAGAACTTTTTGTGATAATGGAAATGTCCTAGATGGTTATTGTCCAGTATGGTAGACATGAGCCTCATGTGCCTCTTGGCACTTGAAGTATGGCTAGCATGACCAAGAAACTAAATTTTTTATTTTATTTAATTATAATTAATTCAAAGTTATATAGCTATCATATTAGCGCAAATCTAGGTAATATACAACCTAGATTTTTTCCCTATAATTCCTTCAAATTATACAGACACAACAGTTTATAGAATGTACAGTTTGTCCCCACACACATTTTTTATGATGTTGTCCAACCTTAACTGTTCAACCAGTTTATGTTAATTGAGCTAAAATCTGGGTGCGGGGGGTAGAAATCAACATTCTTTCTACTTCTATTAATCCCAATATTATAACATTAGTCAGTAAGCCATTTCTGACCAATTAAAAACATCATATAAATTATATCTTTGCATGTTTTCATTATGTTGCTCCTTGGCTTAATTTATGTGAAATCAATTGCTATGATAACTACATATCGTGTTATTTGACCATAATGTCTACAGAAGAAATGACTAATAAAAAAAAAACTTGTAAGGGAGACTATGTAGCAAATCTGACTATCTATTGGCCTAAGAACTGAAGTAATCATTACACCTTAAATATTTAAAAGGTATATCAAGGTTGACGTAAGGGGAATTGCAGTGGCAATAATAAAATTTAAAATAAATTTTAATTTTGTTCTACCTCCTATGTTTTATGAACAATAGTAATATTTTTTATTTATAAGAGCGTTTTTCTCTTTTCTTCCCCTCTCTTCTTATTTTTCTTTGGATAATAAGTTCTAAATATCTATCTACTACCCTATAGCTTATAGACACTTCAGTTTCTTCAAAACTAAACTTACCATCTATGCTGCAGTTAGGAAAAACCATGCTTACCATAGTATGCATACTCCCTCCAAATTCCTACTAGATACTCTGAGTGAATATTTTTGGGTTCTGTCTGCCCAGTATTATGTGTCCCTCTTTTCCTGATAACTGCAACTCCTTTCCCACTAAGGTAGTATCCCTTACCCCTACTTGTGATTTTGGTGGGACAGCCAATCACAATACTCCTCTCATCCCCCAGCCACAATCGTTAGCCTAGGATTAAAAATGGTGCTCTTCCAAGTTCCTATCAGAGTTCTTAGCCGAGATTTTAAACGCGTTCTGAAAGAAAGGTGACCTCCTTTTTCTTTTCAGTTGCTAAACTGGGTTGCTGTAAACCTTGAACTACCTGTAATCATACTCTGTCATTTCCCAACCATATGAAGGAAGCGCTCCTGAAATGGGGAAGAATAAGAGCAGCACATGGAGGGAAGTAGAAGAGAGGAAGAGAGCAAAGAGATAGATCGGATGATTTCATTTCTCTGCCTGAGGCCAGCTCTACCCAACGGACTTCCCAGTTCAGTAAACCAACAATTTCTCTTTTATACATAAGCTTCTATGAGTTGGCTTCTGGCACCTGTAATCAAATGTGTCCTGTTGAATATAGTGCCTCTCCAAACTCATAGCCATGCTCCCTTTCACTCTCTGTGCTCAACCATACTTGAACACAATCTGGTCACTGTGCTCTTTCATCCCTGGGCCTTGGAATATATCATCCCTCTGCCTGGAGCCATTGCCTTCAGATCTCAGCTTAAACATCATTGTCTTAAGGAGGTCCTACCTGACTTTTAGATGTAGGTCATTCACCTGCTATAAACTCTTTGTGCACTTTGTGCTTTCCCTATCATCAACCTCACCCTAGTTATTATTATTATTGCCTCTTTGATGTTTCTCTTTACCACTAGACTCTGAGCTTTGTGAGATCAGGGAACTGCATCTGTCTTATTCACTGATATATTCCCCAGCACCTAGAATAGTGCTTGGCCCAAAGTACGCACCTAAGGTATATTTTGAATGAACAAGTAAACGAATGGTGTTTTCTATGTGTATTGTCAATATATTTTCAAAACTTAGTGTACATTTTCAACCCTACTTCCTAGTAGAACTAAGCTGGTAGACACTAAATTTCCTAAGATCCCACAGCTCAGAAGGCCAATTACCAGGCTGAAAATGTGACTTTCAACTCCTAATCCAGCCTACTTCTCACTATAAACACCTACTTCTAAAAACATTTTTTCATGCAGAAAATCAATAATAAGCTTCTGAGCTGCAGCCCAGAGTTAAATACCACTGTTTCAAAATCACCTCATGTTTCCTCTTAAACAGCTGATACTATCAAGTGGCACTGCCCTAATTGTTTTGTGTTTCTCTGTGTATTAATTCTAATTCTTTAAATGAAATTGTTAATTCCTTGACACTTTAGTCTTGCTACTCAAAGTGTGGTCCCTGGACCAGTAAAACCAATATCCCTCCAGGAGCTTTTCAGATATGCAGAATCTCAAGCCCCATCCCAGAACCTACAGAATTAGAAACATTTTAACAAGATCCCCAGATATTACCATGTACAGTTCTCAACCACTGCTCTGGAATAGTTGGTCACAGCAGATGTTTTTGTGCTACAACATTTGTATTCACAGCACATAAGTTGGGAGACCACAGGTGAAGGAAAATACTTAATACTGGCTTTTGAGGAATCAGATGTTGAGGTGGTCAATTAATTCAATGAGCCAAACTGAGAGTAACAATCAGGTCTTTATTCTCTTCTACAACAGTGCGGGCAAGAGGCAAAAGAGGACGGCTCCAGCTCCCCCACATTCCCCTTATCCCCCTGGAACAGCTCTAGGTGAGGATCAGATGACATGCAGAACAGGCAAGAAAAATGAGCCCCTGCCCCACACAAAAGGCTCCTGCCTCTTTATAGCCCACAGGCTGGGAAACGGGAAAGGGCTAGGAGTAGAAAGGCGTGGAGTCAAAGTGGAGGAAAGTGCCTCAGCCAAGGCCCCCAACAGACAGCCTCTGAATAGAGACACCTGGGCTAGGCATACAGACACGCATACATGTGGGTGCAGGGGTGTGGGGGTGGGGTGGTGGAACAGAATCTCTTTTTTTTTTTTTTTAAATGAATGAGCCTAACCTTCCCTTCCCCTCCCCTCCCCTCTCCTCTGCTCCCTTCCCCTCCCCTTCCCTTTCCTTTCATTTCTGAGACAGGATCTGGCTCTATCACCCAGGCTGGAGTGCAGTGGTGCAATCTCAGCTCACTGCAACCTCCGCCTCCCAGGCTCAAACCATCCTCCCACATCAGCCTCCAAGTAGCTGGGACTGCAGGTGCATGCCACCATGCCCGGCTAATTTTTTTGTATTTTTGGTAGAGATGGGGTTTTGCCATATTGCCCAGGCTGGTCTTGAACTCCTGGGCTCAAGCAATGCTCCTGCCTCGGCCTCTCAAAGTGCTGGGATTACAGGTGTGAGAAGAAAGATACCCGCATGAATCCTTGACTGCAACTCCCTAGAGGAAACCGTAAGGCACTGGCTGTGCACCGAGTCTGGTATGGGAAGGGCAGCTTCTTCCTTCCATGGAGCTTGCCTTGTCATTATCTCAAATCACACACAGATCACACAAAGGATTTTGGCCTAGAGTCAAACTTCTCAACTAGTTGATACAAATTTTGCACCATTTAATAAGATACTACTTTGCTCAGTAGGCTAAGCAAAGTAGTCTATCAAAGCGACCCATGCATAGTGAAGGATTTCTCTCCAGAAATGGTTCTCAAAGAGCAATGTCTGGACCAGCAACATTAGCATCACCTGGGAACTTCCTAAAAATTCAAATACTTAGGCCCCACCCTAGACTTTCTGAATCAGAAAATGTTGGGATGGAGTCCAGCCATCTGTGTTTCGATACTTCCCCTGGGTGACTCTGACAGATGCTAACATTTGAGAACCCACTGCTGTCTAGCAGAGTTTCTCAAATTCAGCACTATGGACATTTGGGGCCAGATAATTGTTGTTGCGGGAAGCTGTTCTGTGGATTGTGGGATGTTTAGGCTAGCCTCTGGCCTCTAGCTACTAGATTCTTGTACCATATCCCTGGTTGTGACACCCCAAAATATCTCCAGCCATTGCCAAATATCCCCTGGGGGAAAAATTGCCCCCAGTTGAGAACCATTGCCCTAGAGTAATTACTATGACCTAGATTGGTCCAAGCCTAAAGCATAACATATAAACTTACAAAAATGATATTCACAGATACATGACAATGTGACATAAACTAACCTTTAAACAGTTTACAGTTTACAAAGCACTTTCACATATAAGTCATTTGCTCCCCACAGTAATCCTAGAAGGAGGGTAATTATCATCATTCTCATCTTAGTGGTAAGGAAATTGAGATTCATACAAGTTACTTGATATGACCAGGGTTACTGCCTGCTAAGTGGCAGAGATGGAACTTAAACCTAGGTCCTTCTCGGCCGGGCGCGGTGGCTCACGCCTGTAATCCCAGCACTTTGGGAGGCCGAGGCGGGTGGATCGCAAGGTCAGGAGGAGATTGAGACCATCCTGGCCAACACGGTGAAGCCCCATCTCTACTAAAAAAAAAAAATACAAAAAATTAGCCCGGCGTGGTGGCGGGTGCCGGCAGTCCCAGCTACTCGGGAGGCTGAGGCAGGGGAATGGCGTGAACCCAGGAGGCGGAGCTTGCAGTGAGCCGAGATCACGCCACTGCACTCCAGCCTGGGTGACAGAGCGAGACTCCATCTCAAAACAAAAACAAACAAACAAACAAACAAAAAAACCTAGGTCTTTCTTTTTCATAAATAAAGAGAATTACCTTATTAAATGAGCTATGGAGGGGTTATTTCTAGTCTTTAACAATATTATTGCTCTTGGTAAAAAATTCAGTATTAGCTGAGAAATAATAGTTGTAGAGATACTCTTAACAGATTATTCAGTATGAAAAATGGATTGTGCATCCATAATAAGGGAAGCCTATCTGTAGATATTTACACAAGTTATTATATGAGCTATTATTTGGAAATAGAAGTCTTATGATAGTCAGCTGGGTGCAGGGGCTTACGCCTGTAATCCCAGCACTTTGGGAGGACGAGGCGGGCGGATCACTTGAAGTCAGGAGTTTGAGTCTAGCCTGGCCAACATGGTGAAACCCCATCTCTACTAAAAATACAAAACTTAGCTGGGCATAGTGGTACATGCCTGTAATCCCAGCTACTCAGGAGGCTGAAGCAGGAGAATCGCTTGAACCCAGGAGGTGGAGGTGGCAGTGAGCTGAGATCGTGCCACTGCACTCCAGCCTGGGTGACAGAGAGAGACTCCTTCTCAAAAACAAAAACAAAAAAGTCATAGTGAGCCTGAGTCAGAGACGTTGGAGAGATTTGTAATCAGTTAAGAGGAGTAAAAAAACAGCACAGTCGAACAAACTCAGGAATAGTCTTTCTCCTGTAAACTGCAGCCCCTGCCTGGTGAGAAAGTGAAATCACAATCCTAGCACATTGACTGAAGGAGATAGAAGAACACCCAGCACGTCGTAGAGCCATTGTCCTGCTCTGACCCAGATCCCTGCAGAATGAGGTGCTGCCCAACCAGCCTTAGGCTCCCATGGTGCAGTGTGTAAAAAGCCTTCAGAACCTGAGACTTCCAGAAAGTGGACGGAATACTCACCCAGAGGGGAGCTGGGGATTTCCACGGGCACAGTAATAGACTTTGGCTTCAGAGTGAGCATCCAATCGCCAGTAGCCAACTTGCTGACCTTTGGATTGTCCTCCAACATGGCCAAACTTGTTGCAGAGCATAAAACTGAAATACTAAATAAAGATCAAGGCCAAATCAAAGTCATGATGAGACAAATGACCCCGCACAGACCTTTTGATGTCAGTTCTTTTTTTCCCTGAGAAGAAATTGAAACCTCTTGCCTCCTCTTTAGAGAGGGTTGTTAATGGTTTAAATCTGGAAAGGTTTCTCATCAGGGGAAAGAGCACTGGGCTTGGACTCAGAATCCTGGATTCCAGTCCTGGATGTTCAACAGAGAAACCACTCAGCCTCGCTCTGCCTCAGATTTTTCTTATAAAAACAAAGAGAGCTGATTATAAGAACTCTAGGATTTCTACCACTTCTAGAATTCTACCCTTTACCAACATCTTAAATTTGCATTTAATATACTCCCCACTTGGGAGACACCATGCATAAAATTACAGAAGGCAGGATTTGGAGTCATGCAGGCCCAGCTTGCAATCCCAGCTCTGCAGTATTCTAGCTGGATTATGTTAGACAACTCCCCTAGCCCTCCCCATGCTCAGTTTCTTCATCTTTAAAACAAAGGTGATAACAACAGTATCCAACTCAAAAGGACTTTTGTGAATATTAAATGGAATTATATGTATAAACAATTAATACATAGTACCTGGTACATAGGAAGCACTCAGCAGATGGGAGTTACTATCATGTATTTGAGAATGGACAGGCCAGGTGCAGTAGTTCATACCTGTAATCCAAGCACTTCAAGAAGCCAAAAGCAGGAGGACTGCTTGAAGCCAGGTGTTCAAGACCAACCTGGGCAAAATAGCGAGACTCCATCTCTATGAAAAAAAAAGAAAGAAAAACTTAGCTGGATGTGGTGGTGCACGCCTGTGGTCCCAGTTACTTGAGGGGCTGAGGTGGGACAATTACCTGGGCCCAGGAGGTCAGGGCTGTAGTGAGCCATGATTCCACCACTGCATTCCAGCCTGCGTGACAGAGCAAGGGGCTGTATTGAAAAAATAAAAAAGAAAAAAAGAAAAGAAAATGTACACTCAGGAAAATAAAATTGAAGGACTTTTATTAAGAGCTATACCTCATTTTGTGATGGAGGGAACTAGAGTGACTTAAAAATCAACTGGCTAAAAACATTCTATTTTTTAAAATCTCAAAACTGTAAACGACAGTCTCTTAGAGGGAACACAGGCCATCTCATGTTTCCTGCATGATTCAAATTGGTGGATAATTAGTCATAAAGATTTTCTGAGTAAACAGCACCATTTGGTAATACACTGTTTTCTGCTGGTTTGGTTAGGGATGGAGAAATTGTGAATGAAAAAGGAATGTATATAGATGTGTTGTCCAGTACAGTTGCCACTGGTACCATGTGGCTATTCACAGCTTAAAATGTGACCAGTTCAAGAGGAGAGGTGCTGTAAATGCAAAATTCACAGCAGATTTCAAAGATTTGGTACCAAAAAAAGTAAAATATTCAATAAAATGTTTATATTGACAAAATGTTGAAATGATAAAATTGGTAAGTTGGAGTAAATAAAATATTTTAAAATGAATTTTACCTCCTTTTTAGTTTTTTAATGTGACTATTAAGCAATTTTAAATTACATATATGGCTTGCATTATATTTCTATTGACCAATGCAGTATAGAGAGGAAAAATAAGAACACACATACACAAAGAGCAAGAAAAAAAACGAAGTCCCGGGGATGCAGCAATTTTAAAAAAAAAAAAAGTGAGGAAGGCCACAGGCTTGATGATCCTGGCTCCATGCAAAAAAAGTCACTAAAATTGATTTTTCTATTAACAAAGAAGCTGCCGGGCGCGGTGGCTCACACCTGTAATCCCAGCACTTTGGGAGGCCAAGGCAGGCGGATCACGAGGTCAGGAGATCAAGACCATCCTGGCTAACACAGTGAAACCCTGTCTCTACTAAAAATACAAAAAATTAGCCGGGCATGGTAGGGGTGCCTGTAGTCCCAGCTACTCGGGAGGCTGAGGCAGGAGAATGGCGTGAACCCAGGAGGCGGAGCTTGCAGTGAGCTGAGATTGCACCACTGCACTCCAGCCTGGGCGACAGAGTGAGCCTCTGTCTCAAAAAAAAAACAACAAAACAAAACAAAGAAGCTAATAGAGATTGCATTCCCTACGCCTTTTACGTATTTCATTTTGTAACATTTGGTAGAAGAAAGAAAAGAGAAGTTGTGCCTTCCTCACTTCTTTCATTGAATAATCTCTTTTAATCTTATAAAACATTGTGTCCTCTTTTGGTCATAAGTGGATGGAAAGACATAAAAATAAGGAAAGTGCACCCTCTGCAGGCTACTTAGCAATACAGAAATACTAAACAGCAAAGTTCTGTAAAAAATACTGCAGAATGAATAAATGAATGGATGAGTTAACATTTCACATTACTGCATCTACTGCTGTCATCACTGATTCAATAATGGTGAAAATAAAGGCAAGGAAATGGGTCGAATAGTATCAAAATTATTAGGTTATATCAATTCTTTCTTTTTTCCTTCCCTCCTGCCTTCTCTCCCTCCTTCCTGTCTTTCCTCCTTCTTTCTTATTCTCCTTACTCCCTTCCTTTCTCCTTTTTTCCCTTCCTCCCTCCCTCTCTTCCCTTCCTCCCTCCCTCTCATCCTTCCCTCCTTCCTGCTTCCCTCCCTTCCTCCCTTTCTTCCTTCCTTCCTTCCTCTTTTTTCTTGCTTTCACTCTTGAACAGCTTAGACACATCTTGTTTGGAAATCCTATATAAAGACAGAAGGCAAAAGGCCAAACTCAGCCTAGAGATTTATGCTGTTTATTTCAGTACAGTTTCCTTGTGAGGTTAATGCTTCATTCATGTTTCTAAATCCAATCTGGCAGACAAAGTAAAGAAATAATAAGGCCACAAACATCACCAGCCACAAGCTTAATGGTGTCAAGTATGTGATTATAAGCAGCCCCTAACTTAGGAAAGGGTTACCTTCCCAAAGGCAGTTTATATTTTGGTTGTTTGGAACGAGAAATCTTTTTCTCATTTTTTCTGGGCCAGTTCACAAGGGCACAAATACGTATTAACCCATAATGTATGTGAGATAGATAATAATAACATCATTATTTTTACTTTATCAAACACTAATATATAACAGTATTTTTATGGAAAAAGACAAATGTAAGGCCCATCTTGGGCTCTCAGATTATCCTTCTTTCTGCAGGTGGTGTGAGCAGTCTTCTCCCAGTTTCTTGATTCAGAGATGAGGGTTATGTCTGGGAGATCCATGCCAGACAACCCCAGGACCAGTGTCTTTTTTTTTTTTTTTTTTTTTTTTTTTTTTTTTGAGACGGAGTCTCGCTCTGTCACCAGGCTGGAGTATAGTGGTGCGATCTCGGCTCACTGCAACCTCTCCCTCCTGGGTACAAGTGATTCTCCTGCCTCAGCCTCCCAGGTAGCTGGGACTACAGGCATGCACCACCACATCTGGCTAATTTTTGTATTTTTAGTAGAGACGGGGTTTCACCATGTTGGCCAGGCTGGTCTTGAACTCCTGACCTAGTGATCTACCTACCTCGGCCTCCCAAAGTGCTGGGATTACAGGCATGAACCACCACGCCTGGCCAGTATCTTGTTAGCACTCTTTAGTGCAAAACAAGGAAGCTAACTCACAGGTACAGTCACACCCCAAGATTTCTGAACTGGAGAACAAAGAAAAATTAATATCATCATCAGAGAAAGCAGCGCCCAAATGGTAGACTCTCTCTGCTTTCTTCAACACACACACATGCACACACACTTTCCTGTGTCACCAACACTCATTTTATAGATTGGGCATCTGTAGGTTAAGACTGACTGTAATGATAACCAGGCTTCAATAGCTTTAAGAAATACAGCACTAGTGTTATGGAATATATTTCCTATTAGCATTTTTATTATTCACAGCGTAATTTAAGACCAATTTAATTCCTTTTAACCTATTAAACAAAACTAGCGTGGTTAAATTAAACTTTGCAGTGTGTAAAATAACTTAAGGAGAGCTTATGAAAGGGAATTTGGAATAACTCAGAAATTATATTTATTGCTTACACATAATTCAAAACAGTGCGAAAATGTAATGCAATCTGTAAACTTGTGTTTTTGTCAAACAGATTATATATTTTAAAATAAACACTTGCAGGAAAACACAACAAAAGGTGATAGCATTTATTATTTGCTTTTTCTTATGGTTACATTTAAACTTTTTAATCCAGAATATATACAACAGCCTAAATTGTGTGCCTATTAAAGCTTCACCTTTCATAGTTAAAATGCTGAAAAAAAATAAAAGCATCTATCTTGATCAGAGTTATGAGAACACAAGTGAAATGTTTTTCCAGCTCTGCTCTCTCTTGAGTGCAGAGACATACACTTTGGAGCTTTTGAGAAATATGGTCCCTATCTAATGCACAGTGGTTCAACGAAGAAGCTCTTACTCACTTAGTGAGTAGATTAAAATACAATCGTAATTTCCTCTTTGGGAAGCTAAGTGTAGTTTTAAGCTATAATCTTTATGTGATTCCAGGTGTGATGTACAGAAATCTCATAGTGTTGTATAGCATGATCATTAAGAAAATGAGCACGACCGGGCGCGGTGGCTCACACCTGTAATCCCAGCACTTTGGGAGGCCGAGGTGGGCGGATCACGAGGTCAGGAGATCGAGACCATCCTGGCTAACTCAGTGAAACCCCGTCTCTACTAAAAATACAAAAAATTAGCCGGTCGTGGTGGTGGGAGCCTGTGGTCCCAGCTACTCAGGAGGCTGAGGCAAGAGAATCGTTTGAACCCCGGAGGCGGAGCTTGCAGTGAGCGGAGATCGCGCCGCTGCACTTCAGCCTGGGAGACAGAACAAGACTCTGTCTCAAAAAAAAAAAAAAAAAAAAAAGAAAAAGAAAATGAGCATTAGATTTACAGTTAAATCCTGCATAAACCATTTAGGAGATATACGACCTAAGACATAGCTTAACCTCTCTGTTCTTTAGCTTCTTCATCCAAAAACTGAGGTTCATTCATTTATTGAACACTTAACATGTGCCAAGCACTGTTCTGAGAACTGGGAACATAATTAAAAAACATATTTGGTCCAAATTCTCAGGAAGATTACATCCAAATTGGCAGAGATAGAGAGTTTTTAAAATTAATTAATGTGAAAATGTTTAGGGAGTATTAGCTTTTAGGATAAAAATAAAATAGGGTGATGTAAAAGGAATATTGAGGAAGTTCCTGAAGACAGAGTTGTCAAGGAAACCCTCTCTGGGGAGACGAGATTTAATCTGGGACCTGAAGGAGGCATCAACCACACTAAGGTCTGGGAGAAGAGAGGTCCAGGCAGAAGGAAAAGCTGGTGAAAAAGTCCAGCAGAGAGAATGAGTGTGGCATGTCACAAGAACAAAAAGAAGGTAGTGTGGCTGGGGCAGAGCAAGTGGAAAAGACGCAGGACATGAAGTAGGCAGGAGCTAGATCATGCCACTCCTTAGAGGAACTGGTTTAGAGTTTGGTTTTTATTTTAAGTACAGTTCAAAGCCATTGGAGGACTTTCATCAGGATGGTCGTGAAGACTGAGATAACACGCATAAAGCACTCAGCACAATGTGCAGAGTGAATACTCAGGAAAGGGGGACGTCATCATAATCATTGTTGATATATGATAAAACCCTAACATACAATATGTGAAGTCCAAAATATTTATTACTTTAAAACTCAGGGTCAAGTTATTGCAAGATTAATGAAGAAAGAACAGGGCCTTAGCAGAGGATAGGAGTCTATTGCCAATCACCACCTGGCCAGATTCTCGTTACTGTGGGGCAGGCTTTACTATATTTCTTGCCATCATTATCATTCTCACCATCAGCTTTATTATCAATGAAACTTAAGTAAAATCTTAGGCCAGCACTGCTCATCACGGAAGTGAAATGTTGATCAGCCTAGAGCAAAATGAATCTGAAGGAGCAATACTCAATGCTGTGGTCACTATGAAATGACACCAACATTCCTTAATTTCCCCCAGAGCATCATCAGGTAAGCGGACTTTCTGTTTTCCAAGCTGGGTGGGAATCCTTCCACTCATTTTCCAGAGCTGGTGGGCAGCAAACACTTACGGGGCCATGAACCTCGAGAAGTTCATTTCAAGCTGGAACTCACATAGATGTGCCAATGATTTTTCCTGGCCACATTTTATCATCTGTGCCTGCTCTTTCTCTAAGAACACCATATAAAGCAGTCCTTACTCCACGGATCATTTAGTTTACTAAATCATGGTTTATTTTTTCCGCAGGATATCACATGCTATTTTAGAATCAGTTTTCAAAAGGTCTTAAATGACTTGGCTCAAAATTGGTTTTGTATTAAGGGAAAGAACCGGTGTCCCAGAGTTTCAATCAGCACCTTAACAAATAGTCTGCCGACCTCCCACAGATTGCCAACAGTAATGGTTAGCTGAGACTTCCAAGGTCCATTTCTCTCTGCTTCTTTCCTACATTTTTCCCACCCTGTTTTCACTGAAAACAGGATTATAGTCGACAGTTTTACAGGAAGGGGTTGGGGGAAGGCGGACATACCTTAAGATCTGCTGCCTCGTTCCACATAACTTCTAAAGGTGCAATCAGCTGAACCATCTAGTCGCTTTGCATGACAGTAATTTAACCACTCAAGTTGTCTTTCACCTGGGGGATATAGAGAGTTATGATTCTGCATCAAAGCCATCGCAACATTCCTTCAAACAACATACTAACCATGCCGTTGGCATTCAATTAATGTTAAATACAGTAACATTTCATTCACATACAATATTGGGGAGAACGAGGTTTTCTACATAAATGAATTTTGCAGACAAGCAAAGCTCACCCCAACAAGAACCAAAAGATATTAGTAAACTTTGAATCATTTTTGATAGAATTTAAATGCTTTTTTTTTTTTTTTTTTTTTTTTTTAGACAGAGTCTGGCTCTGTCACCCAGGCTGGAGTGCAGTGGCACGATCTCAGCTCACTGCAAGCTCCGCCTCCCGGGTTCACTCCATTCTCCTGCCTCAGCCTAAATGCACTTTTTATGTCCAATGACCACTTAAATAAGGTGCAGGGATCTTTATTTTGTTTATTCATAGCCAATGATCACTTTAAGCATAATACACGGCTACGTGCAATGCAATGGTTTCACCTAAAAGCCTCAATTATGTTTCTCAAGTTCTGGTGAGCAAGTCTCCTTGAAGCATGTCAAGCCCTTGTTGGTCTAGCTGTCACTTTTGCTACTACTGGCAGGTTTGACTGCTCTTGGCTTGCACATTCCCACCCCATTCTCATTTGCTCTGTGTGAGAAGATTATAAAACTTACGAACCTGAGCAGTATTACTTTACAACAATTCTCAGTCCAGAAGGACCCCGGTAAGGGCTTAAGGGTTATTCCACACCTCAAATGAGAGAAAATATGGGCTTAGAGACAGGCATTTTCCTTGCTGACTTTTTTTTTCCTTTGTGAATTTTTGGCAAAGTCTGAGAATCATCTTGAGATAAGTCACTGTGCATTATTACATTTCCCAAACATATTCTCTTCTACTTCTTGTTTCTCACTTGCATTTCCTAAATAAACTTTCTTACTCATCTCAGAAAGTTAATTTCTAATTGCGTTTAGACTATATTTGCCTAAGTTATCAAAAATCACTGTGTGATGATGTCAGGGAATGAAAAGATCTTTTGGAAGGATTTTTGGTAACCATTACCCTCCTTCTTCATTGAGATTCCTGATGTGATTTAACTTTCACCTCGATGGTGCATTTGGCATAGAGTCAGAGGAGTGAATATCTGGTAAGAAAGAAAATAGTCTAATCAAATAGCAATGAGAAAATGTAATTGCTCTAGCAGACTGCTACATAAATAGACACATAGATCCTCCCTTGATTTTATTCCCCTGAGGCTAATGACTGACCCTAATGAAAATCCCAGAGGAAATCATTGTAATAAAAATAGCCAAAACATTAAGAACAGGGCAAGTGAGAATGATGATGGCTGATAAGCATTTGAACCATCAAGCATCGTTACTAATCCAACTACAAAAATAAGTACTGGCTCATGGGCTAAGTACCTAAAAGAAATCAGGGACCATCTTACATGAATCAATTAGTGTGTAGACCTTAAGAAAAAATATTCTACAATGACCCTCTAGTTCCCATTATTGTTTTTAATAGAATCTATATATAGTAATGTAAGAAGGTCTCAAGATTGCTTTTTATGCTTTAGTGTTGTGCTACTTATGATGTGGTAGTGTTTCCAGTTTAAGCCACAAATTATAAATTCTTCCTTCTAAGTAAAAAACAAAATTATTCTAAAGTGAAATTGCTAATCCCTTTAATCAACCCCAAACCATCTGTGAATTCATAAACTAGCAATTTTGGAAAAAAAAATATATACATATTATACATGTATATATACATATAATATTATATATAATTATATTACATATATGTCATAAAATATATACATATACATGTGTGTATACATATGTTATATACAATTATATATATTATATATTATAATATTAAATGATTATTTCAGAATTAGTAAAACAGAGATATATATATTACATAAACAAGAGAGGTAATATTATATATATTACATACACACACACACACATATATACACACACACACACATCCCAGCTGATTCCATAAAGAACTTTATGTGGCTTACAAAAACAAATAAAATCACTAAGGATTTTTTTAAGTTGAGATAGTCTGAGCAAAAAAGAAAGAACAATCAGGAAAATAGTAAAACCAAATGTTAAGAGTGGTAGACAGAAATGTTGCACCAGAGCCCTGTAGAGTTGGTAGAGATGGGCTACACATTTGGCTCTAAGTTTCCAGCAGTTAAAGAGAGAAACAAAAACATTGGAAGATTCATAGCGGCCATAAAATATAAAAACCATGGTTGAATGCTGAGATAAATTTTTCCCACAGGTCATATAAAAAGGATACCATGCAATGAAATGATTGACATCCATCAAAAACAGGCATCGAGTAGAGATAACAGTCTATGATAGTTGGCCATTCCTTTTAATTTTCCTTATTATAAGACAATGGCATGATACCAAAATGCAATTTATCAAACTCAGTCCTCCAAAGGACTAAAACTTTAATGGTCTGGCTTCATCCGAGGGCAAAATTAATTATCTAAATGGGAATGTGCTGCACGGCATTGAGGGAATTTTGCTCAAACATAAATTTTTGCAATTAGGCATTTGATAAGGATTGGATAAGGAATGGTTAGAAATTATCTTCTCAAATTGGAGTCCAGGGGGCAGATTTCTGTGTAATAGAGTAAGGCCAAGAAAATTGAGGAATTGCCCAAGGCAAAACACCCAAGTACCTTTAGAAAGGACCAATATCATGCCCTCCAAATATTTCTGAATTCATTTCAAAATATAATTAAATGGGAAAGTAAGACACCAATGCTCTGTGACACGAAGAATGATGACACTAATGTTTAGCTAGAGTTTTTTCAATACAGATATTAATAGTCACCTGCTGTGGTGGCTCAAGAAAAAAAAAAAGCTCAGTGAAACATCAAAATGACACCTTAATTTAAGTAATATTGCTTTCTAGTGAATCCTGCAAGGTAAATTGATCCCAGTATTTTCTTAAGAAACTTGTTGAATGAAGTTGTTGAACACCAAGTAAATGAATGGTGGAAAACTCTTGCCAAAAGCAGGGACTGGGGTTTTAGAGTGGCCGTGGTAGATTGACTGCACTATTGTCCTCAACTTACGTGCCTCCATGTATCTACAGCCTTTGATACTGCCCTGCCACACTGATCCTGGGTGTGGCCACATAACCTACTTCAGCCAATGGGCTAGTAGCAAATTTAACAAGGTGCTTACACATTGCTGCTTGCTCCCTTGGCACCCTCTACTTTCATGAGAGCAAGCCCAGGTAACCTACTAGAGGCTGAGACCATGTGATGCACAGCTGAATTGTTCCAGCTGAGACCTCCAAGCCTGCCAACACTGTTCCCCAACCCCAAGCCCACCCACCAGCTGACTGCAGATACATAAACAATCCCTGCCTAATACAGTAAAGCTTGGTCAGATCAGCCAAACCACCCAACCAGTCCTAGGCATACAAAAAATTTAGAAATTTTTTGTGAGAAATTATTTTGTGAGAAATAAGAAGTAGCTGTTGTTTTAAGCCACTGAGATTTGGAGTGGTTTGTTACACAACAATCGCTAACTAATGCAGTGCCTGAACTTAAGCCATTTCTTTACATAATATTAGGAAATAGGACCAAGAGCTGCTAGAGTCATCTATGAACTTAATAATATTAGTAGAGAATACTTATTACTTTTACTCTCAGTGGAAAGAGGGACAGATTCAGTTAGCTCATCCAAAAGTAATATTATATTATAAAACAAAAAGAAACAAAGTAGTCAAAACATCCCTGTTTTATTCATTTTGAAATAACCATTTAACTTATCAAACCCAGGTCTTTGCACTGGTGTTAAGATGCAAATTCTACATAAGAATCAGGACTGGGTTCAATATTGTACGTAAGCAGGCTCGCCTACAACTGGTTCCTATGCACAGAATCAAATATTGAGTAAAGATCAATAAAAGCTGCAAACAATCTTATCTTGTTATTGAAAGATTTCTGCATAAAATATACAGAAGGAAAAGTAATTTGATGTGGAAGAAACTTGCCAAAAGCCTGCTTCTTGCATAAAACAATGGTCTGAGGAACCCAAACTTGCAATCTGTGGTGGGAAACTGGCTAAAATATAAAAAAGAATAACCAGTAAACTGATGAATTCATAATAAAAGAAAGAGTAAATTTACCTTTCTTTACAAAGGGAGACATGGGAAATATACTATATTTTGGTCCATCAGAACCAAGTTGGGAAGGCCAGATACTTACAGACCATAAACAATTTTTTTTTTTTTGAGACGGAGTCTCGCTCTGTCACCTGGGCTGGAGCGCAGTGGCGCGATCTCGGCTCACTGCCAACTCCGCCTCCCAGGCTCATGCCATTCTCCTGCCTCAGCCTCCCGAGTAGCTGGGACTACAGGCGCCTGCCACCATGCCCAGCTAATTTTTTTGTATTTTTTTTAGTAGAGACAGGGTTTCACCGTGTTAGCCAGGATGGTCTTGATCTCCTGACCTTGTGATCCACCTGCCTTGGCCTCCCAAAGTGCTGGGATTATAGGCGTGAGCCACCACGCCCGGCTGACCATAAACAATTTTAATAGCAGAAAACCTCCTCCAGGTAATTTATATAATTTGGCCTTTTTAATCAGCAAAACTATGAAATGAAATGTTCCCTGCATGTACTAAGGAGAGGAAATTTATCTCAAAATATAAGCCTGAGAAAAGAGGCCCTCTTGTATTTCTAGATACTGTGACTACTTCAACTTTCTTCGTCAGGTTTGTCTTAAAACCTTTCCTGATATTCAATTCTAACTGCCAAGTCTGGGCGAGCCACAATAATTAATTTTAAAAAGTAAAATATTTTTAAATCAAGAGTAAAAACTGGATTTGGTAAGATTCTGAATGACTTCTGAATTTCATTTCTGATGTGAGCTCACAAGCCTGGCCATGGCTGTTTTTAGCTTTGTAACAATCATAAACACAGGAATTATGTCATACAGCATGCAGGAAACAAAAACCACTCAAGCAGAAGGGCTTTAATACAGGAATCAGATCCTTCAAAAATTCTTGATGGGCTAGAGAAGCAAGCTCTAAAATGGGCTTCTGGGAATAGGTCCCAGATGTAACAGAATGACTCACCTTGGGGGCTACACTACGAATGATCAGCAAGGTGGGAGGAATCAAACAACGCCACTAGATGGACCGATATCAAGAACACACCACCAGGGCTTTGACCCAGAAAGCAGGAAGCCAGGATTACGAAGCTGTTGCCAGCCCCACGGCTGCCCTTGTACATCTGTAAGCACGGAGAGCAAGGTGTTATCTTTGGCAAAGAGGTGCCAAAAATGCATCATCTCATCACATTCCCTACACTAAGGTTACAAAAGACCCTGGCCCCTGGACACCCATGAGTGCATCAGGAATTCTGGTTTAAACCACGGCAGCCTTAGGGGCTTATGGCAGAAATGCCAAAACAGCATGAAAATAGGCTTTGTTTTCCTACCACCTTCCAATCCTCACATGAAAGTATCTAATTGGTGGAGGCTTATTTGTACCCACAGCCATAACTGCAACAGAATCCAAGAAACACAGTTTCTGCTTCCCAGCCTTGCAGTAGAAGACCCCATGTGTGCCAGTCTAGCACACTGATCAGGGGAACTATGACAGTAACTTCTATCTTTGCTGAAAGAGAGACTGATAAACACAGTTTTAGTTCATCAACAGTTGATTCATAAAGGCTCAAGAGAACCTTCTCTCTCAAGTCACCTGAAATAAAGATTTCATCTCTAGATATCTAAGGTATCACCAATAGGATTTAAATGCATCTCATTCCATTTCACCCTTCTCGTTCCCATTAATCTAACCAGCTCAATCACACCTAGGCACAAAAGACACCGGGACAACTAAACCAACATTTAAACTAAGAAAAGAATCAATCACTTTCATCCAGTTCAAGATCTTCCCTCTTAGAATGGTAATAAGCAGGGAGTGATTATAATACATTTCATTTCTTGTGACTTTGCCCTAACCTGGAGAGACTTTAAGGGAGCTACTCACTCCAGTACAGCCTCAAGTAGATTGATTGGACTATTCTTGAAACTCTGAATGTAGGCCACACACAGAGCCCACTTTGGAACAAAACAGCCACAGAGCATTCTCACACCAAGGTTACAGATGACTCACATGACCCTGGCCCTCGTTTGCCATTGAGTGCACCACCAATTCTTGCTTAGGCCAAAGCAGCCATGGAAACTTGTATTTTCTGAAAATTTAGCAGAACCTGGGGGCTTTTTGTGGCAAAGCAATAAACTGAACCAATCAGATGCTCCCTCTTGGGATGTTTGAATATGAAACACGTAGAGACCTTTCTGGGGGGAGTGGTGAGACAGTATGGGGAAGCTGAGAGACCCATAGAGAAAAGGAAGCAAGCCAAAGCTAAGAAAGAGCTTGGCATTTGGCCAAGACTCAGATTAGCATGGGCCTTTGCCTGCATGCCCTTTGTGGATACACCAGGGCAGAGCCACTTCCTTCCTGTCTCTTGGCACTGCTTCTCCTGTGGCCTGAGTCTTGGCCAAATGCCTTGTGATCCACCTGGAACACGAGAAGATGGAGACCTGCAAAGAGCTTCTCCAAGGCCATCTTCCTTTCACCTCCTGATCTCACCTGGGAAGCTGTCATGAAGCAGTTTCTCATCACCTCCAGTGTTCTGATGAGACGTGGGTCTTCCTGCTTCACCCTCTCTTAATAGAGTGGCAGAACACAAAACCACCGAGCTGCATTACCCAACTCGCATTGCAATCTCCAAGTCCCTTTGGTTTCAGTGTCATTCTTTTTGATGAGCAGAACAATGACCTCAAGGAGTTGGCACATTTGGCTAGTCTTCCTTTTGTCATCTATGTAATGAATAAACGGTCTGATTCTAAAAAAGTGTCCTTGCATCTTTACCAGTCGAATCAGTCAGGACTTTACCTTAGCCATGCCTTGTCTCATGTGTGCTTGACAGAAACTAAGTGGAGCTGTGGGACCAACATGGTAGTCGTAGGCCGAGTCTCCCCTCAACCTCATCCCCACTCCATAGATAAAAGGCAGAAGAGTGGGAGGGAGGTTTACAGGGAGATGAACAAAAGTAACAATTATATTGAGAGGAGAGTATTGTTTAGTCTTACTCTTTTGGTTACCCCCAGTTCTCGGCCTCTCAATCCACTCCTTCTGACCCACATTGGAAGTTACCTCACTGGTAAGGGATTGACATGGGGCTACCTTTCTTGATTGCATGGAGTTAACCCATTTAAAGTCTCTCCTTCTCTGATCAGTGCAAAGCAGCAATGATGCCCAGCATGCCTGTGCTTTCACCCTAAGCCACGTTCTCTGTAGTCCAGCGAGACTCTGAATTCCAGCCTCCTGACCCCTCTATTTTCTTGGTTGTTTCCAAACTCAGAAAGTGAATAAGGGTATAAATTATTGTGCCCTCTTAAGCCCAAATAAATTCGATTAAAAGAGAAAAAAATTTAAATTTATAAAGGAATATTAAAAGATTTTAACAACAACAAAAATATCCTGAAGCAAAATAATGAGCCAACACAAAATGAGTCAGACTCCAAAGCCAAACAAAAGAATTAAAATTCAACAGAAAAATACTGAAACATAAGATGATATAGTAACATGAAATAAACAATACAAATGGAGGCAGAAAAAGAAAAGTCAGGAGGTTAAGGATTTAATGGGAATTGGGAAAATTAAATAATAATACAAAAAAAATCAAAACACATAGACAAGCCAAAAACATTAAACAATTCTGACGTACAGGGGTTAAAACTTTAACACAAACAAAAAATGAAAAAAACAGAAACAAAGTAACTAGAAACAAATAGTGAACTGAGTCCTTATCAGAATCCTAAGATGGCTCAGACATCCCCAACCCCCAATCCTCACGGCTTTTAGCTCTCCTGGAGGCTGGAGGCCATGTTTTCAGGCAGCACCTAACATGAGGATCCCAGGCTTTTGAATCACTATAACAGAAACCTACAGTCTCCTTGGCGTTTTGCAAACTCTGCGCAAAAACCCTCTTGATTGCTTTGTGTTGTTCTCTGGTTTTACTTCACATACGTCTGGATGGTAAGAATAGAGACCATACCTCCCATGTCTTAATCTGTTTGGGCTGCTATTGAGAGGTGACAGCGTGCTGGCAGTCCTCACAGCCCTCCCTCGCTCTCGGCGCCTCCTCTGCCTGGGCTCCCACTTTGGCGGCACTTGAGGAGCCCTTCAGCCCACCACTGCGCTGTGGGAGCGCCTTCCTGGGCTGGCCGAGGCCGGAGCCGGCTCCCTCAGCTTGCGGGGAGGTGTGGAGGGAGAGGTGCGGGCAGGAACCGGGGCTGCGCGCGGTGCTTGCGGGCCAGCGTGAGTTCCGGGTGGGCGTGGGCCCCGCGGACCTCGCAACTCGGAGCCGCCTGCCGGCCCCACCGGCCCCGGGCAGTTGAGGGGCTTAGCACCTGGGCCAGCAGCTGCCGTGCTCAATTTCTCGCCTGGCCTTAGCTGTCTTCCTGCAGGGCAGGGCTAGGGACCTGCAGCCCGCCATGCCCGAGCCTCCGCGACGAGCGCCGCCCGCTGCTCCACAGCGCCCAGTCCCATCAACCACCCAAGGGCTGAGGAGTGTGGGCTCACGGCGGCGGACTGGCAAGCAGCTCCACCTGTAGCCCTAGTGCGTGATCCACTGGGTGAAGCCAGCTGGGCTCCTGAGTCTGGTGCGGACGTGGAGAACCTTTACGTCTAGCTAAGGGATTGTAAATACACCAATCGGCACTCTGTATCTAGCTCAAGGTTTGTAAACACATCAATCAGCACCCTGTGTCTAGCTCAGGGTTTGTGAATGCACCAATCGACACTCCGTATCTAGCTACTCTGGTGGAGACATGGAGAACCTGTGTGTCTAGCTCAGGGATTGTAAACACACCAATCAGCGCCCTGTCAAAACAGACCACTGGGCTCTACCAATCAGCAGGATGTGGGCGGGGCCAGATAAGAGAATGAAAGCAGGCTGCCAGAGCCAGCAGTGGCAACCCGATTGGGTCCCCTTCCACACTGTGGGAGCTTTTTTTTTCTTTGCAATAAATCCTGCTGCTGCTCACTCTTTGGGTCCTCACTGCCTTTATGAGCTGTAACACTCACTGCAAAGGTCTGCAGCTTCACTCCTGAAGCCAGCGAGACCACAAACCCACTGGGAGGAACAAACAACTCCAGACGTGCCTTAAGAGCTGTAACACTCACTGCGAAGGTTCGCAGCTTCACTCCTGAGCCAGCGAGACCACGAGCCTGCCAGAAGGAAGAAACTCCGAACACATCCGAATATCAGAAGGAACACACTCCGGACACGCCGCCTTTAAGAACTGTAACACTCACCACGAGGGTCCACGGCTTCATTCTTGAAGTCAGTCAGACCAAGAACCCACCAATTCCAGACACACTATAACAAAATACTACAAACTGGGTGGCTTAGAAACGGTAGAAATGTGTTACTCACAGTTCGTGAGGCTGGAAGTCCGAGATCAAGGTGCTAGCAGATACAGTGTCTGGTGAGGGCCTGCTTCCTGGTTCATAGATAGTACCTTCTAGCTGTGTCAGCACATGGTGGAAAGGCAAATAAGCTCCCCTGGGCCTCTTTCATAAGAGCGCTAATCTTTTATAAGGGTGGAGACCTAATGAACTAATCATCTCCCAAAAGGCCCTACGTAATACCATCACTTCAGGGCCTAAGATTTTAACATGAATTTTGGAGGGACACAAACATTGAGACCACAGCACCTTAATTCTTCGATCTCCTCTTCTGGATATCCATTTGGTCACCCAGTAGTTCATTTGATGATGATTTATTGACTCCTTACTCCGTGCATTGTCCAATTACAGTATAAGTGCTGGTGATTCACCACCTACCTGCTGGTGGAGAAAGATGACAAATAATTCTGTCATTACAACTGTGGTAAGTGCTATGAAGGAGAAACACAGAAGCTATGAGAATGACAAACAGGGAATGTCTTGGGAGTCATCAAAGACTTTCTAATGAAAGTGTCTGCATACTGAGGTAGAATTAATTCAGCCATAAGGGAATAGAAGAGCATTTTAGGTAGGAAGAACAGCAGAGGCAAAGACCCTGAGGCAGAAGTGGTAAAGCAGACAGCACGAACTATTCCAGGTACTGGGGCCAGAATACAAGACATTAATGCCAAATGGAGAAGATACCAGTGAGACAAGGACCAGAACCTAGGCCTCAAAGTCACTTTAAATATAGATTAATATATATTAATATGTTAATCAGGTGTCATTTTAGCTCCTTTCAGTTTTATTTCAATTTTATTTTGTGTTAGCTATTTTTATAAGTAATATTATCTCTGAGTCAGAGGAATGTGCTTTTGTTTATTTCTTAGCTAATCCAGGAAAAATCTTGGATTGTTCTGTTGTTCGGGACTGATCATTACAGTAGTTCTCTAACGTATCAGTCTCAGAACACCTTTAGACTCTTAAAAATTAACTTCCCCAAAGGTCTTTTGTTTATGTGGGTTATAGGTATGAATATTTGCTATATTAGAAATTAAAACTGATAAATTTTTAACGTTATTTAAAAAATAATAATCCTATCACATGATAATATGTATGTTTTTATTTAAAATATCTCTATTTTCCAAGAATGAAAAGGGTGGCTGTATTAGTCCGTTCTCGAATCGCTATAAAGAACTACCTGAGACTGGGTAATTTATAAAGAAAAGAGGTTTAATTGGCTCACAGTTCCACAGGCGGTACAGGAAGCATGGCTGGGGAAGCCTCAGGAAGCTGACAATCAAGGTGGAAGGTGAAGGGGAAGCAGACACATCCTACAAGGCTGGAGGAGGAGGAAGAGACAGAGTGGGGAGGTGCCACACACTTTTAAACAACCAGGTCTTATGAGAAGTCACTCACTATCACAAGAACAGCTGGGGATTATAATTCCACATCATATTTGGGCAGGCAATTCAAACATATCAGTGGCATTTACATTTTTGCAAAAATCCAAACCATATCAGTGGCATTTACATTTTTGCAATTTTTTTTTTTTTTTGAGACAGGGCCTCACTCTTGCCCAGGCTGGAGTGCAGTGGCATGATCTCAGCTCACTGCTGCCTCAACCTCCCAGGCTCAAGCAGATCCTCCAACCTTAGCCTCCCAAGCAGCTGAGACTACAGGTGCATGCCACCAAGCCAAAGGGATTTATATTTATCTATAAATTCATATATAAATCAGATATATTTATATAAAATGTGTATATTATATATATAAATCAGATAAATAAATATGTATTTATATCTGATCTTAAAAGAGTAAAAGGGATTTATATTCCCAGGAAGAAGTAGAAAAGAGGAATATAGATAGTGGTTAAGAACCGGCATTTTGCAATAAGTCTGATCTAGATAGGAATTCTAGCTTTAATATTTACTAGCTCTGTGATCTTGGGAAAATTATTTACAGTTTGTGAACTTCAGTTTCCCTTCTACAAAATAGAGACAGTACCATTTAATTTTTAATTTTTAATGGTATCGTCTCCATTTTATGGAAGGAAAACTAAATGGTATTTTAACCGACAATTCATTAATTTTTAAGACTGACCATTAACAGAGATACTGCATGTAAAGCAGATCACACAGAATATGGCACACTTGAGCACTTGATGTGTACTACATTACTCTTAGTGACGACTTTAATTATCGTGCGCATTCCCAGCGCTTCCTATGGTGCCCAACACAGAGCGGACGCCTAGAGACAATTTTGGGGGATGGGGCAGATGCTCTGCCTCGGGAAAAAAAAAGCACACCTGCCCTGACGTTGGTGGCTGGGTCTGGAAGATACGTGGAAATTAAGCTAAGGATGTGTGGCTTCCAGATCAAAAACCGCAAAAATCTAACGCCGTGACTACTGACTACGGTCAGAGAGCACAGACTGGAGCAACCTCTCACGGCCTGGGCTGTCTGCGCGTGCGTGAGCCAGAAACCCGAGGGGCTCCCTGGGCCCGCCCTATCGATCGACCCGATCGGGGATCGTCAGCTTGGTTCTGGCCACAGAGGTTGCTCTTCTCGCGATGCTTCAGACCTGGCGGCAGGGAAAGGGTGGGCTAATTGGAGAGCCAGGAAGAGCGTGAGGCGGCCCCACGCTGCTTTCCCAGAAGGCTGTGCGTGCTCCTCGCTTCCTCCGCGGTCTTCCGAGCGGTCGCGTGAACTGCTTCCTGCAGGCTGGCCATGGCGCTTCACGTTCCCAAGGCTCCGGGCTTTGCCCAGATGCTCAAGGAGGGAGCGAAAGTAAGGGCTGAAGGAAAGGAATGAGGTGGGAGCGTCAGCATAGGGCTGCGGCGGCCGCGGCGAAGTAGGAGGGCCTACTAACGGGCTGAGCGTGCTGCCCTGGCTCAGCGGCCGGGGGAAGAGAAGATTCCAGAAAGGGAGGTGATTTTGGAAGGGCTCGGCCACCGGAGCCTGCGGGCACTTCTCTTCTTCCGCGACCGGGAGAAGGCCGAGGGATCGGCGGCACGATCGACATTGTACACCTTGAAGGTGGACGGATGTGAAGCCGCGCGTGCGTTTTGCCTCCATCCGTAAATGGGGCTAAGGCCCGTCACCCTTAAAGGAGGTTGTGAGGGTGAAATTGAATAACGTAGATGAAATTGTCTTGAGAACTGCGACGTCGATTATCACATAGCTCGCGAGTTGTAGGATGGGGAAGAACGAGAACTAGCCGATCCAGAGAAGAGAGTGGGAAAAAGGGCCGGGTCTTGGTTGCTTGCTTCCCAGTGAGAAACATACGGCTTTCAGCTTAGTTGACAGAAGCCATGCGTTGTAGCCAAATGAGTTCCGGTCCCAACTTATGTTAGCTGGCTTAATCTAAAATGTAACTTTCTTGGGTTTTGTTTCCTTCGTCTTTAAATTATGGAGATTGGACCAAGAGGTGGTGTCTTTGAGTTCTGTGTAATCTGCAGGATAAGTGATAGAGGGGTGCAGATAACACTTTTGTTTAATGGCCTTTTCTTGAACGTTAGTTCGGTAGCATAGTTTTAAAAAATATCTTACTGCACTATTGATAAATTTGTCTCTTGTGCTATTCAAATTGCATTCCTCTGTGTGTCCTCCAGATTTTGTTAATTCAAGAAATAGATCAGTGTGGTTGAATTTAAGGTTTTATGCGAGGTACGGGGAGCATTAACAGTTTAATAGAACTAGGTTCATGTTTGTAGGATGCACTTTTCAAATAATGTCGGTATAGTAAGTAAATGTCAGGGTTCAAGGTAAATGTTGGTGGAATAATCTTTTGAAAATGATATGGGCTGATTCCCTTGAAAAAATCAGGCTGAGATAATAGCTTCCAATTTGGGTTTTTTTCACTAATACAGTTTTGGAAAACTCGTGTATCACAAAACATTATTTGTCATTCCAGTGCTAGTAGTTTTTTACAGAACACTGAGCTATTTCTTTCAATAAATAGGTACTGAAGGAACTGCAGTGAAAGACAAAAGTCCCATTTGTCGTAGAGTTTATGTCCTTCTAAGGCAGAAATAATGATTAAATAAAAGGAGAATTCCAAATAATGATGAAAGAAACTGCACTATAGTAGAGGATGACAGGAGGTAAAAATGTCTGTAAAAGAAGGATCAGGAATAGACAGAACACTTAGACGTTTAGGGAAGAACTCTTAGCTCAGTGCTTAGTGAGAGAAGCCCCTGAGCCTGGGCTGTTTCCCCCGACCTCTTACTTAGGGGGAAATGCCAGGCTCAGGGACTAACTAGTACAAAGACCCTGAGGAAGGAATGATTTTGACCTGTTTTTTTTTTAAAACAACAACAACAACAACAGGTTGTAGGGCTGAAGCTTACCAAAGAAAGGAAGAATGGTAAGTTCAGAGGAGGAGCCATACAAGGGCCGGGATACGTAGGGCCTTGTTTCCTTGAAAAGGGATTTGCATTTTATCCTAAGCTGGTTGGGAAACCATTGAAGGGTCTTAAGTATGGGAATGAGGGGATCTGATCAAATGGTAGTTTCTCACAGAATGGGGAGTGAGGGGAAGAAGCAAGAGTGTAAGCCAGGAGTTCAGACTTAAGTGTTATTGCTGGAATAACAGTTCTTATTGCTGAAGATGCTTTTAAAGCAGTGGCTATTGGCAGGGGTTGGTGGCTCACACCTGTAATCCCAACACTGGGGAGGCCGAGGTCAGTGGATCACTTGAGGCCAGGAGTTCCTGGCCAACATGGTGAAACTCCGCCTCTCAAAAAAATACAAAAAAAACCAACCTGGTGTGGCGCGCACCTCTAATCCCAGCTACTCAGGAGGCTGAGCCTCCAGAATTGCTTGAACCCGGGAGGCCCAGGTTGCAGTGAGCTGAGATCGTGCCACGATCTCAGCTCACTGCACTCCAGCCTGAGCGATAGAGGAGACTCTCTCTCTCTCAAAAAAGAGTAATGGCTATTAACCTTGGTTTTGGATCACAAAATCATGGCTTGTATTGTAAAGCAGTACTATGTAAATAGAACTTTTTGCAGTGCTGGACATACGCTGTATCAGCGCTGTCCAGTGTGATATTCACTACCCACATGTAGCTACTGGGCATTTGAACTGTGGCTCCTGCAATTGAGGAACTGAATTTTTTAATTTTAATTACTTGAAAGTTTATTTTGATTGCTTTCACTAGCCCCATGTATGTAGCTAGTGGCTACTGTATTGGGCAGCGCTTCTCTAAAGAAATGTTCTCATGCACAGTAGATTAGTGAAATATATCTGAGGACCCAAGTAAACCTCAACTCTAAAAAAGTCCAGTGTAGAATTTGTGAGAATTTTTAGTACCGTGAGCAGTTCGCTTTTCAATACATATACATTGGGATAATGTTGCAATTCAAAAAAAGTATTCAGTCTCTAAACACTTCAGTGGCACATACTTAAAGAACTTCTGGCTTTACAAAAGCCCAGATTCTAACACAATAAGAATATTCCACATTTCAACAGTTAGTTAGAAAATACTGATAAATTCTGGAAAGGTATTCTACTTGAAGTACCTCATACCCTTTCTCTAATTAGTCTTAGCATGGTTCCCTGTACTTTTCACTACTTTTAATAAAAAAAATTTTAAGTCTTTTGATGTGTAAGTAGGTACCTGCGGTCCCCCAAAATGTTATACTTTATTCATTCAACTAGAGAGGAAATGTATGCATCATTTATGAATATCAAATGCTGTGTTTTACATTAAAAAATCTTGTTTGATTGTCTCAACAATCCTATGAGTTAGGTACTATTATAATTACTTCATTTTATAATGAAGAAATGTTAAGAAAATTGCCCAAATTTAAAAAGAGCCAGAAAGCTAAGATTTGCAACCAGCCCTCTTGTGCCAAATACCTAAGCTATGCTCCCTCTTTATTAGAGGCAAGATATAAGCAAAGATATCTTGTATTTGAAATTTTTGTTTCACTGTCCTGTCTAATTAGCGGGGTTTTTTGTTTGTTTTTTTTAACAGCACTTTTCAGGATTAGAAGAGGCTGTGTATAGAAACATACAAGCTTGCAAGGAGCTTGCCCAAACCACTCGTACAGCATATGGACCAAATGGTAATTTCTAAATTAATATTTGTAAAGATACAGTAGTAGAATATTGTGTACTACGTCTTCTTTCAGACTTGTTCTGAGGATGTTATGGTATGACTTCGGAAGTTAATTTGATAGCTCAATGATAGTTCATTTCCAATTTTTAGTTATTTCTAATTTTCAATCAACTCACATCTCTTTAGAAAAATGGGGGTCAATATATTACTTTTTATCCTGTTGAGAGGATAGAAAAATTATAACACTTTGACTAGTAAGATAGTACCTAATGTTCATTCTGACAAACACTAAATATAAAAGTGACATAGTTTAAGGAAGAAAATTCTCTCCTTCCTCTTGCCTTCTACCACCAATTAAATTTAAATGATACAGTTTCATGGAATAAACATACAACTAAATATACTAAGTAGATTATTTTGGCCTTTTTACATGTTAATTTCTGTTGAGCACTTGCTGCATGACAGTCATGTTGCAAACAGAAGATAGAAATTGGCAAAAATGTGAGATTTGGCATCTTACGTAGTAAATATTGTAGGACATTAGAAAGGGAAGAAAGAATATGGGTCTGCAGTCAGAGAATGCCCATGGGGCTATAAGATAAACTTGAAGAATAGATAGTATGTGTTTTCTTGCAAAGCTCTTTTTTTAATATACAAATTTATAATTTCTTAACTAGATTTTCCTGGGTATTTGGGGAAGGATTTGATTAATAATGGCTTTCTTTTTCTTTTTTTAACTGTTACTTTTGAGGAATGAACAAAATGGTTATCAACCACTTGGAGAAGTTGTTTGTGACAAACGATGCAGCAACTATTTTAAGAGAACTAGAAGTAAGTTGTTTCTTTAAAAAGTCAAGAAATATTTTGGTGACATCAAAATTAAGTAGATTTTAACTAGAAGAAATCTCTTATTTCAGATTGGATAAGGGACTATTTTTCCAGCTTGAAAATTTATTGTACAGATTGTTCTAATTATAAAGAGTCCTCTTTAGATTGAATGTTTTAGCCACTGAAATCTTAAAAATCTCTCAAGTTATTAATTTATGGAGGGATTGGTTGTGATACATTGCTAATTACGATATGAAATTGATTACCATTGTCTTCATTCTATAGGGTGACTCTGAAGTGAATTATTCCACAGTGCAAAAACGTATACATATAACAGTGGTTTTTAAAAAGATCCAACCATTTGGTTTTGTGAAAATAAAAACAATCAGTTGATGGCATTTTACTTTGTTCAGCTTTAGTTTTACTATTAGAATCTATAAAATAGATACTGCCTGCCAGCAGGGTTATAAGGAAGGTCTGGCACCTGAACAGGCAGAGAGAGCCATTCCTCATTCCCGCCTTGTAATTAAAGGATAACATATTCAACCTCAGGGAATTTTCCTGAAGCTTAGCCCTTGAAAGCACTAGAACTTAATCTTTTGTTTTAAATGAAACGATAGAAGAATCAACATTTTTCTAACCTCTTAAATAATATATTTTTGGTTGGACGCGGTGGCTCACGCCTGTAATCCCACCACTTTGGGAGGTCAAGGCAGGCGGATCACCTAAGGTCAGGAGTTTGAGACTAGCCTGGCCAACATGGTGAAACCCCATCTCTACTAAAAATACAGAAACAAAATCAGCCGGGCGTGGTGGCACACACCTGTAGTTCCAGCTACTCAGTAGGCTAGGGCAGGAGAATTGCTTGAACCTGGGAGGCGGAGGTTGCAATGAGCCAAGATCGCGCCACTGCACTCCAGCCTGGGCGACAGAGCAAGACTCCATCTCAAAAAAGAAAAAAAAATACATATTATATATATAAATTCTTAAAGAACTTAAGTTAAAAGTTAAATTTTAACTCCACAAAACACTTGTACAAGGGTTTGTCACTGTGAATGTTAATGTTGCACACTGATGATCTCAGGAGTTATTAAAGTACAGTGGTGATACCGTCAAAATAATAAAATCACAGGGCTGACTTTTTATAGTTTTCTTGTTGCTCTCAGTTCTTACTCCTTGGCTTGTTTCTGTAAAGGTATCTAAAATTAAATCCTAAGAATAAAATCCACATAAAATTATGTTATATTTGAAGAAAAGTTTTATACTCCCCCTTTTCTTTAAATCACAAATGATAACCCTTACAACAAGAATATATAGTAAAATAGATATTGAGAGTCATGACCAAGTTAAGTGGTATCTATTTTAGTTCTCCTGAAGGCTTTTAAAAAATATCTAGGTTTGGTGGTTGTAATTACTTTGTTTTTTAATTTAGTGAAATATGATATGGTGAAACATATGTGTGGCACTGTATGTGCAGGCCACCAAAAGAGGATGCACTTTGAAATTCTTATTTATAGTGATACATTTGTGCTGATCGGCATAAAGGGACTTGGATTTTTTCTTGTGACCACACTATAAGTAGCGTATAGCAGTGTAGCAGTGTGATCAGATGGAGTTACCTAATCTACAAGAAAATTGAGTCTATTTAAGAAATGGAAATGAACAATTTTATGTTGCTTTAAGGATCAGATGTTTAACTTGATATTACCTTTTCTACTAGGTACAGCATCCTGCTGCAAAAATGATTGTAATGGCTTCTCATATGCAAGAGCAAGAAGTTGGAGATGGCACAAACTTTGTTCTGGTATTTGCTGGAGCTCTCCTGGAATTAGCTGAAGAACTTCTGAGGATTGGCCTGTCAGTTTCAGAGGCAAGTGTTCATTTATAATTTACTCCTACTAAATTTTTGCTTACATATACACCTGCTTAAAACATAAACTAAAATCATTATTATAGTAGTAGCTAACATGCACTGAGCAGTTTGCTCTGTACCAGCCATTATAGTACATATGCTTCACATGCTGTATCATTTTAGTCTCACAAAAACCCTATTAGTGAGGCCTTATAATCCCATTTTATCTATTTTTTTTCCCACTTTATTTTAGATGAGAAAAGAGACTAAAATTAGAAAAATCTTGCCCAAGATCTCATAGCTAGTGAGTTAGGTAGAGTTAAGATTCAAATTTGGGCTGTCATCTAAGCCTCCATTCATAACTAGTAGAGTCTACTATATGTTTTATTCCGAAGTATATTCTTTGTCATTTTGTATCAAAAATAAACATCCATATGCATTGGGTTACCAAAATAAGCTACTTTAAGTCATGTCAGAATAGGAAATGTTGTTTATGTTTTAGGTCATAGAAGGTTATGAAATAGCCTGCAGAAAAGCTCATGAGATTCTTCCTAATTTGGTATGTTGTTCTGCAAAAAACCTTCGAGATATTGATGAAGTCTCATCTCTACTTCGTACCTCCATAATGAGTAAACAATATGGTAATGAAGTATTTCTGGCCAAGCTTATTGCTCAGGCATGCGGTAAGTAAATATCAGTAAATGAAAAGATCCAAAATAAAAATACCTTTAACATGACTAGATACTTTCTCTGTTGTCCCAAAATAATCTTTTGATATGTCTCATTTTCTTAACAGTATCTATTTTTCCTGATTCCGGCCATTTCAATGTTGATAACATCAGAGTTTGTAAAATTCTGGTAAGTAGAAAATGCATTAATGCTACATATCTAGGTCAGTTTTTTTGTGTGCTTTTTTTGTTTTTTTGTGCAAAAAAAAAAAAATGTGTTCATCTAAACCTAAATGTTACTTCATGATTTGAACACTTAGGACTTTTTTTGAGGCATTATTTTTATTTATGTACTTATTTATTTTTGAGACGGAGTCTCGCTCTTGTTGCCCAGGTTGGAGTGCAATGACATGACCTCGGCTCACCGCAACCTCCGCCTCCCGGTTCAAGTGATTCTCCAGTCCCAGCCTCCCGAGTAGCTGGGATTACAGGCATGCGCCACCACACCCGGCTAATTTTGTATTTTTAGTAGAGATGGGGTTTCTCCGTGTTGGTCAGGCTGGTCTCGAACTCCCGACCTCAGGTGATCCACCTGCCTTGGCCTCCCAAAGTGCTGGGATTAACAGGCGTGAACCACCGTGCCTGGCCTTTGAGGCATTATTTTGTAACATTTTGATGTTGCTAAGTTGTAATAATACTACTACCTATTTAAGTTTAAAAGGATATTGACATATTATCTCCTTATAAAGTCATTTTCTGTGATGTCTTGTGGGTTTAAGAATAATGTATAAACAAAATACTAAATTTTTTTTTTTTTTTTTTTTGAGATGGAGTCTGGCTCTGTTGCCCAGGTTGGAGTGCAGTGCCTCGACCTCGGCTCACTGCAACCTCCACCTCCCAGGTTCAAGTGGTTTTCCTGCCTCAACCTCCCAAGTAGCTGGATTACAGGTGCATGCCACCATGTCCAGCTAATTTTTGTATTTTTTTAGTAGAGGCAGGGTTTCACCATGTTGGCCAGGCTGGTCTCGAACTCCTGACCTCATGATCTGCCCACCTTGGCCTCCCAAAGTGCTGAGATTACAGGTGTGAGCCACCGCGCCCAGCGCAAAATACTAATTTTTTTGTGTTCTTCATAATACTCTGAATTATAATAAGCTTATAAGACAGTTTTGAGTGGGGTGGAAATCGTCCTATTCCTCTTCAATAATAGAATTCACACTTTAATGTTAGTATTGAAATATTAAAGTATATTTTTGATAAAATGTGCTTGATAGAGTAAAACCTATCAGTGGAATGGTTTTGGTTTTGCACATTGGCATTCTGATTGTTAATGTGAATTTAGCATAACATAAGTACATGTGCTTTCCCTGAAGATACTCACGTGTTCTATGTTTGCTGTCTCCCTCCACGTACTGCCAGCTTTTCCCATTAAATGCAACCTTGTGAGAACAGAATCTTTGCTTTGTTCTGTGTTGTATTTGCAGTACTGACAGCTGTGGCTGGTATATTGGCACCAAGTACTAGGTAACTGAATGGCTAAGACCAGTTCTCTGCCTTTGGTTCTTCCCAGTACATGGAAGGACCTCCCCTCCCTAAAAGTAGCTCATTCCCTCAGTGATTTCTGCCTCGAGCAGAAGGGTGTGCTGTATGTCCACCACTCCACCCCTTATCCCAGGAGTCACTGCCTTGGTTTATGACTTTATTTTAGAAAGGGATATTTTTGGTATATGGAGAATCAACAGTTTGACCGTAATGTTATTTTCAGGAGATTGCTGATGAGTTTGGTATTCAATTCCTTAGGGCTCTGGTATCAGTTCCTCTTCAGTATTGCATGGCATGGTTTTTAAGAAGGAAACCGAAGGTGATGTAACATCTGTCAAAGATGCAAAAATAGCAGTGTACTCTTGTCCTTTTGATGGCATGATAACAGAAACTAAGGTATGTAGACTTCAAACCTTAAAAGTAATAATTGGGGTTGCACTTTCAGATTGTTTGAGTTAGCTCTTAAACCAGTAAGTACTTCTTAAAAAACTGAACATTGCAGGATCTTACCTATTTTTTTATGCCAGATTTATAGTCTTCAAATATCTAATTCAACTACTGAACATTAAACTGGAAATATAAAGATGGTGGCCGTATTATTTATAATCTGACACACAGCCCTTCTAGTAGAGCTTATACATTCAGCAAGTGAAAGAATATGAGAATGTGAGTATTTTGTGTGCTCTTCACGAAAATAAAGTTGACATTCTGTAGCATCCTAAAACAAGATAAGCTAATGTAATTTGAAAATGGTAAGTATGTTTCTAAAAATACATGTTAGAAAGTTTGAAGTTTGTGTTTATAGTCAATAGTGGCTGACTTCATCTCTAGAATTCTTGAAATCCAAGTTGTTGATAGTTTTAAAATTTTGTAGCATGAGGGGGGTCTGGTCATTTGGTCCATATTTTATTTTATTGTATTTTATTCTTTTTTTTTTTTTTTTTTTTTTTTTTTAGAGTCTTGCTTTGTCACCCAGGCTTGAGTCCAGTGGTACAATCTTGGCTCCCTGCAACCTCCGCCTCCTGGGTTCAAGTGATCTCTGGCTAATTTTTGTATTTTTAATAGAGACAAAGTTTCACCATGTTGGCCAGACTGGTCTCCAACTCCTGACTGCAAGTGATCCACCCGCCTTGGCCTCCCAGAGTGCTAGGATTACAGGCATGAGCCACCGCGCCCGGCCTAGTCCACATTTTAGAAAAAGTTTGAGAACCACAATGTTGTATTGGGAACACTAGTTAGCCTTTGTCAAAAGACAAACACCAGGACACCTACCTACCTGACATATTTAAAATAAAAGCACTTCTCGGCCGGGCACGGTATCTCACGCCTGTAATCCCAGCATAGGCCAAGGCAGGCAAATCACGAGGTCAGGAGTTCAAGACCAGCCTGGCCAACATGGTGAAACCCCGTCTCTACTAAAAATGCAAAAATTAGCTGGGCGTGGTGGCGCTTGCCTGTAATCCCAGCTACTTGGGAGGCTGAGGCAGGAGAATCGCTTGAACCAGGGAGTCAGAGGTTGCGGTGAGCCGAGATCCTGCCTGCACTCCAGCATGGTGACAGAGTGAGACTCTGTCTCAAAATAAATAAATAGATAAAAGTACTTTTCCACCTAAGTACTTATCAAAAGCAGATGCATCTGTTTTGACAGGGGGTTCTAGAAGCAAGCTGAGTTTCTATTTCACACATACAGTATTCTGCTGCTTCATAATATATGCACATATATCTTCATATTTTTTTGCCAAACCTTTATTTCTTCAGTCAACTATTATCTAATGACTTTGAACACCAACGTAGTGAAATGATTTTAAAGGGAATGTTTACTTGTTTTGCCAGGGAACAGTGTTGATAAAGACTGCTGAAGAATTGATGAATTTTAGTAAGGGAGAAGAAAACCTCATGGATGCACAAGTCAAAGCTATTGCTGATACTGGTGCAAATGTCGTAGTAACAGGTGGCAAAGTGGCAGACATGGCTCTTCATTATGCAAATAAATATAATATCATGTTAGTGAGGTAAGAAAAAGCCGATTTTTTTTTTTACCTATATCATAAATGGTTTTTTGGTGGTGAAAACACTAAACGAAATAGACCATGAAGACTGTTAATAAAGGGAAAGTAAAGGTACTAGGTCAAATAGCAGAAGGATTTAGTTTGGGGAGGGGTCAGGAAACACCTCTGAGAAAACATAAATTTAAGCTGAGAGCTTGAAGAACCAATTACCAGATAATTGAAGAGGGAAAAGCATTCCAGGCAAAAGGAACAACTTGTCCAAGAGACTAGACACAAGCTTGGTGCATTGCCTATCAGAGTATGGAGTCAGGAAGATCCCTTTTAATCCATGAACACATTTATGGTGCACACTAGACAACTTAACCCATTTCTACCTACCACCATCCCTAGTACCTAATAAAATGTGCAAAATAAATCACTCTTGTTCACAGAACATTGATTGCACAAAGTAAAGCAAAAATTTTCTATATGCTGTTGAGTTTTGTAAGGGTTTCTCTGGTGTTTTAGAACTATAAACCACTGACATCCTAAAGTGACTTCCATTCTCCCAATTCTAGAACAATGCCATACAACACAGGCTTAAGATGTGGTACTATTGGCCAGCTGGACTCACTCAGAGAGTCAGGAATCAGCTTCCTGGCCTTAGTGTTCATTGCAATCCAGACATGTTCTGAGTTAAAATCCATTGTCAAAGGAATGTGACATGGGGGCTGGTATACAGGTTCCTCTTTAATTTGAACTTTATATGCTATCTGAAATTGATTAAAACTTTTATTAAGGTCTTTGTGTTTTTTAAAGGCTAAACTCAAAATGGGATCTCCGAAGACTTTGTAAAACTGTTGGTGCTACAGCTCTTCCTAGATTGGTATGTATTTTGGAAAACACTAAAAGATAGTTGAACAAGATGGAATTTTTATTACAACAGTCACTTTCTTACAGACACCTCCTGTCCTTGAAGAAATGGGACACTGTGACAGTGTTTACCTCTCAGAAGTTGGAGATACTCAGGTGGTGGTTTTTAAGCATGGTATGTAGGAATGGTAAAACATGTTTAAGTGTAGGGCTTTAGCTTCTTGTATTTAATCACCAAATATATTTAATTTTTTGATAGAAAAGGAAGATGGCGCCATTTCTACCATAGTACTTCGAGGCTCTACAGACAATCTGATGGATGACATAGAAAGGGCAGTAGACGATGGTGTTAATACTTTCAAAGTTCTTACAAGGGTCAGTATCAGCAATATTCTTAGTAGTTTGTAAGGTCTGAGTAATTTGTATGGTCTTAAAAGTACAGTTTGCAGACTCTTGCACATCATGAGAACTTCAGAATGAGTGGTTTATATGAAATGAAGCACCTGTTTTTGTTTTTACCTAAGACTTAAGTGTCCATTGTTAGTGAATATGATAGTTTCCAAAAAAGATTGTACAGAGGAGTTAACAGCAAAACAGAGCTTTAAAAAAAATTGTTTATCGTTGTTTTCCATTGTAATGTACTGTTAGTTGCTAAAGCAGTTCTTAGTGCTATATCTGTGGATATGCAAAAATGATACGGTACTATTCCCATTCTTCACTTTGGTCCTTTTCATACACCAGACACTGTGCACTAAGAAAATTTGCCCCACCCACTCATTTTTACCAAATTTGTAATATGTATTTGAGTAACAATGACTGATAAAAACTCCTGTTTGGTGGGGTACTGGAATGTGAAAAGATTAGAAAACTGCAAACTGATTTTTAGTGAATTTGTTTTGTGTTCATTTTTTTTTTGGTGGGGGCGCTACATACAGGATAAACGTCTTGTACCCGGAGGTGGAGCAACAGAAATTGAATTAGCCAAACAGATCACATCATATGGAGAGGTACAGCTTTTTCTGTATAAATTGACTTTCTTTCCATTGCTTGAATAAAAGACAGTAATTAACGCATTTTTGTTTTAGACATGTCCTGGACTTGAACAGTATGCTATTAAGAAGTTTGCTGAGGCATTTGAAGCTATTCCCCGCGCACTGGCAGAAAACTCTGGAGTTAAGGCCAATGAAGTAATCTCTAAACTTTATGCAGTACATCAAGAAGGAAATAAAAACGTTGGATTAGATATTGAGGTATTTGAAAAAACACTGAACTTAAATTGCTTTATTTGGGGAATGCACAACCTAAAAATAGTATGAGTTTAAAAGAAATATCAATGAGAAACAGTGTTCTGATTTGGGAGCAGATTATTTTCTTAGTTTTTACATAGGTTGTCTGATGGAGGAACGTTTCATTTTCCTTCTGTTTTATTGATAGTCTTTTGTTCTGTAGTGTGTAGTCAGCCCAGTTCTGTATCCATTGATTCAACCAACCACAGATTGAAAATATTTGGAAAAACTAAAGACATTTAAAAATACACTATAACAACTATTTACACTATGTTATATAATTAATCTGGAGACGATTTAAAGTATATGAGAGGATGTGCATAGATTATATCCAAACACCATGCCATTTTATGTAAGGGATTTGAGCATCCACAGATTTTGGCATCCTTGGAGGTGCTAGAACCAATCCTCACATACTAAAGGATGACTCTATAAGGTAGGACTGTGCTTGGTTACTTTCCAGTACTATTTAAGGAGCTATGTGAGGCTTTTTGTGGGTGTAAACATTTTCACATAAAAGGATTTTAAATGAAAGGATGAAAATTGTGTTTGACAGGCTGAAGTCCCTGCTGTAAAGGACATGCTGGAAGCTGGTATTCTAGATACTTACCTGGGAAAATATTGGGCTATCAAACTCGCTACTAATGCTGCAGTCACTGTACTTAGAGTGGATCAGGTGAGCAAAGTGAAATTTTGATCTTTAAAAATACTCATTTGCATACTGTTTAATAGTATATTTTCCCAGAACTAGAACATAGCATAGTTCTAATTCAAAGGATTCTTAGTCCTCACCTATTAGAGATACTATGTGCCCCCCTCCAATTTTTTTCTTCTATTATAAATTGTATTGAATATATAACTTTCAAACCTTTTAGCCTTAGAACCCATTTGTACAAATAATTTAGAGAGTAAATTTAATATATAATACTAACATGGAATTTGGAAGGACCATAAAGCTCTCAAGCAGACATTGCAGACCACCAGCTTGAAGGAAAATGGAGTCTCTAGCTGTCTGCAGATAAGAGGACTGGGCATTGAAAATTTTTTCTGCTATGACAAATTACAGCTTGAGATACTAAAAGATGTTAAAGGTGTTTAAAATCATATTTCTACCCTTTTTTTTTTTTTTTTGAAGAATTGTGGTAGACTGTTCTATATATAGAAGTAAACCTGAAATCATAATTATTTTTCCAAAAGGTATTTTCTGGCAAACTTAATTAAATACATTTCCCCACAAAATTCTAGAAGTAATTAATAAGCAATGACTATTTATAAGTACTTAATAGAAAATTTTAATTTGCTAGAGGGACAGTATACATCCATTAGGTAAAAGTCATATGTCATATTAAAGGTGGAGTAAGTCCTAAGTAGAAATCAGTGGAAAGACATTTCAGCTTTTAAGTACAGTAAGGACCAGTTGGTGGTAATTATAACAAATTTATTGGAAGAACTATGATAGCAAGAGATGACCAAAAATGGAACTGGATATTTAGTTTCAAGTCATTGAAAATAAGCAGAAACTAGATGTTTATGTACCAGATTAACGGGTTTCTCTGTCAGCTTATTAGGTGATTTTCAATGGAAGAATATGTTTGAGTTCTTAAATAGAAACCTAAGAAAATACTTATTCTAGAAATTAGAATGTGGCTAAGAATAAAAGGGGAAACCAAAAATAGCAGGGACGGAAGAAGCTAAGTAGACTGCAGCATAAGGAACGCAGAAATTCCAACTGTGTTAGGAACTTTGAATGTCAATTATTCAAGCAAGACAATAACCACCACCCTTGGTCACAAAGGCAGTTTGAATTTTGGCTTTAAACTAGGAAGTCTGCTTTATCTTATGGTAGGGGAAGTTGTTGGTTGATCTGTTCCCCCAGTCTTTGCACTCTATGTGAAGTATGTATCTAAAGAACCCATCCAACTGTATTAACCAGTTTGTGTATATAGTGTATAGTATAATGAACCTAAATTTGTATAGTATATATTCTAGAAAAGGAATTGCACATCAAGCTTTAAGCATTGGATAGTGTAGTACGGACTGGATTAATCTTTGTTGGAATGTCTATTTCACTAGTTCTCAAAGTATGGTCCCAAAATAGTATCAACATCACCTGAGAACTTGTTAGAATGACAGTTCTCAGCCAGGTATGGTGGCTCACACCTGTAGTCCCAGCTACGCAGGAGGCTGAGGTGGGAGGATCACTTGAGCCCAGGAGTTGAAGGCTGCAGTGAGCTGTGATCACATCATGGCACTCCAGCCTGGTTGACAGAGTGACACTCCATCTTTTAAAAAACTAAAAATAAATAAGAAATACAGATTCTTGGAGGCCAGGCGCGGTGGCTCACGCCTGTAATCCCAGCACTTTGGGAGGCCAAGGCAGGAGGATCACGAGGTCAGGAGGTTGAGACCATCCTGGCTAACATGGTGAAATCCCGTCTCTACTAAAAAAAACAAAAAATTAGCTGGGCGTGGTGGCAGATGCCTGTAGTCCCAGCTACTCGGGAGGCTGAGGCAGGAGCATGGCATGAACCTGGGAGGTGGAGCCTGCAGTGAGTAGAGATGGCACCACTGTACTCCAGCCTGGGCGACAGAGCAAGACTCCATCTCAAAAAAAAAAAAAAAAGAAGAAATACAGATTCTCAGATGTCACTCCAGACCCACCAATATCAGAAATGCTGGAAGAGGCCTAGCAGTCTGTTTTAATGAGCACTTTTGATTATGGTGCCCACTAAAGTTTGGGAACTACTTGTTTTAGTGTTTGTTTCTTTTTTTTCTTTGAGATGGAGTCTTGCTCTGTCACCAGGCTGGAGTGCAGTGGTGTGATCTCAGCTTACTGCAACCGCCACCTCCCAGGTTCAAGCAATTCTGCTGCATCAGCCTCCCGAGTAGCTGGGACTACAGGCGCATGCCACCATGCCCACCTAATTTTTTTTTGTATTTTTAGTAGAGACGGGGTTTCACCATGTTGGCCAGGATGGTCTCGATCTCTTGACCTCGTGATCTGTCCGCCTTGGCCTCCCAAAGTGCTGGGATTACAGGCATGAGCCACCACACCCAGCTTTTAGTTACTTTTTAAAATCAATGTGCACTTAGGTTCTAAAATTATGCTTAATGCCTTTAATTCAGTCTGAAATTACTCTCAATTGGTAACATGTTATTCTGAGAATTTCAGGTTTAGGTATCTTTTTTGTTGTTGTTGTGATAAGGTCTTACTCTATCACCCAGGCTGGAGGACAGTGGCACAATCATAATCAGCTCACCACAGCCTCAAAATCCTGAGTTCCAGTGATTCTTCTGCCTTAACATCCCGAATAGCTGGGACTGTAGGCAGGTGCTGTCATGGTTGGCTGAGATATATATCATATATATCTGATATGTATATATCACACATATCATATGTATATATCATACATATGTATATATCATACATATCTCATATATATCATATATATCTCATATCATACATATACATGATATATATATCATACATATATGTATGATATATATTATATATGATATATGTATGATATATGTATCGTATATATGATACATATATCATATATATATTATCAAATGTTATATATATATTTTATATATATATATATTTTTAGTTTTTGTAGACTAGGTCTCACTTTGTTGCCCAGGCTGGTCTCAAACTCCTGGCCTCAAACCTTGGCCTCCCAAAGTGCTAGGATTACAGGCATGAGCCACTGCCCAGTTCAGGTTTGCAGATGGTAATTAAGATGTTTTCCAGCCGAGCGCAGTGGCTCACACCTATAATCCCAACACTTTGGGAGGCTGAGGCGGGTGGATCATGCAGGAGTTTGAGACCAGCCTGGCCAACGTGGTGAAACCCCGTCTCTACTAAAAGTAAAAACTTAGCCGGGCATGGTGATGGGCACCTGTAATCCCAGTTACTCAGGAGGCTGAGGCAGGAGAATTGCTTGAACCCAGGAGGCAGAGGTTGCATTGAGCCAAGATCGCGCCACTGCACTCTCTAGCCTGGGCAACAGAGCAAGACTCCGTCTCAAAAAGAAAAAAAAAAAAAAAGCTAAAACCTATTTATTTTAGATAAAGTAAGGTGAGGTTTGTGGCGCTTTTTTTTTTAAGTTGGGAACTTAGATTTTTGTTTATGAAAATTCCTGGCTGCTTGAATGATTCTCATTTACAGGTTTTAGAAAATTTCAGTGTTAAACTTTGTATATACTTATGTATCAACTACTTTAGATTATAATGGCAAAGCTGGCAGGTGGGCCTAAAGCTCCTAAACCACAAGGAAATTGGGACAGAGATGGTTGGCAAGACACATCTCATATATAAATAGCAAATCAGGTGCCAAACTGACCGACTTACACCAGTGATGCATGCACATATTTTCACTTTCAGCTTTTTGAGTTATTGAAGTGCATGTCTTGGAATGTTCACTAATCTCTGTGGATTTTATTGCGGTTATCCATAAAAGCAGTAAACTTTCTCATGCGCTGAAAGTTTACAATTGAATTTCTAACAAGGGAGCTAGCAAACTCTGTGCTGTAGTGTTTTATATGCAGTACATAATTATACCAAGAAGACTGCTTAATCTTAAATCATGCTAATAGAAGCATTCTTTTCATTCTAAAGGTTAAGTTGATAAGCATACTCTTGTGTGATTCTTTTTTATGCAGATCATCATGGCAAAACCAGCTGGTGGGCCCAAGCCTCCAAGTGGGAAGAAAGACTGGGATGATGACCAAAATGATTGAAATTGGCTTAATTTTTACTGTAGGTGAAGGCTGTATTTGTAGTAGTACTCAAGAATCACCTGATGTTTTCTTATTCTCCTTAAATTAAGAGTTATTTTGTGTTTGTATTCTTGGCTGGATGTTATAATAAACATATTGTTACTGTCAAAGCCTTATTGTCTAATGACCACGGTTATTGGCTCTAAATGACTTGTGTTCCTCTCAACCTTGTTAATCACATTAGCTGTGGGACTTAAGGCAAGTCACTTATGTAAGTAGAGGCCTATTACCCATGTATATCTGGCCTACTGCCTGTTTGTGTAAATAAGTTATTGGAACACAGCCATGCTCATACCATTACATATTGTCTGCAGTTGCTTTCTAACAAGGGAGTGGCAGAGTTAAGTATCTTTATTTTTGACAGAGACCAAATGGGCCTACAAAGCCTAAAATATTTACTATCTGGCCCTCTACAGGAAAGTGCTGCCAACACCTGGACTAGATTTCCAGTGTTTTTGTCACAGCTCTGGAATTCCTGACTCAAGGTGACTTGTTTCAATAGCAATTAATAATTTGTTGAAGACACTCGACTTAGCAAAGTACAAAAAAAATGCTTAGAAAATAGATAAACTGACATACAAAATTAAGTCAGTTTTCATAAAGCAGATTCTATTTTGTTAAAATCAGTAAGGAGTGTTGAAAAAGCCAAGAACATTATAAATAAATTATTATAAATAATCATACTGAATTTTATAGGACATGTGCTACTATATGTGTTGGTTATGTAAGGTCCTTAATACTGTTTGAAATTGTGTGTGTATGTATTTCTTGAGACAGGGTGTTGCTCTGTCGCACAGGCAGTGGTAAAATCTCAGCTCACTGCAACCTCTGCTGTTGGGCTCAGGCAATCCACCCACCTCCGCCTCCTGAAAAGCTGGGGACACAGGCAAACACTACCACATTTGGCTAATTTTTAAGTTTTTTGTAGAGATAGGGTCTCACTATGTTACCCAGGCTGGTCTCAAACTCCTGGGCTCAACGTTTCCTACTGCCTTGACCTCCCAGAGTCCTGGGATTACAAGCATAAGCCACCGCACCAGCCTGTTTTTAGTATTCTTTCCAAGAGATTTTAGAAGCAGTATGACTGACTGGGTATTACATAAACTCAACAGGTGTTTGTTAGGAATGATACAACTCTCATTACTGCCACAGCAAGTTAGAAATGTTCATCGTATGTCGAAGTTGTCCTCAGAGAACCTTTCAAGAAGTTCAGAGACGCTTGGTGTCCCTAAGCTCTTTGTGTTGCATGTAACTCAAACAGTGGCTGACTTGGGACAGTTCACAGGCTTTCTCTGGTATGCTGGTATTAAGGGGTTTGGTACCCAATTATACTCATAGGAGTGAGACTGGTTTGTCTTACATCTGTCCAAAATCAGTTGACCACTGGCACAGAGCAAATACAGAGTAAGGCCTTGTATACCCCAGCTTATGCACACTATGGCATCAGAAGGCTTATAAAGAAACATTGCTCCCATTTATATTCTGCTGTCAATATAGATGCTTATAAAATTAACACACTTGTATGGCCCAGCGCGGTGGCTCAAGCCTGTAATCCCAGCACTTTGGGAGGCCAAGGCAGGTGGATCACGAGGTCAGGAGATCGAGACCATCCTGGCTAACACGGTGAAACCCTGTCTCTACTAAAAATACAAATAATTAGCTGGGCGTGGTGGCGGGCGCCTGTAGTCCCAGCTGCTCGGGAGGCTGAGACAGGAGAATGGCGTGAACCTAGGAGGCAGAGCTTGCAGTAAGCTGAGATCGCACCACTGCACTCCAGCCTGGGCGACAGAGCAAGACTCCGTCTCAAAAAAAAAAAAAAAAAAAAAAAAAAAAAATTAACACACTTGTAATGAAGCTTCATTAGCCAGTCTGATGAAATATTTTTTAAAGTGTTACCTAGTAGGATAAGTCAATAGAAGTTAAAATCTTCCCAGTAATAAAACAAGATTTTAGGGTAAGTCAGTTTATTGATGTGTTGTGATCCATCACCCAGATATATTAAACACAAAGTACTTAAGTAATTCAGGATTTCCTTTCCAGAAACAAAGCAGGAATAAAAACCACTATGACAATATAAAACCTTTGTACATTTTTAGGTATTTTTCCCTTCAATATTTAAATAAACATGATTTCTTCTGGCATGTATTTAATGTTAAGTGAACATGATTTTAATTAGTCTTTTTTTATCGTTATTTCAGCCATTATAAAAGCCATAAATGTGTTTCCAGAAAAAGTGCTTTTGATATTATTACAGTATTCTCTCATAAAATAGGAGGTACGCTTGTGAGTTTAGTACTTTAGTTGTAGGCACAGCTTGCACATGTGTGTCGCTGATGTGAAACCACTGCCCTTTTGATTCCATTTCAAAATCTGTCATGAGAAAATGAAAAATCAAACATAAATGGAAAGATTCAAGTTGATTACTTTTTGGTTTTGCCGTAATCTGCTGAGTGCCTGAATTTTCCAAGACATCTTACCTTGTGGAATATCACCGTGAAGAACAAGATTAGAGAGATGACTATTTGCGGTTCTTGCCTTGGCATAGGCAGTGTAATGCCCCGACCTCATAGTACCACTGTGTTCAACAACTCCATATAAGGAATAGAGTACCCTTGTATTTTCTTCTGCAACATTCTTTAAAAATGAGTAGAATCCAAAAGTTAGTTCTAGTTCCATTTACACAGATGTCATGGGCAAGACAAGTTTACACTATGCAAAGGGTCTTTAACCATTACTTTGAGAGTGCAGAAATCATTCATGAGTCTACTCTTTTCTCCATACCTCTTCTCAGCCTGAGACACTTCTGTTTTTATTATAAATTCACCATTGTTCCCCTGGTAGAAAAGCTGTAAGCCACAGGCCACTTGATGCAGTTACCTGGCTCAGATACCAAATAACTGAATTCAACTTGCCAGTTTCTTTAGGAGCCTGAGGATAATTCTTAACAACCCTAGCTATTAACAACTCTGAATACCCTGTTTAAAAAAAGGTAAGCCCTGAACAGGAAGAGAACAGTATTTTAGGTTGTGCCAAAAATTACCCCTTACATCTTTAAATGTCCCCAAGGGAGTTGGTGAGAAGCACATTCAACCTCTCAAGTGTTCACTTTCCCCACGAGAGAGTGCACGCTGCTTATTCTTTCAGGACTCTATATGCCATAGGGCTGGCAACAGGAACAGGCATTCTCTGGGCCAGGAGCCACTTTTCAGACAACTATTTATGTTCTCATGTAAAAGTCCGTAACAGGCATCACGGCCCTTCAGTAGTACTGTCTCCTATACTCAGCTTCCCAATCTGTGCCTCCATATTCACTGAAGAACTTAGTACTTCTCCGTCCATCTATGATTCTCACAGGACTTTAAATGCCATTCCATTTTAGTCAACCACACCCAGGACTAGAGTCTGGGCTTGTCATCACTCAGAATTGTTCAACTTCATAAAATTTTTTTTGAGACAGGGTCTCACTCCGTCACCCAGGCTGGAGTGCAGTGGCATGATCTCAGCTCAATGCAACCTCTGCCTCCTGGGCTCAAGTGATCCTCCCGCCTCAGCCTCTGGAATAGCTGGGACTACAGGTGCACACCACCATGACCTGCTAAATTAATTTTTTGTAGAGATGGGGTTTCAGCATGTTGCCTGGGCTGGTCTCAAACTCCTGAGCTGAAGGGACATAAATCTTATTTTTAGTCTTAGTCCACAAGTCTTCTATTTATTCAACTCTCATCTCACCTATTCTGTACTCTTTAACCTAACAGGATCTCCAATGCTCATATTCTCCTCACCTATGAAGACTTTTGGCTTCATTCCTGATATGGTTTGGCTGTGTCCCTACCCAAATCTCATCTTGAGTTGTAGCTCCCACAATTCCCACATGTCATGGGAGGGTACCCGTTGGGACGCAACTGAATCATGGGAGCAGGTCTTTCCCATCCTTATTCTTGATAGTGAATAAGCCTCATGAGAGCTGATGGTTTCTTAAGGGGGAGTTTCCCTCCACAAGCTCTTGCTTTGCCCGCTGCCATCCATGTAAGATGTGACGTGCTCCTCCTTGCCTTCCGCCATGACTGTGAGGCCTCCCCAGCCATGTGGAACTGTAAACCTCTTTCTTTTGTAAATTGCCCAGTCTTGCCCAGTATATCTTGTCCAGTATATCTTTATCAGCAGCATGGAAACTGACATAATATAATTCCCATATGCAGTCTAGACCATTGCTATTCAAAATGTGGTCCATGAACAGCCAGCATCAGCATCACCTGAGAGTTTACATTAAACATGCAGAATTTTTGATCCCATACTAGACCTACAGAATCAAAATTTGTAGGTCTGATTCCCACATACACATTAAAGTTTGGGAACTTCAATCACATGTATCACTTACAAATAATCTCCTCCATATCCAATTCATCACAAAACCTCACCCTGAATCCTATAATGTACCTGCCATGCCCCAAACCCAGATGGCCACTACTGCCAAGAAACAAAAGTATAATAAATGATCATGTACCTTGTCATAGTCCTCAATGTGACCATAATCTTATAAATTGTCCTTAGCGGCCTCTTCCATTATGCCCATCACAGCAACTGGCCCAGACTTTTTTTTTTTTTTGAGGGAGTTTCTTGCTCTGTCACCTAGGCAGGAGTGCAGTGACGCAATCTCGGCTCACTGCAGCTCTGCCTCCCAGGTTCCAGCAATTCTCCTGCCTCAGCCTCCCGAGTAGCTGGGATTACAGGCGCACACCACCATGCCTGGCTAATTTTTGTATTTTCAGTAGAGACAGGGTTTCACCATGCTGGCCAGGCTGGTCTCGAACTCCTCACCTCAAGTGATCCACCCGCCTCGGCCTCCCAAAGTGTTGGCATTACAGGCGTAAGCCACCACGCCCAGCCCCAAATTCTTCAACATGGAGATTCTTTGAGATCCTTTGTGGTGTCCTCACTTTCTACCCCTGCCTCTTCCACTCAGATACTTAGGAGGGTCCTGTCATTGGCCATCTCCTTTTTCTCTCTTCAGACTCTATACACAAGGGATCCCATCTTCTCATAGTTTAAACTGCCACATATGTACTGATTTCTAAATCTGTGCCCTGGGCCCATCCTAACCTCTCTGCTATAGGTCTCAGATATGTATATCCAAATGTTTTCTAGACTAAGCACATTAATTTCTCAAAGGTATCTGACACTCAAATGTATCTAAAACTGAAGTCATTATCCTTTCTCTACCTGCTTTTCTCAACCTGCTTTTCTCCCTATATATCCTATCTCAATTTACAGCACTCCCATCTGTCGTGCCAGGCCTCAGGAATCATCCTCAACCCTTTCTCTGCCACCCTCAGCATCCACTTATAAAAGGCCTCTGCCTCACCTTACAGTGCCAATCAATCATTAAGTCTGGTTAATTCTACCTCCTGAAATATTCCTTCTATCTCCCCATCTCCTGCCCAACTTTAAGCCCTCATCAACTACTGGCTGAATTAATACAACAGCCTCCAAACTCACTTCCCCACCTCTAGTCTTTCCGTCCTAAAATTCAGCCTTCATACATCAACAAGTAACCTACGTCATATGAAGATCTGACCATGCCACCCCAGTGCTTTAAACTCCTCAGGGCTCCCCACTGTATACCTAATGAAGTCCAAGTTCCTCACCATGAGAACCCTCCAAAACTTCATTCCTATCTCACTTCTCTGGCTTCATTTCTCAACTCTCCCTATAACCTTGTACTATAAACTCTAGAACTACATACGTTACCAGTCTCTGGCAATCACCATCCTATTTTACACTGCTGTTTTTACTCCTGCTGTTCCTTCTGCCTGCAAAACTCATTTCATCTTGATTCATCATACTTTTACTCCTTCTTTAAATATAGTTGAGGCATGGTTTACTTTACAAAGCCATTCCTGAACCACCAACATGCTGGGTTAAGTGTATACCACTCCTGACCTATGTTCACCAGCCTTAACATTCAACCACATTAAACAGATTATTCATTAATAGATCTGCTCACCTTTAGTTTTATGCCCTCCGCTCACAAGACAATGTATGCCATAATAAAGGGGATTCCAAACGTTGAACTGAAATAACCCATTCTTCAAAATGATTCATCACTAATCTTCAAATTATAAAGGTACAATGATCAAAGACCCACTCTACTCAATAAGTGTTATCAACTTCATACTTAAGTGAGTTGCTACTGGAGCATTAGGTAAGCCACAATTTGACTTTAAAGGACTTTCCTGAAAAAGACCACTTTGACTTACCTTACATTTAAGGGTGCAAAAAGGAGCCAAATCTAAGATTTCCGGAAACTTTATGTGTTTGTTAACTTTGCGTAGGTTAAAACCAGCCTAAAAGAGAAGCATAACAGATTGACTTCTTTTCTTGGAAAAGCAATACAGGTTAAGTAAACCGAAGTCCCCTCCGACGTCCAAAAGAATATCAACATTAAGTCCTAGTTCAATTTTCTTTGGAGACTCAATTCTTCCTGAACACTAACTGATTCCAAGTTGGTTTGCTTTTGCTAAGTACACATGTATCACACAAAAAACACACACCAACACATTAAGAAAGCTATTCCCAGCTGGACACGATGGCACATGCCTGTAATCTCAGCACTTTGGGAAGCTGAGGCAGGAGGATCACTTGAGCCCAGGAGTTCGAGATCAGCCTGGGCAACACTGTGAGACTCTGTCTCTACAAAAAAATTAAAAAATTAGCTGGACATGGTGGTAGCCACCTATAGTCCCAGCTACTATAGAGGCTAAGGTGGGAGGATCGCTTGAGACTGGGAGGTCAAACCTTCAGTGAGCCATGATCGTGTCATTGCACACCAGCCTGGGTGACAGAACAAGACTGTTTCAAAAAGAAGAAAAACAACTTTTCTCGTGAGAAAATTCTCAATGTTTCTGCTTCAGCCATCCAGAAATGCCAGATTAGACCACAGGTTCTGAGTGCTTAAAACTCAGCGATAGCATAATACTTTTCTGTGAAACACACGCTCTCAGCCTCATGCTCAAACCAAGCTTAGTGAATTGTTAATAAAGGCCCACCCAATTAGTCAAGCCCATACCAACCACAAGAGGCAAAACGTTCTGAAGATACTGAAAGTACTTTCGGAATTTGCAACACAGTTTAGAAGTTATACAGCTATAGCAAAAGTTTTCCAGAAAAGATGAGGTCACCAAAATGATGACAATCCAAGGCACCAATGTCTTTTTATCAAGGGTCCGTAAAAACAAGATGCCACACACAAAACAGAAAAAATCACTAATATTCCTAAGCATGAGATATATGTAACACACCAGTCTTTTTCTTTTTTTAACCTGAAATAAAAGTAAGATGCCAATCGTACTAAAAAGAGGGACATAAATGAGTTCTAGGAAATCTGAGGAGATTGTGCCTCCATCTTCACATGCGCCTCTGCCTAGCCCCTATGTTTTTCCCTTTCTGACTTCATTGACATTACAGTTAAGAAACAACAGAAAACCAAAGAAACAAAGTAGTATGTTGAGACAGTAATGAAAAAAATAGGTAATAAAGTAGGTGTTACATATTTAAAACAAATTTTGGGTAACAAGGAGTACCTGCTGAAATCTCTTTAAATGAAGAGTAAGAACAGGAGGAGCAAGAGAAATTAGCATCTGCTTTTTGGCATTGGTGTAAACATGCTTCCTTTCACCTAAAGAAAAGAAGAAATTTTTAACAGGGAGAAAATCATTTTAGACCCCTAAAGCATTCAGATTTGCTATAAAATCATTCCAAACATCTAAAGCAAGGATCAGTAAACTTTTTCTATGAAGTACTAGATAACAAATATTGTAGAATTTGTGGAGTAAGAGGCAAAATCAAAGATATTTTATAGGTATTTATGAGATTAAAATGTCCATAAATTCTTACTGATGAAATCAAAATACAGTAATAACTGAGAATGATTACAATCAGAGCAAAATTGAATTACTGTGGAGAGACACAATATTTTGGTTAATGAGGTTGAAAGTTTAGTATATTCCATCACATCAAATCATTTGCAAATGCTCATCTATAAAAAATATTTTTTAGGCTGGGTGCGATGGCTCACGCTGTAATCCCAGGACTTTGGGAGGCCTAGGCGGGCAAATCACTTGAGGTTAGGAGTTTGAGACCACCCTGGCCAACGTGGCGAAACCCTATCTCTATTAAAAATACAAAAATTAGCCAGGTGTGGTGGCGGGTGCCTGTAGTCCCAGCTACTTGGGAGGCTGAGGCAGGAGAATCTCTTGAACCCGGGAGGTGGAGATTGCAGTGAGCTGAAATTGGCCACTGCACTTTAGCCTGGGAGAAAGGGCAGGACTCTGTCTCAAAACACACACACACACACACACACACACACACACACACACACACACACACACGTATCGTCTCTGAGCTGATATATATACAGACAAAAAGTAAGCCTATTTTTGTATAGTCTCTGAGCTTATATATATATACATACACACACATATATATATATACATACACACACATATAAGATACATACACACACACACAGGCTTACTTTTTGTCTCTATATGTAAATAAATAAAATTCTACTTAGAATTTTAAAATGTTTCAACAATTCTACTAAAAATCCTTAGGAATCCATGGCCCCTCCACATCCTATTTACCCAAACTCAAAAAAAAAAGCAATGGGGAGATAAGGGAAATTGTCAGTATGATCCTTTCTCCCATTTGAGGAAGACTGTAAGAAAGCACTGTCTTCCCAGTGCTTTGCACTGGGCATGTCATATTAGTTCACTGATAAATTCAAGTGTGGCGTCCTGGGTGCAAAGGAGGTAAGGGTGGAAAAAAATAGCCACTATGTGTCAGGATGCTGTGGTGACTGCATTCCAAGGGGATAATTTACCCACAGGGAGAGATGTCAGGGAGAAAACTGTCCCATTTAACTGCTGCTGGGATGTCACAGTGTATTAGCCACTTCAATAAAGTCCTACTTTTCCATCCTATTAAAATATTTACACAGAAAAGGACACTTATTCATGCCATCCAAATCCTGATACAATTAGGAGTACTCTACCTATGCAGTGCAAAATGTGCCCCTGAATATTAATTTTACTTACAGTGAGAGCATTAAAATACCTTTTATATTTGCCTTTGGTCCATTACACTGTCTCCGTGTGCATACTTCACAAAGCAGTTTATTCGCATCTCGAAGTTTCTCATTACGGGTGAACTGATATAAACAATGTTGGATTGAACACTCATCAGTATTGAAAACTTCCCTGTTTGCAAGAGTACAGAAAGCAGTTTCTGGATCTTCATTTACAACCTCATACACCTTTGTTCCAGGAGTATGACTATCATTCAGAATCTCTATATTTATTTCATCAGGATGAAGAGCAGCATTCAAATTTAGGTTTTTGAAACCATTGGAAATGTCCACTTCTCCATTGCTCCCTTCCGTTAGGTAGGCACCATTTAAATTCCTAGTGGGAGAAGATGTTAAAACCTCCAGATCATTATCCATGTTGATATTTTTCATATCTACTTCCTCTGTGGATTTTTGATTGTCAGTTACACTTTCGATCATTTTTGCTTGGCCATTCAAATCTTTCTGGTTGACACAATATTCTTTATGCATAACACCCTCTTGTGAAATATGGTTGGATTTAATATTTACTTCTCCTTGAAGTGACATTTCAGCTTCATATTCACTGTCTTCAGGATGGTCAATAGTACAAATATCATTTAAATGAAGAACTTTTCCTTGAATTTTTTGTTGTCTTCGTTGGTTCTGGGTAAAAAGTATACGGCATCAAAAAATAAAGAAAAAGAAAGAGCGGGAGAAAAGGAGGAAGAGAGATAGAGGAAGAAGGACAAAACACACACATGTACTATATCCAGTTTTGCTGCTTGTCAATCAAAAATAATTTCCTAAGGAAGAGTTCACTCTCACAATCTGATCCTAAAAAGTTCCTTTGCTATCAAGGATCAAAAAAATTATGACGAAATTGGCTGGGCATGGCGGCTCACACCTGTAATCCTAGCACTGTGGAAGGCCAAAGCAAGATGATCACAAGAGGATCACTTGAGGAGTTTGGGACATGCTTGGGCAACATACTGAGACCCCATCTCTAAAAAAAAATAAAAATAAAAATTAGCTGGGCACGTTGGTGTCCACCTGTAGTCCCAGCTATTCAGCAGGTTGAGGTGGGAGGATCACTTGAGCCCAAAAGTTCAAGGTTACTGTGAGGTATGATCATGCACACTATACTCCAAACTGGGTGGCAGAGCAAGACTCTGTCTCAAAAAATAAATTATGAAGAAAAGTTATTTAGGCCAGGTGTGGTGGCTCACACCTGTAACCCCAGCACTTTGGGAGGCCAAGGAGGGCATCTCACTTGAGGTGAGGAGTTTGAAACCAGCCTGGCCAACATGGTGAAAACCCATCTCTACTAAAAATACAAAAATTAGCCAGGCGTGCCTGTAATGCACACATGGGTGGTGCGCGCCTGTAATCCCAGCTACTCGGGAGGCTGAGGCAGGAAAATAGCTTGAACATGGAAGGTGGGGGTTGCAGTGAGCCGAGACCACACCACTGCACTCCAGCCTGGGCAACAAAGTGACTCTGTTCCCAAAAAAAAGAAAGAAAAAGTTATTTAAATGAAATCAGGAATAAACCATCACCAACCATCAAAAAACCACCCTACTGTAGAAATAAAAATATGCAAGACATGGTCTCTGTGCTAAGGGAAGTAATCCAGGCAGAGTACTAAGACTGTTAAACCCAGGCAGTCAAATGTTATACCACACGGTGGGTCTGACTCCACACTAACAGAAAGAAATGTATCCATATGAGTTACTGGGTCAAGGTTTCACTGAGAGAAAAAAAAAAACAAACTGAAAGAAAACTCAAGGATGCACAAGTACAGGACTGCTTTGGTCAGAGGAATGGACAAAAGTATTCTGGGAAAAAAATGGCCTGAAGTTAGCAAAGAAGCAAGGTAGCCACACATACAGAAGAGAGTAAAGAACTTTTCCCTTTAAAATCACTCTTGCCACTTGCAACCTACTTCCAAATAGAGGAAAAGAAGGCATTTCATCAAGATTCCTGTTACTGAAATGCCTAAAAACCCAAAGGCATTTCTGGTTGTAACAGAAAGAACTGAAAGAACAGCCCCTGTGAGGCTACTCTGTAATACCAGAAGAATGAAGGGCAGCAAACAGGATGGGAACCAAACATTTTCTGATGTGTTTCCGTAAAAACAGAGGAACACATGAATAAAAAATAAGAAAAGAATATAAGCAAAAACTTCAAAGAACATGAAATGCAAATGGCTCTGAAACATAAAAATATGCTTAATCTAATTTATATTAAAATAAATGTAAAATAAAACTGCACTGAGATAATATTTTCCATCTAACATACCAATCAAAATCTGGAAGTTTGATAACACACAGCTGTCAAGGGTCAGGAGCAACCTTTGTGAAGGACAATTAGTATCAACCAAAACTACAAATGCAATCCCTCTTCTCAAAATTTACCCTACAGATGACTTATGTGTAGGGTTATTCACTAGAGCACTCACCATTATAGCAAAATACTAGAAACAACCTAAATCAATAGAGAAATGGTTAAATGAATTATGGCACATCCATAACACAGAATCATGCAACTGTTAAAAAAAAGAAAGAAAGAAAGAAAGAAAGAATGGGCCAGGCACGGTGTCTCACATCTGTAATCCCAGCACTTTGGTAGGCTGAGGTGGGCAGATTATCTGAGGTCAGGAGTTAGAGACCAGCCTGACCAACATGGCGAAACCTGTCTTTACTAAAAATACAAAAGTTAGCCAGGTACGGTGGCACATGCCTGTAATCCCAGCTACTTGGGAGGCTGTGGCAGGAGAATCACTTGAACCTGGGAGGCAGAGGTTGCAGTGTGCCAAGATCTCGCCATTTGCACTCCAGCCTGGGCGACAGAGTGAGACACCATCTCAAAAAAAAAAAAAAAAAGAATGAAGAAGTTTTATATACTAAAATGGAAAGGACTCCAAGAATCTAAGTATAAACAAACAACACAATCCAGAATGGTGTGAATGGTGAGAAAGGGGGAAAAAAACCAAGACTGCATATTTGTATTTGCTCATATTTTCCAAAAGAAACTCCAGAAGGATACGTAAGAAAAAACAAAAATGTTTATCTTTGTCATAAAAGGAAAGTGGTGGTCGGCCGGGCGCGGTGGCTCATGCCTGTAATCCCAGCACTTTGGCAGGCTGAGGAGGGAGGATCACTTGAGGTCAGGAGTTTGAGACCAGCCTGGCCAACAATGGTGAAACCCTGTCTCTACTAAAAATATAAAAATTAGCTAGGCTTGGTGGCATGCACCTGTAGTCCTGACTGCTCAGGAGGCTGAGGCACGAGAATTGCTTGAACCTAGGAGATGGAGGTTGCAGTGAGCAGAGATCGTGCCACTGCACTCTGGCCTGGGCGACACAGCAAGACTCCATCTCGGGTTGGAAAAAAAAAACAGTGGTGGGAGGGGGACTTATTGTTTACCTTTATATATTTTTAAATTTGTGGATGTCAATAATATTAACTCGAAAATTAAGTTAATTAAACTTACTACAAATACTTGTTACAAGCAATGCAGGATTTAAAAAAAAAGAAGCACGACGTTTTCTTCACATATACTCAAAGCAATTTCCCTGCAGAGAATACTAAATGAGCTAAATTCTGTAATTGTCAAATGAAAGTGCTGTATCTAAAATAACAGACATGTCTAACCAATGTCATTCAGACTACAAACTCAATAGCTCAAAATATAAAATTACAAGCATATGATTTTCCTCCTAATTACCCACCTTGGCTTGCTTTTTGGCTTGTTTCTTTGCTTTTTTCTGTAAGTGCTTACTTGTTCCAGAAGGAATATCACTTCTCTCTTTTATGTAACTGTCGTTATCTTTTTCTTCCTCACTATCTTGATCTTCATCCTCCACTGTCTTTTTCAGATTTTTATCATTTACACTTTTCTTACCACTCTTAAAATATAGATAACATAGGTCAAAAACAAAATTTTACAACTACCATTTGGTGAAAAAAAATCCACACTATGTAAATATTTTTCTACTTCTATTATGTATTAGCTTTTTTTTTCCACAATATTTGAAAATAGATGAGACAAAATTCGTTTATCTCATACACTAGAAAGCAATCTTCACATAATGAGAAAACAAGCAAACCAACAAAACAGCAAAAGGCAACATCACATGTAAGTGTAATAGAAATATAACGAAATTTATTAGATACATGCTGTGTCACACTGTAAATACGTCCATTTCCAAATACATTTTCTAAGTGACTTATGTAAGTCACCACGGTGTATTCTTTTTTATTCTTTTCTTTCTTTGCATGCATATGACAGTTTCAGAAAAACAGAAAATAAAATTTGGTGAGACTTTAATTGCCAAGTTAACAAGCCAAGGGTCTCATAATTCATATGAAGTTGAAGAATGATTTATCCAATACTCATAACATCTCTTCTTTTTTCCTACTACTATTTAAAAGGAACCAAATTAAAACAAAATAATACTCTTTAACATTTATGAACTTAGGTGTGCAAGGGATTCGTGATTAGTCTTAAATAACAAAAATAAGTATTAATTTTAATATAAGGAAAATACTTCACTGTATGGAAACCAATCAAACTAATTACTTGTACAGAATTCTGAATACATCATCTTTTTTTCCATCCTTGTTTTTAAAGTAGTTACCCTGTTCTTTATTCAAATCCTAAAATGCATTCTACCTCAAATTAAGAAAAATTTCTGCATGGGCTAGTAATATACAAACTTAAAAAGAGTAACAAGGCTTCCCCCCACAAAATCTTACAGGAAAAAAAATCTACTTGAATAAAATAAATTCAATAGTCTTACCTGATCATCTAAAACTGGGAGGGACAAATCAAGGAAAGATTCATGAACCAAGGAGACCTTAACCAATCAGAAAAGACAGTGTAAAAATGTAAATACTGTAAATGTTACATAGTAAGATCCTCCCTGCCCTGTGGGATGGGGAGTAGGGGATGGGTTTTAAAATAAACAAAGGCTTAAGAAAATTTGAAATGAAAAATTACACAACATTGAGGACTTTGGGTTGGGGGAAATAAATCAAACTGTTTAACGTCTTCAAGATTTAAGGAGTGCTGACATTTCCCACAAAGAACCATGCACATCTGAATAGCATCTGAATAGTTTAAAAAGATATCCTATGAAGGTAGAGATTTCTGCTTTTGAAATAAACAATTGATAAACTGTTGAATATTAGCAAATAAACCCAGTATACATGACATCTACTTACAGTTCTGCATTGATCACACATGATCATACTAGTTAGTTCACCACCAAAGATGCGGTCAACAAAACTTGGCATTGATTTTTTCTTCTCATAATCTATGGAGAAAAAAAAGTCTATCAATTACCAATTACCGTTATATAATTAATTAAACAAGAAAAGCTAAAACTACTTACCTATCTAACTCTAAAATTTTATTTTAAATTTCCTGTCCCACAGACTTCTTCCTCCATTCATAATCACCTTTTTTAAGCAATAGAAGTCAGTATTATATATTCCACCTCTGAGCATAACATAATTGAACACAATCGCCTTTTATGAATAAGACAAAAAAGTCCTTATCCAAGATCTAGTCAGTGGGAAGTAAACTGTGCAAGTCAGTGAGACTTCTATGTCTTTCTCTCTCTCTCCATTAGTATAAAATGAACAGCTCAGAGTAGGCTGAATGACAGCCTAGTTCCTTAGTTCTAGCTCTAACATTCTAACATTCAAGACTGATAAAAGATACCAGAGTAGCAAACTGGGAGAGAAAATGCATGTAACTTGTTTTGTGAACTCTAAGACTGAACTCCTTTGATATTTTAAAAACAAAAGAAAAACCTCAGGAAAATATTTCAAACAAAATCTTCCTTTTATTTTCCTATGCTCCCAGAAATAATCTTGATAAGTTTAATATAACTAAAAGCCATAATTTTACTACTTGATCAGCCAATTTTCCAAATACGTGAAACCTATAAGCATTATTCAAATGATAATTTATGCAGAACCACACTTTTCTGACAGAAAATGCCAGCAGGGGTAATTCTCTCCATTACTGGCCAGGCTCTAAAGGGCACCAAGGAGGCAAAGAGTTGCTATGAGTTGATTCAAATCTGTGCTTTATAATACAGTGCCCTTAGTCACTTACGGCTATTTAAATTTAATTACAATTAAATAAAAATAAAAATGTAGTTCCTCAGTTTCACCAGTCACATTTCAGGCGCCACACGTGCCTAGTTGCTTCTATATGGAACAGCAAAGGTATAGAGGAGTTCCATCAACATAGGAAGTTCTACTGGGCAGATCTGCCCTAAATCTTTACACGCCACATAATAAGAACTAAGTTGGCTCCATGATTAATAAACCAACTACTGACAACTCACAGTAACAAATATAATTCATGTATTACTGCTAATTATAATTTTAAGCTTTTGAAAAGTAAAACTGTAATTCATCATAGTTCTATCTTTAATACATAAAAAGAATACACCATGGGGTAAAACTGTTCACTTCTGGAGCACTGAATAATTTTTACTAATCAACGTTGATAAAGAGAAATTATACATTAATAATTGTGGACTTGGAAATATATGTGCCAGCAATCTTGTCCTAAGGTACAGAGGAATTCAACTATAGTGTTTTAGTTCAAAAAGTCAGACATTACCTTTAACTTTATTTTTTAGTTCTTCATCCAACTTTTCAGTAGAATTACCAAATGCTTTAAGTATTCCTTTACTCACTCTCTAAAAGTAATAAAATGGATATATATATACTATTAAATTTTAAATTTTATTTTCCTTAGAAATATGTAATCAAGTCAAGAAAGTGATCAGGATACAGCTCCCCATATTTACTAAATAATTCCAAAATCACATTTTCAAACTTAATTCAAGGAGCTAAAAAGGAATTATGTCACAAAGCAATCACTAACCATTGAATAAAGGTATTATCTTATCATTTCAAGATCTTAAACCTCTTCAAGCCAAAGGTTTTCAGAACATGCCCACCACCTTTGAGAAGAAACTGAAATAGCTTGTCCTACAAGCACAATGATTACATGACAGCCACAGGGTCTGACTCCAGTGCTTAAAGCCCAGCTCCATTATTTCTGGGGGACCTTAAACTAGGTACTGAACTTCTCTACAGCCTAGATTCTCAATCTATGGAATAGGAAAAAATCACAGTATCCACCTCACAGAAACTTTGTGAGAACGAAGTAAGGGAATTAATACAAAACACTGAAAACAGTGATTGGCATAAAAATAAGTGCGAAATAAATATTAGTTATTATCACTATTATTAGTACTCATTAATTCATACCCCAAATACATTTTTTTATATCCTGGCAAGTAACAAAAATTTTAAAATGCAACCAATGTTCCCTGACTCTTACAAAATGAAAATACTTCCTAGGTTCAAAAAACAGTATTAAATCAGACTCAGAATTAAAAGTAAGGGTGTGCTGCACCTGGGTTTGGGAGAAACAATTTCCAATATTTGGCAGCTCTCTTCGTATAGGTTAGTACAACAGAATCTTTAAAGAACATTAATGCTGTAAACATCAACTAAACTTAAGCCATCATGAGAAAGAGAATTACTGCTAATTCTCTGGATTCATTCTAATGGTGAAAACATACTAGTTGAAAAAGCTGGTGTAAGAAAAAATTTTAAAGTATGATGGCCTTAATAACTAGCTTTCATTGTTTTAACTCGTAAGATATCAAATGAGACAGAAAGCTTATGAAGATAAGATCATAAAATACAATGGTCATAACATGCTAACTTGGTGTTCTTCTGCTCTCATCCCATCCAATAAGTAGCGAAGCAGCTCCTGGCTGTCTTGCTGCTGATAGCCTTTAAACCGCACTGCTCTAGAGAAAAACAAAAAGACAGAAAAGCAATCTTCAGTCTACTAAGCTCTGAAGCTATTTTTAGAAAATCTTAGGATCATATCCCAAATCTCAGAGAGTTCTGGTTTCTACAAATTTCCGTTTAGTCCATTAACACCCTTGGGAGATTTAACTATCACATAAAATATATTTTAAAATCCAAATGAAAAAAAACTATGCCTTTTGTATATAGAGGGTTGACTAAATGTAATGCTATTAATATTTTTATATTTTACTATTTAATATTAATATTATTTCTCAGCATCTCACTGAGGCACTGAAAGCACAATCGAAGTGGATACTCACTTTTTACAGACCTGAGAAAAGAGTTCTTTCGGTGTCACAACCCCCTTTTTGGTCTCTTGCATCTCATTAAGAAACTGGCTCATGGCTAAAGTAAGAGGGCCTGGAGGCTCAAGGTTTATTTCTAATGGTTCCTGAATATGGGAAAAGAAATTACTTTCTTCAGTCAAATTCTGGAATCACTGACTTTACTAAAATCTAATTAGTTAACATATACTACCAATGTTCCTGACAGAACTGCCCCATTTAAAAGTTTAAAATGTACATCAAAAGAGATAGAAACTGTTTGGTCACAGACTGTCTTATGCAGAATTCAGCTCTACTATTTTAGTTTTAGATTATCTGGAACACTTACTACCTAAGAATTGAAAGAGCCAAAGCAAAATGTAAATAATAAAAATGGATAAGGTAATATTTATTTGGTTACACAGCTCTTAAGTCACCTTAAAGATGTTAAAAATAATAATGTAAGCCTAAGGCTTCTCAAACATATACACATTCCCAAGAAGGAAGCTTAACACTCGAGCATAGAAAAACAGAGCACACACACAGCAAACAGATGTAATGCCTCCTTATAACTTCTATTAGCCTGAAACTGTTTAAGTTAGTAGCCTAAAGTAAAACAAAACAAACAAAAACAGTGGAAATGAGTGTCAGTTATTTAAAATAATTTAGAAAACACACATTCAGAGAGGAAAGTTACAGACTAGAAAAGTTTAAAGAACATACTGTTAATGCCAAATCAGGTGGTTCAATTTTTACAATTGTTCCAGACATTTTCACTTCTTTTAGTAGTTCTCTAAGCACTGGTGTTTGTGACAAGTTCTAGAATGTAGGGTGAAAAAAAAAGAGAAAAATTATTTAAAGGCAAATCAACTCTGACACTTCTTAAGTGTCTATTCTATCAAAACAGAAAATCATGACCAACACTGAAAACTCTATACTTGGAAAATGAAAAGTTACAGATGCTTCTCTCCCTACTCTATTTGGGTCATAACTACTTCAGTTCTGAGCTTATTCATCACCTCAGTGGGGCATTCTCCCACCACCCAATCAGAAGTAGCTATCCCCAATCCTCCACCATGACTCTCTCACAACCACTTACCACTACCTGTAGGTACGTATTTGCTTCTATATGAGGTTATCCTGTGTTTCCTCCACCCAAGTGCAAGCTCCATGAAAGAAGCAGCAATATTTCTTTCAAACCCACTGCACCCGAGTGCTCACCAAACTCTCTTACTGTCATGCAATAAAACTTTCCTTAAGTTTTCTTTGGCCAGGCATGGTGGCTCACGCCTGTAATCCAAACACTTTGGGTGGCCAAAGGGGGTGGACGGCTTAAGCCCAGGAGTTCAAGACTAGCCTAGGCAACATGGCGAAACCCTGTCTCTACAAAAGATACAAAAACTAGCTGGGAGTGGTGGCGCATGCCTGTAGTCCCAGCTACTCTGGAGGCTAAGGTAGGAGGACTGCTTGAGCCCAAGAGGTAGAGGCTGCAGTGAGCCACGATCGTGCCACTGCACTCCAGCCGAGTGACAGAGTGAGACCCTGTCTCAAAAAAAAAAAAAAAAAAAAAAAAAGTTTTCTTTGGATACATAGAAATAAATTACTCAGGTGGAAAAAACTCAATAATGTAAGTAGCAGATTCTATGAGGAAAAGGACAGCTTTTTTAAAGGGAAAAAAATGACAATGTACCTGCATAACTGCATTGAAGAAACATGTGTTTCCCAAATTACTGAGTCCTTTCACGGTTATTTGGCAAGGAGAATTCATGGGAGGATTCTCTTTAGCCATGTTTTCCTTCTTTTCTCTCTCTTGTTCATTCTTACTCTCTTTTTCTAATTTTTTATTTTCAAGTTCAATATTTCCATTATCTTTCTCTGCTTTAAAAAAAGAAAAGATTTAGCAAAATGTGTAATACAGTCATATCGAATGCAGAAGTATACTTGGGAAACAGTACTAGAGTTTGTGAGTTTACCTGAAGTCATTCTTTCCAACCCACCCACCCATTTGATTTTAAATAGATACAGGTAAATTGCCATCCAGAAAAAAAACACAAAACCCAGTAAACAAAAAATACTCAGACCTAAAGTAAGCATTAGTTTGATAAATGAAACCAAACAGTATGTGCTTTGGTATAAATCTCCCTTTTTTACTGCACGAAAATTCTTTACAAATGAACACATCTTACCTTGTGAAATTAAGAATATAAAACAATCAAGAACATGGACATGAAATAAATTTTTTAATGAATTCTGTGGGTCAAAAATCAATCCTAAAGTAAAAAACAAATAATTCTGGCTCTGACAAAGATACTTGTGACAATAAAAACTTAAAAAACATGCTTAAAGCAAATGCTGTATGTCAGCCAATTAATTTAATTATGCATGGAAAGAACCTAAGAAATATCTGACCATTAGAAGGAATCACAAATGCTTTATGTTATCCCAGCAGACAGACTGAAATCTTGCTATTACAAAATGTACGACAGTAAGAACAGTGTAAGGCAGGTCTATAGTAAGCCTGGCTAGGGTTATGGGAATTACCTTAGTCTTAGCATTAATGGCCATTACCTTAGTCTATGGCCTTCATCACATCTGACTAGATCATTTCTCATATCCCTTCTAATACCTTATAGTTAAACCAAAAATAGTTTCATAGTTTGCAATCAACCATAACTAATGTTACTCAGCTGTATGTAATGCTAGGTAGTATAACAAATCTAAGTATCAGCAGATACACAAATCGACATTTGGTGTATATTAAAGAAACAAATTATTTTACCTGGCTTTGGAGTTGTAATGCTGGCTTGTTTTCTGACATAATCAACCACTTGACCCAACTGGTTTGAACTACAATACTGGACCTCATTATCACATACGTAACACCTGTGACCCAAAAATCAGAGATGAAAAATGACAAAATGACAACTAAAAAGGGGGAGACAAATAATAATTCCTGGAATCAAAGTGTGTAACTGCCAACTTATTCTATTAAAGAAACCGAACGTAAAAATTCTGTTTTCCTGAAGAAGACTATGCATATTAACTCTGGTTTATTATTAATAAAATTAGCCAGAATTATGGCTGCATATAAGTAGTATGATGAAATACTCCAAACGTTTTACTTTACTGGTTATAACATTGAAGTCAAAAGATTGTTTACATATATTTTAAAATACAGAATAACACTAACAAAAATAACAACTTTTTTTTGTTTGTTTTGTTTTTTGGTTTTTTTTGAGACGGAGTCTCGCTCTGTTGCCCAGGCTGCGTGCAGTGGCAGGATCTCGGCTCACTGCAACCTCCAGCTCCCTGGTTCATGCCATTCTCCTACCTCAGCCTCCCGAGTAGCTGGGACTACAGGCACCCACCACCATGCCCAGCTACTTTTTTTTTGTATTTTTAGTAGAGATGGGGTTTCAACGTGTTAGCCAGACAAAAGTAACAACTTTTACAATTGAAAGATGCCATTCAAGCCAGGCACGGTGGCTCATGCCTGTAATCCCAGCACTTTGGGAGGCTGAGGCATGCGGATCACAAGGGGATCACGAGGTCAGGAGTTTGAGACCAGCCTGACCAACATGGTGAAACCCCGTCTCTACTAAAAATACAAAAATTAGCCGGGCGTGGTGGTGCATCCCTGTAATCTCAGCTACTCGGGAGGCTGAGGCAGGAGAATTGCTTGAACCTGGGAGGCGGAGGTTGTGGTGAGCCGAGATCACACCACTGCACTCCAGCCTGGGCGACAGAAAGATTCCGTCTCAAAAAAAAAAAAAAGATGTCATTCAGTGAAGACTACTGTGAAAATGATTTTTAAGACGTAAAAATCTGTTTTAATGATGTTACAATGCAGCATCTATAACATACCAGACTGACATTTATTTTCATGCAAATTCATAGCCAAAATTTTATTACAATTTTATCTGAAATTTGTTCTTAGCGTCCCTATCTCCACTATATGCCTTATAATATCACAAGCAAGAAAAACAAAGGGGTAAAGATTCTTAAGTCTTCTATGTTACAATGTTTGTGCTTGTGCAAACGTCCAAGTAAAAGCTTCTCATAATACTGCATTCTTTAGCTTTGTGAAAGTGATGGTATTTTAAAACATACTACAAAAATTTTAAATTGCTTTCTTCTTAAACATATTTAAACATTTCCATTCTCTAATATTTCAAATAATTTCCACCCAAGAGGCAGAGGAACTGAAACTCACCATACACTCCAGTTGTCCAAACTAAGAACCAGACAGTGAGGTTCAGATCTTGGCGTCAGATAGTGCTTCAAGGCATGCTGCTCCTGAGAATTTCTGCCACAGCCCTAAAAAAATCATAATCATAAACCTCAAAGCCATAAAAACTCAGCAAGAGGGGAGAATGCATAATCTATCATAAACAAGGAAGTGGCTCATGAAATTCTGCCATTCTTACAATCTTGAAAAGAAAATGTTAGACTCTAGAATCAATATTTTGTTAAAACTTACATATGCACAGGCAACTGAGAACATTTAAGTCAACAAGTATTTAGAAAACCATGCACTCGCTAGGCGCGGTGGCTCACACCTGTAATCCCAGCACTTTGGGAGGCTGAGGCCAGGGGTGGGATCACCTGAGGTCAGGAGTTCGAGACCAGCCTGACCAACATGGTGAAACCCCATCTCTACTAAAAATACAAAAATTAGCCGGGTGTGGTGGCGCACATCTGTAATCCCAGCTAATTAGGAGGCTGAGGCAGGAGAACTGCTTGAACTCAGGAGGCGGAGGTTGCAGTGAGCCAAGATCACGTCTGGGCCTGCACTCTAGCCTGGGCAACAAGAGCAAAAACTCCATCTCAAAATAAAAAAAAAAAAAAAAAGAAAACCATGCACTCAAAGTACTCTTCTTGTCCAACTTTCCAGCCCAGATTAAACCACACTAATGCAGTCAAGTCTGGTTTGGATTCCTTAACAGTCTCCTAAACATTCCCCTAACTTCAGCCTCCTTCTTCACATGCATATTCTTTCAGTTTAGTGTTCCTAAAACAAAGCTCTGTTCATACACCATTCAAAAATTATGAATTGCACTCTTAAACTCCTAATAAACAAACCTGACATCCTCTGACCCCGACATATCTCTCCAGTGTTAACTCCCACATTCTCTTATTCACATACCAACGACCAGCTAAAAACACACTGAGCGCTTTTCACAACTATGCAATTTTGTTCACATTATTCTATTTATCCAGAATCCTTTATGAACACTGCTACCTAACCAAATCCCACCCACTCTTCAAGATCTTGCTCAAAAGCCACCTCCTCCCAGAAGCCTATACTTATCTCCCAGATGAGAAAATACTGTCTCCTTCCTTTAAACAAATTCTATAAAACATGGCATGAATTCCTAGTGGCATTCCTTATTTTTTACCTTGTACTAACGTTATTGATATTTATATCCTTTCTCACCTGGTCTATAAATCCCAAAGGCTCAAGGCAGTAGACTTAATCTATTACCAAATATTCTAGAACACAGGAGGTGGTCAAAAAACACTATTTAAACAAGTAAATGGGAGACTTTTACCTAAAAGATGTATAGGCTTATTCATAAAAGAACATGACCTAAACTTCTGCTTTCAGCTAGTCAGATCACTGCTGAGAAACATATCTTCACTGTGTATCTACTGGAACCAGTCTATCAACTTTTGGATCACAGTACAACAACCGGTCGTGTTTCCATTGCCGCTAAATATATACTTTGGAGAAGAAATATACATTGGTAATTTCTAATTCCTTAACTATGATCCCAAACACTATTCGCTTAATTTATCCCACTGAACATTTAATTACAAAATAAATGAATTAACATTTGATACTATTTTTGAAAATTACAACATCATTTGAGATCATTTGAAACATAGTTGTCTTGAGACAACAGTTAAGAATCATTAGCTAACAGTGCCAAAGGTATCTAGTGGGAAAAAAGTTAGCAGTTAATACTGACATGTCTTATTCTTACAAATTAAAAAGGTAGCACAAAAATTTGTAACACAAAATATATTCTGAAAAACTGAAATAGCAAAGCATATTCATACTCACCATATGTATTTAAAAGGTTACAATTAAACCTTTCAAATACAAGTAAACAGTATCTTTTCTAACATACAGATTTTTTTAACTGACCACAATGAGATATCAGTATATAACTATCATGATGGCTAAAATAAAAAACTGTGACAATTGTAAATGCTGGCAAAAATGAAGAAAAAGTGAAAGTGAATCATTCATACACTGCTAGTAAGAATATAAAAGGTAGAGTCACTGTGAAAAAACAGTTTGGCAGTTTGGCAGTTTCTTAAAAAACTAAACATTAAATTGCCATAGGACCCAGCAATTGCACTCTTGGGCATTTATCCTAGAGAAATGAAATCTAAGTTCACACAAAAACCTGTACACAAATGTTAACAGCAGCTTTATTTGTAATCACCAAAAAATGGGATCAGCCCAGATGTTGTCATTCGACAGGTAAACAGTAAAAACAAGCTGTTGTACTATATGCCATAAAATACGCTCAGTAATAAAAAAAGAGCAAACTTGATACACACAGCTTTGATAAATCTTTGGGTGATTATGCTGAGTGAAAAAGCCAATCCTGGCTGGGCACGGTGGCTCACACCTATCATCTTAGCACTTTGGGAGGCCCAGGGGGGTAGATCACTTGAGCCCAGGAGTTCAAGACCAGCCTGGGCAGTATACCAAAACCGCATCTTTAGAAAAAATACAAAAATTAGCCAGGAGTGGTGGCATGCAGGTGTAGTCCCAGCTACTCAGGAGGCTGAGGTGGGAGGATCACTTGAGCCTGGGAGGTGAAGGCTGCCGTGAGCCGTGATTATACCGCTGAACTCCAGCCTGGGTGAGAGAGTGAGACCCTGCCTCAAAAAAAGAAAAAAGCAAAAGCCAATCCCCAAATGTTGCACACTGTATGACTCCATTTACATAACATTTTTGATGAAATGACTAAATTTAGAAATACAGAATAGAATGGTAGTTGCCAGGGGCTGCAGAGAGTGGTGGCAGTAGGGAGGTGGGTATGATTATACAAGGGCAACACAAGAGATCCCTGTGATGTTCAACTATTTAGTATCGTGACTGTGGTGGTGAATAATCTACACAGGTGACAAAAGTGTACAGAATGTAATACACATGTACACATACACACATGCACAAAAAAAGAAGTCAAACTCAGGAGATCTGATTGCGATTGGTGTGTTGTTTCAATCTCAATATCCTGGTTGTGATATTATACTCATTTTGTAAAATGTTACCACTGGGGGACTCTGAGAAAAATGCATAGGGATTTCTCTGTATTATCTGTTAGATCTGCACATGATCTATAATAACCTCAATAAGATTTTCAATTTGAAAACGTGAAAAAACAAAAAATCCTGGCTGGGCGCAGTGGCTCACGCCTGTATTCCTAGCACTTTGAGGGAGCCAAGGTGAGTGGATCACTTGAAATCAGGAGTTTGAGACCAGCCTGGCCAACATGGCAAAACCCTGTCTCTACTAAAAATACAAAACTCAGCCAGGCGTGGTGGCACACACCTGTAATTCCAGCTACTTGGAGACTGAGGCAGGAAAACTGCTTGAACCTGGGAGGTGGAGGCTGCCATGAGCCAAGATTGTGCCACTGCACTCCAGCCTGGGTGACAGAGTGAGACCCCATCTCAAAAAAACAACAAAAAACTGGCTATCTGCCTGATCTTGAAGCCTCATGACTTCATGACTACTGCCTAGTAGCCCAATTTCCTAACATATAAGCTTAACTTGCCACCACTAAGGGTAACTGAGAGACCCTGACTTTAGTACCACGGTAATAACTGTGAGCTGGTAGAGTAGATACTGTGATGTGCCAGCCAGACATGCCCTCACTGCCAAAGATCAAGGTACTACTCATTCCCCCAGGTGCTGAGAATGTGGCCGGCTGAGAGCTCACAGTCTAGTCCATCCATCCCCAGGAATCAGTCTCAACAAAAGGGAGCTGCCTTGCCCAAGGTTACTTCCTGCTCTAGGGGCAGGCCACATCCAATGACTGGTCTATGCACAGGTAGAAAGGTCTAGCTCCTTGCCTCAATTCAGGCAAGAGATCACTGTGGGATTGGCTGAGACCCTGTTGCCACTGCCTCTTCATTCAACTTCTCCCTATGCTTAATCTTGCTTCCCTTACTTTTACTGGTGTGGTACCAGAGAACACTCCACCACCTATACACACATCTCAGAACTGGTTCTCCAGAGAACATGATCTATGTTACTAGTATCCTTTTATCCATACTGTACTTTCAGGTAATACCTTCTAAAGTAAGTTCAAAGAGTTTTCTAAAATCCCATATTGATCTTAAAACGTAAGCATACCTGATGGCCACATTTAAGACACAGCCAAACTGAAGGCTTTTCTTCTGTTTCTTCTTCAGCTTTATCTTTCACTTTATTGTCAGTCTTACAGTCTTGGCAGATATTCCATTCCACATTCACTAAAGCCTTTTTCAAATTACCTTGTTCCAATCCTTTTCTAATGTGTCTGCACACAGGTTCTATTAAAACAAATAATAGACAAGGAATATATAAGGTCAAAAATGACTTTCTTCAGTTAATCTCAAAACTTACCCTCGATTCACATTTCAAAAATGAAATTTACTCTATAAACTGTTAAGATATTCTGAACTTAAAATTGTTTGATATTTGAATAATATGAGATAAATATGTGAGAAAGAGATTTGACACAAATTTGTGAAGTTTCGCTTTCTTGAAGTCCTAAATATAACCACCACTGTCCCCCACTACAAATTCATTTCAATTTATTTGGCTATTTCCTTTAAATTAAGGCCCTTTATCATACTTATGATTCTCTTTATCTTTAAAGATTTGTAGAAAACGTCCTTCATTTAGTCAATAATACACCTACTATAGGGCAGGCACTGTGCTAGACGCTCAGGAGCCCAAAATTGACCAAGTCACAGCTGTTTTCTTTGAGTAGCTCACATTCTGGAAGGAAAGGCAGCTAAATAAATTAATGTATAAGAATCTCCGAAACATGGTATAGCAGCACAAGCAGAGAAGGCTAAAGTCACCAAAAGTTTCACAGGGGAGGTAACATCTGTGCAATCCTAGAAGATAATAATAGTAATAAAAATTGCTGATATTAATTAAATATGTCCTATGAACTTTGTTAAATGTTTTGAATACATTATCCCATTTAATCCTTACAATCACCCTAGAAGACACTATTATTCCCAATGACAAATGAGAAAACTAAGATTTAGTACCCACATAACTACTGAGTATCTATGCCAGAATTTAGACTCAAGTCTTTCAGACTTCATAGCTCACACTTTAAACTGCGACCTCAGGGAGTGAAGGGCAATCTGAAAATGCCCATGCCAAGAACAAAAACATGTGAAAGTGCATGCTGTCTCCCCAGATGATGGAGTTACACAATGTGCAAAAATGAGCAGTTGAACCTGAGGCTGAAAACTCTGTTGGGGCCAAGATAAGTAAAGAGCTTTGCAAACCACTCTACAGTGCTGAGTTGTTCCAGGAACACTGGAGGTTTAGAAACTAGTCAAGTGGCATAATTAGCTTTATGTCCAATGATCTTGCACCAAGAAAAGAAATATAAATGCAAATGGGATCAGGTGGAAAAACTACCAAATCTCAGTAGTCAAAGAAATACAAACTAGAAAAAGAAGGTACCCTTTTTTTTCTTTTTTCTTTTTGAGACGGAGTCTTGCTCTGTTGCCCAGGCTGGAGTGCAGTGGCACAATCTCGGCTCACTGCAAGCTCCGCCTCCCAGGTTCACGCCATTCTCCTGCCTCAGCCTCCCAAGTAGCTGGGACTACAGGCGCCCGCCACCACGCCCAGCTAATTTTTTGTATGTTTAGTAGAGACGGGGTTTCACCGTGTTAGCCAGGATGGTCTCGATCTCCTGACCTCGTGATCTGCCCGCCTTGGCCTCCCAGAGTGCTGGGATTACAGGCGTGAGCCACCACACCTGGTCAGAAGGTAACCTTTTTTAACTACCAAATCAGCACAGATGTTTACAGATGATACTAACCAGTGCCGATGAAGGTTCAGGGAAATGGGCACTTTACTACGCTAATAGGGGGCCTGGAAATTAGTAAAACATTTCTGGATGGCAATTTAGCAACAGGATCAAAAGAGTCTTAAAAATGTTTACACCCTTCGATTCAAAAATTATGTATGTGTATTAGGAAAATATTTGGATGTACAGAGAGATTTAGCTATAAAGTTGTTTACTACTGAGCCATTCATAATACTAAAAAGTTAAAGATTACCTAAATCTGTAACAGTAGAAAATTATCTAAATAAATTATGAAATATACATCCATGGTCTTTGCTAAATGCAATAATATGCCATTAAAAATGTTGTTGAAGGTCGGGCGCGGTGGCTCACGCCTGTAATCCCAGCACTTTGGGATGCTGAGGAAGCGGATCACTTGAGGTCAGGAGTTCAAGACCAGCCTGGTCAACATGGTGAAACCCTGTCTCTACTAAAAATACAAAAATTAGCTGGGTGTGGTGGAGCACACCTGTAATCCCAGCTACTCATGAGGCTGAGACAGGAGAATCGCTTGAACCCTCAAGGCAAAGGCTGCAGTGAGCTGAGATCACACTACTGCACTCCAGCCTGGGCAACAGAGCCAGACTCCGTCTCAGGAAAAAAAACAAAAAAGATGTAGAAAGTCAGGTGCAGTGGCTCTCACGTGTAATCCTAGCACTTTTGGAGGCCAAGGCAGGCGGATCACTTGAGGCCAGGAGTTCAAGACCAGCCTGACCAACACAGGGAAACCCCGTCACTATTAAAAAAAAAAAAAAAAATTAGCTGGCTGTGGTGGGATGTGTCTGTAATCCCAGCTACTCAGAGGCTGAGGCACGAGAGAACCGTTTGAACCTGGGAGGCGGAGGTTGCAGTGAGCTGAGATTGCACCACTGCACTCCAGCCTGGGCAACAGAGCGAGATTCTTTCTCAAAAAAAAAAAAAAAAGTAGAAGACTATTAAATGACATATAGATACAAACATTATATTAAAATGCAGATAATATAACAATAATATGCAGCTTTATACCATTTTTACATTTTAAAACATATTCATTTAGAGATATAAACATTAAAGATTCAATCAATGAAATATACCTAAAGTTTCAGAGGAATCATCGATTGGAACAGTTTTTCCCTTTGTCCGTTTCTTTCCCATGTTGGCACTTTATGGATTACTTACTGACACAAAATAACAATCTAGAAAACAAGATAAAGTTAGCTTGACCAAAAAAAAAAGTATGTCTTATATTTCTCTAGGAGACAGTAATATAACTAAGCCACGTATATTATGCATGTCTATCACATTGTAATTTACAAAGACCAATCACATATAATCATCTAATTTTCAACAGGAACTCAAGTAGATAGAATAGTTATCTCCCGTTTTTCATAGCATAGGAAAGTGATTCTTAGCAAGCTTAAGAGGTTTTCAATATATGTAAAGGTCAGGAGAGAACCTTGGTCATCTTACACAGATCTTGAACAGTCTCAGAACTTGATACTCTTAGGAAGGTGACTCCTCACTACATACATGTGAAATAATGGCAGCACTTTAATCAGAAAACTGATTTGCTTCCCTTCTAAGCTACCTTTCTTAGCTCTGCAGTCTATGCAAATTAAACTGATAATTTCTCTAATAAAAATTAAAAATAATTCTAACAACCTCCTGAAGGGAGTTAGAAAATTTCCAAAATGGCTTCAAAGCCAAATACAAAAAGTGATACACTGTTGTACATTTTCCACACCAGGATTTCCTATGCGTATCAGCTAAATGAAAATTGATTACAACTGCATTCTCAACTATTTACATTATTATATTATTGCCAAAACCACTTTGGAAGGCTATTTGACAAATCTAGCTGCACATCAAATCTTCACTTTTTTAGTCAACAATTCAAACTTAGAAAACATGAAAAGTGCTAAAAGTACATACAGGTCTACCTAATTATATAGAATTATAGATTTTAGAAATAAATACATAAAATAGCACCCAAGTTCTTGCCTCCAATCCAACTCACTCTAATCGATGTGGGAGTTCAGTACTAGATTCATCTCCCAGTTATGCCATTTTTATCATATCACTCTCTTGATCGGAAGCATTTAACAGTTTCCTGGACCACACTCCCTAAACTTTGCACTCATAGGCCTTTATAAATTCGGCCCCATTGCTCGGCTAATCCTGACTTTCTATTACACCTCAACAACAACAAAAAAAACCACTAAAGTTATAACTATATAGTGCTTTTGATCTTCAAAGCCCTTTCACAAACATTATCACATCGGATTTTCATAACAACACTTTAAATAGAGGCATTTCACTCAAGGAGAAAAGTCAGGAAAAAAAAATGGTGAAAGATCACACAAACGATGAGCTAAAAGGCAGATGTTGTCTGGGTGCGGTGGCTCACGCCTGTAATCCCAACACTTTGGGAGATCGAGGTGGGAGGACGGCTTGAGGCCAGAAGTTCAAGACTAGCCTGGGCAACAAAGCGACACTCTATCTCTACCAAAAAAAAAAAAAAAAAAAAAAAAGGTAAAATGCAGATGTTTGGGTTTCAAGACCACCACTTTTTACCTGCCAATCAAGTCTGTCTCTTTTTTTTTTTTTTTTTTTGAGACGGAGTCTTGCTCTGTCGCCCAGGCCGGAGTGCAGTGGCCCGATCTCGGCTCACTGCAACCTCTGCCGCCCGGGTTCAAGTGCTTCTCCTGCCTCAGCCTCCCGAATAGCTGGGATTACAGACGCCCACCACCACACCCGGCTAATTTTTGTATTTTTAGTAGAGACGGGGTTTCACCATCTTGGCCATGCTGGTCTGAACTCCTGACCTCGTGATCCACCTGCCTCGGCCTCCCAAAGTGCTGGGATTACAGGCGTGAGCCACAGCACCTGGCCAAGTCCTTCTCTTGTACTCCACTCCAAAACACTTTGTACCCTCCCCGCCTTGATGTCTTTGATTTCTAGCTGTAATATTCTATCTAAATCTTACCAATCTTGGAAGCTCTCCATTTCAAGGAAGCCTTAGACAATCATTCTACTCTAAATAAACCTCTCCACTGAACTTCCCCAGTATTTATGGTATGCTCTAGTCATCTTGTCCCCTTATCCCATATTCTAGTGAATTTCTTAAATCTTTAATCTGGGTTTATGTTATTTCTGTAAGCAGAATCTAAAGTTCTTAGAAAAATAAATGGTTTCAAGCACAGTTTTGGAACTGCCTATAATATCTAGCATAATGTTAGTACATAGCAGGTCCTGAAGAAATACTTCTTGCATTGAAATAGAAAAATAGAATAGTACCTGAGGCATAAAGGATGATTACAAGGTGCAAAGGTAGGTACATAAGAATGAAGCAAACAAGTTCTGGTGAAAAAGAAAAGGGTGAAAAATGAGAAGTCAGAAGTCTGCAGTAGTGAAGACAGCACTAGTAAATCTGGTTTGAGGATTGCAGCAGCTTAGACTCCATAGGAAAACTTGAAAGACGAATTGTTAATTACTGCAGGCAGAGGACAGAGGGGTCACTCCAGTGCTGCGGAAAGAGCCTCAGTAAAGTTCTGACAACTATAAAGGCAACTAATGAGTCATGAGGAGAGCATATTGTGACTTCCATCAGCTATAAAACATCAATAAACTTAATACACTTTTCAAGTAGTGTCATCGGATGAGCATTAACGTCTTAGTGAAATGACTCTTCGCAGGACTCCATACAAAATCTAAATCAAAGATAGTCTTGCCGGTTCTCATATTATTCCAAGTCTCTTCACTCTCTGCCCTCCCAGTCTTCCCCTGCCTACTCGGTTCCATTAAAAATGTAAGCGTGTGGAAAACTTTGTCAGCAGGTGTTAACGTGGCTTTCAAGTTTTGCGTATATCAATCCCCTCCTAGATATAGTCAATTGGATAAGTGACAGATCCTGCTTTTCCTACCAGCCGTATGAACACGGCTGCAAATCCAGCTCCAACCCATAGGGAAGTCCCTGCCACGCGCCACCCACCCATTTGCTCGGCGCCTGCCACACCTTCCCTCTCCTCCCCTTCTAACTGCTCCGATCCCACGGGGGAACCTCTGGGTCCACGGGGTCGAGAAGGCCGCCAGCAGCGGCATCTCATTGGCCAGCTTCTGGAACTGACAGAACATGCAGCCAATGAGATCGCAGTACCGGAAAGTAGCCGGGTTACGTGCTTAAGGAGAGCGGCCTTCAAGAAGAGAACGAAGTTGGGGCGGAAAACAGGAGCTCTCCCAGCGCAGAAAGCCAGGCGAGCGACGACTGCCAGGCAGTGGGACCAGAACTCACCCACGGCGACAGAGCCCATAACTGCATCCCCTCATGGGCCTTTGGGCTGGGCAGCCAGCTCCGTCTTCCTCCTGGTGACGAATTGAGAGCGACGGAGTCGAAGCCAGAGTGACCCCTGGAAAGCAATAACTTCCGGAACGCGGCATTATGGGAAGTGGCTAGGCCACCACCACCCCACCCCCACCTCCCGGGACCATCGGCTCTGACGCTAGTAAATCTGCGCCTGCGTGCGGCTTGCGCCGGATGTTCGGGTTTAGGGGTTTGGTTGTCAATGGGTTTTCTCGTCTCTGACATAACCACGAAGTTATATAAATGCTCCTGAAGTGTGGGCATCCGGTGGTGGTCTGAGCCTTGGAGTTTCCTAGATGGTTACCTTTCTGGAACACATTATATTTGGAGCTAAAAGGGGGAACGCTTAAATTTGTTTCCGTAATTCTGTCCTGTCGACTTCTAAAACTGAGTACCTAAGTTGTCTTGAATTTACCTTCCTGCACCATGTCAGAATAAAAAACGCAGCGAGTGATTTTTTGTTTGTTTGAGACGGAATATCCCTCTGTCGCCCAGGCTGGAGTGCATTCTTCTGCCTCAGCCTCCCGAGTAGCTGGGACTACAGGCGCACGGCACCACGCCCAGCTAAAATTTTTGTATTTTTAGTAGAGACGGGGTTTCACCAATTGGCCAGGCTGGTCTCCAACTCCTGACCTTGTGATGCGCCCGCCTCGGCCTCCCAACGTGCTGGGATTACAGGCGTGAGCCACCGCGCCCGGCCGCGAGAGTGAATTTTTAAAGCAAAACCGAAAGACGGTGTCAGATAAATTGCGGGGGAGGAGGGGATTTTCAAATATTTACTGTCCATTCTTTGAAAATTTGTAAGTGCGAGCCCTGGCGCGGTGGCTCACCCCTGTAATCCCAACACTGGGAGGCCGAGGCGGGTGGATCACGTGAGGTCAGGAGTTCGAGACCAGCCTGGCCAACGTGGTGAAATCCCGTCTCTACTAAAAATACAAAAAATTAGTCGGTCGTGGTGGCGGGCGCCTGTAATCCCAGCTATTCGGGAGGCTAAGGGGGAGAATCGCTTGAAGTCTGGAGGCAGAGGTTGCAATGAGCCAAGATCACTCCATTGCACTCCAGCCTGGGCAACAAGAGCAAAACTCCCTCTCAAAAAGAAAAAAAGAAAATATGTAAGTGCACACTTTGTGCCAAGCCTTTCCTCAAATGAATTAAACATAGGCCTCTCTGCCCTGGAGTCTTAGTTTAGTAGAGAAGATAGTAATCGCTACCGTGGGGGTCGGGGGAGTTGCAGATAGCTATAGAAAAATAGATATGTAAACAGGTAATTCACCATAAAAGAACAATTGGTCATAAAATAAATGTCCATCCTTACTAATCAGATAAAAGGAGTTTAAGATGGTGGCATACTAACCACCAGAGTAACATTTGGTTAAATTTGGGGGAAAACTAGCTCTCTTGCTTTTTACTGCTGAGATAATTTTTGTTTTATTTACTTATTTATTTATTTATTGAGACCGGGTTGCACTCTGTTACCCAGGCTGGAGTGCAGTGGCACGACCTCAGCTCACTGCAACCTCCACCTCCCGATTCTCCCACCTCACCCTCCCCAGTGGCTGGGATTATAGGCACGTGCCACCCCACCACACAGCTAACTTTTGTATTTTTTTGGTAGAGGCAGGGTTTCAGCATATTGGCCAGGCTGGTCTTGAACTCCTGGCCTCAAGTGATCCACCTGCCTCGGCCTCCCAAAATGCTGGATTACAGGCATAAGCCACCGGACCCGGCTTAGTTTCATCTTTCTCTGTATTCTGACAACATTATGACATTACAGTCCAAGAGATATTGGGCTGGTCCTTGTTTGGTCTCTGGTGATTTAGATGAGGCAGGACTGAGCCCCCACGAATGTATTATCTCAAAAAGTTAGTAGCAGCTACTGTGCAAAGTTCGAAGGCCCAAGTCAAATCCTGGGCATATCCACGGATGTGTGGTAGGGCATAGGCTCCAGCTCTCATGCAAAAAAGAACAGGAGTGGGATGAGATAATTTTTTAAAGCTTTCTTCTCCAAGCTCCAGAAATGCAGGCTTTTTGCCCCCACGCATTTTAAAACAGAGCCTTAGGGTCATTGTACCACGTGCTTCCTGTCAGAAAGCCTCTTCCCCCTGATCTTCCGGGGTTGGTATCTTATTGTCATTCTGTTCACACCTTATTTTTAATTTATTTATTTTAGAGACAGGGTCTGGCTTTGTAGCCCAGGCTGAAGTGCAGTCATAGTTCACTGTAACCTTGAATTCCTGTGCTCAAGTGATCCTCATGCCTCAGCCTCGCGTAGCTGGTACTGCAAGTGTGTGCCACCTCATCAGCTAACTTTTTTTTTTTTTTTTTGAAGTCACCGTGTCTCTACAAAAGCCTGCTGCCCAGGCTGGTCTCAAACTCCTGACCTCAAGCGATACTCCAGCCTCAGCCTCCCAAAGCACTAGGATTCCAGGTGTGAGTCACCACACCCAGCTTCTATACATGCCTTAAAAGTCACTTCCTTCCAGTTACAGGGCAATCTAAGTAACACAGTCATCTGATCACTCACATCACCTTACTTTACTTCTCTGCCCAGCAGTTTATCCACTATCTGGTAATTTTCTTTCTTTTTTTTTTTTTTTTGAGACAGAGTCTCACTCTGTTGCCCAGGCTGGAGTGCAGTGGTGCAGTTACAGCTCACTGCAGCCTCAACTTCCCAGGCTCAGGCAATTCTCCTACCTCAGCCTCCTGAGTAGCTGGGACTACAGGCCTACAGGCACACGCCCCCACACCTGGCTAATTTTTGTGTTTTTTGTAGAGTTAGGGGTCTCTGTTGCCCAAGCTGGTCTCAAACCCTGGGCTCAAGTGATCCTCCTTGGTCTCCCAAAGTGCTGGGATTATAGGCATGAGCTATCATACCCAGCCATAATTTTTTTTTTTTTTCTTTTTTTTGAGACGCAGTTTTGCTCTTGTTGCCCAGACTGGAGTGCAATGGCGTGATCTCGGCTCACCACAACCTCCGCCTCCCAGGTTCAAGCAATTCTCCTGCCTCAGCCTCCCCAGTAGCTAGGATTACAGGCATGCACCACCATGTCCAGCTAATTTTTGTATTTTTAGTAGAGACGGGGTTTCTTCATGTTGGTCAGGCTGGTTTTGAATTCCCAACCTCAGGTAATCTGCCCGCCTTGGCCTCCCAAAGTGCTGGGATTACAGGCATGAGCCACTGTGCCCGGCCCATAATTTTCTTTTATTTTTACCTTTATGTTTAGCCCTCTTCATACATACACAGAAATGTGCAAATATAAGCTCTTTGAGAGATGCGACATCTTTGTCTTGTTCATGGCTATAATTAGTACCTGGAAATGCCTGGAATATAGTAAGTGCTCGATAAATATTTATTGAAAAGAAAGTCATGAGCAATAAAATGCTATATAAGAACGTTCACAGCAGCTTTATTTATAATAGCCAAAAAACTGAAGACAGCCCAGGTTTCTATCAAAACAAGAATGGAACTGGTATATTCATATGATGGAATACTACTGAGCAATCAAAAGAAAGTGATACACATGATATCAGATGAAAATATTACCCTGAGTGAAAGAACCCTTACACAAAAATATCTATTGCATGACTCCAACCATATGACGTTCTATAACAAGAAAAATAAGTATGGTGGGGGAAAAAATCAGAACAGTGGTTACCTTTGGGGAGAACTGGTTGGGAACTAAGAAAGGGCATGAAAGAACTTTCTAGGGTGATGGTAACGTTCTATATGTTAATATGGCTTGAGTTCCATAGGCGTGTGCATTTAAAAACTGATGTGTATTTAAGGTATGCATTTCATTTTTACCTTAAAAAATCCTTAATTTGAACTCCAATGATGTGCATTAGAGGTACTTAGAAGCGTACTGTCTGCAGTTTACTTTTAAATGTATGAAAACAGATAGATTGATGAGGTATGTGACAAAGCTGGTAGAGTAAAATTCTGTACTCTCCAGGTCAGTGTTTTTCAACCTCAACACTATCAACATTTTGGACCAGCAAATTTGTTGTTGTCGGGGGATGTCCTGTTCATTGTAGGAAGTTGAGGAACATCCCTGTGCTCTACCTACCCCATGCCAATACCATCCTTCCAGTTGTGACAACCCAAAATGTCTTCAGACACTGCTAAATAGAGGGGAAATCCATCCTTCCCCTTCTCTTGAGGTCTGCTCCACTGTAAAATTCTCTCGACTTCGCTTTACACTTGAATTTTTTCATAATAAATGTTGGAGGAAAAAATAAATTATGACATTGAAAAACGCTCATGAAACACTATGCAGAAGACGTAGTTTATGAAGACCTACAATACATACTGTCGTATTTTTGTTTAAAAAAAAAAAGTGGAGGGGAGACCTAGCAGTGATATTTAGTATTGCTAAATGTCAATGTTTACAAATCTTATCTATGACATTTCTAAAATGAATATTATAAAGTGTATTGCATATAGTTGGATTGGGAAGAAAAACATTTCTAATTATTCTCCTGTCAGCATCTCCTTCAAACTACCCTTTTATTAACAGGGATAGATATGCATTCACACGGTTCCTCCCAGCTTGGTTAATGGGCAAGAACACCTAAGATAGCCAAGGCCACCATGCATCCAGGCTCACATCTCCCTAATTGCCCTCCTCCATGATTCAGGGACAAGGAGGATCACCATCGTGTGGGAAGATACTAGAAATGTAGAATTTGGAACCCCACCCCTACCTACGGAATCCTGATCTGCACTTCAACAGGATCCCCGAACTATTCCTAGGCGCGTTCGAATTTGAGGAACATTAACGGACCAATTCTTTGTCCCTGAAAAGTGCCCGTTATAGAGGCGGCCGCTGGGAAATGACAACGGGGTTGGCATGGAGAGGTATTAAGTAGAAAAACTCCGGCCGGGCACGGTGGCTCAGGCCTGTAATCCCAGCACTGTGGGAGGCCGAGGCCGGTGGATCACCTGAGGTCAGGAGTTCGAGACCAGCCTGGCCAACATGGTGAAACCCCATTTCTACTGAAAAATACAAAAATTATCTGGGCATGGTGGTGGGCGCCTGTAATCCCAGCTACTCGGGAGGCTGAGGCAGGAGAATCGCTTGAACCCAGGAGGCGGAGGCTGCAGTGAGCCGAGATCGCGCCACTGCACTCCAGCTTGAGAGACACAGCGAGACTCCGTCTCAAAAAAAAAAAAAAGGAAGAAAGAAAGAAGAAGAAGAGAACTCTGCGACTGAAAAGTACCTAGCAGGGACAACGCATTCCCTACGTCCTTCCAAGTGCAGACACCAACACCGGCGGACGCGGCTCCCAACAGGCGAGCCCCAGCTTCCGGTCCGCGGCCTTGGACGCGCATGCGCCGCATGCTTTTTTTTTTTTTTTCCGGTAGGTCGCCAGCTGAGGCGGTTTGTAAGTTTTGGGTCGCAGTATGCTAGAATTTTGAGGCTCCCTTCTGATGAAAATTGAGCTGTCCATGCAGCCATGGAACCCGGGTTACAGCAGTGAGGGGGCCACGGCTCAAGGTGAGTCTCGCCTCAGCTAGCGCCAGTGGTGACCGCCACGGGGGTTTCCCACGCTGCAGCGCCCAGTGCAACCCTTTGGGAACGTGCCCGGCATGGCGGCCCCGGTTCCCCTCACTGCATGCGCCCATCGGTCGGCTCGGTCCTCGGCGTTGCTTCCCGGCTTCTGCAGCCCTGCTCCAGCCGGGGACCTCGCCCCGGGGGCAATCAGGGTGCGAGGGCGGCTGCGTGCTGGGCTTTCTTCCTGAGAGCGTCTTGGCTTGGGTCGCGGGGTACCCTGCTCTGTTCTTCAAAAAAAAATCTGCAAGGAAAAGATATTATTCCACTCAGAAATCTCAAGTTTCAGTCTGCGTTCTCTTAAATATATTTTATTTTTTAAAAAAATAATAAAGGCGAGCTCTTACTATGTTACCCAGGCTGATCTTGAACTCCTGGGCTCAAGCAGTCCCCCTTCCTCTGCCTCCCAAAGTGCTGGGATTACAGGCGTGAGCAATCGCGCCCGGCCACAGTCTATTATCTTACAGCATTCGCTGAAATCTTGAATCATAAAATTATCTTGAGGGTTTTTTGGAAGGACTGAAATCTCTTAAGCGAAAATAATTTGGCAGATAAATGACCTGTGACATCACTCCCGTAGTTGTCCGTTCAAGAGTCCCTCCGTCCCGTTCTTCTTTGCTAATCCCATTTCATCTTCGATACCTCCAATTCAATAGCACCCTCTCCCAACTTTACTCACTCCCTGGGAGACTTTAAACAAATATATAGTTCCAAATAAGTGTTGACTCCCAAGATTATATATCTAGCTGAGTCTCTCGTAGACTTCAAAACTATACATCTAACTGCCTGCTAGACCTCTCTATTTAACAGGTGTCTTAGTAGGCACTTCATTACTTGTGTCTAAAACCAAGCTTCAGCTCCCCATGACCATCAACGTCTAAATAAATGGCAGATCCATACTTTCAGTACCTTAAAGCCCCGGAGTCATTCTTCCGTGTCTCATGTAATTCATCTGTAAATCCTGTTGCCTCTGTTCTCTGCATGTATCCAGAACCTGAAGCTCACCAACTTGACCACTATAATCCTATCAAAGCCACCATCATCTCTCCCTAGTTATTGCGGTGTCTATATCTGGTCACCCCACTTTTCCTTTCACTTTTCTCCATAGCAGCAAGTGTGGGGATCTTCATAAGTCAAACCTCTCTTGTAGCTCTTACATGTCAGTCGGGATAAAATTCAAAATTCTGGCCATGCTTTACTAGTCCCAACATAAACTGCCCCACATTTCCTTACTAAACTCTTCTATTCCCCGTGTCCTCAGCTCACTGTGCTCTGGCCAGCTGTTCTAGCACCCTCCTTCCTCAAGGCCTTTGAATATGCTGTTCGCTTTCCCTTGAACACTCTTGGCCAAGAAAAACACATGGCCTCCTTTTTCAGTTCCTTAAAGTCTCTTCCCTACAGTCACCTTAGGAGAAAGGCCTTTCCTGACAATGCTGTGTGCAGTCTCACCCCTGCTGCCTCATTGTTTCCCTTATCCTTGTTTTCTTTTTCAGGTTTCTTCATAGCAGTTATTCACTGGGTACAAAAATTCTTTTTTGTTTTTTTTTGAGACAGTCTTGCTCTGTTGCTCTGGCTGGAGTGCAGAGGTATGATCTTAGCTCACTGCAACCTCCGCCTCCCCAGTTCAAGCGATTCTCCTGCCTCAGCCTCCCTAGTAGCTGGGACTACAGGCGTGGGCGACCACACCTGGCTAATTTTTGTATTTTTAGTAGAGATGGGGTTTCATCATGTTGGCCAGGCTGGTCTCAAACTCCTGACCTTAGGTGATCCGCCCACCTCATCCTCCCAAAGTGCTGGGATTACAGGCGTGAGCCACCACCGCACCTGGGCTGGGCGTATAAATTTGTTTTTGATGTCATGGTATCCTCCCACCAGTAGAGTTGTTTTATTACTTTCATTCATTGTTATCTTAGTGCCAGTGCTTGAACGTAAGTGCTTGAGAAACATTTGTTGAAATGATGACCAATAATAATAATAGTAATAAGCAGCCGGACACGGTGGCTCATGCCTGTAATCCCAGCACTTTGGGAGCCCAGGGCGGGTGGATCATGACGGCAGGAGTTCGAGACCAGCCTGGCCAACGTGGTGAAACCCCGTCTCTACTAAAAAACCCAGAAAGCAGAGGTTGTAGTGAGCCGACTCTGCACTCTGGCCTGGGTGACAGAGCTAGACCCTGTCTCAAAAAAAAAGGTTTTTTTAATTAATAATAATAGTAGCAAGCACGCATATAAAATTTACTGTTGCCAGGCACTTTCCACAAATTCTCATCTAATCATCACAGCAACCCTCTCATCCCAGTTATGGAGTTGGGGAGACTAAAGCACAGATAAATTAAGCCACTTGCCTAAGGTCCTGCAGTTGGTAAGTGGCAGAGCCAGGAGTCGCACCTTGGCAATCTGGTAATAGAATCCAAAAACACTGGTAACAGAGCCACGCCAACAAAAAAACAAAGTAAACCATTTCCTCTAATAACCACCCAAGTAGTTGTTTTTTATGTTTCTCAACTCCAAAACAGACCAGCAAATATGTATATGGAATTCCAATAAGTCCAGGGATTTTAAGTATGTATGAGGATTTTGTTTAAAAAAAAAAAGGCCGGGAGCAGTGGCTCATGCCTGTAATCCCAGCACTCTGGGAGGCCAAGGCGGGTGAATCACCTGAGGTCGGGAGTTTGAGACTAGCCCAACTGACATGGTGTAACTCCATCTCTACTAAATACAAAAAATTAGCTGGGTGTGGTGGCGCATGCCTGTAATCCTAGCTACTTGGGAGGCTGAGGCAGGAGAATCGCTTGAACCTGGGAGGTGGAGATTGCAGTGAGCCGAGATTGCACCATTTCACTCCAGCCTGGGCAACAAGAGCGAAACTCCGTCTCAAAAAAATAAATAAATAAAAAATCGGAAAAAAAACAAAAGAAAACATTGCGATTAAAGGAGGGAGGAATATTTGCAGTTCCAACAGTTATTAGAAGAGGAAAACTTCAAATTAAACATGAATAGACATATTAATAAATATATGTTAATATATGTATAAATATTATCAAGGCTACCCACCATCTTTTATGATACTTTAAATGCTTATATTTAAACTACTTAAATTCAGGTAACTACATGGCAAAATAAGGAATCCTGCTCTGTTCTGTGGAGAGGAGGGCTAATGTCATTTGGCCTGGAAAAACATGTTCTGGAGTCAGACAGAATACTGAACACCCCTCTTGGAAATTCACAGTTTAAGACTCTGAGAAGTCACAAATAAGAATTGTGCCCATATAGTCTCTCGCCTAATTAGGATTGCTTTTGTCTAGGATAAATACCTAAACCATATGGGGCTGGGCATGGTGGCTCACGCCTGTAATCCCAGCACTTTGGAAGGCCAGGGTAGGTAGATCACCTGAGGTCAGGAGTTTGAGACCAGCCTGGCCAACATGATAAAACCCTTTCTCTACTAAAAATACAAAAAATTAGCTGGGCGTGGTGGCGAACACCTGTAATCCCAGCTATTCGGGAGGCTGAGGCAAGAGAATCACTTGAACCCAGGAGGCGGAGGTTGTGGTGAGCCAAGATTGTGCCATTGCACTCCAGCCTGGGCAACAAGAGCAAAACTCCATCTCAAAAAAAAAAAAAAAAAAGACTAGGTGTGGCGGCTCACACCTGTAATCACAGCACTTTGGGAGGCCAACGCGGGTGGATCACAAGGTCAGGATTTCGAGACCAGCCTGCCCAACATGGTGAAACCCCATCTCTACTAAAAATACAAAAATTAGCTGGGCGTAGTGGTGTGCGCCTGTAATCCCAGCTACGCAGGAGGCTGAGGCAGGAGAATTGCTTGAACCTGGGAGGTGGAGGTTGCAATAAGCCAAGATTGCACCATTGTACTCCAGCCTGGGTGACAAAGTGAGACTCCCATCTCAAAAAAAAAAAAAAAAAAAAAAACGCATCATAATCAAACTTCTGAAAACCAAAGACAATGAAAAATTCTTAAAATTAGTGACAAAAATGAACCTTATCTGTAAAGGAAAACAATTCAAATGAGAGTGATTTCTCATCAGTCACCAGAGAGGCTAGGTGAAGAGGCACAGCATTTTTCAATTGTTGAAAGTAAAAACCTGTTAAGCCAGAATACTGCATCCAGTGAAAATATTCTGCAGAAATGAAGGGGAAATCAAGACATTCTAAGATGAAGGAAATCTAGGAGATTTGTCACCAGCAGACCTATCCTAAAAGAATGGTTAAAATAGGTTCTCTAAACAGAAAAGAAATAATAAAAGAATTATTATTAAAGAAATATAATTTAGACCTATTTTATTTTACTTTATTTATTTTTATTTTTTTATTTTTAGAAGGAGTCTCGCTCTGCCGCCCAGGCTGGAGTGCAGTGGCTGTATCTCGGCTCACTGAAAGCTCTGCCTCCTGGGTTCACGCCATTCTCCTGCCTCAGCCTCCTGAGTAGCTGGGACTACAGGTGCCCGCCACCACGCCCGGCTAATTTTTTGTATTTTTAGTAGAGATGGGGTTTCACCATGTTAGCCAGGATGGTCTTGATCTCCTGACCTCATGATCTGCCTGCCTTGGCCTCCCAAAGTGCTGGGATTACAGGCGTGAGCCACTGCGCCAGGCCATTTAGACCTATTTTAGGACTGTTAAGACTGAGATGGTCTCTGCTGTGGTTTAATGTGTGCCCCAAAGTTCATGTGTTAGAAGCTTTATCCCAAAGCAATAGAGTTGAGTGGTGGGACCTTTCAGAGGTGATTAAGTGATATGCAGGGATATAACAAAAAATGTAACATTCCTGTCATCAGCATTTCAGAAGAAGAGAAAGAAGGCAGGGTTGAAAAAGTTCCCAAAGAACAGGGCCCTCACAAATGGATTAATGGTGTTACTGCAGGAGTGGGTTAGTTATTGTGGGAGTGGGTTCCTGATAAAAGCATGCATTTGGCCCCTTCATCTCTCTTGCACTTGCTCTCATTCTCTCTTGCCCTCTGCCTTCCGCCATGGGATGACTCAGTAAGAATGCCCTTGCAAAATGCAGGCACCATTCTCTTGGATTTCCCTGCTTCCAGAACAATAAGCCAAATAAATTTCTCTTCATCGTAAACTACCCAGTCTCAGGTAGTCTGTTATCGTAACAGAAAATGAACTAATATAACATCCAATAGAAATATACAGATATAGTTAAATTTACAAATATGGGGCTCGAGAATTTGGAACATCCTAAGAATTTGAGAATTGTGAACATTTAATATTCAGTAATACTTGGTACCATGAGACAATAGAGAAGATAAAGATGTCCTCAACCAAACCTTAAGGGATGCTAACATTTTAAAGATCTTGCTTGGCAGTAGTATGGTATGGCATATAAATTATACCTCATTAAAGCTATTAAAAAAACTACTGAAGGGAAAATTCTACGTTATAAACATATCGTCTTTTTCTGTATTAATCTTTAATTTCTTTTTTTTTTTTTTTTTTGAGACGGAGTCTCACTCTGTCGCCCAGGCTGGAGTGCAGTGGCGCGATCTCGGCTCACTGCAAGCTCCGCCTCCCGAGTTCACGCCATTCTCCTGCCTCAGCCTCCCGAGTAGCTGGGACTACAGGCGCCGGCCACCACGCCCGGCTAATTTTTTGTGTTTTTAGTAGAGGTGGGGTTTCACTGTGTTAGCCAGGATGGTCTGGATCTCCTGACCTCATGATCCGCCCGCCTCTGCCTCCCAAAGTGTTGGGATTACAGGCGTGAGCTACCGCGCCAGGCCTAATCTTTAATTTCAATGCAATTACCATTTTTTCTTGTTTTCAAAACTTAACAAAATTATTCTAATGTTTATATGTGAGAAAAGCCAGGAAATACCAAAAAAGAATTCTAGAAAAGAAGAGTGATGGCTATGAAGAGACAGAGTAGGAGCAATTTACTAACCCATCATAGTGATTTCAAGAGTTGAGTATTAGTTAGCTGGGTATGGTGGTAGCATGACTGTAGTCCCAGATACTTGGGAGGCTGAGACAGGAGGATTGCTTGAGCCTAGGAGTTCGAGGCTGCAACGAGCTATAATCGCACCACTGCACTCCAGCCTGGGTGACAGAGTGAGACTCTGTCTCAAAAAAAAAAAAAAAAAGAGTATTAGGACATGATATTATAGACAGATCAATATAACAAAATGGAGAATCCAGAAAAAGACTCAAATACATATAGGCACTTAACATATGTTGAAAGAAACATTTCAAATTTATTATAAGATGTACTGGTAAAAATGGCTAGTTAACTGGAAAAAAAAAATAAGCTGGAAACTTCCGTCACCTTTTAAAGTGAAGTATATCCCAGATGGATCAAATATTTAAATGCAGAAATTGAAAATGTATTCCAAATAGAAAATAGAAGACTTTTTTTTTTTTAATTGATCATTCTTGGGTGTTTCTCGCAGAGGGGGATTGGGCATGGTCACAGGACAATAGTGGAGGGAAGGTCAGCAGATAAACAAGTGAACAAAGGTCTCTGGTTTTCCTAGGCAGAGGACCCTGCGGCCTTCCGCAGTGTTTGTGTCCCTGGGTACTTGAGATTAGGGAGTGGTGATGACTCTTAAGGAGCATGCTGCCTTCAAGCATCTGTTTAACAAAGCACATCTTGCACCGCCCTTAATCCATTCAACCCTGAGTGGATACAGCACATGTTTCAGAGAGCACAGGGTTGGGGGTAAGGTCACAGATCTACAGGATCCCAAGGCAGAAGAATTTTTCTTAGTACAGAACAAAATGAAAAGTCTCCCATGTCTACCTCTTTCTACACAGACACAGCAACCATCCGATTTCTCAATCTTTTCCCCACCTTTCCCCCCTTTCTATTCCACAAAACCGCCATTGTCATCATGGCCCGTTCTCAGTGAGCTGTTGGGTACACCACCCAGACCGGGTGGTGGCCGGGCAGAGGGGCTCCTCACTTCCCAGTAGGGGCGGCCGGGCAGAGGCGCCCCTCACCTCCCGGGGGGGGGCTGACCACCCCCACCTCCCTCCCGGACGGGGCGGCTGGCCGGGCGGGGGGCTGACCCCCCAACCTCCCTCCCGGACGGGGCGGCTGGCCGGGCAGAGGGGCTCCTCACTTCCCAGTAGGGGCGGCCGGGCAGAGGCGCCCCTCACCTCCCGGACAGGGCGGCTGGCCGGGCGGGGGGCTGACCCCCCCACCTCCCTCCCGGACGGCGCGGCTGGCCGGGTCGGGGGCTGACCCCCCCACCTCCCTCCCGGATGGGGCGGCTGGCCAGGCGGGGGGCTGACCCCCCAACCTCCCTCCCGGACGGGGCGGCTGGCCGGGCAGAGGGGCTCCTCACTTCCCAGTAGGGGCGGCCGGGCAGAGGCGCCCCTCACCTCCCAGACGGGGCGGCTGGCCGGGCGGGGGGCTGACCCCCCCACCTCCCTCCCGGACGGGGCGGCTGGCCGGGCAGAGGGGCTCCTCACTTCCCAGTAGGGGCGGCCGGGCAGAGGCGCCCCTCACCTCCCGGACGGGGCGGCTGGCCGGGCGGGGGGCTGACCCCCCCACCTCCCTCCCGGACGGGGCGGCTGGCCGGGTGGGGGGCTGACCCCCCCCACCTCCCTCCCGGAAGGGGCGGCTGGCCGGGCGGGGGGCTGACCCCCCCCCACCTCCCTTCCGGACGAGGTGGCTGCCGGGTAGAGACGCTCCTCACTTCCCAGACGGGGTGGCTGCTGGGCGGAGGGGCTCCTCACTTCTCAGACCCAGCGGCTGCCGGGCGGAGGGGCTCCTCACTTCTCAGACGGGGTGGTTGCCAGGCAGAGGGTCTCCTCACTTCTCAGACCGGGTGGCCGGGCAGAGACGCTCCTCGCATCCCGGACGGGGCGGCAGGGCAGAGGTGCTCCCCACATCTCAGACGATGGGCGGCCGGGCAGAGACGCTCCTCACTTCCCACATGGGATGGCGGCTGGGAAGAGGCGCTCCTCACTTCCTAGATGGCAGGGCGGCTGGGCAGAGACGCTCCTCACTTTCCAGACTAGGCAGCCAGGCAGAGGGGCTCCTCACATCCCAGACGATGGGTGGCCGGGCAGAGACGCTCCTCACTTCCCAGACGGGGTGGCGGCCGGGCAGAGGCTGCAATCTCGGCACTTTGGGAGGCCAAGGCAGGCTGCTGGGAGGTGGAGGTTGTAGCGAGCCGAGATCACGCCACTGCACTCCAGCCTGGGCACCATTGAGCACTGAGTGAACCAGACTCCGTCTGCAATCCCCGCATCTCGGGAGGCCGAGGCTGGCGGATCACTCGCGGTTAGGAGCTGGAGACCAGCCCGGCCAACACAGCGAAACCCCGTCTCCACCAAAAAAATACGAAAACCAGTCAGGGGTGGCGGCGCGCGCCTGCAATCGCAGGCACTCGGCAGGCTGAGGCAGGAGAATCAGGCAGGGAGGTTGCAGTGAGCCGAGATGGCAGCAGTACCGTCCAGCTTCGGCTCGGAATCAGAGGGAGACCGTGGAAAGAGAGGGAGAGGGAGACCATGGGGAGACGGGAGAGGGAGAGGGAGAGGGTTTTTTTTGGTTTTTTTTTTTTATTTTTATTTTTTGAGACGGAGTTTCACTCTTTTTGCCCAGGCTGGAGTGCAATGGCACGATCTCAACTCACTGCAACCTCTGACTCCCAGGTTCCAGTGATTCTGTCTCAGCCTCCCAAGTAGCTGGGACTTCAGGCACGCACCAACACACCCGGGTAATTTTGTTGTATTTTTTAGTAGAGACAGGGTTTCGTTATGTTACCCAGGCTGATCTAAAACTCCTGGACTCAAGCTATCCACCCTCCTTGGCCTCCCCAAGTGGTGGGATTACAGGTGTGAGCCACCGTGCTAGGCCAAAAGGAACTATGTATTAAGAATTTTCTTTTAAAGAAAAGAAGCAGGGGACTGAGTACAATTGTAAATTTCTGTTCTGTATGGCAACTTTCTGGAAAGTAACTTGGCAATATCTATCAAAATTTAAAATGTACATGTTGATACAACAATCCACCTCTGTAAGTTTATTATTGAATACACAGTATTCAGTTTACCATACTATATATATAAAAAGACCTTGCATTATAGGATTGTTCATATTAGTAAAAATGTGGAAACAACCCAAGTGTCCATCAATAGGTAAAGAATTAAATAAGTTATGGCATATCTACATGATTCAGTATAACAGCCGACAGTTACAAAGAATGAGGTAGATCACTATATGTTGACAGTGAATAGATCTACAAAATATATTTGGTGGGGAGGGAGATAGGAAATAGGAGGAAAAAGTATATATTATCCCCTTTGGATTTAAATATGTATACTGTATATATCTCACATTGTACATATTTATACATTATACCAGCATTTTTCACATATATATATGTATAATGCTTAAGATGTTTTAATGTTAACAGGGGTGACTTAAGCTACAGGACAATTAACACTTATTTTCTCTTTATGTTCCTCTGCTTCTTAAAAACTAATAAATAGGCCGGGCGCAGTGGCTCACACCTGTAATCCCAGCACTTTGGGAGGCCGAGGCGGGCGGATCATGAGGTCAGGAGATCAAGACCATCCTGGCTAACACGGTGAAACCCCATCTCTACTAAAAATACAAAAAATTAACCGGGTGTGGTGTTGGGCGCCTGTAGTCCCAGCTATTTGGGAGGCTGAGGCAGGAGAATGGCGTGAACGCGCCGAGGTGGAGCTTGCAGTGAACCAAGATTGCGCCACTGCACTACAGCCTGGGTGACAGAGCGAGACTCCGTTTCAAAAAAAAAAAAAAAAAAACTAATAAATGCCATGCACAGTGGCTCATACCTGTAATGCTAGCACTTTGGGAGGCCAAGGCAGGAGGATTGCTTGAGCCCAGGAGGTCAAGACCAGTCTGGACAACATAGCAAGACCTTGTTTCTACAAATAAAAAATGAAGCCGGGCGTGGCAGTGCATACCTGTGGTCCTAGCTACTCAGAAGTCTGAGGTGGGAGGATTGCTTGGGCGTGGGAGGTTGAGGTTGCAGTGAGCGGGGATCATGCCACTGCACTCCAGCTGTGGTGACAGAGCTAGACCCTGTCTCAAAAAAACCTAATAAACATTAATATTTACTTAAAAAGAAGAAATTGACCATCCACGTAACCAAACTCTCTGACTGACTTTGTTCATTCTAGGTTTCCAGTGTAACCAGTCATATCCTCTCTTCTGGCTACATTATTGATACAGCTTTTTGACTACATAATTGGTTTACTTTGATGAAATTGCCCATTATGGTAGCTCAAGTTGTCCACTCAACTATCTAGACACAGAAGAATGTGGTGTCTACTTACTATTAAGAGTTTTTTTGTGTTTGTTTTTTTATAGATGGTCTCAGTATGTTGCTCAGGCTGGTCTTAGCATAGGACTTAGCATATTATATCTGAAAGTAGAGTAATAGGGAAAGAGACTAATTAAATTGTACAATTTATGAAGAAACCAAGTACAATTTTAGTAAGTACACATGTTGATGTATTCATTTCTTCCAAGATTGCATATGTAAATTGTCTCTCTTATCTTTACCTCCTTAGAAACTTACACATGTCCAAAAATGATTGAGATGGAGCAGGCGGAGGCCCAGCTTGCTGAGTTAGACCTGCTAGCCAGTATGTTCCCTGGTGAGAATGAGCTCATAGTGAATGACCAGCTGGCTGTAGCAGAACTGAAAGATTGTATTGAAAAGAAGACAATGGAGGGGCGATCTTCAAAAGTCTACTTTACTATCAATATGAACCTGGATGTATCTGACGAAAAAATGGTAATTCAGTTTTGCTTTTAGAGGGATTGAAACATGTTGAGACTTAAAACATTGGTTAGTGCACTTTTTCTTCTTCTCTTTAATCAGGCGATGTTTTCTCTGGCCTGTATTCTTCCCTTTAAATACCCGGCAGTTCTGCCTGAAATTACTGTCAGGTACGTTACAGAAGCTCTGGCCAACTTTGGAGGTCAAAATTAATCTGAGAATAAAAGCAATTCTCGAATTTGTTTTCTGTTCCAAGACAATATTTTTCTTGTATCTTTTCTATTAGATCAGTATTATTGAGTAGATCCCAGCAGACTCAGCTGAACACAGATCTGACTGCATTCCTGCAAAAACATTGTCATGGAGATGTTTGTATACTGAATGCCACAGAGTGGGTTAGAGAACACGCCTCTGGCTATGTCAGCAGAGATACTTCATCTTCACCCACCACAGGAAGCACAGTCCAGTCAGTTGACCTCATCTTCACGAGACTCTGGATCTACAGCCATCATATCTATAACAAATGCAAAAGAAAGAATATTCTAGAGTGGGCAAAGGAGCTTTCCCTGTCTGGGTTTAGCATGCCTGGAAAACCTGGTGTTGTTTGTGTGGAAGGCCCACAAAGTGCCTGTGAAGAATTCTGGTCAAGGTTTGCTTTTACATATGTATATGAAGTCATGTCAATAATGTTAATACTAAACAAGATACAGTCATGTGCTGCCTAGTGACGTTTTGGTCAACAGTGGACAACACATAAAACAGTGATGCCATAAGATTATAATGGAGCACATATAGAAACCTGATATATGGCACTTGATCTTCCCACTATTGAATATCAGAATGATATTCAGTAATGGTGCTGGGACATTTGGTTTTCTATATGAAAAAATATAAATGCAAAAAAAGTACCATCTAGGTTTGTGTAAGTACACTCTGTCGTGGTGGTACAACAACAAAATAGCCTAAAGATACATTTCTCAGAATGTATCCCCGTTGTTAAGCAACACATGACTATTAGAGATGTGGAGATAAGTATGTCCCAGGGGTTGTGTCTTTATGGGGATTCAATCTCAAGTTGATGGATATGGCAGAAATCACATGTAGTCAGCATTTTCCCCGTCACCTGACAAGTGCATGTAGGAGACATTCTGTAAATATGCACTGAATGAATTGAGCTCCTGCCCCAGACACTATGACCCCATCCACTTCCATGGATCTGGTCCTTCCCTCATTTTAGTGATGCTGCAAACTGTATACCCTGTGAAGTAAGGAGCTTTCTAGAAGCATTAGAATTGCCACTAGTCTCATTTCTCTACTGATATACTAAATGAATTTCTGAGAAGGTCCATAGTAGTTTGGGATTCAGTAATTCCTACATTTCTAAACTACTGATACATGGCTGTAGTAAGGGCAACAAATGAGTTCAGAGATGAGATTATGACCAGAATCATATTTGATTAAAATAAATCCCTGTGAGATAAAAGTAGACTTCTTGGACGGGGTGTGTATGACTCACACCTGTAATCCCAGCACTTTGGGAGGCTGAGGCCAGAGTATCACTTGCAGCCAGGAGTTTGAAACCAGCATGAGCAACATAGCAAGACCTGCCTCTACTAAATCAATAAGTAAAAGTTATAAACATTTTAAAAAGTAGACTACTTCTAGGAAAAGGCATTGATAAATCTGTTTTATAACTTCTGTTTTAAATGCTCTAGAATATACATTTTGAAAATGTTTACTTTGGAAATTTCTTTTCAGACTCAGAAAATTAAACTGGAAGAGAATTTTAATTCGCCATCGAGAAGACATTCCTTTTGATGGTACAAATGATGAAACGGAAAGACAAAGGAAATTTTCCATTTTTGAAGAAAAAGTGTTCAGTGTTAATGGAGCCAGGGGAAACCACATGGACTTTGGTCAGCTCTATCAGTTCTTAAACACCAAAGGATGTGGGGATGTTTTCCAGATGTTCTTTGGTGTAGAAGGACAATGACATCAAGAGTAGTTGAAAGTATCTTGCCACTGTTGGCCTTTTGATTTTTTTTTCCCACTTTTTCTTGAAAGATTAAGTAATTTTATTTTAGTTCCATTCTAGAATGTTGGGGAGTGGGGCACAAGAAAAAATAGTATAGCTGAAATGCATCTGTTAAAAATGTCATGATTGAAAGCAGAACTGAGTTTCAAATTACAACCTTAAAATTGTTGTTAGATATTTCTTCACATATCAGCTGCCCATTTTGAAAAAGAAATTATCCATAAAGGTAATGTTGGTGCTCCAATTTGCCAGCCATTCCCAACCCCCTTCTCCCTTACCTGCCTTCACTAAAGAACCCAGAAAAGCTAATTGCTCCCCTTTCAGCCTCTGTTGCAACTAACAACTCTCAGTGGCCTCAGGACACAGCTTTGGCCTTGGGAATTCTGGGAAAACTTTTACTTCCTGATTAAAGATACATATGCAGCTAGGCCACCTCCTCCCCCCCTTACTGCCATAAACACCAAAGTGATGACTGGAGCTGGAGGAGTTATTTGAACCACGACGAAGGGCCAAGAGAACCACGAAGATGCCAGTTGCCACATTGTTGAGCTGCTGACCCAACACCAGCCATTGCCTGTCTCTAAACATCTTATGAAATAAAACCAGTTTTGTTTAATTTCTAGGCTTTTTTTTTAAATAGACGGAGTCTTGCTCTGTCGCCCGGGCTAGAGTGCAATGGTGCAACCTCCGCTCACTGCAACCTCCGCCTCCCAAGTTCAAGCGATTCTCCTGCCTCAGCCTCCCAAGTAGCTGAGATTACAGGCGCCCGCCACCATGCCTGGCTAATTTTTGTGTTTTTTAGTAGAGACAGGGTGTCACCATTTTGGCCAGGCTGGTCTTGAACTCCTGACCTCAGGTGATCCTCCCACCTCGGCTTCCCAATGTGCTTGGATTACAGGCATAAGCCACCGTGCCTGGCCAATATCTAGGCTTTTTACTAGCAGTTGAAAGCTAGTTTGTCAAATAGAGTTTTTCAGAGCTTTAGTTTTGCATTTACCCCAGCCTTTTGATACACAAATAGGTGAAGTTTTTCTGAAGTGGAGTTTGCAGTTCCCCACTTTTTGTATACTCACGCTCTGCCCCTGCTCCTGGGCTTGCCTCAGACAAGGCTGAGGCATTAGTAGGGCTTAAACTTTTTTAACAAGCCTCAACAATTCATCAAATTAGTAATTTAGAAAATTTGTTTGGCAAATTGTATTCTGACATTTTTTGTTCTGGAAATGGCTTTCTGTACATTTATTTTTGCCAAATTGACCTAGCATTAAATAAACACACCACCCAGTTTTTGAGGACCTCCATAAACCAGTTAGTTCCAAAAGCATTTATTATTTGCTAATTTGCTAGCATGCAGGTTGATGCAGGTTGATACCAGGTGTTGGATATTTCTTGACCAGTCAGACTTGGTTAAGGAATGGAGTTGGGGTGAGAGACAATGCATTAAGTTAGTAAAAGGTTGTAGGCAAACTATGCTTATCACAAAATGAATCAGTTAGTAAAAGACAGCATATATTATGTAATACAATGTAGAAATCTGAAGGAATAAAATGGAAGAAGGCAATGTGGATAGATCTTAAATATAAAGGTGGTTAAACATAAATGAGAATCAGAATGGTATTTAAAGCACAGTGCTTGTATTGGACCTAAATCTTATGTACGTCCCCAGATTTCCTCCCTGCTGCCCTGTCCTATCGCCCCGTCAGTTGCCCTGGAAATCCCAGTTCCTCTGCTGCCACCAGACAGCCAGGTGGACCAGTTGTGTGTCTAGTTTCTGATTCCTCCAGCGACTAACAGATTTGTATGAAATACCCTACAGAGAATGGAATCTGACATCCCTACCACCAAAGGGGGCAGATGATGCATATATTACTTTAAGCAGCTAAAGTGGCAGCTAAACTGCTAAAACTTTTTCAGTCTCTCTACATTATATTAAAAACCAGATTGCTATGTATAATATGCAGATCTCAAATGTCACATAAACACATAGAATGCAACAGAGTAGTTTTATAAGTTTTCTTTCCTGGGACATCTGTCAAATTTAGACATTTATGATTAAGTCATATAAGCCAGGGAAGTACAGATTTTCCAATCTTGTGATGACCAACTTCCTTTGAGAATGGATAAATGTAGTTAAATGTTAGAAATGTTAGAGTATAAACAATATAGCTTTCTTAGGTTTCTTTCTCTTTTTTTTTTTCTGGAGACAGAATCTGGATCTGTCACCCAGGCTGGAGTGCAGTGGCGCAATCTTGGCTTACTGCAACCTCCGCCGCCTGGGGTTCAAGCGATTCTCCCACCTCATTCTCCCGAGTAGCTGAGATTACAGGTGCGTGCTACCACGCTCGCTATTTTTTGTATTTTTAGTAGAGACAGGGATTCACTATGTTGGCCAGGCTGGTCTTGAAGTCTTGACCTCAGATGATCCACCTGCCTCAGCCTCTCAAAGTGCTGGAATTACAGGCGTGAGCCACCGCGCCCTGCCCAGTTTCTGCCAATGATTATATACTTGATATATAAACATCCTTAAATATAAAATGTTCCGTATGATTGCACATAAAAAATTTGTTCAGCAACGACAATTTGTCAACATATTAATGTAATAAATAGTTTGAACTGGAATCACCTATAAAAAATGATAAATCCTGGAAAGAAACCGTTTCAAGTCAAATTATGTTTAAAAGTTACATTTTTCTAAAGAAAACAAGTATAGGCAGGGAATACTGGCCACATGCCTTGTTTTTTTTTTTTTTTTTTTTTTTTTTTTTTTTTTTTAAGACGAAGTCTCGCTCTGTAGCCCAGGCTGGAGTGCGAGTGCGGTGGCGTGATCTAGGCTCACCACAACCTCTGCCTCCCAGGTTCAAGCAATTCTTCCTCAGCCTCCGGAGTAGCTGGGATTGCAGGCGCGCGCCACTGCACCCCGCTAATTTTTGTATTTTTAGTAGAGAGGTAGGTTTCACCATGTTAGCCTGGCTGCTCTTGAACTCCCGACCTCAGGTAATCCGCCCGCCTCGGCCTCCCAAAGTGCTATTTATTTATTTATTATTATTATTATTAAGAAAGATGCGTATCAGGGAAACTAAAAAAGACAGACTATGGGTGAAATTCCATAAAAGCGGCAATGCAGCCAAGGTTTAAAGGTATTTAAGGGCAGACGCAGAAATTACGTTCCCGCCCCACCCCACCCCCCCAGCGATAATTAGAACTACTTGGGAAAACTAAGTCCATAAAAACTCAGCAAAGGGGCACCACGAGCCTTCCACTTTAACACAATCTGCCAATCTGAAGCCATCAGATCCGGGAAGGGATGTAGGTCGTAATGTCCTTTGCCATCCCTGCGAGGGACAGAGCTGGGCGAGGAAAGATTCCAGATCAGCTTGGAAGTGTCTCCTGGCTGCCTACAGACACCCGGGTATCGCAAGGCGCCCAGATGCTCTGGGGCTGTCATTGACAGCTAGGCTTTCTCTTGTGACCGCGGCAGCTCCCGAGCACTCGCAGGCCTCACACGCAGCCTAAGAGTGCGGAGTGAAGCTCGCTATGCTTCGCGCGTGCGCCTTCCTGGGCCGGGGTGACCCGGAAGCACTAGCTCGTAAGTTGCCGGGATGCTGTGAGCACGGGGACTTATGAGCAGGTCGCGTCACTGCAGCTGCGAGCGCTGCGTTTCGGATTTCGGCAATAGCTTCCGACCCCGGGCTTGAGTCCTAAGCTGCGGACTCGCCTCCCCAGTGGGCATCTCGCAGGCCAGCCAGATGCTGCTTTGGGGCGGAGTTGGACTTTTTATTTTTTTGTTGTTGTTGACGCTTATTATCTTTTGGAAAAACAGGCATAGATCCCCATTCTCGGGACTTCCCAGATGTTGCTGCAACTGGGGGATTAGAGGAATGGTGCACCCTGGGACCCAGGTGGTGCCTTCGAAGTCCAGGGTGTTCCTCGATTTTAACCAGGGAATTACCGAAATGGAGGGTTTTTTCCCCACTGGGGCATTTGGCTTTTCAGATTTTGTAAACCTGCTTTCCCTTGTTCCTCCCACCAACAAATTATATATATTATTTATATGTTATATATAACGTATTACATATATGTATTATATATATGATTACACATAATATGTATCATTATAGGAAGAGTAGAAATAACTGGATTTTAAAGTCACCCACAATCCTGTGTCCAAAAAGACAATATTAAATTTTGGTTTTACATTTTATTTTCTAGTATCTTATTTTTGCATGTGTGTATATGCGGGGTTTTCTTTAAAAAAAAAAAAAACAAATTAGGCCGGGTGCGGCGGCTCACGCCTGTAATCTCACCACTTTGGGAGGCCAAGGTGGGTGGATCACCTGAGGTCAGGAGTTCGAGACCAGCCTGGCCAACATGGTGAAACCCTGTCTGTACCAAAAATACAAAAAATTAGCCAGGTGTGGTGGCAGGCGCCTGTAATCCCAGCTCCTCGGGAGGCTGAGGCAGGAGAATCGCTTGAACCCGGAAGGCAGAGGTTGCAGTGAGCCAAGATCACGCCACTGCACTCTAACCTGGGTGACACAGCGAGACTCCTTCTAAAAAAAGAAAAGGTGCAGCAATGACTAGCCTTGTGCATTCATTTTTCTCCCCCCCATCTTTAACACTTATTTCTTTAACAGAATTATGGAGCGACTATAATTGAAGATGGAAGTTTCGTGGGAAGGGATATTCAACATAGTTAACAACCAATATGACCTGATCACCATCCATTGGAATAGCCATATGTCTAGGGCTGGAATGGGGTTTTAGAAGCCTGATAAATCAGCAATTCACACTTTAGCCAGGAATCAGGGGGAGGTCAGAAACATCCTAGGGAAATGGGAAGGGCAATGAAAGAACATTTCAGAGGGTATCAGAGAATTTTACTATTCTAACACCCATTTAGTTAAACGTGTATAATAATCATCAGCCCAATTTGTATGTTTGCTATTGAAAAGATAAGGATTATAATCTGATTATCTTGTCCTCTTGTGTCCAGAATTGGTGGGTTCTTGGTCTCACTGACTTCAAGAATGAAGCCTCGGACCCTCATGGTGAGTGTTACAGCTCTTAAGATGGCACGTCTGGAGTTTGTTCCTTCTGATGTTTGGATGTGTTGAGAGTTTCTTCCTCCTGGTGGGCTCGTGGTCTCGCTGGCTCAAGAGTGAAGCTGCAGACCTTCGCAGTGAGTGTTACAGCTCTTAAGGCAGTGTGTCTGGAGTTGTTCGTTCCTCCTGGTGGGCTCCTGGTCTTGCTGGCTTCAGGAGTGAAGCTGCAGACTTTCGTGGTGAGTGTTACAGCTCATAAAAGCAGTGTGGACCCAAAGAGTGAGCAGTAGCAAGATTTATTGCAAACAGAAAAAAAAACAAAGCTTCTACAGTATGTAAAGGAACCAGAGCAGGTTGTCACTGCTTGCTCGGGCAGCCTGCTTTTATTCTCTTATCTGGCCCCACCCACATCCTGCTGATTGGTCCATTTTACAGAGAGCTGAGTGGTCTGTTTTGACAGGGTGCTGATTGGTGCATTTACAATCCCTGAGCTAGACACAAAGTTTCTCCACCTCCCCACTAGATTAGCTAGGTACATCCACACAAAGGTTCTCCAAGTCCCCACCAGAGTAGCTAGATACAGAGTGTCGATTGGTGCATTCGCAAACCCTGAGCTAGACACAGGGTGCTGATTGGTGTGTTTACAAACCTTGAGCTAGATACAGAGTGCCGATTGGTGTATTTACAATCCCTGAGCTAGACATAAAGGTTCTCCGCGTCCCCACCAGACTCAGGAGCCCAGCGGGCTTCATCCAGTGGATCCCGTACCCGGGTTGCAGGTGGAGCTGCTTGCCAGTCCCCCGCCGTGTGCCCGCACTCCTCAGCCCTTGGGTGGTCGATGGGACTGGGAGCCGTGGAGTAGGGGGTGGCGCTTGTCGGGGAGGCTCAGGCTGCACAGGAGCCACGGAAGCGGGGAGGGGAGGCTCAGGCATGGCGGGCTGCAGGTCCCGCGCCTTGCCCCGCGGGAAGGCAGCTAAGGCCCGGCGAGAAATTGAGCACAGCAGCTGCTGGCCCAGGTGCTAAGCCCCTCACTGCCCCGGGCCGGCGGGGCGGGCAGGCAGGCCGCTCAGAGCGCAGGGTCCGCCGAGCCCACGCCCACCCGGAACTCACGCTGGTCCGCAAGCACCGCGCGCAGCCCGGGTTCCCGCCTGCGCCTCTCCCTCCACACCTCCCCGCAAGCTGAGGGAGCGGGCTCCGGCCTTGGCCAGCCCAGAAAGGGGCTCCCACAGTGCAGCGGCGGGCTGAAGGGCTCCACAAGTGCTGCCAAAGTGGGACCCCAGGCAGAGGAGGCGCCGAGAGCGAGCCAGGGCTGTGAGGACTGCCAGCACGCTGTCACCTCTCACTGTGAAATTGGAGGAAAACTCATCTGTTGAAGTCAAGGAGGAAGGTAGAATGATCAGAGTTTTGAAGAAGTGTTCAAATAATTAATTGCTGGGAGTCCTAAGACATTACGGAAGTATGGTACATTTGTTGGGCTGTATTGAAGACACAACTAAGGTATGGGATAATTAATTCTTAGTGGTCTAAAGCTTGTGTTGACTAAATTGTTTGTTTTCCAGGTAGTGTTCAACTTTTCTCTGGAAAAAAAAAAGCTGAAAACAAATAATTGGCTTTGTGTAGTGTTTGGTTTCTCCAGATGAATAGGCTGAAAGAGCAGATGTACAAGAGACTTCGTGGTATTGGCAAGAGAGTGATTGACACAAAAGATCATGAACTCTAAAGTGAACAATGAAGAGAGTAAAGAGAAAAGAGTCCTTAAAGTTAGCGAGAAAATATAAGGGCCAATGCAAGGTTAAGATTTCCTTGAAGAATGTCTAGGTGGAAACAGTTAAATGAGGAATCTGGCAAGAGAGATTGTGACCCAAGAGTGGGGTGAAATTGGGAAAATTTAAGTATTAATATCAGGATGTGACTGTGGTGTGGTAGATGAAGTGGAATGGAGGAAAAGGATATGAGAGATGAAGATTTTTATAACTGAGAGGCCAAGCAATGGACAGATATGCCACATGAACCTAATTAGGACTTTAAAAAGACCATCCAGGATGATGTTTGGAATGAGGGTGGAGAGCCAAGTGCTAAGTCTTTAGAGACTAAAAGGGAGTGACCAGGAGGCTGGTAAGAGGACAGATGTCAGAAGGTGTATTCTGTTGACAGCAGCCCAAAAACAATGATTTATTGTTTTAAGGAAAGTGGAAGCAAAGAAGATCCTATTCTTATCTGCAGACCCCTGAGGTAGGTAGGATTTTAGACAATAAACAGCACTCATGAGAGGCTGCTATGGAAGCACTGTCATTAGCCAAACTGTAAACACGTGTTGAGGGTGAATATTGGCTCATCACCGAAGCTGCAATTCCAAAGAATATGTGGGAAGAAAGGGCTTTGTAGGGCACATAGGAGTAGGGGTTAGACCAGCAAGAAAGGACACAGTTTTTTTTTGTTTGTTTGTTTTTTTGAGAGGGAGTCTCGCTCTGTCGCCCAGGCTGGAGTGCAGTGGTGCGATCTCGGCTCACTGCAAGCTCCACCTCCCGGGTTCACACCATTCTTCTGCCTCAGCCTCCGGAGTAGCTGGGACTACAGGCGTCCACCACCACGCCCGGCTAATTTTTTGTATTTTTAGTAGAGACGGGGTTTCACCGTGTTAGCCAGGATGGTCTTGATCTCCTGACCTCGTGATCCACCCGCCTCGGCCTCCCAAAGTGCTGGGATTACAGGCATGAGCCACCGTGGAAAGGACACAGTTTTATGTGGTAAGGAAATAATATATACATGTGTCTGTATCTCCTTCCTGCCTTCTTGACTTCCTGAGTCCAGACTCAGTATTACAGTTTCCTTCTAGATTCCGGAAGTCTGTTTTTCATCAGTTTTAATTTTAGTTGTGTTGTTTTTGTCGTCTTCAATGTTTTCATCAATTTTTTTGTGTGTATGTGAATTTGAGAGGGGCTGCTAGCAGATGCTATTTTGAACTGGAAATTCACCTATATATTCCTCTAGTACTATTATGGTTATTTTCTTTTCTTTTAAATCCCTCTGATATAGTTTGGACATTTGTCCCCACCCCAATCTCATGTTGAATTGTGATGAGTTACAGCTGGTATATACTGAAATTATTCTTATTGTACATTTATTTTGTAGTGTTAGCAAACTATTATATCTTATTTTCTCAATTGACTCTCTACAGATCTCAGTTGACAAACAAATGCTCTGCTGGCATATATTACCTATGTAGTGTTGCTGCTATTTAAATAAGAAGTTTGCTTAAAAAGAATTTAAAAATACTTTTTTCCTTCTTTCCAGCGTTCAAGATGTCAAAGCGAGGACGTGGTAGGTCCTCTGGTGTGAAATTCTGGATTTCCTTGGGTCTTCCAGTAGGAGCTGTGATCAACTGCTGACAACACAGGAGCCAAAAACCTGTATATCATCTCCGTGAAGGGGATCAAGGGACAGCGGAACAGACTTTCTGCTGCTAGTGTGGGTGACATGGTGATGGCCACAGTCAAGAAGGGCAAACCAGAGCTCAGAAAAATGGTACATCCAGCAGCGGTCATTAGACAACCAAAGTCATACCGGAGAAAAGATGGTGTGTTTCTTTATTCCGAAGATAATGCAGGGGTCATAGTGAATAATAAAGGCAAAATGAAAGGTTCTGCCATTATAGGACCAGTAGCAAAGGAGTATGCAGACTTGTGGCCCTGGATTGTGTCCAATGCTCGCAGCATTGCATGATTTTCCAGTAGATTAAAAAGAAAAAGAAAAACTTTAAACCCATTAAAAAGTATTTGTACCCCCCCCCAAAAAAATACATCTTAATAACAGTTGAAGGTAAAGTACCACCAAGTTTAATAAAGATTAATTAATGCTGAGTTGTTTTGTTTTGTTTTGAGACGGAGTCTCGCTCTGTTGCCCAGGCTAGAGTGCAGTGGCACGATCTCGGCTCACTGCAAGGTCTGCCTCCTGGGTTCATGCCATTCTCCTGCCTCAGTCTCCCAAGTAGCTGGGACTACAGGCGCCCACTACCATGTCCAGCTAATTTTTTGTATTTTTAGTAGAGATGGGGTTTCACCATGTTAGCCAGGATGGTCTAGATCTCCTGACCTCATGATTCACCCGCCTCGGCCTCCCAAAGTGCTGGGATTACAGGTGTGAGCCACCTGGCCCAGCCGAAATATATTTTTAAGTGCTTGATGTCTGATTTTCCTCCTCAGAAACTTGTCTGGATGGGTAAGATTATTTTAACATCAGACTTCTGTAAGGCATGCCCAATATTTACTTAGGGAAAAAAGGCTATAATTCTGATGTGTAACTCTTAATCTGTGAAAACAAGAATTTATAATATTAATAATTATGAATGAAGAAGGGAGGGTTTCAAGTCTCTTTTTTTTTTTTTTTTTAACTCCCAACCTGGTTTCTGAAGAGTTTCTAATCTTGGCCTTAAAAGTATTGACATTTCTTTTTTCTTTTTTTCTTTTGAGACAGAGTCTTGCTCTGTTGCCCAGGCTGGAGTGCAGTGGTGTGACCTCAGCTCAGTGCAACCTCTGCATCGTGGGTTCAAGTGATTCTCCTGTCTCAGACTCCTGAGTATGTAGGATTACAGGCACGCACCACCACGCCTGGCTAATTTTTGTATTTTTGGTAGAGACAAGTTTTCACCATGTTGGCCAGGCTGGTCTCGAGCTCCTGACTTGAGGTAATCCTCCTGGCTTGGCCTCCCAAAGCATTGGGATTACAGGCGTGAGCCACTGCACCCAGCCGACATTTCTTGACATAAACATTAACATTTTGACAAAAATTAAACATTATTTTTAATGTTCTTCTGTCCAAACCTTTTCTGCCTATCACCTACTGTATTGATAGAAACAATTATTTTCTGATTTCTAAAACCTTGTATGAATCAATTAAAACAAATTTGCGGGTATCTACTTTGGCAGGCACTGTTTAAGAGTACCATGGAGATAGCCTCACCTTCAAAGGATTTACAGACTTGCTGGAAAATCTAAACATGAGAAACTGTTAAATCAATGAGACTATTTTCAAGTTCCCAAAGCAGTAATATCCTACTGACTTCTGGGTAAAAAAATAAACCAGTTATAAGTTGATGTCCTAGGAAAATCGAAGAGAGATCTGTGTGGCCTGGAGTAGTTGAGGAACATGGCAAGAGGCATGGATCCCTGTTGCAAAAGGTGGAAAGTCTCGTCAGAATACAAGGAAATGAAATGAAGAGATATTTCCAGCAAGAACAGACAAAATTTAGGAAACAATTAGTAAATAGGAGCACAGAAAATCATTCCAGTCTTGTCCTTCAAGTTTTTTTTTTTTTTTTCCCCCTGGGTAAGTCTGCACTGAAGTTAGGCTAGATTCTTGACTGTCCTTTCCGAAATCCATGCTAATCCAACTCACTGTCTCTGTCCCTCTCTCGTCCCCATTTTGAATGTTCTCCCTTTTATTTTACTTTTCCTAATGTTTTCCAAGCTTTGGGCTTTGGCTTGGAAAGCCTATCTGACTACTCAAGCACATGTTAATCTTCCCCTTCTGTAGCATTTTTGATATGTGACACCCACATTTTCAGTGAATGGCATGATATCTAGTAGTGTTTCCAATGTGTTAAACTGTTTGCAGCTATATTGTATAACTCTCAAGAATGAGGACACTACAATTTGTATAACCAATGTACCATGATATATGTAACCAATGATTTATTTTAAACAAACAATATTTGTTGAGTTGATTTTTTTTTTTTTTTTTTGAGACGGAGTCTTGTTCTGTTGCCCAGGCTGGGGTGCAGTGGCGCGATCTTGGCTCACTGCAACCTCTGCCTCCTGGGTTCAAGCAATTCTCCTGCCTCAGCCTCCCACATAGCTGGGGTTACAGGTGCGTGCCACCGTGCCTAGCTAGTTTTTGTATTTTTGGTAGAGACGAGGTTTCACCATCGTGGCCAGGCTGGTCTTGAATTCCTGATCTCAGGTGATCCACCCACCTTGGCTTCCCAAAGTGCTGGGATTATAGGCATCGGTCACTGCACCCAGCCTGAGTTGATTTTTAATTACATAATTAATACATGAAGATGTTGTCCTTGTATAAAATAAAATCTTACAGATAAGGCTTAATTTCCTTTGACTATAACTCTTAACCCTAATGTCTTTTCTTGCCACTTTTTCCCACAAAAAGTCACTACAATGATCAGACTGGTATGTATTCTTGCAGATCTTTATTTTATTATTATTTTTTTTTGAGACGGAGTCTCACTTTGTCACCCAGGCTGAAGTGCAGAGGCGCGATCTTGGCTCACTGCAACCTCCACCTCCTGGGTTCAAGCAATTCTCCTGCCTCAGCCTCCCTAGTAGCTGGGATTACGGCTGCCTGCCACCATGCCCAGCTAATTTTTGTATTTTAGTAGCAACGGCGTTTCACCATGTTGGTCAGGCTTGTCTCAAACTCCTGACCTCAAGCAATCCACCCACCTCGGCCTCCCCAAGTGTTGGGATTACAGGCGTGAGCCACCGCACCCGGCCTATTCTCTGTATTTATATTATATATATATGCATAAATATATATATATATATATTATTGTGTTGTGGGTTTTAAAAACACAAATGGTATCATACTGTATATATTGGTATTTGCTTTTTATTTAAGAATGTGTCTTAGAATTCTTCCTATGTGTGTTCAGATAAACCTTATTCTTCTTAAATGTTGCCTAATAGCTTATTGAATACATATAATTTATTTAGCAGTTCTCCAATATATAGACATAGGTTGCTTACAATTATCTTTCTATTATAAAGTTTTTGTGAACCTCCTGTAATATGTCTCTTTGTGTGACTTTTTTCTGAGACAGTCTGCTCTGTCACCCAGGCTGGAGTGCAGTGGCATGATCTTGGCTTACTGCAACCTTCGCCTCCCGGGTTCAAGAGATTCTCGTGCCTCAGCCTTCCAAGTAGCTGGGATTGCAGGCACCTGCCACCACTGCCCAGCTAATTTTCGTATTTTTAGTAGCGATGGGTTTTTGCCATGTTGGCCAGGCTGGTCTCGAACTCCTGACTTCAGGTGATCCACCTGCCTCGGCCTCCCACAGTGGTGGGATTACAGGCATAAGCCACTGCACCTGGCTTTTGTGTGCATTTTAAAATCAGGGTCCAGTCAGGAAAACAGAAATCACATTAGTTATTGAGAAATATTTTAATATGGGAAATTGGTCAAAAGGAATTATAAAAGGTAACAGGTAATCACTGCAGGTAGCAGCTACCATTCCTAGAGCTAGGAAAGGATGGAACAAAAGAAGTGGTTGGAGTCATCAGAACCTAAAAGCTTGAAGGAGGGCCCTGAACACCTTAGTTCAGGCCTATGAAGAATGAAGAGAGGGTGATGGCTGGCTGTTACTGGATCTCTGGAGCACAAAGAAGGGATCCCACGGTGTTGAGGCTCAAACTTCTGAGGAGGTGGCTCAAACATTGGCTATCTCAGGAGCTCAGGGGAGGGGCCGCATGAAAGTAGAATTCAGATCTCTGAGGAGAGCACTGACTGCTGCTGTGATCTCTGAGGGGTGCAATAAGGCTGATTCTGTGATTGTTGGAAAAAGGATAGAGATTAAAACCACCTTTTGGCTAAAGCAATTGCTCCTGCCACGGTAAAATGCAGCTGCTGCTGGCATGATGCTTACAGAATGGAGCAAGTCCCTTCTTCCTCTTGCCTTTGTTTCCCTCTTGTTCGTCCTGTTGGTGGAATCTAGCAGAAGCCCCCCCAGTAACATGGAGTTGAGTATAAAAGGGTGACTGCGTGGACAAGAAACAATAACCAGCACACATTTACTTGTTTCTCTGGTGTGATTCTGAGTCGCACAATCAATGGGTTACAGGATTTGTACATTTCAAATTTTAATAGGGACTCCCACATTATCCTCTTTCCTAAACTGCACGTTAACAGTTTCAATATGAATAAAAGGGGACGGGGAGGGGAGATTTAGAGAGAATAGTGCCTACAGCAGTAATCAAATTTTAACAAGACTTGGGAATACTGTCAAAATGCAGGATCTGATTCAGGAGTTCTGAGGGGCCCGAGTTGGCCTTTTCTAAAAAACGCCCAGGTGATACTGATGATTGCATCATGTTGGAAGTCTAAAACACTCCCATCTTCCCACAGCCTCTACCATAACATTCTAATGCTACCCTTATGTGAAACTGCCCCTCTGATGATTCACGCCAGTTTCCTACCCTCTAAGCAAGGAACAAACCTAGCTTCTGAAAGCGGGGAGGACAGGATTTGGCGCCACGGGTCCAATGCTTGGCTTCCTATTGGCCAGGAATGACATCACTCAGACAGGCGTGGCTTTAGCTGTGACGTCTCCGGTGGCGGATGGTCAGGGACACAGCGGGAGGCGGGAGCGGAAGTGGGGCAGCAAATGGACAGGGTGGGTGGCGGAAAAGGGCCCGGGGGAAGTTATTACAGGGTGTCCTCTTCCGCCGCCAGAAGCCGGAAGTTGTGTCCCGGACGTGTCAACCGGGGTCTGAGTGCTCAGAGTACAGCTGCAACCGCGACCATGGGCGGGAAGAACAAGCAGCGAACTAAAGGGAACCTGAGGGTGAGCGGGGGCTGGCTCGGCCGACCCGGGAGCCTCGCTTCGAGGCGGCTGGCTCCGCCCAGCGCGTTGCTGGAGGGTGTGTGGAGCGCGGCTGTAGGGAGGCGTGTGTTTCCCTGTCGAGTGTGACCTCTCTGTTGTGTGTGCGTCCCTGAGAGCGGTTTGTGTTATCTCTGAGCAGATTGGGGAATCGTGAGAGAAAAGATGTACCATGCCAGAGCTGTCCTCATCCGAGCACACACCCATAATATTCATGAAGAAATGATAATGTGTCAGGTTCACTGGAAGGTGATCTGGCCGAGGTAGCGGGTTGGTTGGGGGAGGGCGGCGCTGGGAAGAAGGAGAGTTGGGAGAATGTTAAAGTGAATCCACTGTGGAGGTTACCGCAGATTGTGCCTCTCCTTTGCTACCTACAGTGGCTTCTCCTAAGCTAAAGCTCTTAGGATGGTATATTTGGTTTCTGGACTGCCTGTTACCCCTTTCCATCTGCAGTCCCATCTTCAGCTCCCTCCTCTTGGCTTACTTCATCCAGCCACACTGATCTCTTCACTGTGCCTTGACTACCTGGCCGGCTCCCAACGCTCTTCAGTTAGGTGGCTCCAAACTTTGCTCTCGACACCTCAGTGAGGTCTCCCATGATCACCCTCTTGGTAGCCCTTCCCCACTCCCATGTTCTTCCTACTTTATTTTACTCCATTGTATTTATGACATTTATTGTCTTGGTTCACTAGGACGTAAGTATTTTGAAAGCAAATGTTTTTATCCTCGGAACCTAGAACAGACTGGCACCTAATAGACGCTCACTAAGTACTTGCTTAAGGACGACCTTAAAGTGGATTCGTGTAAAACTACACGATGAGGGGTTTTGTAATGGTATTTTTTTATGGTGTTAGATTTATTATAGCACAGTCCAATTTTATGAGAATGCTTTTTTTTCCTGTTTCTGATGTAGTTAATTCTAGTGATTTCAATGTCACATTTTCTTAGATCTGTCACTTAATCTGTTTTGGAAGATAATAACAGTATTAACAATTATAGCAACCTGTTGTGTTACTGTGCTAAGCACTTTACTTGCATCTTTTAATGTTTTTTATTTAACAGATTTTCTCAAATGTTTTATATTTGAAAAGTTCTTATGAGGAAAAGTTGCAAGAATATTAGAACGACATCCCATATACTCTTTACCTACATTTACCAATTGCTAATACTTGGTTGCATTTGCTTTCTCTCTCTTAATTTATGTATTTTTCTGAACTTATAAGAGTTAGTTGCAGAAGTCGGGACTCTTAACTCCTAAATACATCAGCATGTATCTTCTAAAAACAATGCCATTTTCTAGCCTGCAGCAATTATAATAATGGTTATAGTATGCAGAAACTTTGACTTTTGTATAATACTGTAATCCAGGATACAGCCTTGTATTTAGACTTCTGTAGTTATCCCAATAATGTTCTCTTTTTTCTTTTTTTTTTTTTTGTAAGACAGGGTCGCTCTGTCTCCAAACCTGGAGTGTGGTGGTATGATCATGGCCCACTGCAGTGTCAACCTCTTGGGCTCAAGCGGTCAGTCCTCCCACCTCAGCCTCCTTAGTAGCTAGGACTCCTGGCTAATCTTTTTTTTTTTTTTTTCGGGGACAGAGTCTGGCTCTGTTACCCAGGCTGGAGTGCAGAGGCGTGAACTTGGCTCACTGCAATCTCCGCCTCTCGGGTTCAAGTGATCCTCCCAGCTTAGCCTTTCCAGTAGCTAGGACTACAGGTACAGGCCATCACGGCTAGCTTATTTTTGTAGGGACAGAGTTTTGCCATGTTGCCCAGGCTGGGACTTTTTTAAAAAGATAAACCGTTTTAACATCTGAGATTCAGTCAAGGATCACTCATTCCATTTAGTTACCATTTGGGTTTCTTTGATCTAGACAGTTTCTCAGTACTGTTTAAGCGGGGAGAGGAGTGTCTTTTTTAACAAAATTTGGAAGAGCCTGGGCCATTTGTTTGATTAATTCAGATTCATCTAGTTTTTTCCTTATGATTAGATTCAGGCTAAACAATTTTTAGAAGGAATTCTTCATAGATGATGAGTCTTTCTCAGTGCATCACACACCAGGGGCACTTCGCACCTGTTTGTCCCCTTATTGGTGGTATTTGTTTAATTACTTGGTTAAGGTGTTGTTCATTATAAAGTTATATTTTTCCATTGGCCAATAACAAATAATATGTTAGTTTGAAACTGTGAATGTCCTGCTCTTCCACAAACTTTCACCTAATGGTTTGAGCACCCTTTGATTCTTGCTGGAATCAGTTATTACTATGGTGATTTAAAAACTTATGCTTAATCATGAAAACAACCCAACTAATGAATTAATTACTCATATCTCATTTTAAATGTGGTGAAACTGAGGTTTAGAGAAATTAGCTTGCCTAAGCTCATGTAGCCAGGAAGTTGTGGAGTTGGGATTTTAACTTTAATGTGGCAAAGTCTTCAATAGAAGACTCTGATACTGGATGTCAGGTATTCAGAGATAATAGATGTCTGCTGTTCTTGAACTATTAGTTTGATGATACAGACACATATGTAAGCAAATGTTAAAGAATTATGATGCAGGTATTAGAAGAAAGAATGTGGGAGAATGGAAGAGAATGGAGGAAGGCAAGTGTTGCAAACATGAGTTTGAAAGATGAGTAGGAGTTTGTCAGACAGTGAAAAGAAAGGAAGCGTTTTCAGGTAGAGAAAAAAGGTTATATAAAGATCAAATTGTGAAAGGCCATCACATAGATAACTTTTTTTTTTTTTTTGAGACAGAGTCTCGGGTCACTGCAACCTCCACCTCCCAGGTTCAAGCAGTTTTGTTGCCTCAGCCTCTCGAGTAGCTGGGATTACAGGCATGCACCATCACACCCGGCTAATTTTTTGTATTTTTAATAGATACAGGGTTTTGCCATGTTGGCTAGGCTGGTCTCAAACTCTTGGCCTGAAGTGATCTGCCCAAAGATACGCTCAGCCTCCTAAAGTGCTGGGATTACAGGTGTGAGCCACCATGCCCTGCCTCAGAGAACTTCGAATTCAGTTTGCTACTAGGGCATGAATGATGGCAGCATAATTTGAAGAAGGGAGAAGGAAGTGGGGCAAGGGAAGGAAAGAGTGGCAGGAGATAAGACTGGGAAAAGTTGAGGTTAGATGGTGAAAGGTCTTGTAAGTCTTCCTTGGTTTGGTCTTTGTAGACTCAGGATTGCCACCACAAATAACTCTAGAAGCTAGGCATGAAAGAGTGTAGACAGAAGTAGGCATAGTACAAAAAAAAAAATAAGTGCCATAAATAGAATTGTTTCTTAATTTTTATTGAACTATGGGTATAGCACTTAACATACAAAGATCATAAGAGTAACTATATTTTAAATTTAAAGTAGACATTAAAAAAAGATAGTGCATTTAAAAGTAACTTGTTACTTTTAAATTGGAGACTGGAAATTTGATACCTTCTCTTTTGCCCCTAGTTATCACTCCTAATTCTGTTATTTCAGCCTCAACTCCTTTAGATGTTAGCAATAATTAGTTTTTTATTCTGTTTCATAATAAAACCGTTTACACATGAGATTGTAGAAAATTCTGATACCCTAAAGTCATCATATTTAGTTTAAGAATTATAATTCACTAACTACTTCCTTTGTGGCTCTTTATTCATGTACCAATATTGAGAAAGGTGAATTGAATAATTAATATTAATTCATTTTAATAAACTTAAAAAATAGAGAACAGCTGCTTTGCCTATGGAGTAGCCATTCTTTTATTCTTTTCTTTTTTTTTTTTGAAATGGAGTTTCGCTCTTTTTGCCCAGGCTGGAGTGCAATGGCGCAATCTCGACTCACTGCAATCTCTGCCCCCTGGGTTCAAGCAATTCTCCTGCCTCAGCCTCCCAAGTAGCTGGGATTAAAGGCATGTGCCACCATGCCTGGCTAATTTTGTATTTTTAGTAGAGACGGCGTTTCACCATGTTGGCCAGGCTGGTCTTGAACTCCTGATCTCAGGTGATCTCCCTCCTCAGCCTCCCGAAGTGCTGGGATTACAGACGTGAACCACCGCGCCTGACCTATTTTCTTAATAAACTTACTTTCACTTAAAAAAAAAAATAGAGAACCTTTTTTGGAATTAGTCTTAAATGCTACAGATTGAAAACAAATGTAATGCAGGCCATCATTTTCTTTCCTGTTCACTCAGTTCAGTTTAGGAAGTAGGCCAGATTATTCCTTGTCAGATGAATTTTCCAAACACACTTTTGCTAGGTATTAGGAATTTTTTTTTTTTTTTTGAGACAGAGCCTCGCTCTGTTGCCCTGGGTGGAGTGCAGTAGCACAATCTTGACTCACTGCAACCTCAGCCTCCCAGGTTCAAGCAATTCTCATGACTCACCCTCCTGAGTAGGTGGGATTACAGGCACATGCCACCACGCCTGGCTAATTTTTGTGTTTTTGGTAGAGACAGGGTTTTGCCATGTTGCCGAGGCTGGTTTCGAACTTCAGGGCTCAAGTGATCCACCCGCCTTGACCTCCCAAAGTGTTGGGATTACAGGCATGAGCCACCTTGCCTGGCCGGTATGAGCAATTTGTTTTTTTTTGTTGTTTTTTTTTTTTTTTGAGACAGAGTCTCGCCCTGTCACCCAGGCTGGAGTGCAATGGCACAATCTTGGCTCATTGCAACCTCTGCCTTCCGGTTCAAGCGATTCTCTTGCCTCAGCCTCCCGAGTAGCTGGGATTACAGGCGTGCGCCACCACGCCCAGTTAATTTTTTGTATCTTTGGTAGAGATGGGGTTTCACCATGTTGGCCAGGCTGGTCTCGAACTCCTGACCTCGTGATCTGCCCGCCTTGGCCTTCCAAAGTGCTGAGATTACAGGCGTGAGCCACTGTGCCCGGCCGGTATGAGCAATTTGAATCACACATTTGGATAACCGTTGGCAAACATCCTTATAGAGAAATAAGAAATAGATGACTTTAGATGGGTTGTGATGTCAGCTTGGTGGTCAAACTGAAGCATTTTCTGTTTAGATAACAATAAGTTAATTTCTTTTAGCAGTTCAAATATTTTCTTTCTCTGTATCAACTCACCTCCTTTTAGTAGAAGACTACTATATTGTGTATCAGTCAAAGAAACCACTGACTATGATTCAAAACAAAGGAGTCTGTATTATAGATTGACTGTTGTATTGATTTTTATGGCTATAATAATGTAATTTTAGCCCAAAGAGGTTAGGCTAGGCTTTGGAGTGTGTGGAAATGAGTGTATCCACTCTCAAGGAACTCTCAGTCTAGAGGCAGCTATCATTAGACCTGGGCCATTGTGATTGTTTAATAAATATTTGTTCATTTAATGGGTGAATGAAAGGATGGGTTCTATTTATGAGTTCATTTTACATCATTACATAGTATACATATGTGTATACATACTATTTATATGAAAGTTAGAAATAAAAAATTCATAACAGCATTTATGAAAATTTTCCTGCATGTGATACATTCTGATTTTAAAAATTTTAATCAATTTCTTTAAAATTCTGTCATGGTCCATTATATTGATATCATGAGCCACTAATGGATTGTATCCATGGTTTACAAAACATTCTAATGTTTAAGAAACAGAATAATTTCTAGGATCAGTATTGATGGATTCTTGGCAACAAAACCATTAATCTTTGGGGAACTTTGCAATAGATGAAATTTTAGGCTAGGAAAAAAGAAAATAAAATAAAAGCTCATTCTGACCATGGGAATAGCCAAGGAATTATAAAGTTAAGTTTTGAACCCTTCCTGGACTCTGACTTTTTTCTCCGTAATTTTCTTATCAGCCTTCAAACAGTGGCCGAGCTGCAGAACTCCTTGCCAAAGAACAGGGAACAGTGCCTGGATTTATTGGTTTTGGAACATCTCAGAGTGACCTAGGCTATGTTCCTGCTATTCAAGGAGCTGAAGAAATTGACAGTCTTGTAGATTCTGATTTCCGAATGGTGCTGCGGAAACTTTCAAAGAAAGATGTCACCACAAAATTAAAAGCAAGTTTTCTTGTTTTCATAAAAATTATCAAGAAAATCCCTTTGTTAAAATAAAATGTCATTAGCATGTTTTATGTAAAGAAAAATGAACAATTTATTGCTAAGTTCTTTTATAATTGTACTTTTTTCTGACACAGAGTCTTAAACTTAGTTGATATTTATTTTCTAGGTCGTAAATTAGTTTGTTACAGTGAACTTTTTTAAAGTGCTTTGGAATTTTGGCTGTATAGTTTTTCCCATTAGGGAATGTAACTTTGACCTTGTAACTTTAAATGAGGTTTTTTTGTTTGTAGATGTTTTATTTTTAAAAAAACAACTGAAGAGTTTCTACCGTAGTAGCCTGTGAAAGAGCTCTTCAAACTAGTCTCATATGGCATAAAGAGAAATAGTGTATTCTCCTATTACATAAAATAGACAAAGCTTCCAGAACAGAATAATCTATAGCCAGTTATTATGGTTGTTAATCCTAATGATGTTAATAACTTACTTTTAGGCTATGCAGGAATTTGGAACCATGTGTACAGAGAGAGACACAGAAACTGTGAAAGGAGTTCTTCCATATTGGCCAAGAATTTTTTGCAAAATTTCACTTGTAAGTATTAAAACTTTGCTAGTTTATTTCTGTTGTATATTTTTTGGTTGGAGTCATGGAGACTCTCAAATTTATAATGTTGATTTTTGGTGAGGGTTATTAAATGTTATGTCAGCATTGTTATGCAGATTGAATTGTTAACACTTGAGAAGAGCGTGGAAATAAAAAAAGAGATTGGGGCCTGGTATGGTGGCTCATGCCTGTAATCCCAGCACTTTGGGAGGCTGAGGTGGGCAGATCACTTGAGGTCAGGAGTTTGAGACCAGCCTGGCCAACATGGTGAAACCCTGTCTCTACTAAAAATACAAAAATTAGCCGGGTGTGGTGATGGATGCCTGTAATCCCAGCTACTTGGGAGGCTGAGGCAGGAAAATCGCTTGAACCCGGTGGGGCGGAGGTTGCAGTGAGCCAAGATTGCACCACTGCACTCCAGCCTGGACAATAGAACAAGACAATGTCTTTAAAAAAAAAAAAAAAAAAGATTGGATTGTGTTGGGTTATGAAGAACATTTAGGAAGTCTGTTTTCAGAAATTAGGTTGTTACTGGAGAATTACCCAGGTGCTTTCCAGTTTTAATAAATTTTGATAGTGATTTTATTCCCTGTATATTTGCTGCAGAAGAATGAGAGTGAGTTGCTTAATTATTGAAGACCCAACTTTTTTTTTTTTTTTTTTAATTGAGACGGAGTCTCATTCTGTCACCCAGGCTGGAGTGCAGTGGCGCGATCTCTGTTCACTGCAACCTTGTCTCCTGGGTTCAAGTGATTCTCCTGCCTTAGCCTCCTGAGTAACTGGGATTACAGGTGTGTGCCACCATGCCCCGCTAATTTTTTGTATTTTTAGTAGAGACGGGGTTTCACCATGTTGGCCAGGCTGGTCTTGAACTCCTGACCGCCAATAATCCGCCTGCCTCGGCCACCGAAAGTACTGAGATTATAGGCACGAGCCACCAGGCTCGGCCTCAAGGCCCAACTTTGAATCTGTCTTGAATACAATCCTATCTCATTGGGAGAAGGGGAGAAAGAAAAATTAATAAATTATTTTACATAGTTTCTGATTTAAAAACCTCCAAATTATTGATTTAAAAAAAATGATTTCAGTTTAGCTTAATACATAGGTGAATTCTTGGTAATGGGTCATTATAGCATATCCGGAAATGTCTGTGATTGTTTTTATGGGCTAGAGCTATTTTAAATCACATTTATATTTTTAATAGGATCATGACCGTCGCGTCCGAGAAGCCACACAACAAGCTTTTGAAAAACTTATCCTTAAAGTAAAGAAACAGTTGGCTCCCTACTTAAAAAGTTTAATGGGATATTGGCTAATGGCTCAGTGTGATACTTACACACCAGCTGCGTTTGCAGCAAAAGATGCATTTGAAGCGGCTTTTCCTCCAAGCAAGCAACCTGAAGCCATAGCATTTTGTAAGGATGAAATTACAAGTGTAAGTTCTGGAATCATTCTGAATCTATTTTTTTTTTTTAAGTATTTAAGGGTTATAAGCATAATGACAGCTCTTTTACTTGGGATTGTAGGGGAATGAGTAAGTAGAGTATTTCCAACTGAAGGTTGCCTTTTTAAAATTCTGTTTAGTTAAATAACCATTTTGGATCTTTAACAAGATTAACATTTTGGATTGGATCTTTCTACAGTATTTAAATTTTCCATTTTAATTTTGAAGTCTTTATTATATTTTTAAAAAGTAGATGTTTTATGTAATCTAAACAAGTAATATATCTAAAAATAAATCTAAAATTATTTTCTCTCGTGTTTCCATATCAATATATATATATATACAGATCTAACTTAGTGTCTTTTTCTTTTTATTGGCTCTCTGGTATTACTATACATGGATGTACTGTAGTTTATTTAACTTTTTAGATTAATATACATTTGGATTTTTTTCCAATTTTTATCATAACAAATGCTATTTCAGTAAACATTCTTGAGTAGATCTCTTCATACCCTTGTGGGAGTGATACTTACTAGAACTTCTAGTAAGCATATGTTGGGCCAAAGAATAAGAACATTAAAATTTTTTATAATGATAAATGGCCCTTCAAAAGGCCAAACAAATTTATACTCCCATTTTCAGATAAAGTTTCTCCACACTGGGCTAACACTTTTGCCATAACTTTCTCATAAAAAGTTACCAGCCATACCTGTTTGTGGCTTTCAGTGTGTCTGTTTCTAGTAGTGTCTCATTTCTTCCCCCTTCATTTTCTATTCCCAATATATGGACTAGAAAAACCAGACAACAAAGTTGTTAGAATTATATTGAGAAATAAAAGTAGATGAAGTAGAAGTGAGGAGGGAATTGATAATTTTTTAAAAAATCTATGCTTGCATTTATTCCCTTATTTAGTACTCCTGTGTTTCCACAACACCCTGTGTATAACCCTACTTAAACATTTCCATCTGACCCTCTCCCCCTGCTTTCCTTCCTCCTTTCAATTAGCCATCCTTCCTGTGGCTCTCCATTACACTTTTAAGTTCAAATTTCTTGTCTTGACATACAAGGCTCTGCATGATCTGGTCCCTGCTTCCCTATCTAATCTCTTCACCCAGCACTCCCCAACACATAACTTGATTGTAGTACCTCATTTAGGTTCTTCCATTCTTCATTTCTCAGGTGTACCAAGCGTGTTTTTCTAGAGAGAGGGTTTGTAGCTTTAATCATATGCTCAAATGGAGTTTTCTAACCCATCTGTAGCATAAGAATCATTGGTTGATTTAAAATGCCAAGTTATAAACGTTACAAGAGTGAAGTGTCATGAGTTTGGACGCTAAGAGCTTTAGGAAATGGATTTTGAGACAACTAGTTTGGCTCTTCATAGGCTTTAGAAAATAAATTTGTTCTTGGCTTTGTCATGGATGGATAACTAATCATTGAACATTGGGTTATTTCTTCCATTTTATTTTCCCTTTAGTTGGCTATGTTACAGTTCATTACAGCTGTTGGCATTGAACTGTCTCCAGTTCCAAACCCATGTATTAGAGAGGAGTTAGGCAAATGAAAATCAAAATGTCAGCATTATAGATAGTATATCATACTGTCTATAAGACATGGGCTCTGGGTCACACCATTGGTTCTAGTCCCACTCTGCCATCAGCTAGCAACTAGGTGTGTGACCTTGGGCAAGTTTCTGTGCCTTCATTTCATAATCTATAAAGCAGGAATTAACTTGTACTTCATGGAGTTCTGAGGATTGATTTAGTTAATGCCTAAAATGTGCTCAAAGCAATACCTGGCACATGCAAAAGCTCAATAAGTGTTAGTTATTGTTATTGCTGATAAAGCAGTTACTGGAACAGTGGACTCCCTTGCACTGCACCCCAGGAGGAAACAGACTTCCGTATATTTGAAAACCTCATACCTTCCTCTGTGATGGAGCAGAGCACAATGTATGGTGTTCTTTGTGGGCAAGCAGGCTTACAGAAAGAGGGGAGAGGAAAGCAGAGCCTAATTTATCTCCCAGATTCACATTCACTTCATTGCTGTGTGAAAGAGAAATGGAGGAACAAGTGGTCAGGAGTATTTATAGGTGCGTGGGGAAGAAGTATCTAAAGCAGCTAACCTTGGGAATTGATAGGAAAAGGAAAATTGGTAAAATTCAAACCTTTCAGTTTTGCTATTTGATTCTGCTCTTAGGTAAGATGATGTTTATGGGGATTTTTAAAAAGTGGATTTTATTTAACTAGGCTCTGTCTGTTCACCATTGACAGTTCAGTAAAACCAAAGGCTTTGGTATTTCCCCCCTTTGTAGGTGCTGCAGGATCATCTTATAAAAGAAACACCTGATACACTCAGTGACCCGCAGTAAGTTGTATTGTTTCATTGTAACTCATGTTAAGGATTTGTTTCACTCATAAGTAATCAGATGATTTCAATGTGACTTTTTGTTTTTGTTTTTTTTTTGAGACAGAGTCTCACTCTGTCACCCAGGCTGGATTGCAGTGGCGCAGTCTCAGCTCACTGCAACCTCCAGCTTCTGGGTTCAAATGATTCTCATGCCTAAGCCTCTCGAGTAGCTGGGATTATAGGCATGCACCACTACACCTGGCTAATTTTTTTGTATTTTTTATAGAGATGGGGTTTCACCATGTTGGTCAAGCTAGTCTCGAACTCACGACCTCAGGTGATCCACCCGCCTCGGCCTCCCGAAGTGTTGGCATTACAAGCATGAGCCACTGGGCCCGGCCCTGTGTGACATTTTTAAAAAGAAGGAATAATATATGTAGAGATGAAAATAACATAATGCTGTATGTGAGATGCTGTATTAAGTGCTTTTACTTGCAAGTTGTCCTGCTATTTAACTTGAATTACCTGGGAGCTACACATTTGGTTGTATTAGAAAGAGATGTTTTTATATGTTTCCTTCTTTACTTTTTGACAGTTGTAGGAGGAAGTATTTTAAGGTCTGGTTGAACATAGTTGAAGAATATAAATAGTTCTGTTGAAAGAGTAGTAAACTATTTTGTTTACTTCTATATTCTAATCAAAGTTTTAAGAGTCCTTGAGGGAAAATAGTCTTAGATGGCTTGATATCCATTCCCTGGGATCACCCTTGTACATGCTACCGAGAGCGGTATACTTTCTCACTTATTGCAAGCCTTGGCTTTTCGTCTACTTTCACCTTGTATTAGTAGTAAAGTATGTGATTAAATTTCTTTGTATGTTTACATTTTGAGGGGCGTTGGCACAGGGGAAATAGAAGATAGAAATAAAGCAACTTTGGTAGATATTTAATGATAAAACATTTTAAATAGAACCACCAGATATATAGTTTGGCTAATTCTAAATTTTTAAATATATTTATTTTGTTTTATATCAAGAACTGTTCCAGAGGAAGAAAGAGAAGCTAAATTCTACCGGGTTGTAACTTGTTCCTTATTGGCATTAAAGAGATTACTTTGCCTTTTACCTGATAATGAGCTTGATTCTCTGGAGGAGAAATTTAAGTCTCTTTTATCACAGAATAAGTTTTGGAAGTATGGAAAACACAGTGTACCTCAGGTATATTAATCTTTTTTATCTTAAGACATTTCTCTGATTCCTTACCCCCATCTTCTTAGTTTATGTTTTATGTTTATTGTTTATACTTAGAACTCTGCAAGCACATCTGTGTGGTAGGCTATTCATTTACTGAATTACCTCTCTTACTAGAATGTTACTCTGTTTTTACTTTTTTATTTAGTTTGGGCCTCAGATTTAGAATTATCAGTATGAATTACCATACTCCTTTGTTCATAGCACCTTAAAATTGGTGTGTGCAAGTCTCTTCTCATTTAATTAATTTATTTTTTCCCTTTTGTCTATCTCTCCATTCTCTACTTTCACTGGCTGACTGGTCTACTATGTTTAATATATGTGCTTTTGTTTGTGCAGTTGATTCTTATCATTCTTAGTAGTTACTTTCTATAAACTCATCATGAATACTGACTTAGTGAATACTGAGGCATTGCCCTTACGGGAAATGCAGGGTTAGGTTCTTGTGAGCTATTCACAGCATTTTTGTCAGTTGATAACTGACATAACCAGTACATAACCTTGTTTTTTTTTTTTGGTAGTTCTTTTTTTTAATTATTATTATTATACTTTAAGTTTTAGGGTACATGTGCACAATGTGCAGGTTAGTTACATATGTATACATGTGCCATGCTGGTGTGCTGCACCCCTTAACTCGTCATTTAGCATTAGGTATATCTCCTAATGCTATCCCTCCCCCCTCCCCCCACCCCACCATAACCTTGTTTTATGTGTGTTTCTGTATAAAGACACCTTTTTTTCATAGCTATTGTTGATTCATTAGCATTGAACTCACGGCCAACAGCACTAAAACTCATGCCTGGATAAAGCGTATCTAACTCATATTTTCTTTGTAAGGCATATCATAGCGTTCTTGTGCCTAGATACAATAGACAGCACTTCAGTGCTGCTGCTTGGAGGCCATTTAAAACATGAAATCACCAATCAAAAGCACAAAAATTTGAAAAAGTACTGTGAAAAGGACACTTGTTTACAGTATGAGAGCTGAAATAAGGGAACGTCGCCTTGTTCAACCTCAGCTGGGAATGTGCACGTGGGTGACTCAGATTTTTTGCCATTCTATGCATGTCCACAAATGACTGCAAGACACTGCAAGTTTTTTGTTTATTTTTCCAGATGGAGTTTCGCTCTTGTCACCCAGGTTGGAGTGCAATGGCGTGATCTAGACTCACTGCAACCTCTGCCTCCTGGGTTTGAGTGATTCTCCTGCCTCAGCCTCCCAAGTAGCTGGGATTACAGGTGCCCACCAGCACGCCCGGCTGATTTTTAAATATTTTTAGTAGAGACAGGGTTTCACCACGTTGGCCAGGCTGGTCTCAAACTCCTAACCTCAGATGATCCACCCACCTCGGCCTCCCAAAGTGCTGGGATTACAGGTGTGAGCCACCGTGCCCGGCCTAAGACACCGCAAGTTTTGTTTTTGGGGTTACAAATTAATTTTAGCAAGTAGGTGAATTGGCAAACATGGGATTTGTGAGGATTGACTGTATTTTTGAAAAACGTGCTTTTGTGTGTGCTTGAGTTTTTAATTCACATAAATGATACTGTTATATTTTATTCCATTTATTACTTTTTCAAAAGAGATCCATCATGTTCCTGTATGTACATCTGATTCATGACTTCTAACTGCCTTGTAGTATTCAGAAGTTTGCATTACCTATTCATTTAACCTGCCCATTCCTCCAGTGATAGATCCTGATTGCCTCCAACTCCTTGCCTTCACAAGTAATGCAGCAATGAACATCTTCATTCATGTGTCCTTGGATCTTAAGAAATTATCTGAATTGCTGAGTCAGTGAAGTGTGTGCATACCTAATTTCCTAAAATAGTGCCAGATTGCTCTCCTGAAGGGCTGCATTACTCTAGACTCAACCATCAATACGTGATGACTCTTATACTGCATAACCTTATATTCTAGCCATCACTAGGCAGCATTCAGCTGCTACTACATAACCTTATATTCTAGCCATCACTAGGCAGCATTCAGCTGCTACTACATAACCTTATATTCTAGCCTTCAGTAGGCAGCATTTAGCTGCTACTACATAACCTTATATTCTAGCCTTCAGTAGGCAACATTCAGCTGCTACTACATAACCTTGTATTCTAGCCTTCAGTAGGCAACATTCAGCTGCTTAATTTTTCATCAGCCTAATAGGAATTCAGGTGATATCTCTCTTTAACTGGAATTACTTTCCTTATTGGTGATTTTGCATCTCTTCAAGAATTTTTAGCGTTTTTGTTTTTGTGTTTCTTGTTCATTTTTCCTTCTTTGGAGTTCTCTTTTTCTTTTTATGCAGGAGTCCCTTTTATAATTAAATATTAGTCTTTTTGTCTTTTTTAAAAATTCTAATCTCATGACAGATTATCTTTTGTCATTTTTAGGCAATGCAAAAAAGCTCCCATTCTGTCATCTCTCCCATGTGTCTTATGTCAGAAAGAAAATTTTGATGTGATCAAAGTCACTGATTTTTGCCTTATGAAGGCTATTCCCACCTTTAAGTCATAAAGATATTCTTATATTTTGAATTTTTTAGCTTTATAGTTGTAGGCTTTATATGCAGTTTTACCTTTCATATAAAATCTTCACTTCATCAATAATCTACCTTTTCATTTGGTGTTAAGTATAGATCTAGTTACATTTTTCTTCATATATGGTGAGTCAGTTTTCCTAACATTACCTAGTAAACTGTTTATTTTTTTTCCCTGTTGATCTGTGGTCATGCCGTTACAAGACATTAAGTTCTTATATATTGCTGGGCACAGTGGCTTATGCCAGTAATCCCAGAACTTCGGGAGGCCAAGGCAGGTGGGTCACTTGAGCCCATGAGTTCCAAACCAGCCTGGACAACATGGCAAGACCCTGTCTCTACAAAAAAATAATTAAAAAATTAGTTGGGTGTGGTGGCACACCCCTATTGTCCCAGCTGCTTGGAGACTGAGGCAGGAGGATCGCTTGATCCCAGGAAGTCAAGGCTGCAGCGAGCCATGATTGTGCCACTGCACTCCAGCCTAGGGGAAGAGCAGGAACCTATTAAAAAAAAAAATCATACATTCAGAAATTTGCCCTAAATTATGTTCTGATGCATTGGTCTCTGTTTCTTGTTATACCAGTGCCACTGTCAGTATGACATTATGATATGTCTTTTTTTTTTTTTGAGACAGAGTCTTACTCTGTCACCTAGGCTGAAGTGCAGTGGCACGATCTCAGCTCACTGCAACCTCTACCTCCCAGGTTCAAGCAATTCTCCTCCCTTAGCCTCCCGAGTAGCTTGGCACTCAGGTGCCCACCACCACGCCTGGCTAATTTTTGTATTTTTTAGTAGAGACGGGGTTTTGTCATGTTGGCCAGGCTGTTTTCTTGAGACAGAGTTTCACTCGGTCACTTGGACTGGAGTATAGTGGCGCAATCTCAACTCACTGCAACCTCCACCTCCCAGGTTCAAGCTGTTCTCCTGCCTCAGCCTCCCGAGTAGCTGGGATTAGAGGCGCCTGCCACCATGCCCAGATAATTTACGTATTTTTACTAGAAATGGAGTTTCACCATGTTGGGCAGGCTGGTCTCAAACTCCTGACCTCAGGTGATCTGCCCGCCTCAGCCTCCCATTTGGGATTACAGGCATGAGCCACTGTGCCTGGCCTTATGATATGTCCTAATACCTGCTCAGGTTAGTCACATATTTTGGGTTGTATTCTTTTTTTTTTTTTTTTTGAGATGGAGTCTCACTCTGTTGCCCAGGCTGGAATGCAGCGTCATGATCTCAGCTCACTGCAACCTCCACCTCCTGGGTTCAAGCGATTCTCCTGCCTCAGCCTCTCGAGTAGCTGGGATTACAGGTGCCTGCCACCACGCCCAGCTAATTTTTGTATTTTTAGTAGAGACAGGGTTTTGCCGTGTTGGCCAGACTGGTCTCGAACTCCTGACCTCAGGTGATCCACCTGCCTCGGCCTCCCAGAGTGCTGGGATTACATGCATGAACCACTGCACCTGGCCAGAACTTTATTCTTTCATAAAAATTTCAGTAAATTTGGGCTGAGCGTGGTGGCTCATGCCTGTAACTCCAGACCTTTGGGAGGCCAAGGTGGGAGGATGACTTGAGGCCAGGAGTTTGAGACCAGCCTGCATGACATAGTTAGACCCCATCTAAAAAATGTAAAAAAATTAGCTAGACACAGTGGGGAGTGCTAGTAGTCCTAAGTACTTGGGAAGTTGTGGTGGGAGGATCACTTGGGCCTGGGAGATTGAGGCTGCAGTGAGCTTTGATTGCACTGCCACTGCACTCCAGCCTAGGCAATAGAGTGAGATCCTGTCTCAACAAAACAAATTCCAGTACATTTGTTGAATTTCTCAAAAACGTCTAACTAGAATTTTAATTGTGGTTGTACTCAATTTATAGACCAATATGGAGAAACTTGCTTTCTTTATGTTGTTGAGTCTTCCTATCCATGAACTTCTCATCTCTTTCAATTTTTTTTTTTTTTTTTTGAGACAGAATCTCACTTTGTTGCCCACACTGGAGTGCCGTGGTGTCATCTTGGCTCACTGCAACCTCTGCCTCTTGGGTTCAAGTGATTCTCCTGCCTCAGCCTCCCAAGTAGCTGGAATTACAAGCACGTGCCACCATGCCCAGCTAATTTTTGTACTTTTAGTAGAGACAGGGTCTCACTGTGTTGGCCAAGCTGGTCTCGAACTCCTGACCTCAAATGATCCACCAGGCTTGGCCTCCCAAAGTGCTGGGAATACAGGTGTGAGCCACCATGCCTGGCCTCTCTCAAGTTATTTGGGTACTTTAAAATATCCTATGATAATTCTTAAAAAATCAACTTTTTTGAAGTATAATTTGCACACAGTCCTGTAAAATGCAGCCATTTTTATAGTTTAAGTTTTGACAGATGTGTACACCTGTCTACATGTATATATACTTATATAACCACTACAATAAAGAAATAGAACTTTTTTTTTTTTTACCCAAAATGCATTCCTTTTGTCCTTCCAAGTCATCCTCTGCCTTTATCCCAGGCAGTCATTGATTTGCCTCCCATCACTACAGATTAGATTTGTCTTTTCTATGCTGTCATATAAATGGAGCTAGGCATTACTCTCTATCTAGCTTCTTTTGCTTAGTGTAATGTTTTAAGATTCATTCATGTTGTTGCATATATCAGCAGTCCATTTTATTGTTTAGTTTTGTACAGTTTTCGTGTGAACATATGTTTTTATCTTTCTTGAGTAAGGAGAGGAATTGATATGTCATATGGTAAGTATATGTTTATAGGAAGCTACCAAGATGTTTTCTAAAGTTGTAGTACTCCTACCAGCAATGTGTGAGATTTTTAGTTGCTCCATATCCTCATGTTTCATATTGTCAGCCGTTTTAATTTAGGTCATTCTCCTGGGTATGAGATCAGGCATTGCAATAGCTCGTGTGTCAAATCTGGCACATCTGTTTTTGTTTTTTTCATCCCCATGGACACGAGGGAAACATCTATTTTTGTAAATAGTTTTATGTATTATCTATGGCTACTTTACTTCTACAAAGCAGAGCTAAGTAGTTGCAACAGAGATGACATGGCCTGCAAACCCTAATATATTTACTCTGTATCTCCCTATGGAAAATGTTTACTGACCTCTGGAATAGAGGTTTCTCATTGTGGTTTTAATTTGCATTTCCCTGATGACTAATGATGTTGAATATCTTTTAATATGTTTATGGGCCATTTGTATATCTTCTTTTTGGAGGTGTCTGTTGTAATCTTTTGCTTATTTTTTATTTCATATATTTTTTATTCCTAGAACTTCCACTTGGTTTTTTATATTTTCTGTTTCTTAGATGAAATTGTCTATTTTTTCCCCATTCATCCTCATCGTATTTTCCTTTACCTTATTGAGTATAGTTTTAATAGCTTTTTAAAATCCATGTCTGATAACGTCTGGGTCATCTTGGGGTTGACATCAGTTAACTGTCTTATCCTTTGTGATGAGACCACATTTTTGTGGCTCTTGGTATGTTGACTAATTTAAGATTGTATACTGGACATTGTGAATGTTATGTTTTGGAGACTGGTTTATTTTATATTTATCCAAAGGGTATTTTTTTTTTGTTAGGAGGCAGTTAACTTGATTAGACCCATACCAAACCATTATGCCTGTGGTGGGAAATGGCTTAGCTCTCAGTTCATTTCTTGTTTTAGCTTTAAGCTGCTTCTAGTTTACTTGAGGCCAGGAATTCAAGACCAGCCTGCACAACATAGTTAGACTCATATCTCTAAAAAAATTTTAAAAATTAGCTGGGCATAGTGGAGTGCACATGCATGGTTCAGAGATAAGCTATAGATTTAGGCTGTTAAAATACAGAATATAGGGGTTCCTTTCTGTGGCCCTCTCCTTTCTAGAGTCCCCCATCACTCTCCTGCGTCATCCCGCATTATCCTGGCCTTCTTTCCTGGTTCTTCTAGTTCCTCTGGCCAGAAAGATGTCAGTCTTTCTACTGAAGTTGTAGCTGGTCCTGTGCCTTTGTGATGGCGACCACAGCCACGTTTGGGCAAAGCTGCAAAAGTTGGGATCTCAATCTACATGGATCACTTACTCCCAGTTTGATTCTCTTCTAAAATGCATCTGTATTTCAGTCTCCAGAGTCCTCAGGTAGTTGTTTTTTGTGTGTGTTTTATCCACAGAGCTTCCTTTTTAGGAGGACTGATATATTGGGCTCTCACTCATCCATATTTTTTGGTCCATTTTAAAATTGCAGTTTGGTTATTTTTGAGTTGCAAGTGTGCTGTATTTATCCTGAGTAGAAGTATGTGTCAGATAAAAGTATGATGAATGATTTCTTCCAGTATATGGCTTGCCTTTTAATTTCATTAGTGTTTTTGAAGAGTAGATGTTTTAATTTTGATGAAGCTTAATTGATCATTTTTCTTTTATGGTTGTGCTTTTTGATGTCTTATTTTTTATTTTTATTATTTGAATGGCCAGTTAATAGATTGATGTCTTATCTAAGAAATCTTTGCCCAAGTTTGCAAAGATTTTCTATATTTTATTTTAGAAGTTTTATAGGTTAGCTCCATGTAGTGGATTTAGAGGTTTTTTTTGCATATAAACTGAAGGTGAGAGTCAAAATTAATTTTTTGGTTATGGAGTATTCAGTTGCTGAAAGACTATCCCATCCTTATTCTGACATCTTTGTCAGAATTCACTTGACCGTATATGTACAACTTTAATTTTAGACTCTGTTCTGTCCACTGATCTGTATGTCTATCCTTACACCCAATACCATGCACTTGATTATGAATGTTTTATATTGTGTTGAAAACTTCCAACTTTGTTCTTTTCAAAATTCTTTTGGTTATCTTAGGTCTTTTGCATTCTAGAATAATGTTTTACAATCTGCTCAGTCCTTATGGTTTTTGTTTCTTTCATGAATGAATGCTTGATTTCTAAGCAAAGCAAAATTTTCTTGATTTTTCTGATGTTTTATGATCAAAGTTTCTTGGCATAGCTAGAAGTTTGCTGTCTTTATAAATGTCATGTCTTTTAAAATACTTTGCTAACTTTGATTTGGTAATATTTTATATAAAATATACATAAAATATTTTGTGGGGTTAGATATGTATGTATTTTTAAATCTCACAAAATATTATACTCTCAATCTTTGTTTACATTTGCCTATATATTTGTTGCTTTGTGTCAGAAGGTGTTTTTATTTTGCCCTCATTCTTTTTTTTTTTTTTTTTTTTTTGGGACGGATTCTTGCTTTGTCACCCAGGCTGGAGTGCAGTGGTGCAATCTGGGCTCATTGCAACCTCCGCCTTCCGGATTCAAGTGATTTTTGTGCCTCAGCCTCCCAAATCCTGGGATTACAAGCATGTGCCACCATGCCTGGCTAATTTTTGTATTTTTAGTAAAGATGGGGTTTTGCTATGTTGGCCACCCCAGTCTTGAACTCCTGGCTTTAAGTGATCTGCCCGCCTCAGCCTCCCAAAGTTCTGGGATTACAGATGTGAGCCACCATGCCCGGCCTTCATCCTCATTCTTGAAAGACATATTTGCTGAGTACAGGATTGTATGTTGGTAGTTATTTTTGTGTTGAAGATACTATTCCATGTCTTCTGATTAAATTATTGATGTCAAAATTAACTATCAGTCTTATTGTCCTTCTTTTGAAGGTAGTTTATCTTTCTCCTTGGGCTACTTTTCTCCTTGTGTTTTCCCAGTTGCATAATGTGTCTTTGTGTGGATTTCCTTTATGTATCCTGCTTGGGATTTGTTGGACTTTTTGAATCTTTGACTTGGTGTATTTCATTGGCTCTGTAAAATTCTCAGCTATTATCTCTAGGTATTTCCTTCCTCATTCTTCTCTTGTTTTGGGATTCTGATTAAATAGATATTAAGCCTCACTTTATCCCCTATGTCTGTTACGTTTTCTTTGTTGTTTTTCATCTTTTTGTCTCTCCATGATGCTTTGCGGATAATTTCTTTTGCTCGGTCTTCTAGTTCACTGATTCTCTCTTATTTGTATCTAACCTCCAGCTGTCTTAGTCCATTCAGGCTACTTTAACAAAATACAGTCAGCCTTCCATATCTGCAGGTTCTGCATGTGTGGATTCAATCAACTGTAGATGAGGAACCCGTGGATATGGAGGGCCGACTATATTACGCCATTTTATGTCAGGGACATTTTATGTAATTCCTGAGAATTTGGTATATGTGTGGGGGTGGGAGGGTGGGATATCCTTGATCCAATCCCCTGCAGGTACCAAGGGATAAACTGTACCTTAGATGGAGTAATTTGTAAATAATAAAAATTTATTTCTCACGGTTCTGTAGGCTGGAAATTTCAAGATCAAGGTGCCAGCAGATTCAGTGTCTGGTGAGGGTTGCTTTCTCTGTTTCAAAGATGGCTACTTTTTGCTGTGTCCTCACATGGCAGAAGGAGTAAACATGGTCTCTCATACCCTTTTGTAAGGGCCCTCTGATCCTATTCATGAGGGTAGTGCTCTCAAGACCTAATCATCTCCTAGAGTCCTCGCTTCTTAATACTATCACACTGGTGATTAAGTTTCAACATACTAATTTTGGAGGGAGACATTCAGACCATTGCATTGTTCTTAAACTACGAGTTGAGCTTTAAGTTTTAATTATTTTTAGTTGAGTAATTGTGCTTGATCTTTTTCCGATCTGCTCTGCTTTTTCCAGGATCCTTTTTCTTACAAGTTTTTTAAAACTTTTGTTCCTTTAAATATAATAAGCATTGTATTATAGAATTTGTGACTGATCATTCTAAGATTTAAAGTCTCAGATCTTTTATTTCTCCTGATTGTTGCTCATGGTGTCTTATTTTCTGTTTGTTTGGCTATAATGGAGGCCCCAAATGAAGGCTTCTGCTACTAAAGAGGATTTGTGTTTGCTTCAGTCAAAGAAAGAGAAAGTTGAATTAATTCTTTCAGCCTTCACTTTTGCCTTGGTAATTCCTTATGCCTTTTCAGCCATTTCATACTCTAAGATTTTAAAAAGTATTTTTTCTAGCTATTTTAGTTTTCTTAGTGGGAGGGTTAGTGTGAATAATCTACTATTACCATAAATTAAAAATCTTATCAAGTTTTACTAGGTTTTAATTTAATTCAGCTTTGCATTCTTTTAGATTCGCTCAGCTTATTTTGAGTTAGTCTCTGCATTGTGCCAGCGCATTCCACAGTTGATGAAAGAGGAAGCATCCAAAGTGAGCCCATCAGTTCTACTTAGCATTGATGACAGTGACCCAATTGTCTGCCCAGCTCTCTGGGAAGCTGTACTCTATACACTTACAACTATTGAGGTATGTAAGAGAGGCACATTTAGTACACTGAGGAATGAACCTATGAGATAAGAATATCCAAAACTTACTGGGAAAATGCTTTCTTGGAAATAAAATAATCTAAACTTGGCATAAATCTTAAAGTGACTAAAATGGCATAGAGTTTTTATTTTATTTTGTTTTGCCAGTATTAATTATTCTTTAAACCTTATGTGTCCTAGTGCAGTCACCATAACTGAATTTTATATTTAAGATGAAATATAATTAAGATTGAAATATAATTGTCCCTTTTAGAAAGCAGCTTTTATAGAAATAGAAGTTAAATAATTATTTCTAATCAATACTTTATTGTAAGCATGTCGAATATATGATCATTATATGTAATACATTTATAATTTCAGTTTTAGTTTTTAATGGTGGTGAAAGATTTTAGCTTTTTTTAGGTAAAATACTTGGTTTTTCTTTTTGAGAGCCTATATGTTTTCTCTTTTAATTGAGAAAAGTATGTTTATGATCTCTAATTACTACTATAATCTTTTGTTTGGTTAGGACTGTTGGCTTCATGTAAATGCAAAAAAGAGTGTGTTTCCCAAGCTATCAACTGTGATTCGTGAAGGTGGTCGGGGTCTAGCTACTGTCATATATCCTTACCTTCTGCCATTCATCAGCAAGCTCCCTCAGTCCATCACAAATCCAAAGTTGGATTTCTTCAAAAATTTCCTCACGTCTCTAGTTGCTGGGTAAGTAATTTAAATTTTTGATTTTTAAAACAAAACAGATTTTCTTGTTTTTATACTCATTTTCTTTCTTACTTAAATTTCTCCAAGTTGTTTTACTATTCATTAAATACTTTTAAAGTTTTCAGAGAATTACAATTGATATTTTTTTCTTGAGTACGTTCAAGACTTCAGTGGTAGCACACAGCAGGAAGTTAGATAAATAAGGTAAAGCTCCTTGTTGGAAATAGGTCAACTAGGCTATTTTTCAAATTAGCCATTTTTTTAACAGCAGAATGTGCTAACCAATTGCACCACAGACACATGTAGCCATTTTTTATTTTTTATGTTGATAAATACAAATGCCTAAATGCAGAAAATTAGCCAGTGAAATTTTTAAAACATCAACAACTTTAACTACTATAGATGTTTAAATTCACACTTAAAAAAACTGTTTCAGTACATTTGTTGAACTTAGAAGATACATCATTTTATTAATGATTACAGATTTTTTTTACTACACCATTATCTTTATTTGGTTAATAAGTTATCTCGAATTTGCAGGTGGATTGGTCCATGAATAGAAAATTAATATCTCGGCTAGGCGTGGTGCCTCACAGCTGTAATCCTAGCACAGGCCAAAGTGGGAGGATTGCTTGAGGCCAGGAGTTCAAGACCAGCCTGGTCAAGATAGTAAGACCCTATTTCTAAAAAAAAAGAAGAAAAAGAAAAAGGAAATATTCTCTTATTTTTATTTTTTACTGATACATTTTTTGAAAAACTTTTTCAAAGTTTTTAAGTTCATATTCTCATTGGGCTATATGTATTTTCATTGGTATTTAATTTGTAGTTTAAGAAACTGCTTTAAAAATGTTTCTTCTGTCATGATGCCTTTTTGAGGTCTTTATTTTGATAATTCTGAGTTCTTGTTTCTTCTTCATGAAAGAGTAATCCAGTTATTAATTATTTCTTAGGCTGTCAACAGAGAGAACTAAAACCAGCTCTTTAGAGTCCTCGGCAGTAATATCTGCTTTTTTTGAATGCTTACGTTTTATAATGCAGCAAAACTTAGGTGAGGAAGAGATTGAACAGATGCTCGTCAATGATCAGGTATCTATAATGTAAAAGTCGTCAGTCTCTTTGCATACTGATTATGTAGGATCAAGCTCATTGTGTCTTGTTGCCATTTACAGTAATAAGCCTTCCTTGTAAAAATTTTATTTTTATAATTTACCAATTGAGTGATGTGTATTTCTGACCAGATAAGTAAAAATTCCATACTCTCAGTTGCTAGCATGGTATGATACCTAAGAAACTAATCAGTGTCTGGATGCAAAAATCCCTTTTTTTTTTGAGACAAAGTTTCGCTCTTTGTTGCCCAGGCTGGAGTACAATGACGCAATCTCAGCTCACTGCAACCTCTGCCTCCCGGGTTCAAGCTATTCTCCTGCCTCAGCCTCCCAAGTAGCTGGGATTACAGGCACCCGCCACCACACCCAGCTAATTTTTGTATTTTTAGTAGAGACGGCGTTTCACCATGTTGGCCAGGCTGGTCGAGAACTGCTGACCTCAGGTGATCTACCCGCCTCGGCTTCACAAAGTGCTGGGATTACAGGTGTGAGCCACCGCGCCCGGCCTGTAAAACCCTGTTTTAGAAAGATGTAGTGCAGGCTGGGCGTCGTGGCTCACGCCTGTAATCCCAGCACTTTGGAAGGCCGAGGTGGGTGGATCACCTGAGGTTGGGGGTTCAAGACCAGCCTGACCAACATGGAGAAACCCCATCTCTACTAAAAATACAAAATTAGCCAGGTGTGGTGGTGCATGCCTGTAATCCCAGCTACTCAGGAGGCTGGAGAATTGCTTGAACCTGGGAGGCAGAGGTTGCAGTGAGCCGAAATTGTGCCATTGCACTCCAGCCTGGTCAACAAGAGTGAAACTCCATCTCAGAAAAAAAAAAAGAAAGATGTAATGCAAAGCAGAATTTTGAAGTTGCTATTTATGATCTTTTGTAGTAAGTTTAAATAAATCATGAAGCAATCATCTTGTTAATTCTAAAATACTCAAATTATGCTTTGTGAAAGTTTGGCTTGGCTTTTAGAACCAGAGATGAGAGAAGGTTATGGAATATGGTTCTTTACAGTAGGAAATTAGTGAGATTATAGAAGCCCAGGTCTTAGGATGTCTCTACCCTTATTTTTGTAATTTAGGAAATAGGATTCCGCACTCTGTGGGTCCTAGGTATCTTTCATGTTGACTTATAGTCTCATATCTTAGATTTGCCTATAGTTAAGGCAGAAAAGCAAAACACTTAAATCCAGAAGATGCAAAGAAAACTAGATTGTTAATGACCAAGAATCCCAGTCAATTTTATCATGAAAAAGGAATAATTGAGGTGAAATCATTAAGCTCTTGTATGATATGAAAGGGATCTTTAGGTTAACTTTTTCAGAGTTCTAGGGGAAAATTTATGTTTTTCAGTTATTAAATATGAAATAGTGTTTTACAAATACTTTGTTTAAATTTTCTCTTGAAAATTGAACTTTTCAATTTTTTACCTTCTGTGAGTGGAAAAAACAATTTTTCCTCTATTCTCACATCATAGTAATCAACACAGAAGACTTCTGTGACCAAATATGTGGAGATTTCTCCCACCCAGCAAGCAGTCAGTTCTGCAGCAGATACCAGCTATGTGTCCTCCAATTCAATTCTGACTATCTACCTGGAGATAGTGTCAGATCTCACTGGCTTAGGACTCAGTCCCACAAGACCGCTCCCCACTTCTGATGCCAATCGCAAGCCCCAGGCTGTTTTACCTGGGCTTCTGACCAACCAGCTGTACATCTAAATCAGGGATCCCATGACCCCCTCCTGGGGTTTGCTTAATTTGCTAGACTGTCTCACAGAACTCAGAGAAACAATTTACCAGTTTATTATAAATGATATTACAAAGGATACAAATGAAGACATGCACACGGTGAGATACGGGAAGGGGTGAAGAACTTCCACTCCCTCCCTGGGTGCGCTACTCTCCAGGAACCTCCACATGTTCAGCTATCTGAAAGCTCCCTGAATGCTGTCTTTCTTGCGTTTTTATGGAGGCTTCATTACTAGGCATGAATGATTAAGTAATTGCCACTGGTGATCAGCTTAACCTTTAGCTACCTTTCTATCCCTGGAGGTTGGGGAGGTATTGAAAGTTCTAGCCCTTTAATCCTGCCTTGGTCTTTCTGGTGATCAGCCCCCATCCTGCTATACAGGTGCTGCCAGCCATCAATCAACCCATTAGCTTATGAAATGATATCACTTTGGAGATTCCAAGGATTTTAGAGTTGTGTGCCAGGAGATGGGGGTTGAAGACCAAATATATATTTTATGATATTCTACCTTTTCTTTCAGTTGATCCCTTTTATTGATGCAGTTCTCAAAGACCCAGGATTGCAACATGGGCAGCTATTTAACCATTTAGCAGAAACTCTAAGTTCCTGGGAAGCCAAAGCAGACACGGAAAAAGATGAAAAAACAGCTCACAACTTGGAGAACGTACTGATACATTTCTGGGAAAGACTGTCAGAGATCTGTGTTGCGAAAATCAGTGAGCCAGAAGCTGATGTTGAGTCCGTTTTGGGTGTATCTAACCTATTACAGGTGCTTCAGAAGCCGAAGAGCTCATTGAAGTCAAGTAAAAAAAAAAATGGTAAGGTTAGATTTGCTGATGAGATACTTGAAAGCAATAAAGAGAATGAAAAATGTGTATCTTCAGAAGGAGAGAAGATTGAAGGCTGGGAATTAACAACTGAACCTTCTCTCACTCATAATTCTTCAGGCCTTTTGTCTCCTCTAAGGAAAAAACCTTTGGAAGACTTAGTCTGTAAACTCGCAGATATAAGTATTAATTATGTCAATGAACGAAAGTCAGAGCAACATCTAAGGTTTCTTTCTACTCTGCTTGACTCCTTTTCTTCAAGCCGAGTATTTAAAATGCTACTTGGTGATGAAAAACAGAGTATTGTCCAAGCCAAACCTCTTGAAATAGCCAAGCTTGTACAAAAAAATCCTGCGGTGCAGTTTTTATACCAGAAACTGATAGGTTGGCTAAATGAAGATCAAAGGAAGGATTTTGGTTTCCTGGTGGACATTTTGTACAGTGCTCTCCGGTGCTGTGACAATGATATGGAAAGAAAAAAAGTCTTGGATGATCTAACCAAGGTATTCCTGTTGTATATCTTTTCAAACTATTTGAATAATAGATGAGTAGAATGAGCCTGCTTATTGTTTTCTGGTTGTTTCTTCACTGTGAGTGTCAATTTTAGGACAAGCAATATATTCTTGATCATGATTTGGGAAGTATCTAGGGCTGCTGGGTAGATGTTCAGCAGTACCAGGGTGACAAATACTTGTAATTAAAAGGTGAATTCTTTTAATCTATACATTTAAAAAGTTGGATAAGAACATTTTAGTTTTGTATTGGTTACATGGGTACTTCATTTACTTTTTAAAAGTTTTAGCTGGGCATGTTGGCGCATGCATGTAGTCCCAGCTACTCAGGAGGCTGAGGTGAGACATTGGCTTGAGCCCATGAGTTCTAGACTAGCCTGGGCAACATACAAAACCCCATCTCAAACAAAAAGTTGTTCTAGCAGATTGTTTCTAACTCTTTTTCTTTTTTCAGGTGGACTTGAAATGGAATTCTCTTCTTAAGATTATTGAAAAGGTATCTTAGGGATTTTTTTTTCTTTTTTTTTTTGTATTTATGGGAATAGAAATATTATAACCGTAGTCCTATTTACACAATAAATATGGTCAGATAGTCAGGTTCTGTGTTAGAGAACTTCCTCATTATTGTAACTTTCTTCCTATAATGTGGGAAGATATTTGTTCTTTTCCTTTCCTGTAGTAGTATTTTTCTGGTTAGTAATATTAGGGAAAAATGAACAGGCTCTGGAAAATCCAGTGTTTCTTTCCTAGAAGGTAACAAAGGCAGATTTAAACATTTTATTATCTTTTAATTAAAGCTACAACTTTCTGCTGTTATTCTAGTTACTTTTTCTACTGCAGAAATGGATTGGAGGTTCTAGCTTTGGGTAGAACACATGAGAAAATTAAGTTTTCTCTACTCTGGAACACTATGTAGGTAAATAAAAATCTTCCAGTCTTTGTGTGATTGCCACTGACTAAGAAAATTAGTGGTAAGAATAATGAAAAGAAATGAAAGAACATAAACAATTTACAAATTTTCAAAACGGCTTAAGTATTCTTTCCTAATGAGGATGTAAATGTTATAACTAACACTTTTCCAACTGTAGAGATGTTATGACTAGCTACCTGAAATTCTTACTCCTTTTTAAAGCATTTTCAAATTATTTTTCTGTTTTCATAGCTAACTCTTGAATTTGCAAGTTTTTTTCTATTTTTTAAATTGTAGTAAAAAAAACACATAGCATGAAATTTACCATCTTAACCATTTCTAAATGTACAGTTCAGTAGCATCAAGTATATTTACATCGTTGTGCAGTTTCCATAACTTAATTCATCTTGCAAAACTGAAACCCTGTATCCATTAAACAGTAACTCCCCATTTTCCCCATAGTTTTATTTTTACAAAATAAATACAGAATATTTATTATTTTTCAATGAGGAATATGACTTATCAGGCACACTATTTGCCTTAGTTTATCTAGTGCCTTCTCTCCCTGTAGCCAAGTTACATGAAGAGCTAAATTATCAGAAAGCTCCTTGATAAGCCTTGATTCAGAGCAGGGGGTGCAAATAATTTGATAAGAGTAGACTAATGTATCCATTTCCAACTTAGGAATGTACCTGCCGTGAAGTGCAAATACTCACATCTGTGTGGAAGAAAATCCTCTTCCTGAGCAGTGATTGGAAGTTCCTAGCCAGTGTTTGCTGCCTGCGCTTCCATGACTCACTAGCCTCCTCATCTCCTTACAGCTAGGCAGCTTCTTTCATTAGATATGTTCATACTGGCATATCTCAGAGACATCGTAAGTTCAGTTCCACACCACAGCAATAAAGCAAGTTACACAAGTATTTTGGATTGCCAGTGCATATAAAAGTTATGTGTACACTACAGTCTATTAAGTGTGCAATAACATTATATCTGAAAACCAATGTACATATCTTAATTTAAAATTAATTTATTGCTAAACAGTGCTAATGATCATCTCAGCCTTCAGCGAGTTGTAATCATTTTGCTGATGGAGAGTCTTGCCTCAATGTTCATGGCTGCTGACTGACCAGGGTGGTGGTATCTGAAGGCTGGAGTGGCTGTGACAATTTCTTAAAATAAGGACAATAGTGCAGTTTGCTGCATTGATTGACTCTTCCTTTCATGAAAGATTTCTCTGTAGCATATGATGCTGTTTGATAGCATTTTACCCAAAGAAGAACTTCTTTCAAAATTGGAGTCAATCCTTTCAAACCCTGCCACTGCTGTATCATCTAAGTTTATGTAATATTATAAATCCTTTGTGGTCATGTCAACAATGTTCACGGCATTTCACCAGGAGTAGATTCCACCTCAAGAAACCACTTTCTTATCTGTAAGAAGGAACTCCTCATCCATCCACATTTTATTATGATATTGCAGCATTTCAGTCACATCTTGAGGCTTCATGTCTCATTCTAGTTCTTTGCCTCTTTCCTCCACATCTGCAGTTGCTTCCTACACTAAAGTCTTGAACCTCTCAAAGTCATCCATGAGGGTTGGAATCAGCTTCTCAACTCCTATTAATGTTGCTATTTTAGCCTTTTCCCATGGTTCATGAATGTCTTAATGGCATCTAAAATGGTGAGTTTTTTCCAGAAGGTTTTCAGTGGACTTTGCCCAGATCCATCAGAGGAATCACTGTCTATGGCTGCTATAGCTTAATGAAATGTATTTCTTAAATATTAAGATTTGAAAGTTAAAATTACTCTGATTCATGGGCTGCAGAATGGATGTTGTGTTAGCAGGCATGAAAACAACATTAATTTCCTTGTACATCTCCATCAGAGGTCTTGGGTTACCCAGGTGCATTGTCAATGAGTAGTAATATTTCTACTTATTGTAGAATTTTTTTCTTTTTTTCCTTCGTTTTTCCAACAGTGGGCTTAAGATATTGAATAAACCACGCTATAAACGTGCTGTAATTTAGTCCTTGTTATTCCACTTATAGAGCACAGGCAAAGTAGATTTAGCATAAGGTTAAGAACCCTGGGATTTTTAAAATGAGAAATGAGCATTGGCTTCAACTTAAAGTTACCAGCTATATTAGCCCCTAACGAGAGTCAGCCAGTCCTTTGAAACTTGGAAGCCAGGCATTGACTTCTTGCTAGCTATGAGAGTCTTAGATGACATCTTCTTCTAATATGTGACTGTTTTACCTCCACTGAAAATCTGTTTAGTGTAGCCACCTTCATTATTGATCTTAGCTAGATCTTCTGTATAACATGCTGCAGCTTCTACATCAGCACTTGCTGCTTCACCTTGTACTTTTGTATTGTGGAGATGGTTTCTTCTTTTAAACCTCATGAACCACCCTTTGCTAGCGTCAGTCTTTTCTTGTGCAGCTTCCTCACCTCTCAGCCTTCATAGAATTAAAGAGAATTAGGGCCTTGCTCTGGATTCGGTTTTGGATTAAGGGAATGTTGTGGCTCGTTTGATCTTCTGTCTGGACCACTAAAACTTTGTCCATATCAGCAGTAAGTCTATGTCACTTTCTGTTACTCTTGGGCTCACAGGAGTGGCACTTTTAATTTCCTTCAATAACTTTTCCTTTGCATTCACAACTTGGCTGTTTGGCACAAGAGGCCTAGTTTTCCACCTGTCTTGGCTTTCAACATGCCTTCCTTGCTAAGCTTCATCATTTCCAGCTTTTGTTTTAGAGAGATGTGTGACTCTTCCTTCCACTTGAACATTTAGAGGCCATTGTAGTGTAATTAACTGGCCCAATTTCAGCATTGTTGTGTCTAAGGGAATAGGGATGCCTAAGGACAGAGAAGAGAGATTAGGGAATGGTCGGTCAGCGGGGCAGTCAGAACACACACACAATATTTGTTGATTAAGTTTGCCCTCTTATATGGCAATGGTTTGTGGCACCCCCAAACATTACAATCGTAACATCAAAAGTCACTGATTGCAGATCACTATAACAGACATAATAATGAAAAAGTTTGAAATATTGTGAGAATTACCAAAATGTGACACAGAGACACAAAATGAGCATATATTGTTGTAAAATGGTGCCAATAAACTTGCTCAATGCAGGGTTGCCACAAATCTTCAATTTTTAAAATTGCAGCATTTACAAAGCCCAGTAAATATTAAGCCCAATAAAACAAGGTATGCCTGTACATTATGTTGAATTTCTTATCTTGCTAACTCGAGAGGCATTTTATTCAGAAGTTTATTTTGTTTACCAGGATTCTGCAGAATAGATTGGTTTTACTTGGCAAACTACACTGGGAAAACAGGTATCACAGCCATCTAAACTCTAAAGTAGTTTTTCTTGTTTTATGGAACCTTAATACTTTATGAGCAGAGTCTTAAAATCATCTTTTTTTTTTGAGACAGAGGCTCACTGTGTTGCCCAGCAGGCTGGAGTGCAGTTGCAACATCTCGTCTCACTGCAACTTCTGCCTCCCGGGTTCAAGTGATTCTCCTGCCTCAGCCTCCCGAGTAGCTGGGATTATAGGCACCTGCCACTATGCCCAGCTAATATTTGAATTTTTAGTAGAGACAAGGTTTCACCGTGTTGGTTGGTCAGGCTGGTCTTAAAGTCATCTTTTAAAAAAACCATCAATTAAAAAACAGATTTGAGTTTTGGAACCAGAAAAGGACCTTAGAGATTTTCTAAGTTAATCTTTCCAACTTTCAAATTAGGAGATAGGCCCACGCTGATTAAAAGATTTGTCCAAGGTCATAGGCTAGTTAGTGATAAAGCTTGGACTAAAATATAAGCTCTGGTTACCTACAATTTTTAAATAAAAGGATAAAGTTTTCCAAGCACTACCCAATCTGCACTTGGATTTTTTTTTTTCTTCCAGATTGCTTTGAAATGAACCAAGTTGCAAATTCCTTACTTCTCAGCCCTTAAAGCAAAAGAAGCTCTGGGAACATGGATCAGCATGCTTTAGGGGTGGATTTACAGCTTTTTTTTTTCTTGCTTCCCCACCTCATGAAAATAAGTTGCTGTCAGATATCTGGCCCTAGTAACTCTATATCAGAGAATTTGGGGAAATAAATCCCATTGTTCATATTGAAGTAATTTACCATTATTATACACTAATTGTTCTTTAATTTTAGCAAAATTAATGAACAAAAATTTATAGAGCATTTATAAATCTATCTTCAAAGTTTATTCATTATTCATTGAACATATCTACAGTGTTGATAGCAGGTATCAAAGAAGTTTAAGACAGTCTCTACTCTCAAGGAACTTACAATCTCATTGGAAAGACAAGATATACACAGATGAAACATTTAAATAATTATACAATCCAGTAAGTGCTTTAGAAATTCAGAGAAAAGCAGTGATCATTGTGGGCTGGAGTGGATGGGGAGACTCCATAAAGTAGGTGGGATTTGTACTGATTTTCAAAGAATGGATGGGATTTTAAGTTAAAAAAAAAAGGGGGGGGTGGGGGAATATTTATGGCTGGGAAGGTAACAGCAAAGCGTGGAAGTGAACATCATACAGGCTTAATGGGGAACAGGGAGGATACCAGTCTTCCTAGAACTTCAGGAGGAGGAGGAGGGGGGATAGAATTGGAGCCATGATAACGAAGGGATAGTAATATGGTACAAGTAATATTTTGGACAGAGAGAGTATTTGATCTTGCTGTTAATCTTTGCTTTAATTTTATGGTTTTAGGCATGTCCTAGTTCAGATAAACATGCTTTAGTAACTCCTTGGCTCAAAGGCGATATCCTTGGTGAGAAATTGGTCAACTTGGCAGATTGTCTTTGTAATGAGGACTTGGAATCCAGGGTATCTTCAGAATCTCACTTCTCAGAAAGATGGACTCTTCTAAGCTTGGTATTATCCCAACATGTTAAAAATGGTAGGACAAATATGGCTTTTGTTTTCTAATGGGGAATAGTCCATTTCTCCTTTGTGGGGGATTGCATGGGGCTCAGCTTATGTGTTATTGGTTAAAAATAACAGGACTTACTCATTCAAATTTTTTTTTTTCTTTTCTTTTCTTTTTTCTTTTTTTTTTTGAGACTGAGTCTCCCTCTGTCGTCTAGGCTGGAGTGCAGTGGTGTGATCTTGGCTTACAACATCTGAGTTCAAGTGATTCTTGTGCCTCAGCTTCCCAAGTAGTTGGGACTACAGGTGCATGCCACCATGCCTGGCTAAATTTTATATTTTTAGTAGAGACGGGGTTTCGCTGTGTTGGCCAGGCTGGTCTCGAACTCCTCACCTCAGGTGATCTGTCTGCCTCAGCCTCCCAAAGTGCTGGGATTACAGGCGTGAGCCGCTGCGCCCAGCTCATTTACATATCGTAATATTGTAAGCACCCTAATTGTTTATTAATCTTCATACCATGACTTAGAAGATATTTAATATTTTTAGTTCTATATCCTAAAGGGTTTTTTTTTTTTAGCTCATAAAGTTGACTCATGACTTAAAGGGTTTTCAGTGTACAAACTTGCTCACCCTAACTGTAGACCATTTCTGTTTTCTACTTAATTTAAAACTGCCTTTTTTACTTGAGGGCCTTTATGTGTGAGAGAATGTGTTGATTTGTTGATAAAATTTTGTCTAATACATTTTAAAATCCAGGAAAGACCCATAGAATTATTAATCCAAAGTAAGATATTTAAAAATACACGTTAATATTTTTATTTTTTGTCTGTTTGAACCTTTTTTTCTCCAGATTACTTGATTGGAGACGTATATGTTGAAAGAATCATTGTTAGACTTCATGAAACTTTATTCAAAACAAAGAAATTATCAGAAGCTGAAAGCAGTGACTCATCAGTGTCTTTTATCTGTGATGTGGCCTATAACTATTTCAGCTCAGCGAAAGGATGCTTGCTAATGCCATCATCTGAAGATTTATTATTAACTCTCTTTCAGTTATGTGCTCAGAGCAAAGAAAAAACACATTTGCCAGGTAATAGCCTACTGCTCAAATGTTTTGTTGGGAATCTCCGGCTCTGACCTTCATAGTGAGTGTAAGTGCCCAGGCTTTATTAATTGAATTATAATGTGTTTGAAAGTTTAAAGCATTTTGAGTAAAGGGCTACAGTCTTAAACACTTTCAGCTCTAGAAAGCAAGTTAAAGATGTACGTAGATGTTATTTCTAAAGATCTCACTTGATATTCAAAGAAATTTGGAATGAGCCATAATTGATTAGGTGGAATCTTAGTCCATTCAGTAGTTCTGGCATGTTCCTTAATTTCTTGATGTCTTAGTTTCCTCATTTGTAAAAGGGGGATAATAATATCCCTTTATTATAGTAAAAACATTCAATCTTTGGTGTATATCAAAATAGAATTGAAATTATCTTTTTAAGGACTATATTCTTGCCTTATATGCTAATTCAGACTTATTTGTGAAAGGAACATAAAAAAATACTATCTATAGAGAGCTCTCCTCCTCCCACCCTTCATTCTTTCCTTTCTTTTTTTCTTTCCTTCTTCCTTCCTCTTTCTCTCTCTCTTTTTTTTCTGCCCATCATTGGCTACCAACCCTTTCTTAAATACTAACTTCTGTATTTGGAAATGGTGTAATAATTTTTTTAAAAATGTCTCCAAAAGGACAACTCTTGTAAATAAGTTCAAGCATAAAAAATGTAACTTTAAAAATCTTACCATTTTACATTTATATGATACGTGCTAGCTTGTATGATTGCATGTTTATGACACAGTTGCTTTGTTTGGCAATTGAATTTTGAATGGCAATTTAAAATTTTTCTTTTTTAAATGGTATTTAAAAAAATCTCAGATCTGTAGAGTTGTTTCAAACATTTTGTGCTGATGAGAGTTAATTCAGTGAGATTACAAATTCCTGTTGACATCTTGATTTTAGATTTTCTTATCTGTAAACTGAAAAATACTTGGCTCTCTGGTGTAAATTTATTGGTTCATCAAACTGACAGTTCATATAAAGAGAGTACCTTCCTACATTTGTCTGCTCTGTGGCTGAAGAACCAAGTTCAGGCTTCATCTTTGGATATCAACAGGTAACCTTTTTTGAGCTTGGTTTCAGTGTCTCTTTTATACTTGAACAGTGTCCTTAAATTAGATTCCATGATCAGTGTGAGTGCCTATGAAAAATGACTTGTAGGGCTCGTCCCTATAATCCCAGCTACTCAGTAGGCTGAGGTGGGAGGATCAGTTGAGACCTCCAGGAGTTTGAGACCAGCCTGAGCAACATAGTGAGATGCCATCTCTTAAAAAAAAGAGAAATGAAAAGTGACTTGTTAGGTAACAAATCTACAGGACTCTTATGAAAAGACCCAAACGAATTTTTCCAAAACCATTTTGTTTCAATGACCATCCATTTAAACTGCCAGTTAATTGAAGGATAATTTGCTATAACATACCTGCTGGACTCATAACTTATAGACAGTAAAGTGATGGTGATACTATCCTTTGTCATAGGCTGGTGTGCATTGTAGCCTCTCATGGTCACCACATGTACTGATTGTTCTTGGTTATTTATTTTTTGGGGACAGGTAGGCAGTGTTTTAAGATGTTGAATTGCAAGTATATTTTACCTCTCATACCTAAATCCATATAATAAAGGAGAAGAGAGAATGCATTTAGAGGATATTGGGTTTAGGTAAAATAGTGCTGCATTTCATAAGGTAGCTGTATTTCTGAAATACCTGGTCTGAAATAGGTCAGGTCCTCTTCATTCTGAGATAGATAGGAAGCAACACTAGATTTCAAATGATAAATATTGGATTACCTCCCCAGTTTGACTGTTATGTTGGTGTGTCATCGGTGGGGGAATGTCACTTACCTCTTTTTATTTTCATCATTTCTTTTTGTTCAGGTGAGCTATTATAGGGTATTTAATATGTATTGGGGTATTCAAACTAGTCATAGCGTAACTACAACAGTTAAGTTCTCTGCATTATTTTTAGTCTCCAAGTCCTCTTGTCTGCTGTTGATGATTTGCTAAATACACTTCTAGAGAGTGAAGATTCTTATCTTATGGGAGTTTATATTGGAAGTGTAATGCCGAACGACAGTGAATGGGAAAAGATGAGGCAGTCTCTTCCTATGCAGGTATTTTGGAAATTGAAGAGTACATATCTCATTCTGAAGTTTGGATTTCATGCAAGCTTGAATATTTTTATTTTGGGGAAGAAAAACATAAATAAAATGAGTATTTTGCTTTGCTTTGATGTCTTTGTATGCTCATATACTGGATGTTTGCTTTTTGCAAGACACCATTTGACAGTGGCAGTGGGCATGGTACAAAGACTTAGGACCTAGTTCTGTACTTAAGGAGTCTTAAAGAAATACACATGTTGATAATTTCCTGTAAAAGAAAACAAACTTCTAGGTTTCTGTGGTTTTGGTAATAAATATTCTCACAACTTCATTTTTGTTCAGTCTCAATTGCTTAGGTAATAAATAATTTTGTATATAACGTATTCTTTTCACAGTGGTTACATAGACCTCTTTTAGAGGGAAGATTGAGTTTGAATTATGAATGTTTCAAAACAGATTTTAAGGAACAGGACATAAAGACACTTCCCAGCCATTTGTGTACTTCAGCATTATTGAGCAAAATGGTCTTAATTGCACTGAGAAAGGAAACAGTCTTAGAAAATAATGAGCTTGAGAAAATAAGTAAGTATATATGAGTATTTACATATAACATAATGCATGAATGAATATAATTTTGAAATAATCTTGATTATACTGCAGTTTAAATCTTTAATTCAAGAATCTTCAGCTTTCTTTTTCCTATTTTAATGATGAGAACCTTGAAGTTACTTAAGTGGTGAATGTGAAATTGCAAATTAGATACGAATATATTGGAATCTTGCTATAATCTTGTTAACTGTGGATCGTAATTTGGTGTTAGCTACTCAGGCTGTCATGACATCAATGTAAACAGATCCTGTGGCACATACCCTAAAGAAAATGGGTGAGGCTTTGGTGTTTTATCAAGGATTCAGAATTTTCTGTTGATTAAAAAAAAATTGATACCTGATAATTTTACATATTTATGGGGTACATGTGATATTTTGATATATACATAGAATGTGTAGTGATCAAATCAGGCTAAGCAGGATATCCATCACCTCAAACATTTATCATTTCTTTGTGTTGAGAACATTTCAAATCTTCTAGTTATTTTGCAATATAAATCATTGTTAACTATGGTCATCCTACTGTGTTATTGAATACTAGGTCATATATCTTCTCTCTCACTGTATTTTGGTACCCATTCACCGACCTCTCTTCATCCCCTGCTCTCCCTGACCCTTCTCAGGGTAACCATCAGTCTACTATACTATTCTATCTTCATGAGATCCACTTTTTTAGCTCCCATATACAAATTAGAACATGTGATGTTTGTCTTTCCGTGCATGGTTTATTTCATTTAGCATGATGATGTCCAGTTTCATCCATGTTGCTGCAAATGACAGTATTTCATTCCTTTTTTTTTTTTTTTTTTTTTTGAGACAGAGTCTCGCTCTGTTGCCCAGGCTTGAGTGCAGTGGCGCAATCTCGGCTCACCACAACCTCTGCTTCCCAGGTTCAAGTGATTCTCCTGCCTCAACCTCCCAAGTAGATGGGACTACAGGCGCACACCACCATGCCCAGCTAATTTTTGTATTTTTGGTAGAGACGGGGTTTCACTATGTTGGCCAGGCTGGTCTTGAACTCCTGACCTCGTGATCCGCCCGTCTCAGCCTCCCAAAGTGCTGGGATTATAGAAGTGAGCTACCGTGCCTGGCCTCATTCTTTTTTTAATGGCTGAATAGTATTCCATTGTGCATATGTACCACATTTTATATATCCATTCATTCACTGATGGACACTTAGGTTGATTTCATATCTCAGCTATTGTGAATAGTGCTGCAGCAAATATAGGGGTGCAGATATACCTTTGATATACTGGTTTTCTAAATATTCAATGGGATTGCTGGATTGTGTGATAGTTCTATTTTTAGTTTTTTGAAATACTTCCATATCGTTTTCCAAAATGGCTGTACTAATTTGCATTCCTACCAATAGTATATAAGTTCCTATTTCTCTGCATTCTTGCCAGCATTTGTTATTTTTTGTCTTTGTTTTTTTAGAGATGGGGTGTTACTATGTTGCCCAGACAGGTCTTTATCCTGGGCTCAAGCAATCCTCTTGCCTCAGCCTCCCAAAGTGCTGCGATTACAAGCAGTGCCACCATTCCCAGCTTATTTCTTACCTTTTTGACAAGAGGCATTCTAACTGGGGTTTTGATTTGCATTTCCCTGATGATTACTAATATTGAGCATGGGATTTTTTTTTCCTTTCTTGCCGTTGAGTTGTTTGAGTTCCTTATATATTCCTTATGTTAGCCCCTTGTTGGATGAATAGTTTGCAAATATTTTCTCCCATTCTACAGATTGTCTCTTCACTTTGTTGATTGTTTCTTTTGCTGTGCAGAAAGCTTTTAGTTTAACATAGTCCTATTTGCCTGTTTTTGTTGCCTTCGCTTTTGAAGTCTTAGCCATAAAAATATTTGCCTAGACCAATGTCCTATAGCGTTCCTTGATGCTTTCTAGTTGTTTTATATAGTTTCAGTTCTTAGGTTTAAGTCTCTAATCCATTTTGAGTTGATCTTTTTAGATGGTGAGAGATAGAGGTCTGTTTTCACTTTTCTACATATGAATATTCAGTTTTCCTAGCACAATTTCTTGAAGAGGATGTCCTTTCCCCAATATATGTTCTTGGCATTTTTGTTGAAGACTTTGTCAATTGCCTGCAAATATGTGGATTTATTTCTGGGTTCTCTAGTTCTGTTCCATTGGTCTGTGTGTGTCTGTTTTTATACAAATACCATGCTGTTTTGATTCCAATGGTTTTGAATACTTTTGTATTTCATCGGGCTCTAATTTTTTTTCTGGCAAGTGGACGTTCAAATGTTGAACCCTAAGAGGACTTAGGGCCTCAGCAAATTTCCCTGTTTCAACAAATGGTTTAGAATTATAGGTGGTGGAGTGACTTTTACAAGATGGTATTAAAGGTAGAGAATTTGCAGAAACCCTGTATCAGTCTTGTTTGTAAGCCCTCAGCTGTAACACAGTTACTAGAAGGGGGAATATATGCTCTGTGGAAGAAAGTTGAAACACCTCTTTTGGGCAGCCACCTTCACATTTAGTTAAGGGAAAGGAAACAAGCCTGTAGTTTAACATTGCTCACAGGGTGAATCTGTGCAAATCCAAAACTAGTAAGTAGAGTAATAATTTTTTGTGTTACTAATTACAAATTGGCAATATTATTTCTTTAATTTTATCGAGCTCATTAGTCAGATATTATTGTTGTTTTTGTTACCATGACTTGATTAGAGCTGCTTAGCTGGTAAGTGTAGGATTAGATTTTGAACCAGGTCACAATGCTTCTGACTCCAAAAGCTATACATGGCTTTATAAAAGGGAGCTGTGACTGTGTATTAGAAACCTATGATATACCAGGCTTTATGATAGATACTTGGCCATTTAATTATCACAGCAGTCCTGTGAGGTAGTTCGTAGTATCCTAATTGATAACTATTTATATAGCTTGAGAGAGAGATGCAGATTTGAATCCACCCCAATCTGTAATTGAGGCCTCATGTCCTTTTACTGTATCATACTGTCTCCCATTTCTCCCATTTGCCATGAACTTCTCACCTCAGGTCTTGGGTCCCTTAGTTGTTTTTCCTGTCTGGAACTTTTTACCAATTGTGCCAAAATGGTAGGAAGATTCTTTCAGTATCTCTAGTAACTTAGGTTCTTGTCACATTCTTAACTAATTAGAAAAAGGACCAAGTAGAATTTGGGAAAAGGGTGGTATTTTGTATCAGACATATATTCTCAGTTTTCATTGTCCTTGAACATCTCAAAGCAGATTTGAAAAATCAGTTCATAGGAGTTTTGAGATGAGTGGGCACAACAGTGTTAGAAAACAAGGTGGAGAAGTGAAAGTAATTGAAGGGTTTGTTCACAGAGTGCTTTTCATAATTTGGTGCTGTCTCTTCTTTTAGTTGCAGAACTGCTTTATTCACTGCAGTGGTGTGAAGAATTAGATAACCCACCTATTTTTCTAATTGGATTTTGTGAAATACTTCAAAAAATGAATATTACGTATGATAACTTACGTGTACTTGGTAATACGTCGGGCCTTTTGCAGCTGTTATTTAACAGGTAAGAATCTCTTTCAATTTGTTTTTAAAATGACTATGCTACTTCTTTATGGCTTTGCCTTCTGTAAGAGGTAACCCTACTGCATGCTAATGTTTCAGTCAGAGGATTGATCTAAATAATTCCTATTCTTAATAATAAATAGTTTATGAATTCTAAATACTTGATTTAACCTTCTCAGGGGAAGATATTTGTATTCTGCCTGTCTTATTAAATCCATAAATACATACAAGGGTCAGATGACAAAAAAGAAGTAGAAGCTTGTAGAAGTTGTTTTGATTTATCTGTGACTCATCCTCCCAGTGCTCTCAGATTCATCCTTTATCTTACATGTTGTTATAGGTGTGTCTTAATGTTATGACCACAAAGCCCTCTCCCCTAGATTAGGAAGGCAGGTATGAAAACAGTCCTTGTAGAGGTTGTAGTAGTAAGATGTTTAGCTTTTTGAAATTACTGTATTGAACTGCTTTCTTTTTAGGAGTTTATCACTTGCCGATAGTATTTTGAGTATGCTTTGCTGTATCAGAGGACCCAGGCTTCCTTTCCAATCGCATTCTACTTAGTTGACACAACTTTCCTCAGAACCAAAGAACCTCTTTGATTGTTCAACTTAAGCCTGCCTAGGTGTCCTCTGGGAGATGTCTTTTTCCCAGCTACAGCCTCTGGTCTTCAAGCCTAATCTCTAAGATCATCTCCCCTATTGGGACTGAAGAGACTGTGGAGTTGCCTAGGGATGAGAGAGCTCAATACCAGCCTTGAAGGAGTGTTGAAAGCCGAAACTCTCAGCTCTTTGGATAATTACTGGCAGTTGCTTGGGTGCAAAGTCTTAGGTGAATTGATGCCATCACAAGGTGCTTTATTTAATTCTGTAAAAGGAATCCAGCTAGCCAGTGTTTAAACATTTTATTCAGTATGCTTTCAAAACGGAATATAATTTTTTTCTTTCCTTTTTCAGGTCCAGAGAACATGGCACACTGTGGTCTCTTATTATTGCTAAGTTGATCCTTTCCCGAAGCATTTCATCTGATGAAGTAAAACCACATTATAAGAGAAAAGAAAGGTATTCTTATTTAAAATGTTTTTACTTTGTAGTTTACTGTAATCGGTCACTTTGGCAACCCCTAATTAATGAATAATTTCTAATGAATCAAGAAAACAGGTTTAGGAAATGAGGAAATTAACGACTTCAAGGCAAATTAAATTGTTTTAGGTTAGGGACATACCTTTGAATTTATTTATTTATTTATTTTGAGACAGGGTCTCACTCTGTTGCCCAGGCTGGAGTTCAGTGATGCGAACATGGCTCACTGTACCCTCAACCTCCTGTGGTCAAGTGATCCTCCCACCACACCCTCCTGAGTAACTGGGACCACAGGTGTGCACTACCACACCTGGCTAATTTTTTAATTTTGTAGGGATGGTGTCTTGCCAGGTTGCCCAGGCTGGTCTTGAATTCCTGGGCTCAAGCAGTCCTGCTGCCTCAGCCTCCCAAAGGCCTGGAATTACAGGTGTGAGCCACCATGTCTGGCCGACACCTTTTTTTTAAAGTAAATAGTTTTAACTCTATAGCCTTTTGTTGTAGAATTTTATACTGTACTTTTTTTTTTAAGCCAACAGCATTTCATGAACTTGTTTTCTTTTCCCCAGAAATCTCTCTGATAGAAATCTTTTCTTTTGCCCTTTCCTAATACTCTTTTTCCATCACTTTATTTGCTATATGGAAGTGATAGGGAAAGTTACTCTTCTCTTAAATAACATCATCCTATTGAAATATATTCTAGAAATGTAACAAATGTGTCTGTTCTTAAGACAAAGAAGTAGATTGTGGGTTTGGGTGTGCTGGTGAAGCTCAGCATTCAAATTAATACTTAGCTGAGATTTACCAAGAGGCATTTTGAATTTACTGATTTACCAAGAAGAATTCTGAAATGATAGATACATGTTCTGGCATAGTAGAATTCTAAATTAAATTTTGACTGTTTTTTATCTTAAAAGTTTTAAAAAACTTTTTATTTTGAGGTAATTGTAGATTCACATGAATGTGTAAGAAGTAATACAAAGAATAAATCATACATCTACCCAGTGGTACTGTTTTGCATAACTTTAGCATAGTATTACAACCAAGGAAAAGGCATTGATACAGTCAGTTGACTTAGTTTACATGCACATGTTTGTGTATGTTTGTGTGTGTGAGAGACAGAGTGTGCGTGTGTTCTGTGTAGCTCACATCTGTGACCACCACCACAGTCAAGTCCAGAACAGTTTCATTATCAGGATCCCTTGCGTTATCCATATATAGCCTCAGCCACCTCCCTTCCCCTTCCCATTGTCCTAATCTCTAGCAACCACTAATCTGTTCTCTCTCTTTGTAATTATGTCATTTAAGAATATTTTATAAATGGAATTTGCCAGGTGTGGAGGCTTATGCCTGTAATCCCAGCACTTTGGAAGGCCAAAGTGAGAGGACAGCTTGAGCCCAGGAGTTCGAGACCAGCCTGGGCAACATGGCGAAACATCTCTACAAAAAAATACAAAAATTAGCTAGGTGTGGTGGTGTGCACCTGTAGTTGCAGCTACTCAGGAGGCTGAGGTGGGAGGATCACTTGAGCTCAGGAGGTGGAGGTTGCAGTGAGCAGAGATCACGCCACTGCACTCCAGCCTGGGCAACAGAGTGAGACCCAGTCTCAAAACAAGACAAAAAATGATATTATATAAATGGAATCATACTGTATGTAACTTTTTGACATTAGCTTTTTTAGCATAATTAACATTTTTTTCTGATTATAAAAGTAATACGGAATTAGCTAAAGAACTATTGGAACTAATTACTAAGGAGATGGATGTATATTTACCACACAAAAATGAATAGCTTTCTTATTTACCCATAGTAATCAATTTAAAAAATGGTATGGGAGAAAAAGAAGATTCCATTCACAATGATAACAAAAACTATAAATACTTAGAAATAAACTTAACAAAAAATTACAATTATAAAACTTGAATAAAGATCACAAAAGAAGGTGGGAAGATAAATTGTAAAAATGATTGTGTCAATCTATAATTTCAGTGCGATCTCAATCAAAATTTCAGCAGTTTTTGAAAAACTTAGTAAACTGTTCTGAACATAGTATACATTTGAAGGAAAAAGTTCTCAAAAATAAGAAATTTTTGAAAAAAGTGAAAGAGACTGCATGCCAAATATAACATATATTATTGAATTATAGTAATTAAGCAGTATGAAATTGAAGAGTAGACAAATCAGTGGATACAGTCCAGAAACCTATCCACACATAAATGTGAATTTAGTTTTTAATATAGGTGGCATTTCAAATCACTGTGGTGAGTAAATAATAATGATGGGAAAATTGGTTGTGTGTTTGGAAGAAAAATACTGAGACCTTCTCCTTTACATTTTATGTAAATATATATATATTTGATTCTGTAAAAATGAAAACTTGCAACCTAAGTGCCCATCAGTGGATAAATGGATAAATAAAAGTGTGGTATAACCATATAATGGGATATTATTCAGCCTTAAAAGGGAAAGAAATTCTGACATGCTACATACAGTCTGTATGAACCTTGAGGACATTATGCTGAGTGAAATAAGCCAGTTACAAAAAGACAGATACTCTATGATTCCTTCTGTAGAGTAGTCAGATTCATAGGGATAGAAAGTAGAAGGTGGTTGCCTGGGGCCGAGGGTGAGAGAGGAATGGAGCATTCGTGTTAGTGGGTAGAGTTTCAGTTTTGCAGAATGAAGAGTTCTGGAGATTAGTTGCACAATAGTGTGAATGTACTTAACACTGCAGAACTCTACACTTTAAAATGGCTAATACATTAATTTTATGTGTATTTTATGACAGTTAAAATTTTTTATATAGTATTTCTGAAAGATGAAAACTGCGACAAAATATAAAGATTACAGGGACAAATGACAAAATGGGAGATGACATTTGCAAATCAACAAAAAACTATCTACATATAGTTTATATAAATCAGTAAAACCCTCCAAATTGGAAAATTTATCAAAGACTTAAAGAGGCAATTCATAGATGAAATGGTCAAAGGTAGCTCAATACTGAAATGTGAAATATGAAAGGATTTGCCTTACTAATAATGACAGAAGTACAAATTAAGAGCAATGGTTTTATCCACTATATTGCCGAGAATCAAAAAGATTCATTAAATGTGCAGCTAAACAGTCACACCTGTGCATATTTGGTGAAAGTATAAGTTGATTATGTGTTTTCAGAAGCAATTTGAGATCACCAACATATAATACATTCAAATCCTTTGAGCTTTCAATTCCACTTCTAGGAATTTAGCCTAAAGAGGTGTTTATACATACACAGAATAGTATCTTCTTAAGGATATTTATTGCAGCATTATGTGTGACAGCAAAAATTTGGGGAGGGGAGAAACCTAAATGTTCACTGATAGGGAAATAGTTAAATAATGATACCTCCATAGTATGGAGTGTTAGGTAGATTTTGTTCATTTTTGTTACGTAGCTTTAAAACAGAATAATTTATATGTTCTGACAGAAAGTATATGTAAGTGGTAAATGATAGAACAATATGTTTAGTGTCATCCTTTTTATGTGAATAAAACCCAACTATATATATGCACAAATACGAATATCAGTTCAAAGAAAGGACACACAGGCCTGGAATCCCAGCACTTTGGGAGGCCAAGATGGCTGCATCACCTGAGGTCAGGAGTTCGCGACCAGCCTGACTAACATGGTAAAACCCCATCTCCACTAAATGAAAAAAAAAAGTTAGCCAGACATGGTGGTGCATGCCTGTAATCCGAGCTATTTGGGAGGCTGAGACAGGAGAATCACTTGCACCTGGGAGGCAGAGGTTGCAATGAGCTGAGATCGTGCATTGCACCCCAGCCTGGGCAACAAGAGTGAAACTCCGTCTCAAAAAAAAAAAAAAAAAGAAAGAAAAGAAAGGACACACAACTGGTACTATTTATTTAAGTTGAATCAATTGACTCTATTTTTTTTTTTTTTTTTTTGAAACAGAGTTTTGCTTTATCACCAGGGCTGGAGTGCAGGGGCCCAATCTCAAGCTACTGGAACCTTTGCCTCCCAGGGGCAAGTGATTTTCCTGCCTCAGCCTCCTGAGTAGCTGGGATTACAGGTGCCTGCCACCACACCCGGCTGATTTTTTGTATATTTAGTAGAGATGGGGTATCACTATGTTCGCCAGGCTGGTCTCAAACGCCTGACCTCATGATCTGCCCTCCTCAGCCTCCCAAAGTGTTGGGATTACAGGCATTAGCCACCGCACCCCGCAATTGACTCTTTTTTTTTTTTAAAAGAGGACATAATGTCATGTGGCTAGTATAATTTTAAAAAATCATATATGGGGAAAAGTTATATATGCTCATTTAAAAAATTTATGCAGAAAAGAGAAAAGGAGCAAAAAAAACCAATTTCATCAAGTCAGCACTTGTTAAATCTATCATAGTTTCTTTTTATGTAATTATATGTGATAGAATTATTCATCTATCTTTTTCAGTAGTCTAAATAAAAGAAATATATAAAATAACTGTATGTTTGGAAGAAATCTAACTTGTGTTTTTTTTTTCTTTAAACAGTTTTTTTCCACTAACTGAAGGCAATTTGCATACCATTCAAAGTCTATGTCCATTTTTGTCAAAAGAAGAAAAGAAAGAATTTAGTGCTCAATGTATACCTGCTCTTTTGGGCTGGACTAAGAAAGATCTTTGCAGCACTAATGGTTAGTTGCTTGATAATAAATATTTCATTAATTTAATTATTGCTTGAGATGAAGAACTGTTTCTAATATATAAGACCACATCTAGCAGAGGTAAATTGAATTACAGCTGATTTGTTCTGAGATTATATGGATGAGTGTTGTTAGACAGTGGCTGTTACCATTTTACAGTACAAAAATGCTGGGCCTTAAGGGAAGACTTACGCCCAGAAATACCTTCTAACCATTTCTTTTCTATCTATAGCTTTTTAAAGCTGTGCCTCATTTCTCCCTAGCCAATCAATGATTGAACATATAAAGGCAAAAATAGCGTCTGTTGTATTTAAAACACTGCACTTTTCATTTGTTTATTAATTTAATAAACATTTATGAGCACCTGCTACATGGTAGTTCCTATTGTAGAGAAGACAAACATAAAGTTGTATTATGTGATAACCGATGTAGCAAAAAGATGTGCTATGTATAGAAGTGGCAGAAAGGAAGGAGTTTCCACTCTGCTTTGAGGGTGTTAGTGGCAATTTCACAAAGAGAAATATTTCTACTGGGTGTTGAAGGATAAATAGTTTTCCATATGGACATAGTTGGGGAAGGGCATTCCAGGTACACAAAAACATACAAGGGTACAGATTGTTCATTTTGGCTGGTATGTAAGATAGAAGGTTGGGGACAGAGGGTGTTAAGATACACCAGTGGATGGATTTTGAGGAATGGTAGAGATTCTAAAGAGTGAGTCCACATCAGAGTTTACCACATGTACTAGCTGCTATTGAGTGAATGAATGTATAAATTATGAAACAGTATGTTCTATTTTCCATTTGCTGTTTCCAGCTACTCTGTAGCTGTAGGGTTTTTTTTATTTGAATGATGAGTTTGCTGAATATGTCCTGCACTTAAGAAACCAAAACAAAAACAGCATAAGTCAGTTTAAATTACAGCATCATTCACTCTTTCTCCTCCCCCAAATTCTCTATTGTGTGCTAGGTGCTGGGTTTGGAGACAGGGTCTCTGCCCTTTGGAGCTTATAAGCTCATTTGTTGACTCTTAGATAAAAGTCATTATTAGAGTTCTTAACCTGAACACTTCTCAAGAAAGTCTTTTACTTCTCAAAGTGGACTTTTTTTTAATAGTAGCGATATAGTTCTTAAATATTTTTAATTTTCATTTTGAATTTTACTTTAGGAGGTTTTGGACATCTTGCCATTTTCAATTCTTGTCTGCAAACCAAAAGTATAGATGATGGAGAGCTATTACATGGAATATTAAAAATCATAATATCCTGGAAGAAAGAGCATGAAGATATTTTTCTTTTCAGTTGGTAGGTGATACTTTATACTATGTTTTTCCTTCAGTATACAATTCAGACAAAGATTACGTATCTGTGTCACAATTTTGTAGAGAAATTATGGTAGACATTTAAGTCAGTTATAAATAAGTATGTAAGATTTAAAGTAGCATACTTTCTAATTGAATGTCAATATAATCTTTTATTGTCTTTTGTTTTTATCTTTATCACAGTAATCTATCAGAAGCAAGTCCAGAGGTACTGGGTGTAAATATAGAAATAATCCGGTTTCTTTCCCTATTTCTGAAATACTGCTCATCCCCTTTGGCAGAGAGTGAGTGGGACTTCATCATGTGCTCCATGTTGGCTTGGTTGGAGGTAAATTAACCCGATATGTCATCACCTCTTGTGGGTTTTTGTACATACTTTTGCATCAGAACTATTTACTAATCTCATTCTTTAAGTGATGATTGTAATTGGTTCCTTTGTATAATTTAAAACACTTTATAGATGTTCTTCTTACCAGCTACTATTTGACAGAATAGTAAAATGATAGATTTTTAATGACTACCAGCATCATTCAGTGACCAAATCTCCTGTTATTAAAATGCCTTCTCCATTAGCTTATTGTAATATTTGCAGCACAGCCCTTTCAGGTTTTATCTGTTAATGACAATTATTTTGGTCTTTTTTGGTTATAATTAGATTATTTCTAAAACATACTGTGTGAATATTGTGAGAGTAATGCATTAAATAGTAGCAGATTCAGAGGGAATTAGTGTAATTTTTGACCCAAAGCAACCAGAGGTATATTACTTGTGGGCTCCAAGGCAGCAAGTCAGTCAGGGTTGGATTGGTCTGAATCTCTGCTTTGCCTGCTATTAGCTATGTGACTTAGAGTTTTAAACTTAAACTATTTGAGACTCAGTTTTCTTTCTTTCTTTCTTTCTTTTTTTTTAAATTTGAGATAGAATCTCGCTCTGTTGCTTAGGCTGGAGTGCAATGGTGCGATCTTGGCTCACTGCAACCTCCGCCTTCTGGGTTCAAGCAATTCTTGTGCCTCAGCCTCTCAAATAGCAGGATTACAGATGCCCACCAGCATGCACGACTAATTTTTATATTTTTGGTAGAGATGCGGTTTCACCATTTTGGCCAGGCTGGTCTCAAACTCCTGCCCTCATGTGATCCACTTGCCTCAGCCTCCCAAAGTGTTGGGATTACAGGCATGAGCCACTGTGCCTGGCCGATTTTCTTATTTTAAAATAATAACTTACAACTTGTAGGGCTACTGAGAAGATTATAAATGTGTATTTAATGTGTCTGACTTAGTGTTTCCTTCCATGGGTTAGAAATTAAAAAGGGTACTTGAGAATAAATTGTTTATTAATGATTCTATTCATGGTATTTAATTTTGAAGAAAAAAGTTATTTTGATGTAAAATTTTATGTTTCTCCTGAGATTACACACCTCAACTGCTTTTCGTTTTAAAATTCAAAGAAATGAAAGTGGGGCTTTTCTTTATATTGGCTTTATTTGTAGTGTTCTGGTAGAAGTCTGTTTACCTATTTCATTTTTATTGTTTTTTCAGACAACAAGTGAGAATCAGGCATTGTATTCTATTCCACTTGTGCAACTGTTTGCCTGTGTCAGCTGTGATTTGGCCTGTGACCTCAGTGCTTTCTTTGATTCCACAACTCTGGATACCATTGGCAATCTTCCTGTAAATCTAATCAGTGAATGGAAAGAATTTTTTTCCCAAGGCATCCACAGTTTGCTTTTACCTATTTTGGTGACTGTTACAGGCAAGTGAAAAAGGGAATAATAGTGAGATTGATTCATTGGAAATGACTTACTGAAAAATTCAAAAGCAAAAATTTTGATGTTTAAATCAAATAATACTAAATAGTAAAAGAAAAAGCCAGAAGAGAAAGCTTGGCTTCTCAGAAGCATCATCTATGCTTTACTTTACAGACAGAAATTGAAAAATGGCAAGGTATCCAATGACTGTTGCAAATTAAAATAATAATACTTCAGATAACATGAATGGATGATGTGAATAGAACCTTGCTATTGAACATTTGCTGGATCAGATAAAAGTCATTAAAACAGTTGAGATTAACTGGAATATATATTCAGTTCATGTTTCTAGTTAAGACTGCTTTATTGTTTATGTCTAGTTTTTATTTCATTTTCTTAAATGACATTTGATTGTTTGTGAATCATTTAAGCTATACTAACTTTCTTTTGAGACGTGCATGTTTCTTTCCTTTTTGTCATTAGGAGAAAACAAAGATGTGTCTGAAACATCCTTTCAGAATGCAATGCTGAAACCCATGTGTGAAACATTAACGTATATCTCAAAGGAACAGCTATTGAGTCACAAACTTCCTGCAAGATTAGTTGCTGACCAAAAAACAAACTTACCAGAATATCTCCAGACTTTGTTAAATACATTGGCCCCATTACTCCTCTTCAGAGCTAGGCCTGTGCAAATTGCTGTTTATCATATGCTATACAAGTAAGAATTCATCCAATTGAATCAATGTTACAGTGGTCTAAAAAAATAGAATATATGCTTAGTTTTTACTTTTAATTATTTAAAGTAAAATTTTTAAAAGAAGGAGATCTGACTGCTTCACTTATAGGGACCCTAAGTTGCCTCATCTTTTAGGTTATTGTTCTCTATACACAATTTATATTTCAATAGTCCTGGCTATAGTAGTTATTTTAAAGAAAACTCATTAAAACATTTACTCATTATAAAATAAGTATTGGTCTTTCTGCTCTTGAGCACGACTTAATAAACAGTTTAATATCACATATTTAAAAATAATGTTCTAATTTCTAGATTGATGCCTGAATTACCACAGTATGATCAGGATAATCTAAAGTCATACGGAGATGAAGAAGAAGAGCCAGCCTTGTAAGGTTTTTTTAAATAATTTGTTTTATTAAATTCTTATAATCCATCTCACTTATAATGTCTTTAGAGGACTGAAGCAGCACAGAAGCTATAGAGTTATATTCATTCTACAGATAGATCTTTTTAGTTATCTGTAAGATATAAATGAAATATAGATTTCACCCAAAAGATTGTGTCACTCTCTTAATTGTTCTTAAATCACATTTTCCGTTTGCTACTGTTCAGTAAAACTATCTTTGGCCATATGGTGGCTGTGGAAAGAGTGTATCGGTTCAAGTATCTATTGAGCATCCACTTTGTGCAGAGTATTAATTAAATGCTGAGGGGAATATGCAGTGTTTAGTGAGCACTTTCTTTTCCTTAAGGAATTTATCTGATACAGATGATACTGTAGCGTTATGGAAAATATAGTATATGATAAGTGCTAAGAAAAAGGATAGATAACTTTTTTTTAAAGGTCAGTTAGGCCTATATAAGATAGCATGTATGAGGGCACAATTAATGTACATCAGGAAGGGAAGACTTTCTTTTGAGGAAGAGGCATTTAAACTGGACCTTTAAGGTTAGGTAGCATTTCTGCAGGACAGGAAAGACAACATAAGTTAAGAGAACATCATGTACAAAGGCACTGAGTCATGAATGTGAGGATGTGCTTGGGGAATATTGAGTAGTTACCACTTAATGTATAGTTTTATTGATAATATCTTTCTTTACTGGAATGTAAGTTCTGTGAGGGCAGGAATTTCTCTCTCTTATTTCTGAGAGAGAAATAGGCTAGAATGCTGTAGGCCAGAATGCTTCCTGGCCTATAATAAATGGCCTTAAAAATGACTTTTTTGGGGGGATTTGGTCATTACTTGGTAGGAGATAGGGCGCCACCAGCCGATTCTGACACTAATGTGAAACATGAATTGTAAAAAGAAGCAAGCAGAGGTGGAGCTGATTGCAGAAGTTAAATAACAATGCATGGAGGGCAATGTGAAAAGTGGAGAGATTTTGGAGCTGGTATTTTATAAGATCTAGTGACTATCAGTATGGAATATAGAAGGCTGGGTACATGAGATGGAGGTGTTGAAGGAAAAGACCTAAGAGCAGAAGTTTGGAGAAGGCCTGTACTTGTGGGCTGGGAGAAGGAAGCCACAAGGGAAGAACGATCACAGAAGTGAAAGGAGAGAACCAGGCTAGAGTATCATGGAGAAGAGAGTTAAGTATTTTACTTTTTGAGAATCTCATAAGTTCACCTGAAAGTATAAATGAGTAGAGTAGTTCAATAAAGAAGAAAATTAACTTACATTGTTGTGAATTAATCTGAATGGTACATTTATTTTCCTAAAAAGATTACAATCATGATTTTTTAAACAGGCACATAATTATTTTCTGTGTTTATCCGATTAATAGTATCATTGTGATATTTCTTAATAGTACTAAGTAGATAATATGCAATAAAATAGAAACTAGAATGAAGTGACAAAGTTCGAAGTCTTAATCTTCACTTTGTCTTTTATAAGATGATAAAAGGCCGGGTAGGATTTAGAATCCCTAACAGTTTCCCCTACTAACTGAAAGACGTTGGACTCATCATTTGGCTTCTCTGGGTGTGTGATTTTTTTTCACTTAGAAAATTGAAAGAGACGTTTTCTAAAAATGTCTTTCCTTCAAGTGCTATAATATGTCTTTTTTATTTTACTGTTATGTGAGATTAGGAGTTAAAATTGGCTCAATAGAGGGGAATTTTTAAAACGTTTTTTGGAAAACAGAGAAATTTTTCTAAAATGCTTGAAGTTTACAAGTACTGTCAATTTGTTAAGGAATGAATTATAAAGAAAACTTGTGGTGTTTAATCATTGATTCTTAGGTCACCACCAGCAGCACTGATGTCTCTTCTTAGCATTCAAGAGGACTTACTAGAAAATGTTTTGGGGTGTATTCCTGTTGGACAGATAGTTACTATTAAACCACTGAGTGAAGACTTCTGTTATGTTCTGGGATACCTTCTCACTTGGAAATTAATACTAACTTTCTTCAAAGCTGCATCATCACAGGTAAATAAATATGTGACAACTTTCGATAGTTCTGTCCTAATATGCTTCTGATACTGTTCTAAATACCTTCCTTTCAGTTTAATAAAAGGAAAATCCTTATGTTTTAATCTCATCTTTTAAAATTTATTTTATTTTGTTTATTTGAGACAGGGTCTCACTCTGTTGCCTGTGCTGGAATGCAGTGGCACAATCTCGGCTCACTGCAACCTCTGCCTCCTAGGCTCAACCGATCTTCTCACTAAGTAGCTGGGACTACAGGTGCAAGCCACCATGCCTGGCTAATTTTTATATTTTTGTAGAGATGGGGTTTCACCGTGTTGCCCAGACTGGTCTCAAACTCCTGAGCTCAAGCGATCCACCCACCTTGGCCTCCCAAAATGCTGGGATTACAGGCATGAGCCACTGCGCCCAGCCTAATCTCATTTTATCCAACTAACTTCCATCTGCTTAATAAGTTTACTCCTGTCCCTTATACCTTACCTTCCAAGCAAAAGTAATTACTCTGATAGGTGGCCAGATCAACTTTTTTCTAACTGAATGTAGTCACCAGGTTCTTTTATTTCAGGAAATAATATTTATATAATTTAATTTTGTACTATCATAGTAATGATTTCAAAAGAATTGGATCTTGTGTTTTTTGTTTTTTTTTCGGAGGGAGTCAGTTTGTCACTCTGTTGTGGAGATATAACTTAATACATCATTGGAAATTTACCTTACTTGAAAATCACTGTTTGGAGAGAGATCTGTGAAACATTACCTATGTAATAATTCAAACTGTTACCTAAGTGGTGAAAATATCTGAAATATTTTGTCCAAATTATTCTAGCAGCCACTAGATGTCTCTGTTGTCTCATGTTTAGGAAGTAAGACCTTGTCCAAGAAGAAACTGGAAAGATCTCTCTAGTTTTTCTGTTAGAAGGATCCCCACTTGAAGATAGTTTGAGCCGGGGAAGTGGAGGTTGCAGTGAGCTGAGATCATGCCACTGCACTCAAGCCTGGGCGACAGAGCCAGACCCTGTCTCAAAAAGAACAAGGAAGATCCAAATCTCTGTCAATCTTTGATTGAATTAGCCTAATAAAATATGTGCCTTCTTTTGACAGGTCAATACAAAAAGATTTAGTTTATCATTTAGTGTGATTAAGTATTCATGGCATTCATTTCCAATGTGACTTTTTGGAATTTTTAAATTATAATTTATGTTGTTGCTCATACCCTATACCCTGGTACAAAGATATCAATTTTTGCATCTTTGCATTTGTATATCTGTGGGGAAAAGTCAAATCACAGAAGCAGCATTGATCTAGCTGTTAAATAGATTAGTTTTCTCTTTAGGCCTGTCACTTATTTTTGTGACTTAAGCTAGTTTTATTTGCTGATGATATATTTCAAGAGCTCCTTATTTGGCTTTTACATCAATTTCTTAAAATATTGTTGATCTTTAAAAAATAGCAGCAGATTGAGGCATTTGTGTATAAGAGTTTTGTTCTCATTTTATATTCAGAAATTAGGAAAATGGCCATGTGTCACCTTTTTCATTAAGCTGGGATTGGGTTAGGGTGCAAAATTATACGGCAGCATTTATTATTATTGAGTCTGAAACTTGAACTGAGCTGTGGGCAGATAAACCAGAATAACCCACTAAGTAATACTAATTAGATGAATCCTGAAATAAACAGAATTTTTCTTCGGAAAACTTTAAATGTTCCTAAATCATGGGTTAACTTTTTTCTCAAAAAAACTAGCAAATCAGATTGAACTGGAAAAAGTTGTATATGTACATGTGTATGTTTTTGTGTCTGTTTTATAAAGCTTTACTGAGATATTGCACATACCATAAAATTTACCCACTTAGCATACACAGTTTGGTGTTTTTAGTATATAGTCATCCCTTGATATCTGCTGGGGATTGTTTCCAGGCTCCCTCCCATGACCCCCACCCCAGCGAATACTCAAGTTCCTTATATAAAATGGCATATAGTATCTGCATCTAACCTATGCACATCTTCCTGTATACTACTTAAAATCATCTCTAGATTAGTTATCACTGATACAGTGTAAATGCTATTGAAATAGTTGCTATACTGTATTAAAGTTTTTAGTATTTTTATTGTTGTATTGGTTTTTTTAAATCACTTTTTTTGCCCCTCAAATGTTTTCAATCTGCGATTGGTTGAATTCTCAGATGTGGAACCCATGGAAGTGGAGGGCTGACTGTATTCACAGAGTTGTGCAACTGTTAACCACTATATAATTTTAGAACCTTTTCAACATCCCATTGTAATTGATAGCAATCACTTCCCATTTCCTCTCAAACCCCGCAGCTCCTGACAGCCATTAAACTGTGTTCTGTCTCTATGCATCTGCCTGTTCTGGACATTTCACATATCTGGTCTTTTGTGTCTGGCTTTTATTTTAGTATATTATTTTCAAGATTATCAAATTGAAGCATGTATCATAAGTATTGCATTTATTTTTGTGGCTGAATAATACTCCATTTTGTAGATCTATCACATTTTGTTTATCTATCTGTTTATCCATTAATGGGCATTTAGGTTGTTTCCTTTTTTTTGGCTATTGAAAATAAAGCTGCTGTGAACATTCGTGTACGAGCTTTTGTGTTGAAATATGTTTTCACTTGTGTTGTATACCTTGGAGTGGGATTGCTGGGTCGTATATGTGTGTTTTTAAAAGTCCATTGATATTGGTGATTAATTTTTTAAAAATCTCTAACTTTTTGTTTTGAAAAATTAAACAATGAAGTTGGAAGAATAATTCAATGGAAAATCACATACTCTTTTAGATAAAAAAGTTACATACATCTTTTAACATATTGCTACATTTGCACATACTTTCTCTGTATTTACTTTTTTTCTGCTGATCTACTTGAAAGTAAGTTGCAGATATTTTGATGCTTTACCAAAAGTATTTAAGCATATATCTCCTAAGATCACGGACATGTTTCTACATAAGCATAATATAATTTTTATACTCAAGAAATTTAATTTTGATGCAATAATATCTAATTTTTATTTAGATACTTTCAGTTGTCCCAGTAATATCTCTATAGTTTTATTTTCTTCTCTATTGAAGATCCAATCAAGAATCATGTTTGTATTTGCTTGTCATATTTCTTTAGTTTCTTTAACCTATAATTTCTATACCTTTCTTTTCTTTCTTGTCATTGTTTTGGCCAGCTGTTTTTAGCCTGTCATACAATGTGAATTTGTCTGATCGTTTCCTCATTAGATTGTGGTTAATTTTTAGCAATAGTACTTACTGCACAAGTTGTTATGTGTTCTCAGTGTCTTACCTCAGGAGCCATATAATGTCATTGTGTTCTTTTACAGGTTGAGTATCCCTTATCCAAAATGCCTGGGACCAGTAGTGTTTCTGATTTCAGATTTTTTCAGATTCTGGAATATTTTTGTTACACTTACTGGTTGAGCATCCCAGATCCGAAAATCTGAAATGCTCCAGGAGCATTTCCTTTAAGCATCATGTTGGTGCTCAACAAGTTTTAGATTATGGAGCATTTTGGATTTTGGATTTTCAGATTTGGGATGTTCATCCTTCATTAGTGATGTTAAGTTTGATGATAAGAGCACTTTGGTCAACATATTTTAAAAATCAATTCCAAATCCTATGACTTGATCCTTGTACTTAAGTATTCATAGTGTTCAGAAAATGCTATATTTTACACAAAGAAAGGATAAATGCTTGAGGTGATGAATACCCCACTTACCCTAGTACATATTATATGCCTATAAAATACCTCATATGCCCCATAAATATCTACTGTGTACCCACAAAAATTAAAAATACAAATTTTTTAAAAAGAAAAGGGAAAGAAAATGATATCTTTGTACTGTGAGGAGATATGTGATATAGTAGAAATTATCTTAAAACCAATACAGATACCAAAGAACTGCAAAGTCAATGTGGAAAATGCAAGCTACTTTATGGAGGGAAAGCAGGAGTTGTGAAGTACAGGTCTCACACAGATACCTGCAGTGCTCCCACTGGTGGCTCGTTTTTCTGTTTTTAAAAGAGAAATCAGAAATCCATATTTTTATGTGAAATTTCCTGATTGAAAAAACAACTCTGAGAAGACCCCCATGACATTTTGGACCACTAGTTTGTGCTCTCTGTCGTAAAGGGATGTCGGAGTTTTTGATACAGGGTGAGGTCAGCCATAAAAATGGGATTAGTTTTAAGCAGGAATTTGAAAGGTTAAGGGCAATGGTGTGGAAGGAATGTATGGAAGACTTGGGAGGAGAGTGAGGGAGTCATCTGTGGGAATGGTGAATAGATTTTCTTGTCTCAGACATTCTAAGCCAAGGTGAGTGCATTGTAATACAGGAAGACAATTTGAGAAAGATATTAGAAATGTGTTACAATAATGAGGGGATAGAATGTCTGCTAGTTTATGAGGAAAGGAAATTTGTTACACTTTGAGTTGTTCTTTTATACCAATTGTCTTGGTGTATTTGGTTTACTAACAAATTCTTTGCTCTCCACCAGCTTCGGGCTTTGTATTCCATGTATCTTCGGAAAACAAAGAGTTTGAATAAATTGCTCTATCACCTGTTCAGGCTTATGCCAGAAAATCCAACCTATGCAGAGACAGCAGTTGAGGTCCCAAATAAGGACCCTAAAACATTCTTTACTGAGGAGCTCCAGCTGAGTATTAGAGGTCAGTAAGATATGTGTTTATGTTCTTTCTTGGACACTAGATTCAGACTAGGTTGAATTAAACTTTTCCCTGAGAATGTGGAGAATAACCCCAAAGGTGGGTCCTGGCTATGAGAATGTTGAAATTGACCATTTTCCATATTTCTCTAAATAGGATGAATAATTAGTTTTTACCCATAAGACTGTGAGGAATTTAATACATTTTTGAAGCTTAGTGTGGTGAGACTATTAACTTTTGACTCTGTAAACAAATATTTCTTACGTGATAACATTTTATAGGCATATAAATCAGGGGAAATAAAGTTGAATAACATTTCATTCTGGGAGCTCACATGTGAGCTGAGAGGACAGATATGCATGTATCTGGTTGTACTACAGTATTGGAAACAATTTACTAAGAATATGAGTTTTTTAAATGCCTTGGAGATCTGAGGATGGACTGCATCTTGTGAGTATTGAGTTGGGTATTCCAAGACTTCTGCACAGCAGTTCAGCAAGCTCTGGGGAAAGTAAAGGAGGCCAAACTCCTTTTCATAATTTATAACAGCAAGCATCTTTAATTTTTCCTTCTTTTTAAAATATGTGTATTCTATTTTATTTGTGGTCTTCATGTTAAATACAGAAATCTGTTTCTAGGTAGATTTTTCAGTGTCAATTGGGATTTTCACTTTTTTTTTTTTTTTTTTTGAGACGGAGTCTCGCTCTGTCGCCCAGGCCGGAGTGCAGTGGCGTGATCTCGGCTCACTGCAAGCTCCGCCTTCCGGGTTCATGCCATTCTCCTGCCTCAGCCTCCGGAGTAGCTGGGACTACAGGCACCCATCACCACGCCCACCTAATTTTTTGTATTTTTAGTAGAGACGGGGTTTCACCGTTTTAGCCAGGATGGTCTTGATCTCCTGATCTCGTGATCCACCCACCTCGGCCTCCCAAAGTGCTGGGATTACAGGCGTGAGCCACTGCGCCCGGCGGGATTTTCACTTTAAAAAAAAATTCTTTTGCCATTCTTATGGTTCATTTTGAATGTGTGGAAAGATGCTCATACTCCAGAGTTCTGGTTTCTCTGGTATGTTTGTTTTTATGAGCTATAGCACTATTGTTGAGAAATTAAGGATCACTTTCTAAAGAAAATACTAATATTAGTCTGTTATTCTATATAAGAAATATATGTTACTAATCAATAATTTGTTTTTTCCTCAGAAACAACAATGCTTCCATACCACATTCCACACTTGGCTTGTTCAGTCTATCATATGACATTAAAAGACTTGCCTGCCATGGTTAGGTTGTGGTGGAATAGCAGTGAGAAGCGTGTTTTCAATATTGTGGATAGATTTACAAGCAAGTATGTCAGCAGTGTTCTTTCTTTTCAAGAAATATCTTCTGTACAAACAAGTACACAACTATTTAATGGCATGACGGTTAGTATTGTCTTGACTTTCTCTAGAAAAGTTGTTTTAATATTGGGTATGTCTGTCATTGTTAATATCATAACAGACTGTAGCTCTTAACTCAGAATTTATAGAAACTGGTGGCCAGGAGTCGTGGCTCATGCCTTAATCCCAACGCTTTGGGAGGCCAAGGTGGGAGGATCACTTGAGCCCAGGAGTTCAAGACCAGCCTATTTTATTTTCTAATTTGTGTGTCAAATCTCAACATTACTTCATGCGTGGATTGAAACAGTGGTATAATTTCATTCACACACTGTATTAGTCTATTCTCAGATTGCTATAAATGCCTGAAACTGGGTAATTTATAAAGAAAAGAGGTTTAGGCCGGGTGCAGTGGCTCATGCCTGTAATCCCAGCATTTTGGGAGGCCGAGGTGGGTGGATCACTTGAGGTCAGGAATTTGAAACCAGCCTGGGCAACATGGTGAAACCCCATCTCTACTAAAAAAATATAAAAATTAGCCATGCGTGGTGGCGGGCGCCAGTAATCCCAGCTACTCAGAAACTTACAATCATGGCGGAAGGCAAATGGGAGTCAGCACTTCACATGGCCAGAGCAGGAGGGAGAGAGGCGGGGAGGTGTCACACAATTTTAAACAACCAGATCTCATGACAGCTCACTCACTATCACGAGACTAGCACCCGTGGGAAATCCATCCCCATGATCCAATCACTTCCCACCAGGCCCCACTTCCAACATTTGGGATTACAATTCAGCATGAGATTTGAGCGGGGATACAGATCCAAACCATTTCACCCACCAAATAGTTTTTGAGCATTCATTAGTTCATTCAAAATCTGTACTGGAATACTTACAGATGCCAAGCACTGTGTCCCAGTCACCAAGGATATGAACAGTTTAGTAGGACCAGATTCTTGTCCTGTAATAACATACAGTCTAATAAAGGGAAAAGAGCGAGACTGATAATTATTTTTGCATTGGAAAGTAGCATATTAAGAGAAAGAGTGCCTTGTGATCTGAGTGGGAAAGATTCATCTGGCTGAGGGGATTAAGTGAGATTTTATGGAAGAAAATCACTTGGAGGTGGGCAGGATTTTGTTATGGGGAAAATGAAGGGAATGGCATTTACTATAAAGAAAATAGGCCGAGTGTGGTGGCTCACGCCTGTAATCCCAACACTTTGGGAGGCCGAGGCGGGCAGACCACCTGAGCTCGGGAGCTCAAGACCAGCCTGGCCAACATGGAGAAACCCCATCTCTACTAAAAATACAAAATTAGCCAGGTGTGGTGGCACGTGCCTGTAATCCCAGCTACTCGGGAGGCTGAGGTAGGAGAATTTTTTGAACCCGGGAGGCGGAGGTTGTGGTGAGCCGAGATCACGCCATTGCACTCCAGCCTGGGCAACAAGAGTGAAACTCCATCTCAAAAAAAAAAAAAAAAGAGAGAGAGAGAGAGAATAGTATTGCAAAAGCAAAAAGCATAGAAGTGAGAATGTCATTTCAGTCGTTGCCCAGGAAATGATAAATAATGCAGTACTCCAACCCAAATAATGCGTAGGAGTCCCAAGGGTGAATAGAATCAACGGTGAATAAGAGGTATGTTGGGAAGGGCCTCAAATAACGGTCTAAAGTGGTACAATTCAGCCACTGAACATTTTTCATTCAGGCAGTAGCATGATCAGAGTTAAAATCTTTGAAATTGCTCTGACCACAATCTATAGCATGATCTGTTGGCAAACAGTTTGGATTCAAATGAATGGTAGAGGAGACTATTGGGGTAGACATGAGCAAAGGACTAGGGCATGGGTGAGGCAGTAACAGTGGGAATATAAAAGTAGGGATGTGAGAGATTTTGTGCTAGTGATTTAGTTAATATCTAGGATGAGGTAGAAGCAGAAATTTAAAATGAGCTATCATGATTTTTTAGCCTGGAAGTAGGAAATTCAGAAGATGAAGTTTGTAAAGGATAATAATGTGTGCGTTTTATGTTGAGTTTGCAATGTTGGTTTGAAAACCAAACAAATAACTATAAATGTTCTGACAGTTGATAGTTGGCTCCAAAGCTCAGGAGGATAATATGGTAGAGGAAGAATTGTTAGATGTAGAAGTGACATTCGATACTCTGGGTGTGGAAGAGAAGCATAATAACCCATTCTGTCACTTATCTATTCAAGGTTTATTGAACTATTATGTGACAAGCCTAATATAATAAAACCTTTTTTATGAGCAATTAATTTCTTTTAAAACAAACTTTGAATATCACAAAATCACTGTAAAAATATACCAGGCAGGTATTTAAACGTATTTCTTAATTATCTCATGTCAGATAAGTGAATGTATTTACCTGCACTGTCCTTGAATGAAGTCTTTAGCTTTTAATAGTCAACCTATCAAAATGTTTTCTGGTTGAAAGACAGAAATTTGGCAAACAAAATATCCTTTGTTGTATTGCAGGTTAAAGCTCGAGCTACTACTCGAGAGGTAATGGCTACTTATACTATTGAGGACATAGTTATTGAACTTATAATACAACTGCCTTCAAATTATCCACTGGGTTCAATAATAGTAGAAAGTGGGAAAAGAGTAGGAGTAGCTGTTCAGCAGTGGCGGAACTGGATGCTGCAGTTAAGCACTTACCTCACCCATCAGGTAAGTTTCTGTTTACACATTTGGCTTTACAAACTTGGAAAAGATGATCTATTTAAAAGGGCATTTAAACATAAAATATATCTTTTCTGCTTAAGATAAAAGTAGATATTAAACTTCCTTGGATAAATACAGAGATATGCCTAAATGGATTAAACCTGCCTTTCTGTTTTAATTGTTAAGGTTCTGTAATTTATTTTCTGGTGTTTGAGAGGGATTGACTTTATTTCATTAACACTGTAGAAGGTGTATTAACAAAATTGTTTCGGAGAGGATGTTTTGAAAGATACTGGACAGATGAATGCCTTCTGAGCTACTTTCACTTTTATTCTTACATTTCAACTCCTCTTTGGTTAGAGAAGTCCCAGGACCCTCAAAGACCTTTGACCTCTAAACACATTTTAAATCTTCAGTTCTGTGTGCACATTGTGTATCTCAGGCATTCTACAATAAAGAAAAACTTTTTTTTTTTAAGAGTTTTTGCTCTTGTTGCCCAGGCTGAAGTGCAATGGCATGATCTCAGCTCACTGCAACCTCTGCCTCCCAGTTCAAGCGATTCTGCTGCCTCAGCTTCCAGAGTAGCTGGGATTACAGGCACCCGCCACCACACCTGGCTAATTGTTTGTATTTTTAGTAGAGATGGGGTTTCACTATGTTGGCCATGGTGGTCAACGAACTCCTGACCTCAAGTGATCTACCCACCTTAGCCTCCCAAAGTGCTGGGATTACAGGCTTGAGCTACCGCTCCCGGCCAAGAAAAACTATTTTAAAACAAATATGCTCACCAATATTGTAGAGCTGGAACAAATCATTTGAGATAATTTCATCATTTTCAGTTAAACATTAGAACTAACCTAAATGATTTAATTATTAAGAGAGTTTTATCAAGCAACAAGCTTAGACTATAACACTTTAAGTATTGGTCCAGAAGCCTTTAAAGTATGTCTTTAATGGAGAAAAATTACATCTGGTTCCAAAAACTTGGGAGGTTATTTTAAAAACCAACATTCATAAGTTGGGAGACATGAACATAGCCAAGCAGATTCTCTTCTTTCAGAATTGTAATTCAACTTTAAAATTTGTGAAATTGAATAAAAATAAAATTGGTGGTTATCAGTGTGTAGTGACTTATTTTTCTTCTTGTTAACAGAATGGAAGTATTATGGAAGGCTTAGCTTTATGGAAAAATAACGTAGACAAACGTTTTGAGGGTGTTGAAGATTGCATGATCTGTTTCTCAGTCATTCACGGTTTCAACTATTCCCTTCCCAAAAAAGCCTGTAGAACATGCAAGAAAAAATTCCATTCAGCCTGCTTGGTAAGTCTAAAGAGAAATTAACTTACTTATATTTTATGTATTTTATACACATAAACACACACACACACACACACACACACACACACACCTACACAATGTCTAACTTCGGAAGAGAAAATGTGTGTTAAACTTAATTGTAGCTAATGGGAGATATATTAAAAAGTGATTTTTTAAAATCTGCCAAAGATAATTAGCAGTTTACTGAGACTGGTAGAATCAAGGCCCTCTAATAAATGGGTGTTTCCAGTGACCTTTTACCACTCAAGAAGTAGAAGGTCTTCTGAGATCTAGACCATGAAGGAGAGTACAGGAGTTGGTACTGGAAGCCATCTGGCATCAGAGCCCTGTGCTCTTTTTAAACATACTGAAAAAGAAGTTGCCATTTGTTCATTTGTTTCACAGGAGATTTCTTATATCTTAGTGATTGTGTGCATGAGCCTAAGTAGGAAGAACTTAGTGTAGCCATCGGAAGTAATACTCAATTTGTGTTAATTTTGGAGATAACAGAAAGAGCAAAAATTTTATTGTTCTTCCCTTTTCACTTTATCATTTGAAGGTTACTATAGATGTATGTGTACTTTATGATGTATGTTAGAGGAGAACTTTAAAAGTTCTTTTAGTATTTAAAACCTTTTCTTTTTCAGTACAAATGGTTTACATCTAGCAACAAATCCACTTGTCCACTGTGTCGTGAGACGTTTTTCTGAGATTTTTTTCACTGGAAGGGATCCCTGAAGTACATCAAACAAAGGCATTGGATTTGGATCCGTCTGAAAGTGTGGATGTGGGGAAGCCAGTGAGCATTACTTTTAAATAGGACCTTCTCTGGAAAATTATTTTGGTTAATGTAATAATCCTAAAATCAGGTTTACTTAACTTTAGATTGCTTTGTAAATGTTTGGAAACTTTCTTTTACAAAAGAATATTACATATTTGAGAGAAAATATTTCTATTAATGGTTTAATTTCTTTGTATATTTAAAAATAAATATGAAAAACCCCTAAATTACAGAATTGGAATTTGTGAAAAGATTGCACAACTATATTATTGATAAACCCATTCCGTTTGTTGATCTGTGTTTTAGAATAGTCCAAGTGAAGCAAAACGAACTGAGAGAGCTGATTTACATCTATAGATATTTTAAGCCTTATTTATTAGTTATGACAATAAATTAGTATTCTGATATTTGTAGATTATTTTAATGATAAAAATGACACTAAGCTATTAATACGGCTTGTCTTAAGATATCTGGAGGCATGCTCTGAAATCCTATATAAAAGAGTTTAAACTGAACTTTAAGGTGCCTCCATTTATCAAGGGTTATGAAACTCAGAAAATTAAATTCTTGATGCTGACCTTTTTGCTTGTGGGAGAATTATTTCTATATATTAGTGAAATTTGAATTGTAAACTTGTCAGTGAATTTATCACTCTGAGCGAGTCTCTAGAGGGTGAGAATTTGAGAGAAATAGTAATTTGATTATTTCATTCATGAAGCGGAGTGGTAGTTATCCTTCTATTGAGAGGGAAGAAATAAATGAGTATTACTGAAACTTAAAGATCAGTGGAAAAAAAAAACATTTAAAAATGTTGTAGGAGACTTTCAATTTTGGAAGCAAACTGAGCTATTCTTACCAGCCAAAGTTATACTAAATAAGAGACTTGGGGGAGCAAATGTTTTTCAGCCTTCAGAAATGAAAGTTAAGGATTTTAGCACTAGGTAAAATTCAGTATAATAGGCTGAAGTGGAGTAAGTGAAAACCTGCCTTTTGCCACTCTTAAAAATTGTGCCCAAAATATAAAAGTGTGGAACTTTAGAACTTGGAATAATTTTATTGCAGTCTTCCATTACATGGAAATAGCATATCTAATATCTAGGTTACTTGAGAGACCAGCTAATCATCTCTGTTGCACATGTTTAATTGGCAAAAAGCAATTCATGATAAATAAAATTACTGCTTTCCATCTACTGGGTAAAATGACTATTGAAATAGTATGAATGTGGTCAGAGGATTATAGTTGAGAGTGAAGTACTATGTGTGAGTTATAGATCTCTCGAATTATATTTATAGATGCAGTGTCCTGCCCAGTTTTGTTTGCCTCCTACATTTTACTGTAAAATATTTATTGTCTTCTAGCCTTGAGCCTCTGAGGGTCAGTAAGTGAAGTACAGATAGCAAAATTTTACTACCTCGTTAACCCTTTTCTTAAAATATTCTCTATCTTTCTATGTCTCTTTCTGACATAGTAATCCCAAAGGATTGTGTTACTCCCCGTGAAAGTTATTACTTTTCCTTTAAAAATGGTTTTATAATAAGACTGTTTAAAACCTTTCCAGTATTGGTACATCTTGGCTTCTGGCCCAAACCCCAAGCAGAAAAGAAAATGGAATAATGGAGCATTGTTTTTCCACATTAGTATTAGGGCATCAGATTCTTGGTGAAACACTATAATTAAGTAGTTATAATTAAATAACTGTTCTTCATACTTAGGACTCTTAATACATTTCTTTAAGACTTGTAAGTATAATTGTAAAGCTTGTTAACTGTTTATATACTAAAGAAAAAGCTTTACAAGATAAGACTGAAATTCAGAATACCACATCTGTACAGCGTTGACAACTCTAACTAAAAGGATTACAGCCCTTAAAATTTTAGCTTAAGGACATTTTAAAATTGCATGAGATTAGCAAAATTATTAATTTAAAACCCCAAAGTAAATTGCAAATTTTAAAATTTATTTTTGACTCTTTTATCACATGCTCCAATGTATGTACATAAGTGTCTGTGGCTTAAATAATATGTTGTTATTTGATACATTTTTGTGGTGCAAGTAATTAATGTTATTATTTGATTGTTATACCATATGTGCCCATTAAAATTCTTTTTAATTAAAAATATTTCAAATATGCAGAAAAATAATAATATAAATGCCCTTGTACCCTTCACATACTATTTTGCCATATTTGCTTCTGATTTTTAAATAAATAAAATGTTACTCTTTTGTACTTCTCCCTGGCGCCATTCTCCTCCTTCTTTCCCTAGAGCTAACGTACTAATTCTGAAGTTGGTGTGACTCCTTCCTGTTTAAGATTTTATACTTTACCATGTGTTTTTATCCAGAAACAATGTATAATAGTTAACAAAAATTATGTTAATGATGTTTTATGTATGTAATCTTTTGTAACCTGATTTTCCACTCAACATAATGCTGTTTAGTGTCATATCAGTTTACTTACCAGTTCCCTTACTAAAGATTGTTTAAATTGTTATTTTTTTGCCATTTTGAACAGTGCTGCAAGTGTACATTCTTGATCATGTCACCTCATGCAGATGTGCTAGATATTCTAGACATATGTCTAAAAATGGAATTTCAGCCCGGCACGGTGGCTCACGCCTGTAATCCCAGCACTTTAGGAGGCCGAGGTGGGAGGATCACCTGAGGTCAGGAGTTTGAGACCAGCCTGGCCAACATGGTGAAACCCCGTCTCTAGTAGAAGTAAAAAAAAAATTAGCCAGGCATGGTGGTGTGCACCTGTAATCCCAGCTACTTAGGGAGGTTGCAGTGAGCCCAGATCGTGGCACTGCACTGCAGCTTGGGCAACAGAGCAATCAAGACTCAGTCTGAAAAAAAAAAAAAAAAAAAAAAAAAAATTTTATATATATATATATATATATATAAAATAAATAAAAATGGATTTCCAGGTAGTAGGATGTGTATACTCTGTCACTTTAGATGTCTTCAAATTGCCCTCCAAAGTGATATGCAAGTTTGCTCTCCCAGCTGCAGTTTAAGAGAATTCTGGTTTTCCTATCTTGTCACCAACACGTAGTCTTATCAGAATTTTTAAGTTCTGCAGTCTGAAAGCTATGAGATAGTAGCTCTTTGTTTTAACTTATATTTCCTTAAGAAGCCTAGCTTCATTTCATATATTGGTCATTATTTGACAGATTTTTGTCCATAATCTATACCTATTTTTCTGCTAGGTTACTTGTATTCTTACTGATCATAATGCTTTAGCTCATAGGACTTCTAATATGTGGCTTGTCTTTAACATTTTCTGTGACTATCTTTAATCTCACAGAATTTTTCGGTTAAATTTAATCAGACCTTTTTTTTTTTCTTTTATGATTGAGCCTTTTTTATGTTAGGTTTTAAAATTTTATTTAACTGAGGTTTAAAAAATTCCGTTATATTTTGTTAAAAGTTTTAAATTTCAAAATGTGCCTAATTTACCTGGCATTAACTTTTTTTTTTTTTAATTTTACTTTAAGTTCTGGGATACATGTGCAGATGTGCAGGTTTGTTACATAGGCATACATGTGCCATGGTGGTTTGCTGCACCTGTCTATCCGTCATCTAGGTTTTAAGCCCCACATGCATTAGGTATTTGTCCTAATGCTGTCCCTCCCCTTGCCCCCCACCCCCAACAGGCCCCAATGTGTGATGTTCCCCTCCCTGTGTCCATGTCTTCTCATTGTTCAACTCCCACTTATGAGTGAGAACATGCGGTGGTTTTCTGTTCCTGTGTTAGTTTGCTGAGAATGGTGGCTTCCAGCTTCATCCATGTCTGCAAAGGACACAAACTCATTCTTTTTTATGGCTGCATTGTATTCCGTGGTGTATATGTACCACATTTTCTTTATACAGTCTATCATTGATGGGCATTAGGGTTGGTTCCAAGTCTTTGCTGTTGTAAATAGTGCTGCAGTAAACATACATGTGCATGTGTCTTTATAGTAGAATGATTTATAATCCTTTGGGTATATACCAAGTAATGGGATTGCTGGGTCAAATGGTATTTTGGGTTCTACATCCTTGAGGAATCGCCACACTGTTTTCCACAGTGATTGAGCTAATTTACATTCCCACCAACAGTGTAAAAGCGTTCCTATTTCTCCACAGCCTTGCTAGCCTCTTGTTTCTTGACTTTTTAATAATCGCCATCGGACTGGCATGAGATGGTATCTCATTGTGGTTTTGATTTGCATTTCTCTAATGATCAGTGATGTTGAGCTTTTTTTCAAATGTTTTTGGCCACATAAATGTCTTCTTTTGAGAAGTGTCTGTTCATATCCTTTGCCCACTTTTTGATGGGATTGTTTTTTCTTGTAAATTTAAGTTCCTTGTAGATTCTAGGTACTAGAGCTTTATCAGATGGATAGATTGCAAAAATTTTCTTCCGTTCTGTAGGTTGCCTGTTAACTCTGATGACAGTTTCTTTTGCGTGCAGAAGCTCTTTGATTTAACTAGATCCCGTTTGTCAATGTTGGCTTTTGTTGCAGTTGCTTTTGGTGTTTTCGTCATGAAGTCTTTATGCATGCCTATGTCCTGAATGGTATTCCTCGGTTTTCTTCTAGGGTTTTTATGGTTTTGGGTTTTACATTTAAATCTTTAATCTATCTTGAGTTAATTTTTGTATAAGGTGTAAGGAAGGGATCCAGTTTCAGTTTTCTGCATATGGCTAGCCAATTCTCCCAGCACTATTTATTAAATAGGGAATCCTTTCCCCATTGCTTGTCTTTGTTCTGTTTGTCGAAGATCAGATGGTTATAGATGTGTGGTGTTATTTCTGAGGTCTCTGTTCTGTTCCATTGAAGACCACAATTTTCTAAAGTATGCCTTTAAGATGTACAATCATTTCTATCCAGTGTGATAATTTTTCTTCTTAATTGTAACATTTAATTCATTTATATAATGTAATTACTAAGATAGTTTATAATTCGTTTTCTAATTTTTCCATCTGTTTTGTATTCCATTTCTCTTTTTTATTTCTATTTTCCCCTCCTATTAGTTTCTTTTCTTTCACATCATAGAATATATTATTTAAGGTTATCCTAGAGATTCCAACATTAATACCTGACTTATCAACATCTCATATAAATTCTTTTTGTCACTTCCTGGAAAATTCAAAGTACACACCCTTCATCCCAGCACTTTGGGAGACCAAGGCAGGAGGATCACTTGAGCACAAGAGTTCAAGACCAGGTCGGGCAATGTGGCGAAACCCCATCTCTACAAAAGAAAATGCAAAAATTAGCCAGGCATGGTGGTGTGCACCTGTAGTCCCAGCTACTTGGGAGGCTGAGATGGGAGGATTGCTTGAGTCTGGGAGGTCAAGGCTGCAGTAAGATGAGATCATGCCACTGCACTCCAGCCTGGGTGACAGTGGGAGACCCTGTCTCAAAAACAAAAAATTCAGGGACCTTAGAATAACTTCAGTACTATTATTATTATTATTATCATATTTTGTGATCAAGTCTCACTCTGTCACCTAGGCTGGAGTGCAGTGGGGTGAACTTGGCTCACTGCAACCTCCACTTCCTAGGTTCAAGTGATTCTCTTGCCTCAGCCTCCCAAGTAGCTGGGATTACAGGCGTGTGCTACCATGCCTGGCTAAATTTTGTATTTTTAGTAGAGACAGGGTTTCGCGATGTTGGCCAGGCTGGTCTCGAACTCCTGACCTCAAGTGATCATCCTGCCTTGGCCTCCGAAAGTTCTGGGATTACAGGCATGAATCATGATGCCCGCTCCAGTACTATGATTTTTTATACTGTTGTTTAAACACCACAGGACATTATTATTGTTTTATGAATCTATATATTCATTTATATTTTTCTTCACATTTACCCCTTTGTATATTTCTTCATTCCATTTTGCATCTGGTAATTCTTTCATCATCTTGGCAGTATTACTTTTCTTTTGGAGTTCTACTGTTTCTGTTGCAAAGTCATCTGTGAATCTTATTCCTTTTAAGAAAATGTGTACCCTACCCCACTCTACCCCCAGCTGCTTTTATTTTCCCTTTGTTTTGGGTTTTAAACAGTTTTACTATGATGTCTCTAGGTGAATCTGTGATTTGGTGTCTTTCATTATTTTTGGAAAATTCTCAGGCATAATCTCTTCTTCTATCACTTTTGCCCCAATTGTCTCTTTCCTCGCCTACTCAGGGCTTTTCACCATTAGCCATACGTGTGTTAGATTCTTTTCTGTTTTGTTGTTTTATTCGTTTTTTCTCTTCATGCTCATTCTGGATTTTTATTGACCTATTTTGTAATTCACTGAACTTGTCTTCAGCTATGTCTAAGCTGTCATTTAACTCATTTACTGCGTTCTTAATTTCAGTTCTATTATTTTTAATTTCTACAAGTTCCATTTAATTATTTTTACTGATTTGGACCCTCTGCTGAAATTCATCATCTTGTATATTTTCTAGAGCATATTAATTACAGTTACTTACAAGTAATTTGGAAGCCCATGCTTGATAATTCTTAATACAGTTTCCACTTTTCTATTTTCAGTCATTTGGTCTTATCTTTTAGCATGGTCAATAATTTTTGTCTGAATGCCTGACATGTGAATGAAAAATTATTGAGTTGATGACATTAACTCTTGATACTATCTTTTTTTCACAGACAGTTTTCTTTTTGCTTCTAGCAAACAGTTTGGATAAGAGCAGATCAGTGTGGCAATTAGCTGATGAAACAGCTGAGCTTTAGTCCTTTTGAGGGTTGGTATATTTACTTTTCATTCAAGGTTCTTTCACCTTGATTGATCCTGAACTTGTTTTTGTATTCCCAGACATGTAAGACAGCCTAAAATTCTGCTCACCTTTTCAACCTCTGGTCCTCTGTTTTCTGCTCATTCAAGGTTCTTTCACCTTGATTGATCCTGAACTTGTTTTTGTATTCCCAGACATGTAAGACAGCCTAAAATTCTGCTCACCTTTTCAACCTCTGGTCCTCTGTTTTCTGCTCATTATTTCCCACTATTTAGCTTCTTAGCCTTAGGCTACTGCTTATGAATTGGCAGTTGCCTCAAGGGGAAAACAGGTGCTAAATGTCATTCTCACCTTTGCACTTCCCTTTTGGACACGGTCTTGACCCTTCAATTTCTTACTACCTTGGTGGCTCTCTTGTTTAAGCGGATATCCTCATCTATGTTTCTGTATCTGTAAGTGTATCTCATTTTTGAGTAGAGTCACTGGCCTGACAAAAGTATATTCTAGCCAAAATAAGAGAAGTCCCCACAATTTGTTTAATGACAAAAGCTCCACTAGAGAGAAGCAGTTACCTAGATAAGTCTTAGAATGTCAATTCCATTCTTTCTCTTTGCTTTTTGTGGATAATGTATAACCTTTATAGCAGTCATATATGCACATACAATGTTTTGGTATCCCTGCTTGAGCACTTTTGGAAAACCTTTACCATCTGTGCCTTAAATCCATGTAGAGCTTGTGAACACAAAATATGTGAGACAGGTCTCAGTCAATTTAGGAAGTTTATTTTGCCAAAGTTAAGGATGTGCCCATGGCATAGCTTCAGGAAGTCCTGAGACACGTGCCCAAGGTGTTTGGGGGTACAGTTTGCTTTTATACATTTTAGGGAGACATGAGACAGCTATGTGTAAGATGTACATTAGTTCAGTCCGGTAAGGCAGGACAACTCGAAGTGGCCCCGTTAGAAGTAGGTAAGACGCAAAAGGTTGCATTCTTTTAAGTCGTAGATCAGCCTTCCACTGAATACACAATTTAGTCTGGTTCAGTGGATCTGCATTTTCACAGAAACAATAGGAGAGAGGAAGCAATCAGATATGCGTTTGTTTCAGGTGAGCCTCAGACGGATGACTTTGAATAGAAGGGGAGGCAGGTTTGCCCTAAGCAGCTCCCAGCTTGACTCTTCCCATTAGCTTAGTGATTTTGGGGTCCCTAGATTTATTTTACTTTCACAAGCTTTTATATGCAGTCACCAACTCAAGCTTAGCTACACAGAGGCTGGGATGTGAAAGCACTGGTTAAGTCAGCTGTGGATCGCACATGCCCTTTCTATCTGATCTCTTCAAACCAGGATACCATCTGGCTTGGTTCAGAAACTTTCACTGTATACTTTAGTTTGAATTTAACTTTTTTTTTTTTTTAACCTTCGATACTTTGGCTGACTTTATGACTATTTTAATTCACAAAAGAGACTCACCTTAAGAGACATTATAATACTCAATTTATTGCAGGGTAAGAAAACATAAACAAGTCAATCCGTGGGCTAAAGTTTTTCTTTGGCCAAATCGTCACCATTGTCTTTATTAAGACTAGGACACCCTTTAAAAGGGCTTCCTGACTAAGTAACGATTGCCTTTCACTTCACTGTACACCCCTCCACTCTCCAGATAAGTTCATCAGTTTAACTTCATCCAATATACACAAGTGAATGCACCTTAATTAATTAGCAGAAATACTAATTGATACACATTTATTCTTAAATCCTAGATGCAGTATGTACCCTTATATCTAAAAGAGAGGTTAGCACAATAGTGCACACCAAGACATTTCAAGAGGTACTTGTGCAAGGAGAATTTTAATCCATTTTCATTTCCTCCACTTCCTCGATACTCTTTCCAAAATTTGATCTTCCCATTTATATACCTGTCTCAGACTGGTTCTCTTTTCCCACCTGCCCCTTTCACATATGTCCTTTTTTAAAAGAAAGGCATAATTTTCACCCATCTTTCTCAGTTTCACCATTGTCAAGGTGGGAAAAGCAAAACAAACAAACAAAAAACCCTTCCAGTCTATACAGGTCATTTGAAAATGTGTTGAGAAAGAGACTCCAATAATGGCTAACCCTTTTTTGCAACTCACTGGTTTTCAGTTATTTGCTTTCAATAAAATTAAACAAAAGCCTAGGCAGGCTGTCAGCCATTAAATCATTAAAATTTATTTCATTTTTGACGTATTACTAAAAAAATTGATGGATGCAGTGGCACTGAGTGACAAAGAATTGAATTATTACAAATCTCCATTCTCTGGATAAAGAAAATGTACTACATAGTGGAGTGCTATTCAGCCATAAAAAAGAATGAGATTCTGTCATTTGCAACAACATGGATGGAACTGGACGTTATTACGCTAAGTGACTTAAGCCAGGCATAGGAAGGCAAACATTGCATGTTCTCACTTATTTGTGGGATCTAAAAATCAAAACAATTGAACTCATGGACATAGGGAGTAGAAGGATGGTTACCAGAGACTGAGAAGGGTAATGACACAGGGGGTGGGGTGGGGGTTGGAGGTGGGGATGGTTAATAGGTACAAAAAAATAGAATGAATAATACCTAGTATTTGATAGCACAACAAGGTGACTATAGTCAATAATAATTTAATTTACAAGTTAGAATAACTAGAGGAATATAATTGTATTGTTTGTAACACAAAGGATAAATGCTTGTGGGGATGGCTACCCCATTTTACATGATATGATTATTACACACTGCTTGCCTGTATCAAAAATCTCATGTACCCCATAAATATATACACCCATGTACCCATGAAAATTAAAAGTTAAAACAAAAACGGAACAAAACTACATTCTCATCTATTTGTTTTACATTAAAAATGATCTCATCTATAGATAGGAAAAATGGGAATGTAATTTATGTTGACTGCTATGTCATGCTAGTTATAAATCATATATACCCACGGAAAGATGAACTAAAAAAAACACTACAAATTGGTCTTGATTCTCAGATGAATTTCCAGTAAGATTTTTAATGTTTTATGTGTAATACTTGTGTGTAAAAATATTCATGTTTGTGATATTATCTACTGCATTCTAATAGTTACTGTAATAATTTAGAAAAAAGTTATTTTTAATACTTATAGCCTTTTAGTTATAGGAAATTTTTTAAATTTCAATTTATATTCGTTTCAGAGAAGTACCTTAGGAGATAAATATTTTAAGCAGTAAAATATACTATAATTCTGTGAGGAAAGCAAAATATAAACAAAGATCCAGTGAATGATGTTTAATGTCTCACTATTGAAGAGCTTGTTTATGTATTATGTTGATAATGGTGGGAATCAAATTGCTATGGTACTTAGATTCTATTAGATACATTTAAAAGAATGACAAAAGTTTTTATTTTTGAAAATGTAAATATTTACAGTATGCCACTTGAAATTATCTTATTTGCACTTACTTAAATTTATGATGATAAATGTTAGTTATCAACTTAAAAATACATGAAAGTGTACATTCTTAAATTTTATTTAGAGGTATGTAGGTGATAAAGTTTGAAGATACTCTTCTGGCAAATATGGTAAGTGAAAGTTTAGCAGGTTCCCAGACCAGAGTTAAACACACCAGCAGATCTTTATTGACTATCTTATAGAAATTTAAAAATATCTCTCAACTTTAGATTTGGTGTTAGGGAATCTATCATGAATAGAATCTCACACTGTCTTGCAGGTGAGCCAACCAAGTCCTAATGCTAGAAATGTTGAAAAAACTGCCTTACTCCTTGGGTGAGATCTTCCAGAGACTCTGTTGCTAGGAATCTAGCCACTGCTGGAAAAAAGGGAGAAATGAAATAGAAATTGTATGTAATCAAAGCCTAATTCTTCCCTAGTAATAGAACTGACAGCTTTTACAAAGTGAAAAGATTACATTTTCTATCACAGAAAGAATGTATTATTAAAAGTGGTTTTGTAGCTGTTTGTCACAAGATTATAATTAAGTAGTTACATTTTTGGAAAGCACTTCCCTTCATTTAACATCCCCTTATCCCAATACGTACTCCCTCTCATGCCTGCATAACATGAGCTTTGTCATAGTCTGCTTGACAGTAGTTTTGAAGACAGTGCCTATAAATTTCACATCTTATTTTGTTTTCTTGTCTTAGCTGGGAAGACTTCTTAGTAAGCAGTTACCTTTGTCTTTTGATTGACTTTAAAATGGAATATTTTAAGTCATTAAATGTGATGTACCCCAGCTTTGAGCTACTTCCAATATATTAGGTTAGGAAGTTTCTATTTGCTTATATTTTTAAGTCCTGAGTGGATGATGAGTTTTATAAAATGCTTTTCCTACTTCTATTAAGATGGCAAGTGTTTCCCCCCTCCCCTCCTCTCTATTACGGTGGATTACATAATTTTGAACCACCCTTGCATTCTGGGATAAACCCAAATTGGTCATGATCAGTAGTATTACTAATAATATACTTGTAGATTTAAAATATTTTATTTTTCAAATTTTGAATCTTCATTTACAAATAAACTATAATTTTTCTTGTTCTGTATATTCATAAGTGAGATTAATTTTCAATTATATTCATAATTTTTTGTTTTTTGTCATTTTGTTTTTATTTTTTGAAATAAATGTCTACATGTACTTCATGTGGTTATTGTTTTCTCCCTTCCATACTCTATTCCTTGGAAATGAACCACTAAGTCTATCTCACACTCAGGTGCTAGAGAAGTAGACTTCACATTTTGGACAGAGAGGTGTCAAAGAATGTATGGACATGCTTAAAATCCCCACAATGCAGGTAATGCATGTATAGATTATATGCTAAATATGGTGTTCTTTCTAACTTAAGAAAGTTATGATGCCAAAATGAATTTGAAATTGATTGCGATATCTATATAATTTATGATTTTATCCAAAGTCTGATACTTTGTCAATCAAAATAGCTTTGTCGTTATCAATTTACACACAGATATTTCATACTAATGGAGCTATAGAACACTTAAAACAAGCTGCACTCTAGCCTGGGCAACAAGGTGAGACTCTGTTAAAAAAAAAAATTCTGGTCGGGTGTGGTGGCATGTGCCTGTAGTTCCAGCTACCCAGGAGGTTAAGGCAGGAGGGCAACTTGAGACCAGGAGATCAAGGCTATAGTGTGCTATAATAGTGCCTGTGAATAGCCACTGCACTCCAACCGGGGCAATACAGCAAGATTCCATCTCTTAAAAAAAAAAAAAGACATCTGACCACATTGATCCTGAAGTCCACTGGTCATGCCTTTTTTCGGGTGGCTGACAATATAGCTCTCCTTTTCAGGGCAGGGGGTTGGGGGCTGTCTGTCTCCTTTACAGCACAGCTTTGATTGTCTTTTTTCTTCCTTCATTCATCTGCATTTGGGTTTACACCTCTTGCCATCAGGAGTGTCCAGTAGCTTTGGTACCACCACAGATAATATGGTGTCAGAATAGGCAGAAAAGAAGCACCCCTTCCTCAGTCATCAATGGACAAGGACAGCACCCTTTTTGGGGACCCTTGAATCACTGTGACCGGGTCCATTGCCATCACTGGGTGACATGCAGATGATACTTTTAGCTTGAGAAGTGGTAACATCAATGAACTGGCACATGCTCAATATGAAGGCGGAAAATAAAAAATATATAAGAGAAGGAATGGGCCTGTGATATAAGCTAAAATTATAGCTTGCATTTTAAGTTCTCACTAAATTACCTCTTTAACCATGAGTATTAGGCTAGGTGATCTCTAAGTTCTCTTCTAGTTTTACAATTTCTCGGGCTAGGTGATCTCTAAGTTCTCTTCTAGTTTTACAATTTCTCGGGCTAGGTGATCTCTAAGTTCTCTTCTAGTTTTACAATTTCTTTTTATTTTAGGCCAGGCGCGATAGTTCATGCCTGTAATCCCTACTTTGGTAGGCCTAGGTGGGGGATCACTTGAGGTCAGGAGTGCAAGACCAGCCTGACCAACATAGTGAAACCCCATCTCTACTAAAAATACAAAGAATAAAAGCCCCGCATGGTGGCACACCCCTATAATTCCAGCTACTCGTGTGGCTAAGGCAGGAGAATCATTTGAACTCAGAGGTTGCAGTGAGCCGAGTTCACGCCACTGCACTCCATCCAGCCTGGGTGACAGAGTGAGACGACTCCATGTCAAAAAACAAAACAAAAACAGAAACTTCCTCTATTTTATTCCAGCTCTAAAGTTCTGGTATTTCTGTATCAAATATTGCTTTATAAATCAAACTATAAAGTCTTTTGAAACCATAGCTGTGCCTCAGACATGCCTTCACCTCCCATAGAATCTATGTTTCTATACACAGAAGGGTTTGTCATACACACTGATTGATCGCTCAGTATTTTAGTCTCTGGATTCCATATTCACTTAATTATTTCAATAATTGACATTACCCACAACCAACCAAAGGTGATACTTCTGGCAAATGGAAGCATGAGAGTGCTATTTCTTACTGACATTCATTTACCTTTTACATAGAAACCATTCATTTATCCTCTTCATTTGTTCAGCACTGGCAGTTCCATCTATTTTACATGACTTTTTGCAGTTATTATACCTATTCATAATTATTCCTGGCATATGTTGCTTAATGATGGAGATATGTTCTGAGAAATGTGACATTAGACCATTTTGTCATTGTGCAAATATCAGAGTATACTTACACAAACATTGATGGTATATGTATACATATATATTTAATTTATACATATTTTTCATATGGAAAACCAAATGTCTCAGAACCTTAACTGAATTATCGGTCATTTCCCCTGCTTAATCTGCAGTGCCAATATCAAGTGTTACATATCAGGTTTCTGTTTATGTTCTGTTATAATCTTATGGGACCACTGTCTTAAATGCGGTCATTGTTGGCTGAAACATCATTATTCGGCACATGACTGTACTTGGGTTAAATAACTGTTTTGGCTACAAGACTTGGCACAGAGGGATTTCTGGGGGATAATAATCAACTGCAAGAAACTGGTTACCCAAAACAAGCTGGTCATTAGTTTTGTTGAAATGTCAGAAGCTCATATCTGAAAATGGTGGGCAAAATAAGCAAATAGGTAACTTTTAATAGGTAGTACACTTTTACTGCTGCTCACATGAAGACATTAATAAATGTTCCCAATCCAACCAAAATAGCTTCTTAGCATTCCATCCAATAGAGCCAGGAATCTTTATTAGCTTCTGAGAAGCTCTCACATCCAGAAACTATTTGAAGTGTTTCCACCTGACTTAGGATTTATTAGGTTTTTTAGTTTAGTTTTTTGTGTTAGTTTTTTGGGGGGTTTTGGGATTTTGGTTTTTGGGTTTGTTTGGTTTTCGTTTTTGTTTTGGTGTCACATAAGTATTTCAATTTTGCACAACAATGTTATGGACTAGAAAGGGAATTTGCAATAGGTGATTCAAGTTATGGTCTTGGTAATTCCAGACAGAAGCTATTGACCTGGAAGAAGTCACTGACCCCCTGGTACTTTTTGGGAAAATAGGAATAATAACCTTCCACTCCAGAAAAATACTATAAACTCTGATGACATGAAGAATGTTTACATATTTGTCTTCCTTGGAATACACCTTATAAAGGCATAATGTTATTTCTAAAAGCTGTATTTTCAGAGGCAAAGTCTTGCACTTATGTTACCAATTAAGTCTCTGAGGATAATTTAGTTTATTACAAATACACTGGTAGAGACAAAGGCCACTAAGATTCTAGTGAAGTCACAGATGCAAATCAAAAACTGCGGATAGCAAGTTAATGGTTGGAGTGCTGGGGTGTACAGCATAAGGCTTGATGGGTAAGTTTAATTTCTACAACAAACATATTCTAACAAATATAATTTTCCTTAACCAACATAATAAGAAAATATAATTTTTTTTAAGCAACAAACAAGGATGGCAAGCACACAGGCTGCTTTACATATTTAAAGTCAGAACCTCCACAATCAGGTCAGCGGGCTTTAGAACTGTTAAATCAAATCTCTTATGATTACAGCAAAGCTCTTTTCCATTTGTAACAAACAAACTTGGAAAAAACTCAATTACAAATAGAAACTAGCTATGGATAGATATAATTTAAATTTTATGACAACTCGTTCTTCATTAAACTGCTGCCGCTCGCAGCTGCTAGATTCAGTTATAATTTCTAATTAGGGCTGAATTAAGCATGAGGGTTATAATTTTCTATTGCCAACCTATACGCCAATAATAATAATCGTTATAACAACAATGATAATACCAAAAGTAGGTAACACTTATGGAGTGCTTACAATGTGCCAAGATTTTAACTAAATATTTTATTTAATCCCCAGAACTACCCTATGAGGTGGGTACTATTGTGATATTCATTCAACAAATGAGAAAATGACAGTTTAAAGACGTTAAGGGCTGGGCATGGTGGCTCACCTGTAATTCCAGCATTTTGGAAGGCTGAGGCAGAGGATCGCCCAAGTCCAGGAATTTGAGACCAGCTTGGGCAACATAGTGAGGCTTTGTCTCTACAAAAAATTTTTAAATTAGCTGGACATGGCAGTGGCTTGTCTATAGTCCCAGCTACTCTGGAGGCTGAGGTGTGAGGATGCCTGAGCCCAGGAGTTCAAGGCTGGGGTGAGCTATGATCAAGCCACTGCACTTCAGCCTGGGTAAGAGTAAGATCCTGTCAAAAAAAAAAAAAAGGTTAAGGCCACAGAGCTAGGAAGAGGTAGATTCTTATCTGATAACTCATGCCCTTAAAGATCAAACCAAGTCAAAGGGCCAGGCATGGTAGCTCACGCCTGTAATTCCAGCACATTGAGAGGCTGAGGCAGGAGGATCGCTTCAACTCAGAAGTTCAAGATCAGTCTGGGCAACACAGTGAGACCTTATCTCTACAAAAAATATTAAAAATTAGCCCAACATGGTGATGCGTGCCTGTAGTACCGTTTACTCGGGAAGCTGAAGCAAGCGGATTGATTGAGCACAGGAGGTCGGGGCTTCAGTGAGCTGTGACGGTGCCACTGTACTCCAGCCTGGGCAACACTGGGCAACAGAGCAAGACCCTGTCTCAAAAAACAAAACAAAACAAAAAAACCCCCCAAAAAACAAAAACAAAGGGTACAAAGTTTCATTCAGATAGTATGAGTAAGTTCTGGATATCTATTCAACAGCATGGTGATTACAGTCAGTCATGATGTATTGTAGACTTGAAACTTGCTAAGACAGTAGATAAGTGTTCTCACCACACACATAAAATAACTGTGAAGTGACAGATATGTTCGATTCAATAATTTCACAATGTATACATATACCAAAATATCACATCGTATACCATTTAAAATATTAAATAAGATAATAAATAAAATTTAACCAATAAAGCAAACGAGTTAAAGCATTTGTACCTCTCATCATTCTAGAACCTGATATTCCTGAAATGCCCTCTTAACAGAATTTAATATGATGGTGTTTTTAATGGAGCATACTGCCTACTTTATGTGGGGTCATCACATGTTTCTTTCCACAAAATACTACTTTCTGATCTCTTTCTCATCATCATACTGCCTTCCTTTATCTCTCCTTTATCACTTTTATCTATTATTTATTCCCTTAGCCAATCCCCATTTTCCCAACTTTTATCCCATTTTCCTTGTCCATGCAATTAGCTTGTCAGGAGCACGCAGCATACCCCAAAACTCCAGAAAGCTGATTCTCAGGGCTCCAGAGTGTGGTAGTCCTTGAGCCAGAAATGAGAGACCAGGAACAGAGGCTGGGAAAACAGAACTGTCTTCCCTCCTGCTTATTTTGTTTTGAAAATTGCTTCTAGCTCCCATTTATCTTTGTGTAATTATCAAAATAAGAATAACACCTACTTCATATAAAATTAATGGGCTCTGTGTAAATTTATTTGCATTTAGGGGTAGAATATTCTGAAAAAAATAGAAATTGAGATCAAATGGTCATTTATTTTGGCTCTTACCTTTTAGGAGGTAAGTGGTTATGATCTCATTTAAGCTTAATTACTTCCTTAGAGGCCCATCTCCAAATATAGACACATTGAAGGTGTTAGGGCTTCTGGGTATGAATTTTGGAGGGATACATTCAGTTCATAACACACAACTTAATTTTTTTAAAGACTGAAAGTAAAATGATGGAAAAAGCTAAAATATGCTAAATATAAATCCAAAAAAACCTAGTGTTATGGACTGAATTTGTCCATGCAAAATTCATACGTTGAAATCCTAGCCCCCAATGTGATGGTATTAGGAGGTGGGATCTTTCGTAGGTAATTTAGCACATCAAGGTGGAATCCTCATGAATAGAATGCATGCCTTTATAAAGGGATCCAAGAGAGCTCTCCAGCTCTCTTTCTGTCATGTGAGGATACAATGGGAAGATGGTAGCCTGTAACCTGGAAGAGAGCCCTCACTCCAACCCAATCATGCTGGCACCCTGAACTCAGACTTCCAGCCTCCAGAACTATAAAGAGTAAATTTCTGTTGCTTAGAGGCCACTCAGTCTATGGTCCTTTGTTATAGCAGAGCAAACTGACTCAGACACCTACTATACCTATACTAATGTCAGACAAAATAGGTGTTCAGGTAAAAAGCTTTACTAAAGATAAAAAGGAACATTTCCACAATGATAAAAATTCAGTTCACCAGGAAGATATAATTATTCTAAATTTGGTCACCTACTAGCATAAGTTTGAATTCTATGATGCAAAAATTGAAACAGCTAAAAAAAATAGAATTATCCACAATCATAGCGGGAGACTTCAACACACCTCTCTCTGTAACTGATGGAACAAGCAGACAAAAATAGATAAGTAAGGGCATAGACATTTCAAACAATGTGAAAGTCATCTTTAAAGGGCTAGGACCAAGACAAAGAAAAAGATAATACATGTCCGTTTATATTATAGCGGCAGTAGCTATAGGGGCATATATTGTCTTTATTTTCAGTTACAATTTCATTTGACAGAAGGAGAAACCAAGGCTCAGAGAGGTGAAATAACCTTACACCGTCCAAGTGGTAGAGCCAGAAAATTCACTGTTTCTTAAAAGTTTAGTAGGACTCACCAGTGAGTTTCTTACCAAATAAAGATAATATATGCCCCTACAGCTACTGACATTGGGGCAAAGATAAGCCTATCAGTATAAGCAAAAGATGTGAGATAGCAGTGGGAAAGAGAACAAAGTGACATAAAGCCCACTAAATTATTTAGTTCAGGGGAAATAAGGGCATTGAAAATATAAGAACTCAATAGAAGCAAATAAATATGGCCAGGCATAGTGGCTCACGCCTGTAATTCCAGCACTTTGGGAGGAAGAGGCCAGTGGATCACCTAAGGTCAGGAGTTCACGACCAGCCTGGTCAACACGACAAAACTCTGCCTCTACTAAAAATACAAAAAGAGGCAGGAGAATCGCCCGACCCCGGTAGGTGGAGGTTGCAGTTAGCCAAGATCACACCACTGCACTACAGCCTGGGCAACCATGTGAGACTCCATCTCAAAAATAAATAAGCCCAGAGAAAAAATTTCAAACTATTCAACTAAAAGTGGGAAATTGAAATTATAGTCAAAAACTTCCCCTCTCAAAAAAAGCCCACCCAGATGGTTTCATTGGTGAGTTCTATTAAACTTTTAAAAAACAATGAATTTTCTGGCTCTACCACTTGGACTGTATAAGGTTATTTCACCTCTCTGAGCCTTGGTTTCTTCTTCTGTAAAATGAAATCGTAACTGAAAATAAAGTGCTTAGCACAGTGCCTGGGTAGAAAGCATCCAGTAAATAATATAATTTCTGCTATTTTTACTACTTTTACTATTACGATTGCTACTTCTACTACTATTATTCATGAATCTTTAGAGTCTCCTGAGTCCCTGACAGCTACTGACATTGGGGCAAAGATAAGTCTATGAATATTTTTAAATTTGACTTACGGAAATAGATACTAGGTGTTGCAGGCATGAGAAGTGTTTCTTAGCATGATGAAATCTGGAGAAAAAAGTTTGAATTAATTCCAAAGTAAATCAGAAGTAATAGTTGGTGGCACTGGTAATGGAGCTGAATGCATTAGAAAATGTCAGTTATAAAAATTGACTGATCTGGGTGTGAGATCAGTCCAGTTACAGTACTGCCCAGTTACAGTAAGTTAGAAAGAGGAAACGGATGGGAAGAGTTTATTCTTGTCAGTGATTTACTGGCGGGAATAAGGAATGATATCGCTAACTAGGTGCCTACTCCAAGCCCCTACATCTTTGCTTCTGTTTAGTAGAGAGCAAATTTCAAATGGAAGTTTGGCTTTGCATATATATAGTCACTGCTCAAAAATATGTTTATCAATTTATCAATTTTGGTCTATCTGTCAATTTTGGTCTGTCAGTTTAACAATTTCAATAGCTTTGTCAATATCAATTAGGTCATTCATGATTTGTCACTCTTCTTCAGATAGCCAACATTTTCAAAATTGACTTCTTTACTAATATCAGATCCTCAGACTGTAAAGACTCTACTAATAAAGTGAAATTCACACCAGGGGTTTGTGTTCATTATTATGAACAAATGAAAGAAAATGTGCATTATAATCACTCTCTACAAAAACATGGTGACCAAACTACCTTTCCAGAAGCTTGACTTGAAAATTTAGTATTTACTGAGAACAAGAGAGATGAACACCTGAACAGGCTGGAAAACATATGGGGATAAATGCCTGAGTTCACAGCAAAATGTCTGGCAAGAGAAAGAATGTTAGTGTGAAATATACAGAAATTTTGGTTATAAATTTTCCCACCAAAGTTTCACTTCAAAAAACAAACAGTGCAGACTAGTTGTTGTGTCAGAATGGAAAAAGAGTGTACCTTAGGAACTAGTTCAGGAGGATATTTTAGTTCTCTTGCTTTGTTTTTTTCAATCAATCATGTGACTAGTTTGTGTATTTCCTTTCCTTGGGGAAATATGCTAACTCCGATCCAATGTTTTTTAAAAGCTCTTTCATCGTGTGCAAAATATCTTTGGTTAGTGAATTTACAAAATGTTCTTAACCTCAGAGAAAATAAATAAGTTAGAGAAAATTAAAATAAGTCCAAATCATTAAGTACATTTTTTCAAATCCCTCAAGTGTAGGAAGAATGTAGGTGGAACAGAACAACAGTCAGGCTTGGGCCAGAACCTAGAGAAATCTCCAAAGACGTCAAAAATGATTTCACATGAAGAGTTGTGTTCTTTTTTTCTTTAGGACTTCTTCAAAAGCAGAGGAAGGGCTGGAGAAAAACATGAAAAAGAAAAGCTTATCGGAATTCAAGGTTTGGCAAGAATACTTTCCCAAGCCCATCCAGCTTACCATCAATGATAATTCAATTTCAATCAAATCAAAGAGAAGGTGCCATGCTATGTGCTGAGCTTGTGTAGAAATATGAACAAGTCTGTATGCTCACCCTCACAAGCTGTTTAAGATGATGAAGCTGGGTTAAAGATGAACGACAATAACTATAATATTTTATGAGATTATAATATAACAATATTATGGAGAGGATTTTCAAGCCATCTTCTCCCAGAAGTCTAAGTGAGAGGAGCTCTACCTCTCACCTGTTCAAATCCTTCCTATCCCTCAAGGGCAGCGTTAGTCCCACATCTGGTTCAGACTCTCCAAAACTTTCCAGCCCGTTGTTGTTTATATCACAGATGTGAGGCCATTATAAGCACCTCTTGATTTGGGTTATAAAAACAGGAAAAGAGTGTATTTTACTCTGAGGGAGAAGACAGCTTAGTATGCAGAGGCAACAGAACAAAGTGGTCAAGAGAACAGATTTCAGGGCCAGCTGACTTTGCTACAAATCCCAGGATCACCACTGGGGAACACTGGAAAAGTTACTTAAATCTTTCTAAGCCTCAGTTTCCCCATCTTCAAAATGGAAATATTAATAGTTCCTACCTCATGGAATTGTGAGAATCAAATGAGGCAGCAACTGTACTTAAAATACTAGGGGGCAGGTTGGGCGTGGTGGCTCACACCTGTAATCTCAGCACTATGGGAGGCTGAGGTGAGCAGATCACTTGAGGTCAGGAGTTCAAGACCAGCCTGGCCAATATGGTGAAACCCCATCTCTACTAAAAATACAAAAATTATCTGGGTGTGGTGGTGCACACTTGTAATCCCAGTTACTCAGGTGGCTGAGGCAGGAGAATCACTTGAACCTGGGAGGCGGAGGTTGCAGTGAGCTGTGGTCGCACCACTGCACTCCAGCCTGGGCAACAGAGCGAGGCTCTGTCTAAAAAAATAAAAAATAAAAAACACTAGGGGGCACAGTCAACCACTGTGGCACAAGCCTGTAATCCCACTTACTTGGAAGGCCAAGGCGGGAAGATCAGCTTAGCCCAGGAGTTCGAGTCCAACCTGAGCAACACAGCAAGACCCCATCTCTAAAGAAAAAATGAGGTGGGGGGAATAAATATTAGACATATAAATGTTTGTTGGTTATGACTAATGTTCATCTATGCATTCCACAAATGTTCCTTGGGTGCCTTTTCTCTGCAAGATGCTGTTCTAGGCACTAGATCCTAACAGTGGGTAAAACAGACAAAGTTCCAGACCTCATGGAGTCTCCATTCATATGTCAACCAGAAAACAAGCTCTATGGGGAAAGACAGCATATAAAATATCATTTTGTATTTCCTATGGTGCTTTACACAAAATAGACAACAAGAGTCTGTGAAGGAATTCTAAGTGGAAGAAGGAAGACGTGCTTGGAAAATCTTGCACTCCTGCACAAAGAAAAAAATTATGTGAACAAACCATCTGTATTCTATGAAGGTCTTCTAGAATCTAGTCCTTTAATATTTCATAAAATTCAACTCCTTGGTAATTTAAAATAGGATGGATTACACAAAATTTCCACTGCACCGCGCCACACTTTGCTCGCGTGGCGGAGAAGTGCATGGCATGAAAAATATTTCTGGACTATGATGCTCAGCCAGGTGAGCTCAGGTTACTTGTGTTTCATGGCCTTTCAGTCTGGAGCTTGATTGCCAGTTGGAAGCCTTGGATTGGCTCCTTGATCTTAGAGCTACAGGAGGTTAGCCATGTGGCCAGGGTGACTGCGGGAGGCCAGGGAGGCTCAGGGGTGCCTGGCTAAAGAGTTTCACTTCTTTAAGACTTGGGTTACTATTAAAACACATTCCTCAAATGCCAGGCATGGTGGCTCACACCTGTAATCCCAGCACTTCAGGAGGCTGAGGTGGGCGGATCACCTGAGGTCGAGAGTTCAAGACCAGCCTGACCAACATGGAGAAACACCATCTCTACTAAAAATACAAAATTAGCCAGGCTTGGTGGCACATCCCTGTAATCCCACCTACTCGGGAGGCTGAGGCAGGAGAATCGCTTGAACCTGGGAGGCAGGAGTTGTGGTGAGCCAAGATTGCACCATTGCACTCCAGCCTGGGCAACAAGAGCGAAACTTCGTCTCAACAACAACAACAACAAACAAAAACACATTCCTCTAGGACAGTTAGTAATTTGTGCTATTAACAGTTATTCAGTCTTCACAGAAATAAGGACCAGATATATTCTCTTTTTTTAAAAAAAAAAAGAACTTTGGCCAGGCACGGTGGTTCACGCCTGCAATCCCAGCACTTTGGGAGGCCAAGACGGGTGGATCACTTGAGGTCAGGAGTTTGAGACCAGCCTGACTAACATAGTGAAACCCTGCCTCTAGTTTAAAAAAAAAAAAATTAGCCAGGTGTTGTGGCACATGCCTATAGTCCCAGCTACCCAGGAGGCTGAGACAGGAGAATAGCTTGAACCCAGGAGGCTGAGGTTGCAGTGAGCTGAGATCGCACCACTGCTCTCTAGCCTGGGCGACAGAGTGAGACTCCATCTCAAAAAATAAATAAATAAATAAATAAATTCAGCCTAATAATAAAAATAGTTTCCCTTGTTCATTGTAGGCAACTGGAAGCTATAACTTTACCTACATCCATAGTCTTAAGAGCAAGTTTTTAGAATTGTAGAATAACTTAGAGGTAGCTTGAAAAAACACTGGCCTAGGAAGTCAAGAGATCTGAGTTCTAGTTTTGACTAAGTAAGCTGACTGAACTTAAACAACGGAAATAATTCTCAAGCCCCAGTTCCCACATCTGTAAAATGAGAGTTCTTAGGTGTCCCTTCCATTGTTTTTTTAAGTACTTATGAAATAATTATCCATCATATACCCACCTCTTTCATACAATGTTTAGAACAACGACTTTGTACGATAGTGTCTTAGTCTGTTTTGTTCTAGTACAACAAAATACCTGAAACTGGGTAATTTATAAAGAAGAGAATTTTATTTTCTCACAGTTCTAGGGACTGGGAATCCAAGATCAAGGCACCAGCATTTGGTGTCTGGCAGGGCTTTTTTGCTGTGTCCTTATATGGGGAACGTTAGACGGTCAAGAGAAACTAACTCCCTCCATCAAGTCCTAGTTTGATGGCATTAATCTATTTATAAAGGCAGAGCCCTCATGACCTAAACACCTCCCAAAGGGACTCACCTTTCAGCACTGTTGCATTTGGGATTAAGTTTTCAATACATGAATTTGGGGGAACACATTCAGACCATAGCAGATAGTTACATTTGACACTGAGGAGATTAAAGCTCAAAGAAGCTCATTTATTTACCCAAGGCCATAGGCTATGGGGCAAAGGTGTGATTTAAGGTTATCTGCCAACTAAATCACATCCTCTTCCTCCCAAAGTACAGCTGCCTTTAATTTGCTAGTATATGAAATAGCTCTGGGTTTGAAAAGAAAGAATGACTCTGACAAAAAAAATCTCATTGCCTACTTGACCCTTCTGCTTAAGATTCACTCTGCTCTGTCACTTAACTATAGGACAATTTTTTTATGTTTACATTTCTGTGGTGAATAGGTTACAAAGTTAAGTCTTACCTAGAGAGGGTATCTGAGTTTCATTGAATGGATATTCAGAAGATTTGCTCTCAAATAAAGGGGATCTTTATCTTCTTTCCACTTGTGTTCCAATGATTGTGAAGAAGTGTAATCAGAAAGTAAGATGGCATGCAGATCTAACTTACCCATAACCAACTCTCAAGGACTGTCAGGCATATCATTCATTATGCCAGTCACACCCTAGCAAAAGGAAGTTGTCCACCCATTCCCCTCAATGAAGGGCAGCCTTCTTAATGAACATCTTTAATTGGATTAGGAGTAAAGGCCTGTCTGTCCCATCACCAGCCAATCCATAAACTAGCAGTTGGGCTAAAATGTGACCTGGCCAATAAGTCTGTGCTCAAACAGGCCAGAATGCCTGTTTCGAGAGCCTGAATTGTGAAATACAGAAAACACAAGCCCTTTGGTGGACAGGGGAGCACAGAGAAGACAACAGATGCATAGTGTCTTCACATTAACATGGGGCACTCAGAGTGAAATTAATGGACTTCTGCTTCTGAGGATCCCAGACTTGTCTTGGGTTCCAAATCACTTCCCCTAGAAATTATTCTATTACAAATCCTGTTCTTGGATTTCTAAGAGATGATCTTTCTCAAATATATATATATGTGTGTGTGTGTGCATTTATCTATACATATATATCATACTGATACATTAAAATTCTTTTAATTGTTGGAACAGGTGACTCTCTATTCTTTAAAACCAAAAGAACTGAATAAAGCTCTGTACAACTATTTTGTTAAACTATATACTGTAATTCTACTCTGTTAAATAACACTGAAATTAGTAGGGATTTGGCACCTGGTCTGTCAGTTCCAAGGCCTGATTTATATATAATTGCTGCATTATACCATCTGAAATTCTTTTTGCTACTGCAATTGGCTCAATCGTACTCATTTAGGTCAGAAGAATTCAGTAGGACTTTCCAGTAAGAGATATCTAGTATGCAACTTACCTCTCAGCTCAAAGACTACCATTTTCTAAGACCAATTCCCTATTCTCTGGGGGGTGAATTTTAAGCATTTGGTTTTAATCCATCTATAACTTCTACACCAGGAAGAAGCTGAAATATTTTAAGTATGATGAAACTCTATGTAAAGATATGTGGTATTGATTATTTATAAAAGCAATGACTGCTCTTCCAGTAGGGCAAACAAGCTTCTTCTCTTTAGAGGCTTCTTTGCTCACCTAATGAAGATTGGCCAATAAAGTTGAGCCAGAGGGTTTCTAACCTCTGACTTAGTCAAGGCACTCAGCCTTGTTGTTTTTGCTTCCATCAACAGTAATGAGTTCTGCATGCCTTAGAAAAGAACAAAGCACTTGGTTATTTCCCAGATTTTCACTCTCAATGTTCCTACCCCATCTAGCTCATCTGATGCCTGGAGGAATCCTTCTTCACATATTTAATTTAATGTTAGCATTTCCTTCATTGGCTCATTAACTGCCCTCTGGTGCAGGTTAACCAATGACCCTAAAAGAGGTCTCCAGTTGCTCTGCAAGGGTGATGAGCAATTCTCACCCTGCACTTCAGCCAACAAAAATGTTGTGCCATTTTACAAGCAGCAGAAGTCCCAGAAGGCCACACAGTTCCGTGGCCTGATATATGCAGAAGAATAATAAAAAATTTTATGGCTCTGGGGAAACCAATCAATCCCAGGAGTGCCCCAAGGCAGGTAAAGCTGGTGTGTCCTCACTCAGCCTCCTGCCTTGACAGCTTTACCTGAGAACACTTAGACTTGCAGTGCATGGTCTGTAAACATAAAAACAGTCCTGGATTTGAGATAAACACATGCACCAGATTCTGGTGCATGTGGTACACTTATACCACAATGATAAGTGTACACGGATTTGTCAGGAAGTGGGGAAACTTTTCAGAGGTTACTATTTCATTAAAACACCGCAAGTGGTCAATACTTACATCAATTAGTAGATGCAGCCCCTAGATGAGTGTGGCAGCCCCTACAAAATAAAGTAAAAAACTGGTGATGGGTTGGGGGAGGGATGATCCAAGTAATTTAAAGAGAAATCCTTCCACTAATAATCATTTATGCCACTTATTTACTTATTGAAATTATAAAGTTTGTGCAAATTTTCTGTTTTTCTTTTTCTTTTCTTTTTTTGGAGACAAAGTCTTGCTCTATCTCCCAGGCTAGAGTGCAGTGGCACCATCTCAGCTCACTGAACCCTTTTGTCTCCTGGGCTCAAGTAATCCTCCTACCTCAGCCTCCCAAGTAGTTGGGATTGCAGGCATGCACTACCACACCCAGCTCATTTTTGCAGTTTTAGTAGAGACAGGGTTTCGCCATGTTGGCCAGGCTGGTCTTGAACTGCTTGCCTCTAGCCTCGCCCATCTCAATCTCCCAAAGTGCTAATATTACAGTTGTAAACCACCACGCCCAGCCTAAATTTTCTTAATATATATTTTTTCATGCTGAGTGTCAAACCATGAGCCTCATGTCCTAGGTGATATTTAGCATTCGCAAAATGGTATGGAGTGCCCAGAAGGCAAATGTTTTGTCTTTTGCCAAATATACATCACTTTGCTTTGCATACATATATACACACGCCTAATATACATATATGTTTTTTTCAACACTGAACTCTAAGGTGGTCGCCACACAAAACATAATTGCTTTCGGATCCTGTTTAGTTTCCTAAGATTTCTTGATCATACAAACATAACTCTGGTCCAGGAAGCTGCACTAGCTAGATGCCTTCATGAAACACTAACAGGATTTCAAAAGAAATTTGTTTCTTCGGAAAGAGAAAGATGTGTCCATGAAGACTCTGTGAGAAGACAAAAAACACTGAAGTGATTCAAAACTACTCATGGTCTGCAGGTAAAAAGGCATATGTATGCCAAATGTTGAAGCCATCATACTTCTTCTATTCACACCCGTAAACCGTGGAGAAGTTCGCCGGGAGGTGAGGACGCCAACTGCAGTGGAGAAACGTTTCTCTTTCCTCTCAGCTTGCACACATCATGGCGGCTGCTGCCCAGCAGCCTCCTCAGCCTGGCGGCGGGAAGCACAGAGGCAAGGCTCAGTATGTGCTGGTCAAGCGAGCTCGGCACTGCGAATCTGGCGGGCCCAGTCAGCCAGAGCCCGGGCTACGGGCATCCTCATCACCTGCAACATGAACCAGCGCCAAGTGTGTGGAGGAGGCTTACACCCTGCTCAACGAATATGGCGATGACATGTATGGGCCAGAAAAGTTTACAGACAAGGATCAGCAGCCCTCTGGAAGTGAGGGAGAAGATGATGATGTGGAGGCTGTCTTGAAGAAAGAAGTTGGTGACATTGAGGCATCTACAGAGATGAGCCTAAGAGGATTCCAGTCAGTGGAAAGTGGAGCAAATAACGTCGCCTTCATCAGGACACTTGGGAAAGAACCTGAGAAACTGGTGCATCATATTCTCCAGGATGAGTACAAAACCAAGAAGACTCAAGTTATTCTACGAATGTTACCCATCTCAGGCACATGCAAAGCTTTTTTAAAAGATATGAAAAAATATGCAGAAACATTTTTGGAACCCTGGTTTAAAGCTCCAAACAAAGGGACATTTCAGATTGTGTACAAATCTTGAAATAGCAGTCATGAGAGGTGAAGCCAGCTGGACTTCCTGGTGGAGTGGGGACTTGGAGAACTGTTCTGTCTTATAAGGGGATTGTAAAATGCACCAATCAGCGCTCTGTAGCTAGCAAGAGGTTTGTAAAATGCACCAATCAGCACTCTGTAAAAATGCATCAATCAGTGCTCTGTAGCTAGCATGAGGTTTGTAAAATGGACCAATCAGAGCTCTGTAAAATGGACCAATCAGCCTCTGTAAAATGGACAAATCAGCAGGATTCTAAAAGTAACCAATCACAGGGAGGATTGAGAAAAGGGCATTCTGATAGGGCAGAAATAGGACATGGGCGGGGACAAATAAGGGAATAAAAGCTGGCCACCCCCAACCAGCAGCGGCAACCTGCTTGGTACCCTTACATGCTGTGGAAGCTTTGTTCTTTTGCACTTCACAACAAATCTTGCTGCTGCTCACTCTTTGGGTCTGTGCCACCTTTAAGGGCTGTAACACTTACCGCGAAGGTCCACGTCTTCATTCTTTAAGTCAGTGAGACTATGAACCCACTGAAAGGAACCAACTGCGGACACAGTCACATGAATAGAGAAGTTATCAAAAAATTGGCAGGAATAGTGTGCACCCTCAATTCAGAAAGTAAAGTGGCTCTCAGCAATCCACAGTACACGGTGATAGTAGAAATTATGTTGCCTGAGTGTCCTGAAAGATTACATGTAGTTTAGAAAATAGTTTCCGACTGGGCGTGGAGGCTCATGCCTGTAATCCCAGCACTTCGGGAGGCCAAGGAGGCAGGCAGATCATGAGGCCAAGAGATCAAGACCATCCTGGGCAACAGGGTGAAACCCCATCTCCACTAAAAATACAAAAATTAGCTGGAGGTGGTGGTGTGGGCCTGTAGTTCCACCTCTTCAGGAGGAGGCTGAGGCAGGAGAATCGCTTGAACCCGGAGGCGGAGGTTGCAGTGAGCTGAGATGGCGAGATGGTGCCATTGCACTCCAGCCTGGCAACAGAGCATTAGGAAAAAAAAAAAGGAAAAAAAAAAATTCAATCTCCAGGAGGTGATAAAGAGCTCTAAGGGTCCATCACAGCTTAATTCAAAGCAGAGAAATGGGAAGGAAGGTAAACTGGAAGCTGCTGACAAATCAGATCAAAACAATACAGCAGAAGGGAAAAATAACCAGCAGGTACCAGAGAATACTGAAGAGCTAGGGCGGAAAAGAACGTCTAATCCGCAGGTGATAAATGAGGGAGGAGCCAAACCTGAACTTGCAAGTCAAGCCACAGAAGGGTCCAAATCAAATGAAAATGATCTGTCATAGGAGGCCATTTCGTGCTGGAGGTGGGTTTCTCAACTGGGTCTCTATGAGATGTTGCTGGGGTTCCACCTTAAATTGTGACTAAAAACAGTTTTTTATTTGTGTGCTGCATTATGCTATTCTCGCAGTAGTGAACAATGATTGCACAGCCCTGTTAATCATTTTGTTAGGGAACTTTCAGCCCTTATGGTATTATGTAGAGGCAGACCCATGTGCCACACTATTGCAAAGAGGGGAGGATGGGAGGAGAGGGGGACGTTGGCCTCTCCCAGGCTCCTCTTATGTGGTGCCAGCTGACTTACTGTAGTGAACTGACTGTAAAGTAGGAAATCAGAGGGGAGTTTTCATTTGAAGGAAGGAGGTTTACATGCCACAGCTCAGCTGTCCCCCTGCCACTTTGTTGTAAACATTGCAAAAGTGTGGATCATGTAGGTTAGAATTGAATTGTTTGGTGAAGTTTTTGTACTTTGTGATTTTCTTGTTTGGTTATGTCTGTGTGTATATATACATATATATATATATATTTTTTCTTTTCTTTTCTTTTTTTTCTTGAGACAGAGTCTCGCTCTGTCACTCAGGCTGGAGTGCAGTGGCACGATCTCGGCTCACTGCAAGCTCCGCCTCCCGGGTTCACGCCATTCTCCTGCCTCAGCCTCCCGAGTAGCTGGGACTACAGGCGCCCGCCACCGCGCCCGGCTAATTTTTTGCTTTTTTTTTTTAGTAGAGACGGGGTTTCACCGTGTTGGCTAGGATGGTCTCGATCTGACCTCGTGATCCACCTGCCTCGGCCTCCCAAAGTGCTGGGATTACAGGCGTGAGCCACCACGCCTGGCCTGTTTTTATATTATATTAACATTTGTGTGTAACAAAGCTGACAGTTCAGTGCTGCAATTTTGGAAGGTAAGATGTGAGAAAGAAGAGAGGCATTTTAGGCACAGAGCTACAGACATTTCTGAAAAGGTTGGTGATGAAGAATTTTGGTCTTCTGAGTATACTTCAGTATTCTAGTACAACAAGGGACACAAAGAGATTCTGTCTTTATAATGAAAGCTGCTCCTTAAGGGTTTAATATGGACTCAGTCCAAGCTGTCCTGTCCCACTGTGCATTGTCTGTGGCATGCAACTTACAAAACTAAAAATTGTAACTATAAATCACAGGCACTTGACAAGAAAGGATATTCATTATCTTCAGTTGGCTTTTGGACCATCAAAACAGTACGGCTTCTGTTCAAAAATCACGTTTAGTCAAAATGTTTTGAAAGCAAATTATTTACTAGCAGAACTTATCTCAGGAAAGAAAAATATGCATAGTTGATGAGAATCTAATAACATTAAAATGCTGGGGCAGGATGCAGTACAAAATTGAAAAGACTTTATTCTCAGTAAGTTGATTTACTGATGATATCTCATACGATGCTACAAAGGTTTTGTGTCATTAACTGAAGAGCAGCAACTTCAGGCCGGGTGCAGTGGCTCACGCCTGTAATCCCAGCAATTTGGGAGGCCGAGGCAGGAGGATCACAAGGTCAAGAGATGGAGACCATCCTGGCCAACATGGTGAAACCCTGTCTCTACTAAAAATACAAAAATTAGCTGGGCGTGGTGGCGTGTGCCTGTAGTCGCACCTACTCGGGAGGCTGAGGCAGGAGAACTGCTTGAACCCAGGAGGCGGAGGTTGCAGTGAGCTGAGATACGCCACTGTGCTCCAGCCTGATGACAGAGCAAGACTCCGTCTCAAAAAAAGAGAAAAGCAGCAGCTTCTCTATCCAGGATGATGAGTCAACGGGTTTCACTAATATTTGTCATGCTGTAGCATTTGTAAGATTTGTAAGTGATGAAATTCAAAGAAAACTTTTTCTATTGCTAGGAGCCTGCCAAAACAAAGGCCAATATACAATGTTGTGATATCATATCTGATAACCAGAGGTCTGTTATCTACACTCCTGGTGCCCCATCAGTGGTTGTCTCCATAAGTCATTTTGCATCATTAAAAAAAAGAAGAAAGAAATCCTGATGTTGACGCTATAGCACACTGCTTTCTTCACAGAGATGCTGATATCAAAAACTTGAAGATACAATGACATTCTGAATAATGCTACAAAACTGGTTACCTGTATCAAAGACCCATTTATGCAAAAATGTTAAAAAAATAAAAACACCCAAAACAAAAACCTGGACAAACAGCGCATAAACCTCCTGTACCATACAGATATCCAGTGGCTTTTCAGAGGAAGAGTTCTCTACAGGACTTTTGAGTTGAAAGGTGAATTGCCAGAGTACTTACAAGAAAATAGCCAGCTTTTGCTGAATGCTTTGGAAATGAAAAATAGCTACAGAAACTAGCCGATTTAGCAGACGATTTTCATCACATGAACAAATGAACAAGTCTCTGAAAGGTCCTGGAGAAAATTTTTTTTCTTAAAGTGACAAGAGTCTTAGATCAAAAAGGAAACTGATTTGCTACCTTGCCAGGGGAATTATTGAAATGTTTCTGCAGCCACTTGGACTTGAAAATGAAGAGTACAACTCTCAAATCTTGCTATAACCCACCTGGAGGAACCACAAAACACAATTAAGTAGTATTTTCTCTCCTTTTCCCAGCACTAGTATATGACTGTATGGGGAACCCTTTCTCCAAATCTGCTCAGCTTGAAATTTTGTCTCTGAAGGAAGAGAATGAACTCAGCCCTAGTCTGACAGTCCTACATTTCTGTGAAATAAGAGTATTCTTCAACTTAGTGCTCACACTCACACACCATGAGGGTTCCCTGCAGGGGTTTCCTGAATTTGAAAGTTTTTTCAAGGCCTATTTTTGGGTAAAATAATTGAAAAAGGCAGACACCAACAAAGTCTGCAAAGTAAACCATCCAGATTAAGAATATTAAGGAGCTGTAAAGTTAGCTTGTGGAAATGGGCTTATCCTTAAGTTTTAAAAAGTTAGGAAGTAGTAAAAACGTTAGGCTTCCTGCACAAGTGGCTATGTTTATTTAATGGCTAGTGAACACGGGAACATATTTCTATCCTCTTAGCTAGTGGTTCTGTTTGGTAAACCAGACTAGAATGATTTGAGAGGGGCAAAGAGAATAGGCAGGACCTTCCTTCTATAGCTTTACATATTTAGAATATTAATTCTTAATGGCGTTGAAGTTACCTTGAAAGGATTGATAAGAGGTTTATTAATATTATTTAGGGGAATAGGGAGGATAGAATTTTGGTGCCTTCTTTAGCAGACTTGCTCCAAGACAAAGATTCTTTTATTTTGATAGTGCAAGACAAAAGGACTCGGAAAAGAATTGACCATATGCCTACAGAACATACAATTCTGTGGAACGAAGTTGTTTTTACTTTGTGAAGGCTGCCACTCTACGGAAATATTTTGATTTTATAATTTGCTTTTAATTGCCTTTTATCTCTATTTGTATTTGGTAAGGCTTGGTTGTTATACAAGCTGTTCTTTCCCAGCTACAAAATCCTGCGTTCGGTTGTAACCTGAACTCATTAAAAGATTTTTCAGGTTTATCAACTGTTTATTTTCACTGATATTTGAGCATGTTATTTTATAAATAATGAGATTCCAGGGTAGGAGGTAAGTGCTTTTTATTCCCCTTTAGTTTTTTCTTCTAAAAAATTATGTCAGTTAAAAAAAAAAACCTGCAGTCTTGTGGTTTAGAAAACTTGTTTAAATCTGTAGAGAAAAGAATGTTAAACTTTGTATTTTAAAACATGTTTCTCTAAGGTTAAACATGGTTTTCAAATGTTATTTTTACTTGTACTTTGCTTTTGGTACAGCCAAATATCAACCTTGTTTTTCATAGTTCCTGATATTTTCAGAAAAATCAAAATAAATTTGTTCCCCCCCCAAAAAAAATTAGTTTGCCAATGGTCTAGGAAGCTCTAACCTAATCATTCTATTGGTAGCATATTCTATTCCTAACCAGACACACATGTGTTAATGAAGCCACAAGGTTTAGGTCTTTCCTAATGTCTTCAACTGGGTGATTTTCATCCCAGCAAGCTGCCTCCTCTTTTTAATTCTGTGTCTTCCCTGTAAGTATTCCTACACTAAAAGGAAAAAATATGTTTTTCATTTTACCAAAAAAAATTACCTAAATTAAGGTTTTTATAGTAACAATGTCTTCATAGGTATGGACTACTTTTCCTTCCTTTAAAAAAAAAAGCAACAAAACATCCACAAAGGTCACTTTCACCCACCACAGAAAACCCTACCTCCCGCCATCCAAAAATGCCACCTTTGAGCTGCCAACAGGATTTCTCACTATTCCTTAGGCATTCGTCCAGATATTTTTTTCAAAGTCTGACTTAACTCACCACAATTTAATTTGAGATTTGTAGAGGTCAGACTCTGGCAAAATATGACTACAAAAAATGGAGATGCTAGTTTTAAACTGCATAAATATATATAAAATCCATTAACTCTCTCAACTGCAGCAGTCTAATGATTAATCAATAATCTATCAATTGACATAAGTAACCTACATTATATTAATTACATCATTACATAGAATTCATCTGTTTAGAGCAACTGTCCAATAGAAATAAAATATGACTTATATATGTAATTTAAGCTTTCCTGTAACAGCATTCATAAAGTTAAAACAAGTTAAAATTAAAATTAGTAATATATTTTATTTAACCCAATATATCCAAACTAGTATCATTTCAACATGTGATCAATATTTTAAAATTATTGCCAGGTGCAGTGGCTCACACCTGTAATTCCAGCACTTTGGGAGGCTGAGGCAGGTGGATCACTTGAGGTCAGGAGTTTGTATCAGCCTGGGCAACATAGTGAAACCCTGTCTCTACTAAAAACACAAAAATTAGCCAGGCATGGTGGCGCGTGCCTGTAGTCCCAGCTACTTTTGGGAGACTGAGGCAGGAGAATTACTTAAACCCAGGAGGAGGTTGCAGTGAGCTGACATTGTGTCACTGCACTCCAGCCTGGATGACAGAACAAGATTGTCTCAAAAACGAAACAAAACAAAAATTATCAAGGTATTTTGCACTCTTCTTTACAAAATCCACAGTGTATCTTAGACTTCCTGCACATCCCATTACATTCTAGATACATTTCCAGGGCACAGTAGCTCCAGGTGGGGTGGACAGTGCAGGTCTAGAGGGTGCTGGGTTAAAGGGTTGGACAAACACCACGTGAACACTACCAGTTCTCCCAGTCTTCAGTGTGCCCATAGATGTCAGAAGGTTAAATTAGTCTCATATTCATTTAGGTTTGTCTCTTTAGAGAATTTGACAACTAGTGTGTAAAGTTTAAATTGCTTTTAAGTTGGTATTAGTTGCACCATGTTAAGAAAATAAAATCAGTGTTGATTTGCTGTATTCTTCTCCTATTGCTACTATAACAGATTATCACAAATTTATTGCCTTAAAACAACACATATTTATTATTTTACAGTTCAGGAGATCAGAAGTCTAAAACAGGTTGGCATGGTTGTGTTCCTTCTGGAGGCTCTTGGGGGATTTCATTTCCTTGCCTTTTCCAGCTTCTAGAGGTGGCCTGCTTTCCTTGGCTCAGGGCCCCTTCGTCCATCTTCAAAACAAAACCAGCAGCATATCATCTTCAAATCTCTCTCTCTCTTTCTCTCTCCTCTGCTTGAACATCATATATCCTACTCTTATTTCTGACTCTCTTCCTTCCTCATAGGAGGAGCCTTCTGATGACATTGAACCCACCTGGTTAATCCAAGACAGTCTCCCCACATCAAGATCCTTAACTTAATCATGTGTGCAAACTCCCTTTTGCCATGTAAAGCATCATATTCACAGGTTCTGGGGATTAGGATGTGAATATCTTTGGAGGACCACGGCAGACAGAATTGTCTACCACAGTGAAATAGGCTGATATGCTCAACTCAGATCTACAGGTGAGATTTTATCACAACACATCTAGTTATGACATAGCTATGGCAAAAACTAGCTATGCCCTAGATCAGTGGTCCCCAGCCTTTTTAGCACCAAGGACCAGTTTCGTGAAAGACAATTTTTCCATGGCCAGGAGGCAGAGGGGATAGTTTCAGGATAAAACTGTTCCACCTCAAATCATCAGGCATTAATTAAAATCTCATAAGAAGCACACCGCCTACATCCCTCACATGCGCAGTTCACCATAGGATTTGTGCTCTTATGAGAATCTAACACCGCCGCTGATCTCACAGGAGGCGGAGATCAGGCAGTAATGCTCATTTACCTGCCACTCACCTCCTGCTGTGCAGCCCAGTTACGAACAGGCCACAGACTAATACCAGTCCGTGGTCCAGGGGTTCGGGACCCCTGTCCTGGGTGACTATTTGTTTCAATCAGTATTTCATAAAAATAAAAATGTAATGTAATAAATATTAGATGCATGCTTGGCATTTGTGTTTAATAAGTGAATGTGGTGGTTTCTAGAATTTAAATATATAGGCTTAGAGAAAGTCAAGATAGTAGGTATATGAGTTGAATCTGGAAAGAAAGACTCTTCAGCTGTGTATTACCTATTTTTTAAGCTGCTGTTCCAAATTTGCCAGGAAAAATCTTCACCTTCACACTCAAGTAATTAGTACCACATTTAGCATGGAGTATACTTTGTCACAAGAATGTGATAAAATTCTTTTATAAGAATTTACTCTGCTAAATACATGTGATGAAGTAAAAAACATCTTAAATCAACAAATATTTAATAAGAATATTATGAGGAAGGCACAGTGCCCAGTATAAAATATACCATAACTTAAACTATAAATTTAACTTTCTTAAGAACAACGACTACTTTTAAAATTTTCCTTCCTTAGCAAATCAGTGCAAACAAACAAGTAATTTTACTTACAAACTGTTCATGGATTCCACTGGAATACTGCCCTTTAATGCTTTCTCTTCAATTTAATCTTATTTGGAGGTTCCATTTACACACTGAAAGAGAAAATTGAGGCAACAATTCCAATTTTAAAACATGTGTTCCTGAACTGTCTGGACCAACATCTGAGTTTGCACCATCCCTGTGTGCTCAGGCTCCAAGTCTCTTGTCCTTGGGGGATGGACAGATACACCTTGACTTGTGATGGGGTTATGTCACAATAAACTAATCATAAATGGAAAATATCTTAAGTTTAAAATGCATTTAATACACCGAATCTACAGAATATTGTAGCTTAGCCTAACCTTCTTTTTTTTTTCTTCTTTTTTTTTTTGAGACGGAGTCCCGCTCTTTAGCCCAGGCTGGAGTGCAGTGGCACACAATCTCGGCTCACTGCAAGCTCCGCCTCCCAGGTTCACGCCATTCTCCTGCCTCAGCCTCCCGAGTAGCTGGGACTACAGGCGCCCACCACCGTGCCCGGCTAATTTTTTGTATTTTTAGTAGAGACGGGGTTTCACCGTGTTAGCCAAGATGGTCTCGATCCCCTGACCTTGTGATCCACCCGCCTCGGCCTCCCAAAGTGCTGGGATTACAGGCGTGAGCCACCGCGCCCAGCCAGCCTAACCTTCTTGAAACATGCTCAGAATACTTACATTAGCCTACAGATGGGCAACATCATCTAACAACAAAGCCTATTTTATAAAGTGTGGAATATCTCATGTAATTTTTTGAATACTATACTGAAAGTAAAAACCAGGATGACTGTATGGATGCTCCAATTACAATTTCTACTGAATGCTTTTCACTTTTGCACCATCATAAAGTCAAAAAAGCATTAAGTGGAACCATTGTTAGGTTGGGGACCATTTCTATTCCTCAGCTCATGCTGCAATAACAAAATACCATAGACTGAGTGGCTTAACGACAGACATTTATTTCCACAGTTATGGAGGCTGGAAGTCTTCATGCACCAGCATGGTTGGAGCTAGATCCCTCTTTCTGGCTTGCAGATGTCTGCCTTCTCACTGTGTCCTCATAGTGGCAGAAAGAGACACAGCAAGCTCTCTGATGCCACTTCTTTTAAGAGTATTAATCCCATGGCCTCATGACCTCATCTAAACTTAATTATGTCCCAAAGACCCCATCTCCAAATACTGTGACATTGGGGGTTAAGGCTTCAAAATACGAATTTTACAGGGACGTAATTCAGTCTATAGCATGGAATATGCAGGACCTAGGCAAAAAAGGGCCTCAGGGCGATGGACCTAATCTGGCAAACTGGATCAAACTCAGCCCTTTAGTCATCCTCCAGCTTTCCTGGTGGCTTCTTCCAGATGCCCCAGGCTGTGGGGAGAAGAGTAAATGGGATTGCTGCTGAAAGCTCATTTCTCAGGTTCTCTAAATATGGGTTCAATGTGCAACCCTCAAAGGGAATTTTCTACCCAAAACTGTAGCTTTGCAGCTAAACAATTATGTTCTTGAAATGATGTCTAGGGGACTGAGTTTTCTTAAATAACACCTCTAAGGAGAAACCAAATGCCTAGCTAGCAAGATGACTTTCTTGCCTAATTTTACTTTTTAAAATATTTTTACTTTTCTTGAAATAGAAATAAATAGGGTGAAGTTTTATAAGCCAGGGAAAAGATTCACCTACCAATTCTTGAACTAAATATCACTGAGCTGAAAAGAGAAGTAGATGATGAGTGTGTATATGACAATCACTTTCATGAGAATTCAATTCTAGAAAGACACTAAATTTCATTCATTGTTTGTCTAAAGAGAAAGTGCAAGCATAGAAATTAATGGGCAAGACGGCCAAAAAGTAACTGTTCTAGTGCTTTATTCTGGATAAACGCAGCGTAATTTTGATTCTTGTGAATTTCAATAAAACATGATTTAATACCACAGCAAGGGTGCCATTAAAATGTGGGTATTAACTTTCCAATAATTTCTAGAAATTGAAATGGAATCTATTTGGCAATAACATGACATTTTGACACCAATGAAAATATTTTATGTAGTTATGTAAGCGATAAAAATAAATGCTATAAAAATGTATCCAGAAGGACTTATAACTAGGAAAAACAATCATAATTAACAAGATTTTGTGAAGTGTGCAGCAGCCAAAGACAACTTTAGACCAGCTGAAGGTGATGAGGTCATTTCTGGTCCTAAGTTCATAGAGTCTGACCACCTGTAGAGATTTTTTTTAAAGCACTTAAAAGAATTAATTTTCCAAATATGGAGAAGCTGAGAGAGTCTCCCTCTTTTACATGACTTTCTATTGTGCCAATGTAATGGAATCAAATACACACTTCAGCTTTTTAAGCAGCTGTTCCTATGGTGCAGGAGTAAATGTGTAAACTCTACCAGTACCAGCTGGAAAAAAAGAACATGAATCTATTATTTCCGAATGTATTATGAAGCCTAGATTTTGTTTCCAGGATAGAATGTGTCCAAAGCAACCAAATTAAGAGGAGGGTTGTGAAATTATTCAGTGGATAAGGAACCATGTTGACATTTCAACTGGCTGATACAAACAAAGCTATATGGGCAGGTAACCATGCCTCTTGTTGCATGAACTGTGCAGAGTCCACCACAATATTCAAGAGATTCTTTTTACTATTTTTAACTGAGATCATTACAGCACAAGACTCTTAACCACAGTAACGCCAAAAGAATAAGAAGCAATTTTATCAAGTATATGTCTTTTTCAACTAGAACATTACTGATCTCTAATTTCATAATGTCTACTGAGGATTTCTAAGTCAAATAATAATAACTATGATGATAGTAATAACAATAGAAGATATTTCACTAAAACATGCATATCTTTTGACTCTACTTTTAAATATAATCTTAATAAAATTATATTTCTAAGTATTACCAAATAAGGACAAAAGAAGTTTTAGTGTATCATAGTGTTTTTCAAAATAAAATTTATCTTTCAGAGAAGTTTTAGGTTCACAGCAAAATTGAGTACAAAGTAGAGGGTGTTCCCATCTATACTCTGCACCCCCTGACACACACACATAGCCTCCCCGACTATCAGCCTCATACAAGAGAGTGGTACATTTGTTACAATCAACAAACCTACATTTATACACATTTATGACCCCAAATCCATAGCTTACATTAGAGTTCATTCTTTTTTTTTTTTTTTTTTTTTTTTTTTTTTTTTTTTTGAGACGGAGTCTCGCTCTGTCGCCCAGGCTGGAGTGCAGTGGCGCGATCTCGGCTCACTGCAAGCTCCGCCTCCCGGGTTCACGCCATTTTCCTGCCTCAGCCTCCCGAGTAGCTGGGAATACAGGCGCCCGCTACCACGCCCGGCTAATTTTTTGTATTTTTAGTAGAGACGGGGTTTCACTGTGTTAGCCAGGATGGTCTCGATCTCCTGACCTCGCGATCCGCCCGCCTCGGCCTCCCAAAGTGCTGGGATTACAGGCGTGAGCCACCGCGCCCGGCCCATAGTGTTTTTCAAAATAAAATTTATCTTTCAGAGAAGTTTTAGGTTCACAGCAAAATTGAGTACAAAGTAGAGGGTGTTCCCATCTATACTCTGCACCCCCTGACACACACACATAGCCTCCCCGACTATCAGCCTCATACAAGAGAGTGGTACATTTGTTACAATCAACAAACCTACATTTATACACATTTATGACCCCAAATCCATAGCTTACATTAGAGTTCATTCTTGATGTTGTATATTCTATGGCTTTGGACAAATGTATAATGACATGTATCCACAATTATAGTATCATAAACAATAGTTTCACTGTTCTAAAAAATCCTCTGTGTTCCATCTACTTATCTCTCACTCCTCCTTAACCCCTGGCAAGTACTGTTCTTTTTACTACCTCTATAGTTCTGTGTTTTGCAGAATGTCATATAGTTAGAATCATACAGTATATAGCCTTTTAAGATTGGCTTCTTTCACTTAGCAATATGCATTTAAGTTTTCCCCATGTCTTTTCATGGCTTGATAGTTCATTTCATTTTAGTTTTGAATAATATTCTGTTTTCTGGATGTACCACAGTTTATTTACCCATTCACCTAGAGAAAGACATCTTGATTGCTTCTAAATTTTGGCAATTATGAACAAAGCTGTTATAAATATCAGTGTGCAGGTTTTTGTGTAGACACAGGTTTTCAACTCATTTGAGTAAATACCAAAGAGCACTATTGTTGGAGTGTATGGTAAAAGTATGTTTAGTTTTGTAAGAAATTGCCCAGCTGTCTTCCAAAGTAGCTGTACCATTTTGCATTCCCACCAGCAATGAATGAAAGTTCCTATTGTTGCACATTCTCTTCAGCATTTGTTGTCAGTGTTTTAGATTTTGGCCATTATAATAAGTGTGTAACAGTATCTCATTGTGGCTTTAATTTGCAATTTCCTAATGCCATATCATTTTCAGGATCCTTACACATGCATATTTGCCGTCCACATGTCTTCTTTGGTGAGGTGTCTGTCCGGGTCTTTTCTTTTTGGTGAGGTGTCTGTCCAGGTTGTTCCTTTTCTTATTCTTGAGTTCTAATACTCTGCATATTTTGGATAGCTGTCCTTTATCAGATATGTCTTTTGCAAATATTTTCTCCTACTCTGTATCATAGTGTTTTAAGTGTTGGTCAACCTTGAGGCTTTATAGCAACAAAAAACAATTTGAACAAATTATATGGTTCTAAAGCTTTAGAACCATTCTTGAAGATGCATTTAAAATGATCTATTGGCTGGGTGCAATGGCTCACATCTGTAATGCTAGCACCTTTGGAGGCCAAGACGGGAGAACTGCTTGAGCCCAGGAGTTTGAAATCAGCCTGGGCAACATAGAGAGACTCCATCTCTACAAAAAAATTAAAAATTAACCAGGTGCAGTGGCATGTGCGGTAGTCCCAGCTACTTGAGAAGCTGAGATGGGAGGATTGCTTGAGCCCAGGAGGTCAAGGCTGGAGCGAGCCATGATGGCACCACTGCACTCCAGCCTAGGTGACAGAATGAGACCCTGTCTCAAAAGAAAAAATAAAAATAATGAAAAAAATTATCTATCTTAGATTATTATTTCACTAACTACTGTGAAAGTTGTCAGAATCAAAATGGAGTCACTAATGTTAAAACACACACACACACACACACACACACACACAAACCTGACATACCAAAACCAGACAAGGACACAATAAAAAAAGAAAACTACAAGCCAATATCCTTGATGAACATAGATGCAAAAATCCTCAATGCAATATTAGCAAACTGAGTGCAACAACACATTAAAAAGGTCATTCACCATGATCAAGTGGGATTCATCCCAGGGATACAAGGATGGTTCAGCATGCACAAATCAATAACAAGTGTGATACATCATGTCAACAGAACCAAGAACAAAAGCCATGTAATCATTTCAATAGATGCTGAAAAAGCATTCAATAAAATTCAGTGTTCCTTTATGATAAAAATGTTGAACATGTTGTGGGTAAAAAAATACACGCAAACTGGGTATATATGACAAATCCACAGCTAACATCATACTCAACGAGGAAAAGCTGAAAGCCTTTCCTTTAAGAATTAGAACAAGCCCCCTCACTCATCACCGACAGCCTGCGGTCAGCGTGCGCAAGCCCTGCCACTGCCCCGCAGAAATGATTCAATTACCCACAGTCTTAAGTCAGATGACACCAGTGTCGAGGGTCCTGGCTCCTCATCTCACTCGGGTTTATGCCAAAGATGTACAATTTTTGGTTCAGATGCCTGAGTCTTAATGCTTCAAGGTGTAGACCTTTTACTCACTGCTGTAGCCATTACAATGGGGCCAAAGGGAAAAACAGTGATTACTGAGCAGAACTGGGGAAGTCCCAAAGTAACAAAAGATGGTGTGACTGTTGCAAGGTCCATTGACTTAAAGGATAAATATAAAAATATTGCGGCTAAACTTGTTCAAGATGTTGCCAATAACACAAATGAAGAGGCTGGGGATGGCACTACCACTGCTACTGTTGCCAAGGAAGTCTTCAAGAAGTTTAGCAAAGGTGCTAATCCAGTGGAAATCAAGAGAAGTGTGATGTTAGCTGTTGATGCTGTAATTGCTGAACTTAAAAAGCAGTCTAAACCTGTGACCACCCCTGAAGAAATTGCTCAGGTTGCTACAATTTCTGCAAATGGAGACAAAGAAATTGGCAACCTAATTTCCGATGCAATGAAAAAGGTCAGAAGAAAGGGTTTCACCACAGTAAAGATGGAAAAACGCTACCGATGAATTAGAAATTATTGAAGGCATGAGGCCAGGTGTGGTGGCTCACGCCTATAATCCCAGCACTTTGGGAGGCGGAGGTGGGCGGATCACGAGGTCAGGAGATTGAGACCATCCTGGCTAACACGGTGAAACCCCGTCTCTACTAAAAATACAAAAAATTAGCCGGGTGTGGTGGCATGCACCTGTAGTCCCAGCTACTCAGGAGGCTGAGGCAGGAGAATTGCTTGAACCCAGGAGGTGGAGGTTGCAGTGAGCCGAGATTGTGCCACTGCACTCCAGCCTGGGTGACAGAGTGAGACTCCATCTAAAAAAAAAGAAAAAAAAAAAAGAAATTATTGAAGGCATGAAAGTTTGAGGATATATTTCTCCATACTTTATTAATACATCAAAAGGTCGGAAATGTGAATTCCAAGAAAATTTCTAGTGTCCAGTCCATTGTACCTGATCTTGAAATTGCCAATGCTCACCGTAAGCTTTTGGTCATAATTGCTGAAAATGTTGATGGAGAAACTCTAAGTACACTCATTTTGAATAGGCGAAAACTTGGTCTTCAGGTTGTAGCAGTCAAAGCTCCAGGGTTTGGTGACAATAGAAAGAACCACCTTAAAGGTATGACAATTGCTACTGGTGGTGCAGTGTTTGGAGAAGAGGAGTTGACCTCAAATCTTGAAGATGTTCAGCCTCATGACTTAGGAGAAGTTGGAGAGGTCACTGTGATCAAAGATGATGCTATGCTCTTAAAAGGAAAAGGTGACAAGGCTCAAATTTAAAAACGTATTCAAGAAATCATTGAGCAGTTGGATGTCACAACTAGTGAATATGAAAAGGAAAAACTGAATGAACAGCTGGCAAAACTTTCAGATGGAGTAGCTGTGCTGAAGGTTAGTGGGACAAGTCACGTTGAAGTGAATGAAAAGAAAAACAGAGTTACAGATGCCCTTAATGCTACAAGAGCTGCTGTTGAAGAAGGCATTGTTCTGGGAGGGGGTTGTACCCTACTTCGATGAATTGGTGCCTTGGACTCATTGACTCCAGCTAATGAAGATCAAAAAATTGGTACAGAAACTATTAAGAAAACACTCAAAATTCCTGCAATGACTATTGCTAAAAATGCGGGTGTTGAAGGATCTTTGATAGTCCAGAAAATTATGCAGTTCCTGAGAAGCTGGTTGTGATGCCACGGTCAGATTTTGTGAATATGGTGGAAAAAAGGAATTATTGACAAAACAAAGGTTGTGAGAAGTGCTTTACTGGATGCTGCTGGGGTGGCCTGTTAACTACAGCAGAAGTTGTAGTCAAAGAAATTCCTAAAAAAAGAGAAGGACCCTGTATTGGGTGCAATGGGTGGAACGGGAGGTGTTATGGGAAATGGCAAGTTCTAATGATTAGAATAGCGTTTTACTTTAATTAATGAACTGTGGCAGGAAGCCCAAGGCAGTATTCCTCACCAATAACTTCAGAGAAGTCAGCTGGAGAAAACGACTGAAGAAAAGGCTAGCAGATGTTTAGGAAATCACTATAACAATCAGTTACTGGTTTCAAGTGACAAAATATATAATGTTTTACTGCTGTCACTGTCCATGCCTACAGATAATTTATTTTGTATTTTTGGATAAAAAGACATTTGTATATTCCTAATACTGGGTGCGAGAGCACCTATGGTTCCAGTTCCAGCTACTCAGGAGGCTGAGGGAGGAGGATCGCTTGAACCCAGGAGATCAAGTACAACTCTTTCTATATATATATATTTTTCATATTTTTACATAATAAAATTCTATATGGCAGTTAAGAGGAGTAACCTAACCATATATCAAAACATAAATCTCATATAATGTTGACTGAAAAAGAAATTTGAAAAATATGTCCAACCTAGTACCAGTTATGTAAATTTTAAAATACACCGTATGTTGCTTATAAAGATATGAATGTTTATAAACGTATAAATACAAGATCCATGTTTTTACATGGATTAGATGGACATACACTAAATCCATAAGAGCCTTGGAGAGAATGTTACACAATTAAACTGAAGGCAAATAGAGAAAGAACATCCATCTTATTTGTAATATTTTAGTTCTTGTATTTAAAAAATATTTTAAGGAAACATGAGAAAATACTGTCATTTCTGGGTTTAAAACTTGGGGTTTTGAAATTTGTAACCCAGCCGGGTGCGTTAAAGGCTCACACCTGTAATCTCAGCACTTTGAGAGCCCAAGGCGGGTGGATCACCTGAAGTCAGCAGTTTGAGACCAGCCTGGCCAACATGGGGAAAATCCGTCTCTACTAAAAATACAAAAATTAGGCAGCCGTGGCTGCAGGCGCCTGTAATCCCAGCTACTCCGGAGGCTGAGGCAGGAGAACCGCTTGAACCTGGGAGGCAGAGGTTGCAGTGAGCCTAGCTCGCGCCACTGCACTCCAGCCTGGGGGATACAGCGAGACTCTGTCTCCAAAAAAAAAAAATACATAAGTAGAAATAAAATAAAATAAAATTTGTACCTCAAATACTTTTCTGTATTTTTATTTCTCAAATTTAAAAAACGAGCTGTAAAAATGTTTCATTGCGAAACAAATTTCAGAAATTGACTCAAAAAGAATGCAAATACTTGAATAGTCTAATAACTTACAGATGTTCCAAAACATCAAAGATCCATTCACTCAAAAAGGCACCAAGCCCAGCCAGTTTTAAGGCTTTCTACCTAATGTTCCAGAAACAGTGTCCTAACTCACATAACGAGGGTAGCGTAATCTTGGTAAAAAAAAACGGAGCCAGATTATTAGCCTCCCCAATTCAGCAGTGTATTAAACCGCATCATCTTGCTTAAGGTTTATAAAAAGAGTGCATTCATGATTCATCAGGAAGGCAATTTATAAAGTACAGTAAAAAAACGAGGAAAGTCTTCATCTTTATAGCGTAAAGCTTAAAGTTCAGCTGACAAAAAAACAGTAAAATTTATTATGTATTTTTTCAAATCCTTGCAAACTAGGAATAAAACAGAATTTCCAAATATCATTAGAATGAAGAAAGAACATTCACCTTAGTCAAAAACAACTCAGAATGCCCACTATCAGGTTCTAGTTCACAGAATAAAATTTAAATGTTCCAAAGAAGAAAGCAAATGTCAATAGTCACGGATTATACAACTGTCTACTTAGCAATTTCAAGGAGAGCCACTGACAAATTTAGAATTAAGACCCAACAACAACACACTGGTCGCCCGGGACGCCAGCCCCACTCCTAGGCCTGCGCATGAGGGTGAGGGCATGCGCATGCGCATGCGCACGCCCTGCGCACGCGCATGGAACGCAGCGAAGGACTATGGCAGGGGAGAACTTCGCTACGCCGTTCCACGGGCACGTGGGCCGCGGCGCCTTCAGCGACGTGTACGAGCCCGCGGAGGACACGTTTCTGCTTTTGGACGCGCTGGAGGCAGCGGCTGCCGAACTGGCAGGGTGCGAGGAGGGGAGGGGCTCTGACGGGAAAGGGTTGCGGCTTTCTGAAGAAGTGCGGTGGAGGAGGGCCGGAACGGTGACTATCACCGCCCTGAGCCGGAGCAGGCGGGGTCCACTTGCAGATGATTGACAGCCAGGACGCCGTAATTGAGAATTTTCCTGTAGCTACAAGTAATGAGTGTGCCGGGGACGCATCTCCTTTGCCAGGGGGCTGCTCTGTCTCATGAGCTCCCTGACTGCTTACCATGCAAAGGCGTATCTTTTCCTGTCGCCTGTTAATCTGAAGAACACATGTCCCTGAGAGAAGCGATAGTATAACACGTTTGGAAACAAAATATTCCGGAAACATTGCTTATTAATATTTTTAAAGTATTACATATTAAAATTGCATGGTATTATTTGATTTACTCAGCACATAGAAAGCACCCTTAACAAACATGAAAGAAAGTTGTGTTACTGGAGTGGGGAAATATTTTTAAACCCACTGAATAGCATACTCTAGCACCAGCCAGTCCTCACATGTGGCTACAGAGCGCTTGAAATGTGGCTAGTGCTATTGAGGAACTGAATTTTTCATTTAATTGTTACCAAAAAAAAGTTACATGCAGCTAGCAGACAATAGTCTACCCTAGCACTTTATTTAAATGGATTTATTGAAGTGATCGCCATCAATTTTAAATTAATAGCAGAAGGAATGAATACTGACATTGTGATTTTTAAATGTAAGGAATTTGGGTTGTTAGATTTGTTTGAAGATAAGATGAACTGGGTTTTCTCAGGATGGAACAAACAGCTTTCAGGTTTCAAAGATCTATATTGTATTTATTTATCCCTCTTAAACTTGGTCATATTTCTCCAGTATAAAATGTCCCAGCTCTTATTAAACTAGTCTTTCATTGTAGATGATGGAACTTTTGGATCTACTGGAATATACAGTGGAACAGTACTGTTTTATAACTTGTCTTTTCTTCTCAAGATAGCCCAGAAAGATTTACAAGCACAAATTGCACTGCAAAGTATGCTGTAAAAGGAGCTGATTTTGTTATAAAGTCTTGGGTTATTTCTAGTTTGGAATTCTAATTATTTATGAGACCATGATAGTTATTTTCAAAGAGAAGCCACCTGGTGAGATTCTCAGACCTTACTACCACCTAATAAAGACTTGTCAGATGTGTAGACTGGTTCCAAAAGTTTAAAACCTCTGGAGCTTGTCACTGGGTAGTTGTTTTGGGAGTTCAGTGCTAAAAATTTCCCTAAATGCCATCAAGCTGATCTTTTTAATGGGGATGATTTATGCTTTTGATGCATGTATAACATTATAGAGGGCTGGCACTGTGGTTCGTGCCTATAGTCCTAACTACTTGGGAGGCTGAGGTGGGAGGATCACTTGAGCAAGCCCAGGAGTTAAAGGCAGCAGTGAGCTGTGATGGCACCACTGCACTCTAGCCTAGGTGACAGAGCAAGAGCCTGTCTCTAAAAAAGAAGCAACTTCCAAGATTATAGGCAAGAAAATAAATTTAATGGAAAGATAAAGTACAGTAGAATGAAGATTTTATAGTTAACAGCATTCTAAGATGGTTAACATTCAAAGATCAGATACTATTTTCCCAATTAGCATATAGCTGTCCAGAAAAAGAATTTTTGTCCTGCTCTATTATTGGGGGACCTTTTAATTCTCTAGGATATACTGATGGCTCTATGAATGTTAGGTATTAAAAATGATAGAGGAACTTTTTTCAAAAATAAATTTTGTAATAATACAAACTTTATTTTAGGAAATACTAAGCTAGGAGCTCCTTGTGCGAAGGAATGATGTCTTTCACATTAATATTTCCAACCCTAGATTAACATTTTTCCATACTTTTTAATGTAATGGTTTGTTGAAATTAACTGAAAGCCATGTTTGGTAATAGATAACTTTTATGGACTTATATTACGTACCCAAAATATTAGTAATTTTGAGTTATGCAATATTAAGTACAAAGTAGTTGTCAGAAATTATAAATTTCTATTTTCATATATTTGCAGGTGAGTGATGATGCTAGAGAAATATATATGCTAGAAATAACACTAGCATGAGAGTTTTCTGTGAAGAGTATTTTGATTCTACTATACTAATATTTATTTATTTTTTTTTCAGAGTGGAAATATGCCTGGAAGTAGGGTCAGGGTCTGGTGTAGTATCTGCATTCCTAGCCTCTATGATAGGCCCTCAGGCTTTGTACATGTAAGTATATCATATTCATCTAGATCTTCCACTGACAGGTTAACTATGATAACTCTAATGAAATAATTTTTAAAGAGACAGTATGTATCTTATAGTATTTAAGCATAGCAAAAACTCAGATTACAAACTATGCTTCCCTAAAAATTATTCATGTTCAAACTGCTCCATCATACTACGTAATTGTAGAAGCAGCATAATTTTAGATCATCTCTAAATTTGATTTCTTAGCTAAGTAATTTGATATCATAAGACATTTAAAGTTGCTTAAATTTATAGAAGATTGGGAATGTAGAAAAGTATAAAGAAGAAAATTAAAATCACCTATAAATTTTACCATACATGGTCCAACTGTGTTTCCTTCTGTTTTTTTTCATTTCCTGTGTTTTTAATTTAATTTCGTCTCATAAACATTTTCCTATCAAAAATTCCTTTTAAATTTCATTTTTGGTGGCTGCATAGTACTCCTTCATTGGATGTATAATTCATAAATTCCTTCAGATGTCTGTGCATGTATGTGTATTCTTCTACTCTTGGACATTGTATCAATATAACAGTCTTTTTCATCAATAGAACAAATCCTTGTTCTCTTTTTCTTTGCCATTATTGAATACGTTCTAATTTTTTTTTTTCTAAATCTGTTCTGTGTAGAATTAATGGAACATACCTTGATATTACTCAGTAACAGATTTGCCTTATGGACATAGGATATAGTTTCCTTCCATTTCTGTTTATAGGTGCACTGATATCAACCCTGAGGCAGCAGCTTGTACCCTAGAGACAGCACGCTGTAACAAAGTTCACATTCAACCAGTTATTACAGATTTGGTAAGATAATCTTTGTCCAGTAATAATTTTCTTTTCAAATAAAGTTAAGATGCTTTAGGTCAAAGAAACTTTGGTAAGTAATTAACTTTTGACCCACTAAGCAGTATACCATGTACAAAGTAAATTCTTTGTTGATGTAATCCACCTTTTCCACAATTCAGGCCTCTTTCAGTCAGAAGTGATAGTGAACCCAGTTCAAACTGGCTTAAATTTAAAAAATTAGTCCGGGTACAAAGGCTCACGCCTTTAATCCCAGTACTCTGGGATGCTGAGGTGGGATGATTGCTTGAGCCCAGGAGTTCAAGACCAGCTTGTACAATATAGTGAGAACTCGTCTCTACAAAAAATAAAAATTAAAAAAATAGCTGGACATGGTTGTGCGCACCTGTCGTGCCAGCTACTTGGGAGGCTGAGATGCGAGGATCACTTGACCCTGGGAGGTTGAGGCTGCCTTGAGCCATGATCGTGCCACTGCACTCCAGCCTGTGGAACAGAACAAAGCCCTGTCTCAAAAAAAAAAAAAAAAAAAAAAAATTGATGGCTTCAGCACAGCTACTTCCAGGAACTCTAAGAATGCTATAGACATCTTTTTCTTATCTCTGAACTTCTCTCTGGTGGCTCTATTCCTAGGCAGTCTTCCCTTCATGGTAACAAGATGTTTGCATATCTGTATCTTATTTCTGAACACCTTCCCAAGGAAAGAGGCCCTTTCTATTCAGTTACTCTAGAAGAGGCCCCAGAATGAGTGTTATCTGGATCAACTTGGGTTATGTGCCTATCTCTCAACCTTTTGCTGTGGCCAAAGGAGATTTGAATGTGGAGATGATTGGCTTCAAAATGCCTCATAGTTCCATCCCAGGAGCTGGATTGGGATAAACCCTACTCAGGCCACTTAGATTGAGAATGATGGGAGGTAGAGCTTCCCTAACAAAAGTCAAGGAAATTAAATCAGAAGAAAGGGGCAGTGGGTCCTCAGTAGGTAAAAACAACAAATGACAACTGCACAACCATTGTTTTAAGAAGTTAACAGCACACATTTTCAAGTGGCAGTTTTAAATTTGTAGGTTTTTAATTTATATATGTCAAATACCTTTTTATAGGCAAAAATAATAATAGCATGCACCAGGTAGACATATGAAAGGCAAAATACTTCTGTGCTCCTTAACTTGCACTTTTCTTACAATGACGAGGGTAGGTAGCTTTCCGGTTTTTTTTTTTTTTTTTTTTTTTTAAATAAATGATTTTGTAGCTTAGAAGGAATTAAGCCAAAGAGATAAGAAATTATTTTCATATTATTAGAAGTTGTTACTGCTAATAAAAGCTAGAATATCAAGAAAGGTACTCCAGTGATTTACATGAGATCAACGTGGTGATTTTTTTTTTTATTTAAAAAATTTCTTTCTTTCTTTTTTTTTTTGAGACACAGTCTCACTCTGTCGCCCAGGCTGGAGTGTAGTGGCGCAATCTTGGCTCACTGCAGACTCCGCCTTCTGGGTTCAAGCAATTATCCTGCCTCAGCCTCCCCAGTAGCTGGGATTACAGGCACCCACCACTGTGCCCGACTAGTTTTTGTATTTTTAGTAGAGACTGGGTTTCATCATGTTGGCCATGGGTTGGCGAGGCTGGTCTCGAACTCCTGAGCTCGGATGATCCGCCCGCCTCGGCCTCCTAAAGTGCTGGGATTACAGGCATGAGCCAGTGTGCCTGGCCTAAAAATTTCTTTAATGTTTCCATAATTAGTATAAGTAAGTGTTTTTGATAGAATGGTGAAACACCAGAGATAGAAGAGACTATAGAACAGTATCCAGTAAATAATGGTAGGTATCTGTACAGATATCGGAAAAATTGTGAAAATGTTAGCATATATAGTTGTAAACTTATATCCAAGTCTATACAGATTATACAGAATTAGAGTTTGCTTTCTTATTTCATTTTCTAAAAGTGAACCCAGAATATAAATATATGTGCTGTTGAGGAGTATAGGCTTTTTAATATTCATTCTGATAGTTTAATTTCCTTATTTTTATTTAATTGCATGTATTATTTTTCTGAATGAAAACATAAAAATACTTCATTTCTGTCTACAAGCGTAGCCCGTAACACATTATTTTCCCAAAAACATGGGAGATTATTTTTAAAGATTAATTTGTCAGTTATTTAATTCAGAGTTTAATGTAAAATTCTTACTGTTGTTGAATACATTTAGGTCAAAGGCTTGCTACCAAGATTGACCGAAAAAGTTGATCTTCTGGTGTTTAATCCCCCCTATGTAGTGACTCCACCTCAAGAGGTAAAACATACAACAAAATTTAATTATTAATATTTTCAATTATTTTGTTTGTAAAATCAAATGAATGTCATCCTATGACATCAGTCAGCTGCTGCTATCACAGACTACTCTGATTTTACTCCTAATTGTCAGTAATTGAGTCCTATTAAAAGACCTAGGAAAGGAACCTTAAATGATGGAAATACAAACTGTGACACATATCTATCCCTAAAAATCACATTCATATCAGGCCATGGTATTTATATTCATATATTCAAATATAAATGTACATATATATTACATGTATCCTTTATCATGAATAAAAAATTTGCAAAACAAAAGGTTTTAACTGGCCGAGTGCAATGGCCCACGCCTGTAATCCTGTACTTTGGGAGGCCGAGGCGGCAGATTACCTGAGGTCAAGGGTTCAAGACCAGCCTGGCCAACATGGTGAAACCCCATCTCTACTGAAAATACAAAAATTAGCCGGGCCTGGTGGCACACACCTGTAATCCCAGCTATTTGGAGACTGAGGCAGGAGAATGGCGTTAACCCTGGAGGCGGAGCTTGCAGTGAGCTGAGATCAAGCCACTGCACTCCAGCCTGGACGATAGTGCGAGACTCTGTCTCAAAAAAAAATTAGCCAGGCATGGTGGCTTGCGCCTGTAGTCCTACATACTTGGGAAGCTGAAGTGGGAGGATCACCTGAGCCCACAAGGTGGAAGCTGCAGTGAGCCATGATTACACCACTGTACTCCAGTCTAGGTGACAGAGCAAGACCCTGTCTCTAAAAAAAAAAAAAAAAAAAAAGAAACAATCTACAATGATAAGGATCTAAAGATTTTTTAATATTATATAAACTCCTGGATATTATTTCTAAAATATAATTAGATTGTTAGAGGAAACATGCTTCAGTGTGCCTTTATATAATATATAATAAATATATATATTTAATAATATATAAATATAATAAATAAATGCATTCCTTAGAAAAGATCTATGTGTTTCACACTTTAAACTACAAGAGGGCCAGATGCATTGGGACATTTTGAAACTTTGTTTCTGTACAGTAGGTCTCTTATAAAACAAGCTGTTCCTTCTAGCTTCTTTCTGTGTTAAGTACAAAAGCTACCCATGTCTCTCAATGTTAAGCATTGTATTAATAGTAATAACTTATTAAGCCCTTGATATACGCAGGGCAATGTTCTCAAAACTTTAAATATACTTCCTTATTTATTCCTAACAGTGGATAAAAATATTTTTTTATTAATAAAAACATTTTTTATCCACTTATTATTTTTCTAATTGTACATATGGAACTATTCTTTTTCTAATTTTACAGATAAAAGAGGAAAGTAATTCACAAACAGGATTACTAATTTATCCAAGGTTACACACTAGAAAATGATGAAACTTAGATTCAACTTGACTGCTCCTTCGTCAGCAGTAAAATGCAAAATATATACTTTTTTGGTGATATTACTTGTCAAAAAGATTCAGTTTGTGATCTAAATCAAACTTGAGTTAAAAGAAAACATTCTTTCTAATTGTTCACAGGTAGGAAGTCACGGAATAGAGGCAGCTTGGGCTGGTGGCAGAAATGGTCGGGAAGTCATGGACAGGTTTTTTCCCCTGGTTCCAGATCTCCTTTCACCAAGAGGATTATTCTATTTAGTTACCATTAAAGAAAACAACCCAGGTAATACAGACCAATTTATTGTTTAAGCATTTATGTTGCTGAAATCAAAAGTTAATAATGTAAAATGCTTTAATTTATAAGATAACCTGGCATGTTAATGAATCACTTAAAACAGTTAATCACTGACAGTAGCTAATACAGGCATAAATTTATGTTGAAAGAGAAAAGAGGTTTTCAGAGGTAAATTTTTCTGATTTTAAAAAGTATTATCTTCTCTTTTCCCCGTTTATAACCTAATATTCAAGTATAAAAATCTCTAATGTTTTTTTCTAACACCTCACTCTCAGTATTATGAATTTTCTCTCTACCCTCTAGTCTTCATGCCCTTGACAATTGTGCTGTACTCTTTAGTTCGTTAGGAGTTTTATCATGAAAGCTATTTAATTGTATAGATTTTTATATCTTTGTTTTCAGATTGCTTTATAACTAAATTGACCATAATCTTTCCTCTCTTTTTCTGTACACTTCAAGTTTGATTTTCAGCTTATACTAAAAGTCCTCAGCCCTTCAAATCACATGATTGCTAGTTTTCTCTTGTCTTTCTCCCTTCCTTCCTTCCTATTTCTCTCTTTTCTCTTTTTTTCCTTCCTTCTCTCCATCTTTCTTTCTTCCTTTCTTCTTTCCTTTCCTTTTCTTTTTCTTTATCTCTCTCTCTTCTCTTCTCTTTTCTTTTTTCCTTCTGTCCATCTTTGTCTCTTTTTCTTTCTCTTTCTCTTCTCTTCTTTTTTTCCTTCCTTCTGTCCATCTGTCCTTCCTTCTCTCTCTCTTTCTTTCCTTCCTTCTTTTTTTTCTTCCCTTCCTTCCTTCTTTCTTCCCTTCCCTTCTCTTCTTTCTTTTTTTTCTTTCCTTCCTTCCTTCTTTCTTTTTCTTTCTTTCTCTCTTTCTCTCTCTCTTCCTTCCTTCCTTCCTTCCTTCCTTCCTTCCTTCCTTCCCTTCTCTTCCCTTCCCTTCCCTTCCTTTCCTTCCTTCCCTTCCTTTCTCTCCCTTCCCTCCCTTCCTTCCTCCCTCCCTCTCTTTCTTTCTTTCTTTCTCTTTCTTTCTCTCTCTCTCTTCTCTTCTCTTTTTTTCTTCCTTCTGTCCATCCATGCGTCCTTTCCTTTCCCTCCCTTCCCTTCCCTTCCCTCCCTCCTTCCCTCCCTCCCTCCCTCCCTCCCTCCTTCCTTCCTTCCTTCCTTCCTTCCTTCCTCCCTCCCTCCCTCCCTCCCTCCATTGTCTTAGTTCAGTCTTCTTAGTTTTATTTATTTATAAGGAAGGTTTTCTTTTTTCAATATGCCTGAAAGAAATAAGCTACTTCTTTCACTCTCACTGTGCAATGTCACTATTCAGTTTGTCCACACCTTCATTGGCTTTTGTCATCCAAAGAGAAAGACATAGGGCAGAGATTGGAGCCAATCAACTAAAAAACTGATCACTTGCTATAATAACAATGACAATTAATGTTTCTGCTGAGTCAAAAGTAGGCTGTGACTGCAAAGCAAGCCATTTATTCTGATTAGACTCACCAGCAACACTTTGAAAATACCAAGTGCTCCCATTTAGCTGAAGACCAAGTTCACTTTAGTAGACATTTATTTGATATACATTGTTTTGTCAGATGAATACAATTTATAAATCATCTGTGTTTAACTTATTAAATTGCTTATTGATCATGCACACTACCAAATGGCTTAATGGATTTTACCTTTTGATTTTTATTTTAGAAGAAATTTTGAAAATAATGAAGACAAAAGGTCTGCAAGGAACCACTGCACTTTCCAGACAAGCAGGCCAAGAAACTCTTTCAGTCCTCAAGTTCACCAAGTCTTAGCATACAGTGTGTGCCCAGAACTACTGGAAACTGAATGCATTTAGCATATTTTGAAACTGAAGTCATTCATTAGGTAACAAGGAATTTTATCAGAAATTTGTCATTAAAAAAAGGTAGAAAGGTGGAACATTCCCTTTCAGTCAGGCCTATAGAATTATTTGCACAAGTACAAGTAAATATGTGTATTATATTTATAGTTTGCATTTTAAATATAAAAATTATGTATGAAATATTTATTTCAGCATTATGTGGTAAGGCAATGGAATTGATCTGGCAAATGTCTTTTTTTTCATACCAGTCCATAAAGGCAGTTTGCTTTCAGATGGCAGGGCCAGCAACACACCTTCATTGTCGTATCTCCGGTGTGTATCAGCTCTCCAACTCTATGTCATAATTCAGTTCATGGGGATCTTGATTACCTTTCCCTTCCACAAAATATTACACTGATTGGTTATATCGATGACATTATGCTGATTTGACCTAGTGAGCAAGAAGTAGGAACTACATTAGACTTAGTGGAAAGACATTTGCATCAGAGGGTAGGAAATAAATATGACTACAATTCAAGGGCCTTCTACCTTAGTGAAATTGGTAGGGATCCAGTGACATGGGGCATGTTAGGATATTTCTTCTACGGTGAAGGATAAGTACTTGCATCTTGCTGCTCTTAAAACCAAGAAAGAGGCACAATACTTAGTGGGCCTCTTTGGGTTTTGGAGGCAACATTTTCCAATTTCATTATGTTATACCAGCCTGTTTACCAATTGACTCAAAAAGCTGCTAGTTTTGAGTAGGGCCCAGAACAAGAAAAGAGTCTGCAACAGGTCCAGGCTGCTGTGCAAGCTGCTCTGCCACTTGGGTCATATGATCCAGCAGATCCAGTGGTGTTTCAGTGGCAGTGGCAGATAGGGATGCTGTTTGAAGCTTCTGGCAGGTCCCTATAGGTGAATCTTGGTTTAGGATTTTAGAGCAAAGCCGTGCCATTACCAACAAATAACTAGTCTCTTTTTGAGAAACAGCTCTTGGCCTGCTACTGGGCCTTAGTAGAGACTGATACTTAATGAGTCACCAAGTTACCGTGCAACCTGAGCTTCCCATCATGAACTGGATGTTATCTGAGCCACCAACGCACAAAGTTGGATATGCACAGCAACACTCTGTCATCAGATGGAAGTGGTATACACATGATTGGGCCTGAGAGGCCCTGAAGGCACAAGGAAGTTACATGAAGAAGTAGGCCAAATTTCCGTAGTCCCCACTTCTGCTACCTGCCTTCTCTCTTCCAGCCTGCATCGGTGGCTTCATGGGGACTTCCCTGTGATCAGCTGACAGAGAAAGAGAAGACTTAGGCCTGGTTTACAGAGTGTTCTGTATGATATGCAGGTACCACCCTAAAGTGGATAGCTGCAGCACTACATCTCACCTCTGGGCTACCTTGAAGGACAGTGGTGAAGGGAAATCCTCCTGGTGGACACAACTTTGAGCAGTCCCCCTGTTGACTTTGCTTAGAAGGAAAAATAGCCAGATATTCAATTATATGCCAATTCATAGGCCGTGGCCAGTGGTTTGGCTGGATGGTCAGGGAGTTCAATATAACTGGAAAATTGGTGACAAAGAAATTTGGAGATGAAGTATGTGGATAGACACTGAATGGGCAAAAAGGGTGAAGATATTTGTGCCCCATGTGAATGCTCACCAAAGGGTTAGCAAAAAAGGATTTTAATAAAGTGGACAAGATAACCTGTTCTGTGGATACTAGTAGGCCTCTTTCTCCAGCCACACCTGTCATCACCCAATTGTTTCATGAGCAAAGTAGCCATGGTGACAAGAATAGAGGTTATGCATGGGCTCAGCAACGTGGACTTCTACTCACCAAGGCTGACCTGGCCAAGGCTATCTCTGAGTGCCCAGTCTGCCAGCAACAGAGACCAACACTGAGCCCCTGATATGACACCATTCCCCAGGGTCATCAGTCAGTTGCCTAGTGGCAGGTTCATTACATTGATCCACCTCTATCATTGAAGGGATAGTGTTTTATCCTTACTGAAATAGATCTTACTCTGGATACAGATTCACTTTCCCTTCGCGCAGGGTGTCTGCTAAAACTACCATCCGTGGACTTACAGAATGTCTCATCTATGACCATGGTATTCCACACAGCATTACAAGAAACTCAGTTCACAGCAAAAGTGTGGCAGTGGGCCCATGATCATGGAATTTTCTTACCATGTTCCCTACTATCTTGAATCAACTGGCTACATAGAGCAGTGGAATGGCATTTTGAAGACAGTAATAACACCAGCTATATAGCAGTGCCTTGTAGGGCTGGGACAAGGTTCTCTAGAAGACTGTCTATGCTCTGAATCAACATCCAGTATATGGTGCATTTCTCTTATGACTGGGATTCACAGGTCCAGGAATCAAGGGGTCAGAATAGGAAGGACACCATTCGCTATTAGCCCTGGTGACCCACTAGCAAAATTTTTGCTTCCTGTTCCCATGACTTATGCACTGCTGGCCTAGAGGTCTTACATAGGGTGGAATATTTTCCACTGAGAGACGCAATCATGATTTAATTGAACTGGAAGTTTAAGACTGCTCCTCAGCCATTTGGGGCTTCTTATGCCTCTAACTCAATAGACAAATGAGTTACAGTGCTGGCTGGGTGATTGTTCCTGACTACCAAGTAGAAACTGGACTACCCCGAATGGTGGTAAGGTAAAGTATGTTGGGAATACACAGGATTCCTTAGGGCATCTCTTAGTGTTATCATGCCCTGTGATTAAGGTCAATGGAAAACTACAGCCTAATTCAGACAGGACCACTAATGATCCAGACCTTTCAGGAATGAAGGTTTGGGTCACCACCAGGTAAGTACCATGACCAGATGAAGTGCTTGCTGAAGGCAAAGGGAATACAGAATAAATGGTGGAATAAATACTAGCTTTGATCATATGACCAGTTACAGAAACACAGACTGTGATTGTCATAAGTATGTCCTCCATATTTTGCTATAACTACATTTTGTGTGTGTGTAGCTTTGTTTTCTTCTCATTTCCTTATTCTGTAACATAAGATGCATTGATTTTATAGCATAGTGTTTAAATATTGTTAATTTTTTTAACTGGCTCCAGTGTTCAACCTTGATTAATTTTACATCATAGTATTTAAGTTATGGGATATCAAGGAGAGAGTAAACATCACATGAAGACTTTACCACCTCTTCTGGGAAACGGGTTAGAGTGTTTCTGGTGGAATGCTGGATTGTTAATCGTGTTAGATGGAATTATGACCTTGTTGTTGTCTTTATGTGGCAGTTAAGTATGGTTTAAAGAGATGTTTATGGGTGCCAAGTTGACAAGGGTAAACTTGTGATGGTTAATTTTATATGTCAACTTGAATAGGCCACAGGGTGCCAAATATCTGTTTAAACATTATTCTGAAGTGTCTTGAGTGTGTTTACAGACAAGATTTGCATTTGAACTGGGGGACTCAGTAAAGGAGATAGCCATCCCCAAGGTGGGTGGACATCATCCAGTTTGTTGAGGGCGTAAATAAAATAAAAGGCAGAGGAAGGAAGAATTCCCCCCCCTTTTTTTTCCTGCCTCATTGTTTGAGCTGTGACATCTCATCTTCTGTCCTCAGATGGATTTACATCACTGGCTTCCCTGGTTCTCAAGCCTTTGGATTCAGACTGAATTATACCACAGGCCTTCCTGGGTCTCCAGCTTATAGATGACAGATCATGGGACCTCTTAGCCTCCATAATCATGTAAGCCACTTTCTTGTAGTACTGGTAAAAGATATATTAGACCAATCTATAAAACAGCTAGCTATGAAAGAGAAAGGTGACAGGCACAAGCCTAGGCAAATAGAGAAGGGTTCCTGGAGAGCCTCTGACTTGCCTAGGTCATTGTGCACACGTGGCTTGCCTGAATGAACATGCCCACTGTGAAAGATTCCATTTCTCAACACATGTGCAGTAAGGGAAATAAATCAATGTGGCTCAGACTAAGCGCCCACACATGGGGTGGAGCCACGAGGAGTTTGCTCCTTATGCAGGGGAGAAGCCGTGCCTCTTCAGCTCGTGTGTGGTGGCCTGGCATTCAATTTGTGAGGTGTAAAACCTGCATGAAGGACCCCTCTTTTTGTGGAGAGCTTTCCTTTTGCCTAATAAATTCTGCCCTCCTCGCCTTTCAGTGTGTACGCGTGCCTAATTTTTTCTGGTCATGTGATAACCCAAATTTAACTGAACTAAGGAGCAAAAAATCCTGCATCAGCTACATTAATAGCTGATTGTACTAGATTGAGTAGTGTCCCCCCAACAAAATTCGTGTCCAACTGAAACCTGTGAATATGCTCCTATTTGGAATTAGGGACTTTGCAGATGTAATCAAGTTAAGACAAGGTTGTACTTGATTAGGATGGGCCCTAAATCCAATATCTCTTGTGTCCTTGTAAGAACAGGAAAATCTGAACACAGAAACAGAGACATAGGGCCATATGAAGACAGAGGCAGAGGTTGGAGTGATGAGTCAATGAGTAAAGGAATGCCAGGGGTTGCTAGCAACTGCCAGAGGCTGGAAGAGGCAGGCAAGGATTCTTCCTTCAAGGCTTCAGAGGGAGCATGGTCCAGCCCACACCTTTATTTCAGACACCTAGCCTCAAGAACTGTGAGAGAATGCATTGGTTTTACAACAAACAGTTGTAAAACTGTGAGAGGATGTGTTTGTTTTACAACAAACAGTTACCCAGTTGGTGACACTGTTACAGTAGCTCTCAGAAATTAATACGCTGAGTACAAAGTTAAAAGCTAATTAGGAATAGACATGGACACTGATATGGTTTGGATTTGTGTCCCCACTCAAATCTCATGTTGAATTTTAATCCCCTAGTATTGGAGGAGGTGCATGGTGAGAGGTGATTGGATCATGGGGGCAGACTTGCTCCTTGCTGTTGTCGTGATAGTGAGTTCTTAGCGAGATCTGGTTGTTTAAAAGTGTGTAGCACTCCCTCTTCGCTCTCTTCCTCCTGCTCCAACCATGTGGACGTGCCTCCTTCCTCTTCACCTTGTGCCCTGATTTTAAGCTTCCTGAGGCCTCCCCAGCCATGCTTCCTGTACGGCCTGTGGAACCGTGAGCCAATTAAACTTCTTTTCTTTACCCAGTCTCAGGTAATTCTTTATAGCAATGCGAGAACAGACTAATACAGACACTAAAGAATGATAAAGGTTTACACTTTACTAAAATTGTGTCCAGGAAAATTGCTTCATACTATGTAAAATAAAGAAAAATACAAGTATAAATTTGCAAATTGATCATACAGGAGGATTTCAAATTGTCTGTCTCAATTAGTACTACATCAAGGAGACCAAAAAGGCAAAGAGGAGATTTGAACAATAGCAGTGAATTTGATATAATAGACTAATATAGAACTCTGAAACTAACAATCAGGGAATGCATATTCTTTCTCAAGCACCCATGGGATGTTTACAAACATAATTACGTATTAGACCAAAAGTAAGTCCCTGTAAAATTCAAAGAATCAATATGATATAGCTAATCTTCTCTGACTATAAAGTGTTTAGGTTATAAATTAATAACAAAAATAAAATTTTAAAGTCCCCATACATTTACAAAATTTAAAACATGCTTCTAAACAATTCATATGTCAAGGAAGAAATAATGACATTTTAGGCTGGGTGCGATGTAATCCCACCACTTTGGGAGGCTGAGGCAGGCAGATCACCTGAGGTCAGGAGTTTGGGACCAGCATGGCCAACAGGATGAAACCCCATCTTTACTGAAAATAAAAAAATTAGCGAGTGTGGTGGTATGCACCTGTAATCCCATCTACTCGGGAGGTTGAGGCAGGAGCATTGTTTGAGCTTCAGAGGCGGATATGGCAGTGAGCTGAGATCATGCCATTGCACCTCCAGCCTGGGCAACAAGAGCAAGACTCCGTCTCAAAAAAAAAAGAAATGACATTTTGAAAATTAACTGAACAGAGGGTGAACCCTAATATAAACTGTGAACTTTAGTTAGTAATAGTGTATCAATATTGGTTCATCAGTTGTAACAGATATACCACACTAATGCAAGATGCAAATAATTGGGGGGAACTGTGCTTGTGTTTGTGCAGTCAGGGAGAGGAGGTTTGTGTAAAGTCCATACTTTTTTTTGTTTTTTAACCTGTGTCTACAACAAAACTCTCTGTACTTCCTTATCAGTTTTCCTGTAAAGCTAAAACTGTTCTAAAATATATTTGAAAAGTCTTTTAGTATAAGAGAAAACCAAAACAAAGCAAACAAAAAGGCAACAACATAATGATAAACAAAAAATTCAGGCTAGTGCTAACCGGTTGGATGAGAGGAGGTAAGGATGACTGGGAGAAAGGCTAGAGGAGAACCAGGCACCCAGATAAACAGCATAAAGGGACTGGCAGTGTTCCAGTTCTGAAGTTGGCCAGAGAGTTTCTTGGGTATACATTTTATTATTTTAAATTCATGTGAACTGGGCCACGATCTTACAGTCTATGTTATTCTCATGTGCAGAGGTTCAACTGATGTACCAAGTTCTTTATTAGTGACACACTAAAAATTTATTGCTTATGCATTTTATAATCTAATGTGCTTTGTCCAGAGCATAGAAAGTGTTCTATTCCATTTAGTCATTCGGAGACTGAGGATCCCTCTGTTTTGTGCCACCATCACAGTCAGCCTGTAACCTCTAAGTCAGCGTGGATATGGAAAAAAGAGGAAGATTATGCATGAGAGATTTTCGAGCCAGTCCTGGAAGTAGCATAAGTGACTTCAAATTCCAGTGGCCAGGGCTCATTCAGGTGGTTCCAATATAGTTGAACTGTATGCCCAAGAAGAAGAAGTGGTTCTTATAATTCTTTCCCCTAAATAATTGTGTTAGACAAAAACCTTGATAACAAAACCAGATAAGGGTTATATAAGAAAGGAAAGTGACAGGCCAACCACATTCACATAGAGGAAAAAAGAAGAAAACTTCAACAAACTAAATCTAGCAGTATATATAAAACAGATGATACACTGTGACCAAGTTGAGTTTATCCCAGGAATGTAACCACGGTTTAATAGAAAAATCTATAAATTCCATTTATCATTCTAATAGGTTAAAGGGAAGAAAAATAACACATTATCACCTCAACAGATGTGGATATACGTTTGTTGAAATTCAATACACTTGGCAAACTAGGAAGAGAAGGAACTTTCTTAACCCAACATGGTCTGTATACAAAAAACTGTGGCAAATATTCTGAAAGTAGAAATACTGGAAGCATTCCCTATAAGAATCAGAAACGAGAAAATTGCCACCTATTACCACTCCTATTCAACATTTTCACTGGAAGTCCTAGCCAGCAAAATAAAGAAAAAAAAAAATGAAAGGGAAAAGGATAGGAAAATACGAACAAAATTGTCATCACTAACAGATGATATTATTTACCAAGAAAATATTTAAAAAACCACTGACTTATTATAATAAGAGGGCTTAGGAAAGTGGTTGCCTGTAATAACAATATTCAGAAATCATTTGTATTTCTATGCGTTAGTCCCCCAAAGCAGGAAAATGTATTTTAATAATACGACTAAAAATGATAAATAAGGCATCATGGAATAAATATAACGTGTACAGGACTAACATGCAATTTGATTAAAATACTTTTTTGTTTTTTGAGACAAGGTCTTGCTCTGTCACCCAGGCTGGAGTGCAGTGGCGTGAACTTGGCTCACGGCAACCTCCACCCCACAAGCTTAGGCAATCCTCTCACCTCAGCCTCTTGAGTTTCTGGGACCACAGGTGTGCACCACCACAACCAGCTAATTTTTTGTATTTTTAGTAGAGACGGGGGTCTCACCATGTTGCCCAGGCTGGTCTTGAACGCCTGAGCTCAAGCGATCCTTCCACCTCGGCCTCCCAAAGTGGTGAGATTACAGGCATGAGCCACCATGCACAGCCTAAAAGATATTTTAAATACCTAAGTAAATGGAAAGTTATTTTATGTTTATGACTAGGAAGATTCACTGTTATAAAGATACCAATTGTTCCTATACTTACAGTAAAATTCCAGTCAAAATCTCAAAAGTGTTTTTCATAAAACCGGAACAAATGACCAAGAACAGCCTAGACACTCCTAGATAATAGGAGGAGCATGAGAGAGCTTGAGCTACTCAGATGCCAAATACTTATTATTAAACAACAGTAATTAAGATAGTTTTATATTGACCCAAAGATAAATAAACTGAAACAGAATGGAAAGTCCATAAAGAAACATGTACATATATAGAAATGTGTATATGATGAAATGGAACTGCAGAACAAATGGAATAGTACTGTATAAGTGATTATACACAAAGGGAAACAATGAAATTAGATTCTTACCTCACACCATATACAAAAGTCCACTAAAATTGATTAAGTTGTAAATAAAAAGGTTGAATTTTAAATTTGGAAAAAATATAGGAGAATATTTTTATGACAATGGAATGGGAAAGAGTATCTATAAAATAAAAAAGAATCACAGACCCTAAAAGACTGATAAATCCAGTTGCAGTAAAGGGTTTTGTTCGTCAAAAGGCATTATAAAGAAAATTGAGGCTGGACGTGATGTAATCCCTGCACTGTGGGAGGCCAAGGAGGTCAGATCCATCTGGGCCCATCCATGTTACCCCCATAAGACTTGAGGCAAGGGGAAACTGATGAAACATGCTGTTGCTCATGCTAATTGTTGTATGAATACTATGAGTAATAAAGTTCCTTGTCTCTGACCCAAAAGCCTTGTTTTTTTCTGCCAACAGTGAAACTGTGGCAGACTAATTTGGGTTGCAAGTGGAGTAAAATCTCAGATCCTTTACATTTCTCGACAGTGCAGTGTGCTGCAATTTTCCCTTGTTAGAACTTCCTTTAGTTCTGCCTCACTGGAGTCAACAATTTTTCACTTGCCCTTGGTGATGGCACATTGGGATTTTTTTATAGATTATAAAAAGATTTTTATAAATGTCTCAAATTGAGTTTTCTGCTTAATATTTTTGTGCAACTTCTCCATGTTGAAGAGTTATTCACTCATTTTCACCAATATATTCCACTATTCATTTATTCATACTTTGGTCATTGAATTTTAGGTTGTTTCCAGTTTTCACTATTATGAATAATGTTGCTATAAACATCTCTGTACATGTCTGTTGGTACTCTAGTCAATACCTAGAAGTGGAATTTCTAAATCATACGGTACAATTATGTTTCATTTTACCTGATAATGCCAAATTGTTTTCCAGAAAGATGCCAGTTTACTTGCCAGTAGTGTATATGAGTTTCTGTAGCGCCATATCTTCACCAATATTTGGGACTGTTAGACTTCTTAGATTTTGCCAATCTAGTAGGTCTAATATAGTATTGATTTATATTTTCCTAATGAATAATATGGTTGAAATTTTCATATGTTTATTAGCCATTAGGTATTTTTGCTTTATTGTCATTTAAGCATTTTGTATCAGATTTCTGTTGTCTTTTTACTTGTTGATCTGTAAGAACTAATTATTCATATATTCTGGCTACTAATCTCTACATTTTGCAAACATTTTCTACTCAATCGTGTCAATTTTCTTTCTTTCCTTTTTTTGTTTTTTGAGACAGCATCTTGTTTTGTCACCCAGGCTGGAGTGCAGTAGCGCAATTTTGGCTCACTGCAACCTCTGCCTCCGGGTTTCAAGCAATTCTCATGCCTCAGCCTCCCAAGTAGCTGGATTATAGGCATGTGCCATCACACAAGCCTCTGGAGTAGCTGGGACCACAGATGTGCACCATCACAACTGGCTAATTCGTGTATTTTGAGTAGAGAGGGGAGTTTCACCATGTGAAACTAATGCTTATTAGACTGTAGAGAAGAATGTGTGCTCTTTATTTATTTTTTGAGATGGAGTCTCACTCTGTTACCAAGGCTGGAGTGCAGTGACATGATCTTGGCTCACTGCAGCCTCTGCCTCCTGGGTTTAAGCAATTCTCCTGACTCAGCCTCCCGAGTAGCTAGGATCGCTCTGTTGCCCAGGCTGGAGTGCAGTATTGTGATCTCGGCTGTCTGCAGACTTGACCTCTCAAGCTCAAGTGATCCTCTCACCTCAGTTTCCCTAGTAGCTGGGATTACAGGTACGGGCCACTATGCCTGGCTAATTTTGTGTGTGTGTGTTTTTTTTTTTGTTTGTTTTTGTTTTTTCTGTAGAGACAGGCTTTTGCCATACCATGTTGCCCAGGCTGGTCTCCAATTCCTGGACTCAAGTGATCCACCCCTGCCTTAGCCTCCCAAAGTGCTGGAAGTACAGGCATGAGTCACTGTGCCTGCCAAAACTTATACTATTCTTATTGGCCAATAAAAGGACAGTGAACTTTGATTGTGTCACTGCTGTCTAGCCCGGGTGACAGAGTGAGACCGTGTTTCAAAAAAGAAAAGAAAAGGGCAACTTTAGAATTTTGGAAGCCTGAAACAGTGGGGATATGTGGCTACAGTTTGATGATAGAGGAACGCACAGAGAGTTTTGGAGACTGTGAAGTATATAATACATCCTAGAATTGATAATGGCTAAATTGAGTCTAGAAAGGAGAATGGGATTCAGGCAAGTGCAAAAGAGGTGAGAGGGCATTCAGCAGAGGGAAGAGTGCATGGAAAGGCCTAGAGACTTCAGAGTCAGAGTCCAGCATATTCAGGGAGTTGCAAGTAGCTCAGTCTGGCTAGGTCCAGGGTTCAGGTGGAGGACTAGTCAAAGAGGAGTCTAGGATAGAGCAGGAAACAGCATTCAGTGCTCACAAATTATGGGAAAGGATGTAGTCTTTATTCTGAAGATGTGCTTCTAGAAGCGAGGAGTCAACAAAATCAAACGTGCTTTCAAAAGATCATTCTAGGCTGGGCGTGGTGGCTCACGCCTGTAATCCCAGCATGCTGGGAGGCCAAGGTGAGCAGATCACTTGAGGCCAGGAGTCCGAGACCCAGCCTGGCCAATAGGGTGAATCCACATCTCTACTAAAAATACAAAAATTAGCCAGGCATTCTGGTGTGCACCTGTAATCTCAGCTACTCGGGAGGCTGAGGGAGGAGAATCACTTGAACCCAGGAGGCGGAGGTTGCAGTGAGTGGAGATTGTGCCACTGCACTCCAGCCTGGGCAAGAGAGCAAAATTCCATCTTGAAAACAAAAACAAAAACAAAACAAAAGAAAAACTAAAAGATCACTCTGGCTGTGGGGAATGGACTAGAGGCAGGTTAATCAGGAGATGGAGGACCCTCTTGAGACTGCTGTGGTTAAATGAAGAGATGGTAGTGGCCTGAACTGAGGTTAAGGCTGTGGGAATGGGAAGGGGGAACATATCTGCATAGGGTAAGGAAGGGACGACGCTTGGTAACTGATTGAATACCTGTATCTATAGATTCTGTCTGTCTGTCTGTCTATCTATCTATATCATCTATCTATATCTATCTATCATCTATATCTACCTATCATCCATCTATCTATCTATCTATCTATCTATCTATCTATCTATCTATCTATCTGTCTGTCTGTCTTTCAGAGAGAGGTAGGAGTCGAGGTGACTTGTGGGTTTTTAACTTGGGCAGCTGAGAGAATAATAGTGCCATTCCCAGGAATGGAAAACCAGAAGGAGCAAGCTTTGTGGAGGGAGAGTAAAATGGAATAGGGGGAAGATGATAAGGACAACATGGGGGCAAGTTAGGATTGAAGTGAAACTTTTTAAGTGGACGTGTCCAAATGTTTATGCATATGGGTCCGGGTTGAGGAGAGAGGAAATGAACTAGAGTTATTGAAATAGGAGCTATTATCATATGAGGAGCGTTTGAAGTCATGTGATTGAATGAGCTCATCAAAGGACAGTCTTCATGGGACAACAAGTTTTCAGGAAAGATTAAGCTGGTGCAATGCTCTTTTGGACATACATCTTAAATGCTAATGTAAGACCCATAGGGGTCAAATTAATACACTTTTTAAAGTGTCTAATATTTGAAGCTGTAGAAATCTTTTTAGCTATTTACCAAAGGTGTCTTTTGCTTTAGAAGGCCTTTGGTTTTATAGCTCTCTCTCTCTCATCTCTAGATTTATGCAAAAGGAGGTGGGTGGTTAAAGTTCTAGGTTGGGAATGCCAGCTCTTATGTTGCTATAACTTATAATCCTTTCATCCAGCCAAGGGGAGGATTCTGTTCAAAAGGAACATTAAGACTGTTTCTGGGGGCCAGGCACAGTGGCTCATGCCTGTAACCCCAGCACTTTGGGAGGCCAAGGTGGGTGGATCACTTCAGGTCAGAAGCTCTAGACTACCCTGGCCAACATGGTGAAACCCTGCCTCTACTAAAAAAATACAAAAAATTAGCCAGGCGTGGTGGTACACACCTGTAGTCCCAGCTACTTGGGAGGCTGAGGCAGGAGAATTGCTTGAATCTGGGAGGTGGAGGTTGCAGTGAGCCAAGATCGTGCCACTGCACTCCGGCCTGGGCGACAGAGCAAGACTCTGTCTCAAAAAATAAATAAATTATAGAAAAGACTGTTTCTGGTGCCAGAGCAGCAAGTGTTCAGTGAGGCCAAGGAATAAGAACAGTTTCTACGGTCCTGATAATCTTACTCTGAAAAACAGAGAAATGACAGACAGTCTCTCCTTGGTGGTCTCTTAATCTGAAGTTTATGGACTTCCAGAAACCTGGCCACCCTCTGTGTATACGTAAGGGCTTTTTCCTTCTAGAGAAAGTATGTCTAGCTTTGTTTAGGTTTTCACCAGTGTCTGTGATCTCCTGTAAGTTAACACCACTTACCATTTTCTCAAAGCCTTGTAGTAGAATACAGTAAAACGGAACCTTGGTTTATTAGCGTTCTCTAGAGGGACAGAACTAATGAAGTATATATATATATATATATATATATATATATATATATATATATATATATATATATATATAAAAGGGAGTTTATTAAGTATTAACTCACACAATCACAAGGTCCTACAATAAGCCGTCTGCAGGCTGAGGAGCAAGGAGAGCCAGTCCAAGTTCCAAAACTGAGGAACTAGGAGTCCCGCGTTCACGGGCAGGAAGCATCCAGCATGGGAGAAAGATATAGGCTGGAAGGCTAGGCCAGTCTCTCTTTTTACATTTTTCTGCCTGCTTATATTCTAGCCATGCTGGCAGCTGATTGGATTGTGCTCACCCAGATTAAAGGTGGATCTGCCTTTCCCAGCCCACTGACTCAAATGTTAATCTCCTTTGGCAACACCCTCAGAGACACACCCAGGATCAATCCTTTGTATCCTTCAATCCAAACAAGTTGACACTCAGTATTAACCATCGCAAATCCACCCCTTGTCAACTTGAGCCTATACACATCTGCTGAGATCACACATAATCTTCAAATAAAGGCAATAATAAGGTCATAATGACACGTAACATAATTCAACTATCCTTCGTACAACCAGAAACGCACCAATCCCCGACCCAAATACATAAAGTTAACAGTACTTAAATGCTGATGTGAAGTCAATAAATCTTATGTCACATGATAAAGGAGAAAGGAAATAAAATGAAGATATTTTCTTAGTACAAGTGTATGCATGCAAAAACATGTTTTTAACAAAAGGAGGAAATACTCATGACAATTACAGTCCTTCTTTCTGCAGTTGGTCACATGGTCGTAGCTGGTACTGATGACTACTTTCTTTTTTTTTTTTTGAGACGGAGTCTCGCTCTGTCGCCCAGGCCGGACTGCGGACTGCAGTGGCGCAATCTCAGCTCACTGCAAGCTCCGCTTCCCGGGTTCACGCCATTCTCCTGCCTCAGCCTCCCGAGTAGCTGGGACTACAGGCGCCCGCCACCGCGCCAGGCTAATTTTTTGTATTTTTAGTAGAGACGGGGTTTCACCTTGTTAGCCAGGATGGTCTTGATCTCCTGACCTCATGATCCACCCGCCTCGGCCTCCCAAAGTGCTGGGATTACAGGCATGACCCACCGCGCCCGGCGACTACTTTCTTCTACTACTCATTCTGTATTCCTTTTGCCTTCAGCAAGCATCTCAGCAGGTCGTGGTTTTTTTCCTAGTGGAGTGACCCAAACCTTTATTCCTGAAGGGTCTGGGTCATTTGTAGTCCTGCCTGGATTGGGCTCTTGTAGTTTCCTACTGACCTTAATCACAGGGCATGGTAATACTAAGAGACACCCTAATTAATCTCCTGTATTCTATGCAAACTCTTCCTTACCTCCTTTGTGAAGTAGTAGACTGATTTCATCTTGAAAGTCCAGGTCAGTAACCCCAACCAACACTGTAACTCCCTTCTTAGTGTGTTGACTTAAAGGTAGGAGGAGCCCAAAGTGTCCAGGTGGCAATCTTAACTTCCAGTTTAATGGAATTGTTGTGTCTCCTGGTGGCAGCATTCCTCCCTCTGCAATTAAGACCTCTAGGCCAGCACAACGTAATGTGGCGGGAACAGGAAGCAAAAAATTTGGTAGCTGATTACTAAAGGTGATGGTGAGTGGTGCCACTTCCACTTCCACCCCTTGATTCCTGGACCTGTGAATCCTGGCTGTGAGAGAAACAGTACCGTATATTGGACACTGATTCACAGCATACATGGCCTTCTGGAGAACTTTGCCCCAGCCCTGCAAAGTATTGTCACCTAGTTGGCATTGGAATTGTGACTTTGAAAGGCTAATCCACCATTCTATCAATACAGCTGCTTCAGGATGATGGGGAACATGGTAAGACCAGTGATTTCCATGACCATGACGTCTCCTTGGGGAAGGATGGGAGAATCACTGCATAAAGTGTTGGTAATATGGTGGGGTCCTTCCTCAAGGGGAAGTAAACCGTAAACTGGCTCAAGTCTGGAAATTGATTGAGGGGCCGTGATTCTCTGTATTTGTAATTCAAATTAGTCTTTTGTCCATTTGACCTAGAAGTTTTCTGCTTATATAAATTAAGAATGCAGTAGGCTTCCTATCAATTTCACTTCTAGGAGCACCATGATTAATTAGCCAATGCCAGAGCTCTACATGAGTCAGACTATTCTGATTGCTGCTTTGCCTCTGCTGTTTATTACAGCAGGTATGCCCACCTTGCCTTTGATAGTTGAGTGCCACCACTTGGCCCCTGCCATCTTGTGATCCAGTTACTCCCATTGTATTTTAATTTTGTAGTCGAGTGTCTGCAGTTCTCACTGTTAGATCTGACATGCAGACAAGAGCAATTACAAGACTCTTCAAAGATGCAGGTGCTGCCTTCACGAATCTGTTTCGCAAGACATTGGTCAAGGGTATATCTTCTGCACCCTCCCAGCTGGGACGAATAGGTCTAAAGTGTCTAATTCATTCCACCATGCCAATTTCCCTAAGCCTTTGGATCCCTTTTTCTACATTAAACCAAGGAAGATCAGGCATTTCCAGCTCATTCACAGTGGGCCATCTTTTAATCCATATTTCAGCTAATCAAGCAAATAAACTATTAGAACCTTTTTTAACTCCCTGAGCTGCAACATTAAATGCAGAGTCCCTACTTGGTGGGCCCAAATCAATAAATTCAGCCTGATCCAACTCCATGTTCCTTCCACCACTATCCCACACTTTTAATATCCATTCCCATGGCTGTTCTCCAGATTTCTGTTTATATAAATTAGAAAACTCAAGCAATTCTTGTGTCTGTTTTTTCAGTTTCAGCTCTTTCTCGACAGTAGATAAGACTGTCACTCAGGGCAATCTTAGCAGATTTGAGGCTCAGTATCTGCTTCTGAAGCCAGGAGATAGAATCCTTGAGTTCATAATTTTTTAAAATTTCTTTGTTCAGTGAACTTAGGAGCAACCAACTAGGTTCATTTTGTTCTATATATACATATATTTATATATGTATTATATATGTTATATATATATATTTTGTATATATAAAGGGGAGTTTATTAAGTTTAACTCACACAATCACAAGGTCCCTTCATAGGCTGTCTGTAGGCTGAGGGGCAAGGAGAGCCAAGTCTGAGTTCCAAAACTGAAGAACGTGGAGTCCAGTGTTCCAGGACAGGAAGCATCCAGCAGGGGAGAAAGATGTAGGCTGGGAGGCTAGGCCAGTCTCTCCTTTTATTTTTCTGCCTGCTTCTTTTCTAGGCACGCTGGGAGCTGAGTAGATTGTGCCCACCCAGATTAAGGGTGGGTCTACCTTTCCCAGCCCAGTGACTCAAATTTTAATCTCCTTTAGCAACACTCTCAGAGATACATCCAGGATCAATCCTTTGTATCCTTCAATCCAAACAAGTTGACACTCAGTATTAACCATCGCAAGTCCACCCCTTGTCAACTTGAGCCTATACACATGTGCTGAGATCATGCATTATCTTCAAATAAAGACAATAATAAGGTCCAATCAAGTTGACACGCCATATTAACCATCACACTCAGTATATCTTGTTTCCAACGATGAAGCTCAGATAGTTCATTTATTCACTAATTAAAGACAAATATTGGGGAAAAGGATGAACAGTATCATTTTTGGGGACATAGTGACCTAAATTTGGTTACTTTTTTTCTATATGGAGAGCTGGGGGAGGGGGATGTGAGCCTGAGGTTTCCACACTCAGGTCTGGGGTGGTGAGGGCAGCTGCTGCTTCTCCTTCCAGCATCCATGGGAGTCCAGCCATTCAGAATTCTCCACAGTACACCTGAGGTCCCCATAACTATCAGAGATAAATAACCACAAATGTGAGGGTACCATAGATGAGAGATGAAAATATCAGACAAAAATTAGAGCACAAACCCAGTAGAAGAGAATTGTTAGAAGAGCAGAAGAATGGCTGAATTGAAAAAAAGTAACCACACTTAAGGCAGTGGTTAAAAGACTTCTTTGACTTTAATGCCATGATTTCTCAAATAACTCAGTAGATACATTTAAGATAAGGATGGTGATTATTGACATCTGAATTGGTAAACTGGATGACCAGGTGCAGGGAAAACGTCAAAGCACAAATGAAAATTGTAGGCAACTTGAATGCAAGATTTGAGGATCCCTACCATAAAAATAATTGGAGATTCTTAAGGAAAAAAAAGAGCAGATGGAAGATAGGCAATCATTAAACAAATACTAAAAAACAATTTATCTAAGGTAAATACAGTTTTGAGACTAGAGTGTAAGAGCTTTCCAAGTTGCGGGCTTTACTGATGAGACGAGATACACACCAGGTATGTCCTGAGTGAATCCTGGAACTTTAATAATGAAGATAATATTATAGGCTTCTAGGTAGAAATAACAAACAACCAACAAAGGGAAATATGAACAAAGCTTTGGGCAATGGAATCCTCTGTTATTTTTTAATTAATTTACTGAAAGCTGGCTGATAGTGAAATAGCATCAATTAAAGAATTGGAACCCAGAGTCTTCTCAAATAAGATAATTGACCTGTCAGAGTGACAGAGAGATATGTGAGGATAAATAAAAATTCAGAGTATATCAGCCATGTACCCCTTTTATTTTATTTTGTTTTGTTGTTATGTTTTAGAGAGTTGCTCAGACACCCAGGCTGGAGTCAGTGGTGCGATCATAGCTCCCTGTGACATTGAACTCCTGGCATGGTCCCTTTTAAAAAATTTCTTGAGAAAATACTCTAACTGAGCAATAAATGAACCAGAGCAGAAACCTTAGGATGGAGAAAATAAAGAGGCAAGGCAACAAGGCCACAGTGGTGAGCAGCAATACTTGTCCTTCCCTCCTTCCTTCCCTCCTTTCCCCACTTCCCTCCCTGCGTCCCTCCCTCCTTCCTTCCTTCCTCCCTCCCTTCCTCCTTTCCTCCCTCCCTCCTTCCTGTTTTCATCTATACATCTATCTGAATAACAACATAGTATCTCAAAATGTGATCTATAAGCAAGTCTCCTGAAACGGGAAGGATAAGACATTTCTAAAATGTACTACCCAAATTCAGAAAACTTAGGAGCTGGTGATTGTGGTAACAATGGAAAGTAGAAGCTTCCCAAGGTTATAACTGGTGCAGAGAATGAAGTTGGGGAGGAGAAAGGAGAAGTGAAGGTAGTCTATGGGCTTCAACTTATTGGGGTTAAGGAAGAAGTAGAGGTGAAGTAGGGCATACTGATGGGGGAAAAGAGTGGTTAGGGACATAGTTGACAGATTGTAGACTAGGGTACAAACAAATCATAGCTATTTGCTATGTACAAGAAAATAAACCCCGCTTAAGCAGTGTTAACAGCTTAAATTGAGAATTGAGTGAAGAGATAAGAGACATATTCAAATAAAAAGAAAGGAGCATGTGGTAGAACCTTGCAGCTGTTTTGTTGTTCAGTCGCATAAAGATAAGACCAAGGATAGAAGATCTTTATTGTAGGATTGTAGGCTAAGTGGGTCAGCATGACCTATGAAACAAGAGGCCTGTTCCTGTTGAAAAGTCAAAGCCAACCTTAACACCTGACACAATCTGGATACTGTTTGTATGAACAGTGGACTGTGTGGACCCTGTTCTTAGAACATATATAGCTTTGTGACGTAAGTGTTAAACAGTAGAAAGATTTAACATAGAGAGTAGATTTAACATAGAGAGTAGCTCATATAATCTCTTTCCCTAAAGGAGGGAAATCTTTGGTTATTCTTAATAAGACCCAGAACATCTATGTTCTGGCAGGATTGCAATTAATTTTACATAACAAATGGCAATATTAATAACAGACAAGGTTAAATGTAAGGTTAAATGCACTGAAGAGGCATGTTATATAATAATGAAAGGAACAGTTTATGAAGAGTATATTACATTTATAAATCTGTATTAAATGATACAGCAGCTAACTACATGAGGAAAAAATTTGGGAAAATAAAACTATCATGAGAGACAAATTATTTCTCTTTCAGAATTACACAGGTCTAGTTAAAAACAAGCAAAAAAAAGTTATACAGAAAAGAATCATACAATCAATAAACTTTAATAAATGTACATTAAAACTTACATCCTTTCAACGAAGAATCTTTCTTGTATATGTTCATTGAACATTTACAAAATACGTTTTGTGCTTGTATGGTGCTTGGTTTCAGGAAAACCTCTACAATTTTAAGGTAGAAATTTTGTAGTTTGTGTTTTTTTTTAATCAAATTCAATAAAATTAAATAACAAATTCAATAAAATAAAGAACTTTATACAAAGTTTGCTAAAAAGTTTAATCTCCTTGGAAATTAATAAGCATACTTCTGGGTAACTCTTCAATCAAAACAAATTTAAAAGGGAAACTATAAACTCTGTGTAAAACACATGGTCATCTTGGGCAATCTCCAGCCTGCTGCTGCTGCTGGCTGGCTAGAATTCCAAGCCAGTGGGTCTTAACTTGTGAGGTGCTGTGGGAGTGGGGCCCAGTGAATGATGCCACTTGGCTCCCTGGCTTCAGCCACTTTCCTAGGGGAATGAACAGATCTCCTGCCTTACTGGAATTCCCGGGGCTGGAGTATGCAAAAACTCCTGTGTCTCCATGCATGCCTGAGCAGCTGCTGGGAGTCCGCACAGCTCAGTGCTTCAGACCCAAAACCCTGGTAGCATGGGCCCACGAGGGGATCTCCTGATACGCAGGTTGCATAGATCCATGGGAAAAGTACACTTTCCTTGGCAGGGTTGCACAATCACTCATTGTATCCCTTGGCTAGGGGTGGGGGATCCCTGGCTCTGTGCTGCTCCTGGGTGGACTGTCGCCTGACCCTGCTTTTCCTCACTCTTTGTGGGTTGCACCAATTGCCTAGTCAGTCACAATGTGACAACCTGGATACCTGGATACCTCAATTGAAGGTACAGAATTTACTCGATACTTTCATTCTTCTCTGTGAGAGGTGCAGACTGCAGCTGCTTCTAATTGGCCATCTTGGACCACCAGATTTTTCATTCATTACATGGATTTTATCAAGCCAAAATAACCTTAATTATTATTATTCTTTTTTTTTTTTTGAGATGGAGTCTTGCTCTGTCAATCCAGGCTGGAGTGCAGTGGCACGATCTCAGCTCACTGCAACCTCCACCTCCCAGGTTGAAACAATTCTCCTGCTTCAGCCTCCCAAGTAGCTGGGATTACAGGAACCTGCCACCACTCCTGGCTAATTTTTGTAATTTTAGTAGAGTTAGGGTTTCACCATGTTTGCCAGGCTGGTCTCAAACTTCTGCCCTCAAGTGATCCACCCTCCTTGGCCTCCTAAAGTGCTGGGATTACAGGCATAAGCCACTGTGCCCAGCCCAAAATAACTTGTAAAAAAGCTGCCAAAGGTGCCCAACAAATAAAATAATATATCACTCTAACAAAGGAATATAGAGAATAATTCTGAATACATTTTACCTAATAATATCTGCAATGTATTTAAAAAACATATTATTTTTTGTCTTCTGCTAGTTTGGTTCGGTCTTGTTTCTCTAGCTTCTCTAGATGTAATGTTAGGTTGTTAATTTGAGATCTTTCTAATTTCTTGATGTGGGTGGTTAGCATTGTCAACCTCCCTCTTAACACTGCTTTAGCTGTGTCCCAGAGATTCTGCTATATTGTATGTTTGTTCTCATTAGTTTCAAAGAATTTCTTGATTTCTGCCTTAATTTCATTGCTTACCCAAAAGTCATTCAGAAGCAGATTGTTTAATTTCCATGTAATTGCATGGTTTTATATGATTTTCTTAGTATTGATTTCCATTTTCATTGGACTGTGGTCTGAGAGTGTGTTTGATGTAATTTTATTTTCCATTTTTTGAATTTGCTGAGAGTTGTTTTCTGATTGTGTGGTTTATTTTAGAGTATGTGCCATGTGCAAATGAGAAGAATGTATATTCTGTTGTTTTAGGGTGGAAGAGTTCTATTAGGCCCATTTGGTCAAGTGTTGAGTTCAGGTCCCAACACTTATAATTAATATCTTTGTTAGTTTTCTACCTTAATGGTCTGGCTAATACTGTCGGTAGGGTATAGAAGTCTACCACTATTATTGTGTGGGAGTCTAAGTCTCTTTGAAGGTCTCTAAGAACTTGCTTTATAATCTGTGTGCTCCTGTGTTGAATGCATGTATATTTAGGACAGTTAGCTCTTCTTGTTGACTTCAATCCTTTACCCTTATGTAATTCTTTCCTTTGTCTCTTTCGAATGTTGTTGGTTTAAAGACTGTTTTGTCTGAAATTAGAATAGCAACCCCTGCTTTTTTTTTTACTGTTTGCTTGGTATATTTTTCTCCATCTCTTTACTTTGAGCCTACAGGTGTCATTATATAAGAAATAGTCTCTGGAAGACAGCATACAGTTGGGTCTGCTTCTTTATTCATCTTGCCACTTTATGCCTTTTAATTGAGGCATTTAGCCCATTTACATTCAAGGTTGGTGTTGGTATGTGTGAATTTGTTGCTGTCATAATGTTGTTAGCTAGTTATTACGCAGACTTGATGGTGTGGCTGCTTTATAGTGTCAATGATTGTAATGGTTAATATTGAGTGTCAACTTGATTGGATTGAAGGATACAAAGTATTATTTCTGGGTGTGTCTGTGAGGGTGTTGCCAAAGGAGATTAACATTTCAGTCAGTGGACTGAGAAAGGCAGGCCCAACCCCAATCTGGATGGGCACAATCTAATCACCTGCCAGTGTGACTAGAATATATGTAGGCAGAAAAATGTGAAAAGAGAAACTGGCCTAGCCTCCCAGCCTGCATCTTTCTCCTGTGCTGGATGCTTCCTGCCCTCCAACATTGGACTCCAAGTTCTTCAGTTTTGGAACTCGGACTGGCTCTCCTTGCTCCTCAGCCTGCAGATGGCGTATTGTGGGACCTTATGATTGTGAGTTAATACTTAGTAAATCCCCTTTATATATCTCTATCTCTATCTCTATGTATATCTATAGATATAGATATATAGATATATCTATTCCATTCTGTCCCTCTAGAGAACCTGACTAATACAGATTTTGGTACCAGGAGTGGTTCTAGAGGAACAAAATATTAAGGTTGGAGTTCTTTCATTGGTTTTAGGGTTTCTGGACTTGGCTGCTTAATATGATTAGACCCAAAAATGTTAAGGACTCTACTTCTAATAGTGTGGAGAACACTTATAATCCTTGGCATGAACTGTATAGAAAGTTATGCAAAATAAATGCATTTGACATTCCTGATGCATTGGTGATTAGAGGCAAGGAACTTAGCAACTGTATACTTAATACCTTTGATCATATGTGGGGAACCAAGGAAAATAATGAAGCTTGTTGGTTGCTCCTAAGTTTGGTGGACAAAATGATGAAAATATATAATGAACTCAGGGATTCTGTCTCCTGGCTTCAGAAGCAGATACTGAGCCTCAAATCTGCTAAGATAGCCCTGAGTGAGAGTCTTATCTCCTGTCGAGAAAGAGCTGAAATTGTGGAAAAACAGACACAAGCTCTTATCGTGTATATGGCTGACCTGCAGTGAAAGGTGCATGTACAACCTCACCAGGTGTCTACTGTTAAAGTGAGGGCCTTGATTGGAAAAGAATGGTACCCTGCAACTTGAAATGGGGATGTGTGAGAGGACCCTGATGAAGCTGGGGACATTGAGCGTGTAAACTCTGATAAACCTTTTTTTGCCTGAAGAAATACCTTCCTCAACTCCAATAGTGGCAACATCCCCTCCCCAACCCATGCTGCTCTCAGCCTTTCCACCTTTGTCTGAGGAGATAAACCCTACATTGCCTGAGGCAACAGTGATGGCCTCCCCTGAGGCAGTTTCCAGGCAAGATAATGTTGATTCTCCTTAGGAGCCACCCCCAACACTCCTGTTTGCTTCTAGACCTATAACTAGTCTAAAGTCCCAGTAGGCCCTTAGAGGTGAGGATGAGAGTGTGACCCATGAGGGGGTGTGCTACACCTGAAAATAACTGCTTGAGTTTTCTAATTTATATAAACAGAAATCTGAACAACAGTCATGGGAATGGACATTAAGGGTGTGGGATAATTGTGGAAAAAACATAGTTGGATCAGGCTGAATTTATTGATTTGGGCCCACTAAACAGGGACTCTGCATTTAATGTTGTAGCTTGGGGAGTTAAAAGAGGTTCTAATAGTTTATTTGCTTGGTTAGCTGAAATGTGGATTAAAAGATGGCCCACTGTGAGCGAGCTGGAAATGCCTGATCTTCCTTGGTTTAATGTAAAGAAAGGGATCCAAAGGCTTAGGGAGATTGGGATGCTGGAGTGGATTAGTCACTTTAGACTTACTCATCCCAGCTGGGAGGGTCCAGAAGATATATCCTTGACCAATACTTTGTGAAATAGATTTGTGAGGGTGGACCTGCCATCTTTGAAGAGCTCTGTGATTGCTCTTCTCTATATGCCAGATCTAACAGTGGAAACTGCAGCCATTCAACTGCAAAATTTAAATGCAATGGGAAAAATTAGATCCCGAGGTGGCAGGGGCCAGGTGGCAGCACTCAACCATCAAAGGCAAGGTGGGTGTAGCTACCAGAATGGACAGCAGATGCAAAGTCGCAATCAGAATAGTGTGACTTATGTTGAGCTCTGACATTGGCTAATTAATCATGGTGTTCCTAGAAGTTAAATTGATACGAAGCCTACTGCATTCTTACTTAATTTATATAAGCAGAGAACTTTCAGATCGAGTAAACAAAAGACTAATCTGAATTACAAATACAGGGAATCATGGCCCGTCAATCAATTTCAGTACTTGAACCAGTTTACAGACCTATAACCCCTTGAATGAAGGAGAGGTCGGGTCTTTTTGTGTAAGGACCCCACTACACTACTGACAATTTATGCTGTTAATTCTTTCTCCAATCATTTCCCAAGGACACCTCTAGCTTCTACCAGGGCAACTGTGGATTGGGGAAATGGAAATGATCAGACATTTCAGGGACTACTGGACACTGGCTCTGAGCTGACATTGACTCCAGGGGACACAAAATGTCATTGTCGTTCTCCAGTTAAAGTAGGGGCTTATGGAGGTCAGGTAATTAATGAAGTTTTAGCCCAGGTCTGACTTAAAGTGGGTCCAGTGTGTCCCGGGACTCATCCTGTGGTCACTTCCCCGGTGCCAGAATGCATAATTGGCATAGACATACTTAGCAGCTGGCAGAACCCACACATTGGCTCCCTGACTGATAGGGTGAGGGCTATTATGGTGGAAAAGGTCAAATGGAAGTCATTAGAGCTGCCTCTACCTAGAAAAATAGTAAATCAAAAACAATATCTCATCCCTGGAGGGATTGCAGAGATTAGTGCCACCATCAAGTACTTGAAAGATGCAGGGATGGTGATCGCCACCACATCCCCTTTCAACTCTCCCGTTTGGACTGTACAGAAGACAGATGGATCTTGGACAATGATAGTGGATTATCGTAAGCTTAACTAAGAGGTGACTACAAGTGCAGCTGCTGTACCAGATGTGGTTTCATTGCTTGAGCAAATTAACACATCTCCTGGTACCTGGTATGTACCAGGTACTTGGCAAATAACTTTTTCTCCATTCCTGTCCATAAGGCCAACCAGAAGCAATTTCCCTTCAGCTGGCAAGGCTAGCAGTATACCTTTACTGTCCTACATCAGGGTGTATTAGCTCTCTGACTTTGTGTCATTGTCTTATTTGGAGAGACCTTGATCACTTTTCCCTTCCATAAGATATAACACTGGTCTATTACATTGATGACATTATACTGATTGGATCCAGTGAGTGAGAAGTAGTGAACACACTGGACTTATTGGTGAGACATTTGCATGCCAGAGGATGGAAAATAAATCCAACTAAAATTTAGGGACTTTCTACCTCAGCAAAATTTCTAATGGTTCAGTGATGTGGGGCCTGTCGAGATATTCCTTCTAAGGTAAAAGATAAGTTGCTGCATTTGGCCCCTCCGACAACCAAGAAAAAGGCACAACTCCTAGTGGGCCTATTTGGATTTTGAAGGCAACACATCCCTCATTTAAGTGTGTTACTCTGGCCGATTTATCCAGTGACCTGACAGGCTGCCATTTTTCAGTGGGGTCCAGAACAAGAGAAGGTTCTGCAACAGGTCCAGGCTGCTGTGCAAGCTGTTCTTACACTTGGGCCATATGACCCATCAGATCCAATGGTGCTTGAGGTGTCGGTGGCAGATAGGGATGCCGTTTGGAGCCTTTGGCAGGCCCCTGTAGGTGAAACACAGTGGCAGCCTCTAGGATTTGGAGTAAGGCCCTGCCATCTTCTGCAGATAACTACTCTCCTTTTGAGAAACAGTTCTTGGCCTGTTACTGGGCTTTGGTAGAAACTGAATGTTAGATTATGGGTCATCAAGTCACCATGCGACCTGAACTGCCTATCAAGAACTGGGTGTTTTCTGACCCATCTAGCCATAGGTGGGGTGTGCACAGCATCATTCCGTTATCAGATGGAAGTGGTATATATGCATCTGGGCACAAGTAAGTTACAGGAGGAAGTGGCTCAAATGCCCATGGTCTCCACTCCTGCCACCCTTCCTTCTCTCCCCTTCTCTTCCCCAGCCTGCACTGATAGCTTCTTGGGGAGTTCACTATAATCAATCGATAGAGGAAGAGAAGACAAGGGCCTGGTTAATAAACTCCCCTTAGTAAACTCCCTTTTATATGCACATCTATCCTATTAGTTCTGTCCCTCTAGAGAACCCTGACTAACACAATGGTTTCTGTACTTAAGTGTGTTTTTGTGGTGGCCAGTAATGGTCTTTTGTTCCAATATTTAGCACTCCCTTAAGGACCTTTTGTAAGGCAGGTCTGGTGGTAAGAAATCACCTTAGCATTTGCTTATTTGAAAAAGAGTTTATTTCCCCTTCACTTATGAAGCTTAGTTTGGCTCCATGTAAAATTCTTGGTTGGAATTTCTTTTCCATAAGAATGCTGATCACACCTGTAATCCCAGCACTTTGGGAGGCCGAGGCAGGCGGATCACGAGGTCAGGAGATCGAGACCATCCTGGCTAACACGGTGAAACCCCGTCTCTACTAAAAATACAAAAAATTAGCCGGGCGTGGTGGCGGGCGCCTGTAGTCCCAGCTACTCGGGAGGCTGAGGCAGGAGAATGGCGTGAGCCTGGGAGGTGGAGCTTGCAGTGAGCCGAGATTGCGCCACTGCACTCCAGCCTGGGCGACAGAGAGAGACTCCGTCTCAAAAAAAAAAAAAAAAAAAAAAAAAGAATGCTGAATGTAGGTATTCTGTCTCTTCTGGCTTGTGGGGTTTCTGCTGAAAAGCTGGCTGTTCATCTGACAGGATTTCCTTTGTAGGTGACCTGCCCCTTCTCTGTAGCTGTCTTTAACATTTTTTCTTTCATTTTGACCTTGAGGAATTTGGTGACTACATGTCCTGGAGATCATTGTCTTGCATAGTATCTCACAGGGGTTCTGTGCCTTTCCTTAATTTGAATGTTTCCTCTCTAGTTAGGTTAGGAGAATTTTCATGGATGATATCCTCAAATATGTTTTCCAAGTTGCTTGCTTTCTCTCTTTCTCAGGGATGCCAATGAGTCATAGATTTGGTCCCTTTACATAATCCCATATTTGTTGGAGGTTTTATTCATTCTTCTTTATTATTTCTTTATTTTTGTCTAAGTAATTTTGGAGAACTGGTCTTCAATATCTGAGATTCTTTCATCAGCTTGTTTTATTCTGCTGTCAGTACTTACTATTGTATTATGACATTCTTGAAGTGAGTTTTTCAGCTGTATCAGATCCGTTTCTTTTTTTCTTAAAATGGCGATTTCGTGTTTTACCTCTCATATCATTTTATTGAATTCCTCAGATTCCTTGGATTGGGTTTTGACTGTCTCTTGGATGTCGATGATCTTTGTTCCTAACCATATTTTGAATTATATTTCTGTCAACCATTTAAGCCTGGTTAAGAATCACTGCTAGGGAACTAGTGCAGACATTTGGAGGTGAGAAGACACTCTGGCTTTTTGAGTTTCCTGAGTTCTTGCTCTGGTTCTTTCTCATCTGTGTGGCCTGATGTTCCTTCAGTCTTTGAAGTTGATGTCCTTTGGATGGGTTTTTTTTTGTTGTTGTTGTTTTTTTGCTTTTATCTTTTTTGATGCTCTGGGAGTTTGATTGTAGTATAATGTGGGTTCAGCTGACTGGGTTTTTTTCTTTGCTGGAAGATACCAGGGAGCCAAACCTCAGCTCGGCACTCCTGGTCTGCATACTATAACTCTGGGGGGCTGGTACTGGGCCCCTGGCTTTTGTTCTCTGGCCCCTCAAAGTTAGGAACCTTCTGTACCGGAGGGGCTGAGGTCTTCCCAGTCCACTGGCCACAACACTCTGATGGGTGGTCGTAGCCAAAGCATGTTGTCAGGGTGGTGGCTGTAGGATCTGTGCTAACTCACACATGCCAGCAGCTGGGGCAGCACAGTGGGGTGTATGCGTGTCAGCTGGGGTGGGGTACTGGCGGGAGTGGGGCTGCAGAGTTCCTGCGTGCACTCATACCAGTGGCAGAGCGCAGGCAGGGGCAGGGTTGCTGGTGTCTGTGCTTGCACTCACACTGGCAGTGACTGGGGTGGGATACTGATGGGTGTAAGACTGCTGGCCTCCATGTGTGTATTCATAGTTGGTGGTGGTGGCACAGCAGTGGGTGGAAAAATGCATTTCACACAGTGGGTTTTTTAGATTTTCAGTTGTTGAATATTAGGAAATTTTATAAACATAATCTGTTATAACAACACATTAAAGGAAAACTATAGTTTTATCAATAGATGCCTAAAGGAGTTTGAAAGAAATGAATTGTTTCTAATAACATTGCTAAGTAAAAGAGAATGTATTAAAATTAGAAAACATAAAGCCATTCAGAAAATTCTTTAAATTTTAAAATGCTAAAACTATTTTAATTAAATTAGTTACTAGAGGAGGACACTCATTATCATTCTATTTAACATTACCTCAGAAGGGCTACTGAATGTAGTAAGATAAGAAAATTTAAAAAACCGATATAAACTTACAAAAAAGAGATCAAATGATCTCTTTTTGTTGATAATATTGTATGCCTAGAAAATTCAAGAAACCGTAGTAAATATTACTAGATTTAAAAATAAGAATTTTCTACAGTTAGAATTACAAAACATGGCTGAAAGAAATCAGAGACCACATGAACAAATGAAAAAACATTCCATGCTCATGGATAGGAAGAATCAATATTGTTAAAATGGCCATAATACTGAAAGCAATTTATAGAATGAATGCTATTCCTGTCAAACTGTCAATGACATTTTCCACAGAATTGGAAAAGACTGTTCTAAAATTCATTTGGAACCAAAAAAGAGCTCGAATAGCCAAAGCAATCCTAAGCAAAAAGAACAAAGCTGGAGGCATCACACTACCTGACTTCAAACTGTACTATAAGGCTACAGTAACTGAGACAGCATGGTACTAGTACAAAAGCATACAGACAGACCAATGGAACAGGTTAGAGAACCCAGAAATAAAGTTTCGCATCTACGACTATCTGGTCTTTGACAAAGTCAACAGTAGCAAGCAATGGGGAAAGACTCTCTCTCTTCTGTAAATGGTGCTGGGATAACTGGCTAGCCACATACAGAAAACTGAAACTGGACTCCTACCTTTTACCATACACAAAAATCAAGTCAAGGTGGATTAAAGACTTAAATGTAAAACCTAAAACTATAAAAATCCTAGAAGAAAATCTAGGAAATAGCATTTTGCACATTGGCCATGGCAAAGTCTTCATGATGAAGATGCCAAAAGCAATTGCAACAAAAACAAAAATTGATAAATGGGACATAATTAAATGAAAGAGCTTCTGCACAGCAAAAGAAACTATTAACAGAGTAAACAAACAACCTACTGAATAGGAGAAAATATTTGCAAACTATGCATCTGAAAAATATCTAATATCCAGAATTTATAAGGAAATTAAATTAACAAGCAAAAAGCAAATAACTTTGTTAAAAGGTGGATAAAGAACATGAACAGACACTTTTCAGAAGAAGATGTAACCATGGCCAAAACGCATATGAAAATATGCTCAACATTGCTAATCATTAGGGAAATGCAAATCAAAATCACGATGACATGCCATCTTGCATCAGGCAGAATGGCTATTATTAAATGTCAAGAAATAAATGATGCTGGTGAGGTTGCAGAGAAAAGGGAATGCTTATACATTGCTGGTGGGAATATAAATTAATTCAGCCACCGTGGAAAGCGGTCTGAAGATTTCTCAAAGAACTTAAACAGAAATACCAATCCCATTCCTGGTTATATACCTAAAGTAATATAAATTGTTTAGCCTTAAAAATACATGCATACATATATTCATCACAGCATTATTCACAATAGCAAAGACATGGAATCAACCTAGATGCCAGTCAGTGGTGGAGCTGATGAAGAAAATATGGTACATATATACCACAGAATACTACACAGCCATAAAAAAGAACAAGATAATGTTCTTTGCAGTAACATGCATGGAGTTGGAGGCCATTATTCTAAGCGAACTAATGCAGGAACAGAAAAACAAATGCCACATACTCTTGCTTATAAGTGGGAGCTAACATTGAGTACACATGGACACAAAGATGGAAACAACAGACACTGGAGCTTACTTGAGGGTAGATGGTGGGAGGAGGCCAAGGATTGAAAAATTACCTATCAGATACTATGCTTATCACTGGGTTATGAAATAATCTGTATACCAAACTCCTGCAACACACAATTTACCTATATACCAAATCTGCACATGTACCCCTGAACCTAAAATAAAGGTTAAAAAAAATTGACAAAGGGCATGAACGGACACTTCTTAAAAGAATACATACATGTGGCCAACAAACATATGAAAAAATACTCAATATTACTAATCATTAGGGAGATGCGAATTGAAACCCCAACAAGATACCATTCCAAGATACTAGTTAGAATGGCTATTGTTAAAAAGTCAAAAAACAATAGATGCTGGCAAGGTTACAGAGAAAAGGAACACTTATATATTGCTGGTGGGAATGTAAATTAGTTCAGCTATTGTGGAAAGCAATGTGGAGATTTCTCAAAGAATTTAAAGCAGAAGCACCAGTTGACCCAGCAATCCCATTACTGGGTATATATCCAAAGGAATAGAAATCATTTCTACCATAAAGGCACATGAATGCATATGTTCATTGCAGCACTTTTCACAATAGCAAAGACATGGAATCAACCTAGACGCCCATCAGTGGTAGACTGGATAAAGAAAATGTGGCACATGTACACCATGGAATACTGTGCGGCCATAAAAAAGAATAAGATTATGTTCTTTGCAGCAGCATGGATGGAGCTGGAGGCCATTCTCTGAAGCAAACTAATGTAAGGACAGAAAACTAAATACCACATATTCTCACTTATAAGTGGGAGCTAAACACTGAGTACATATGGACACAAAGAAGGGAACAATAAACACTGGGCCTACTTGAGGGCAGAGGGTGGGACGAGGGTTTGGATTCTAAAACTACCTATTGGGTATTATGCTGACTATCTGGGTGACAAAATTATCTATACATGAAACCCCCATGACACACAATTTACCCATGTAACAAATCTGCACACGTACCCCTTGAACTTAAAATAAAAACTTTAAAGAAAAAAAAGAGAATTTGGTAAGGAGATGAATAGAAGATAAATTTTTAAAAAGCATTAGTTTATCTCTGTGTTAACAAAATACTTAGAAATAGAAGTGAGAAAAAAATTTCTACTTACAATTATTGGAAAAATATAAAATACTTAGGAATAAATCAAACAAGAAAAGAAACTGCATAAAGAAAAATAGAAAATCTTACTGAAAGAAAATAAGATTTGAACAAATGGAAAGGCATATCACATTGAATAGAAATACTTAAGAAGAGAAGCATTAAATACACACACCTAGTGAGTGTATAAACATAAGGCAGTAAAATTAGAATTGGCATTCTTTGGAGGTATGATTGGCCAAAGAAGGTTAAAGTTTATACTGAAGAATAAATGCTTCAGAATAGCTAAGAAAATATGCAAAGGGGGAATAGTGAGAGGTCTTGTCTTACTGGATATTAGTATAAATAATAAAACTACTGCATCATAATCATGTGGTTGGGAAAGGAATAAAAATTGCAGAAATAGAAGCCAGTATAGATGAGTTTAATATATTTCCAAAGTAGTAGTTCATTTTAGTGTGAAATGAATCAATTGTTTGATAAATGATGTTTGGACAATTGATTATCCATCTGGAAGAAAAGAAAAGAGGATCACCATTTTATTCTACCTTTAAATATAAATTCCAGATGGCTAAGAAGCTTACATGGTCAAAATAAAATTGTAAAAGCCTTGCAAGAAGATCTAGAAAATTGAATGTAGAAAAATGTATGAACTGAGAGCATCTTTTCCAGAAGCTATAAAAGATAGACATATTTGAACCTTGATGTCACAAAGGATATCATAAATAAAACAATAGACAGACATTCAATTTTCAACAAATATTTGTAACTGATTTTTTCAAATAGCTGAACATTTGGCCAAAAGTAACACAATCCAATTAAAAAATGGGCAAAGAATTATGAATCCATATGTCCAAAAAATATATAGAAGGATTCTCAAGTTTGTTATAATAAGGAAAATGCAAATTAAAGTAAAAGAAAGTGTAATTTTACATCAATCAGATGACAAAAATTGAAGAGTTATAATAAATACTACTGGTGGTGATTTAGGGAAGGGATTAGTCTCATGGCTGGGAAAAATATGAGGTGTTATAGGTTTTGGGAAAGCCATTTGCCAACATCTATTAAATTTAAAAATATATGTGTGCTTCTTGGCCCAGCAATTCCAGTTCTTGGACTCTATTCCATAGAAAGATATTCACATGTAAGGCCATGTGTTTGTAGTGGCAAAAATGTCATTAAAAATAATGATTAGTGCTATACCTATTGACCTGTAGTGATTTCCACAAGGTATTCCACACAAAAGTTTGAGGAGACAAGATATAGAAATTGTAGGATCCCTTTTTGTAGAATAAACAATAATACTTATATATGTAGACTTACATCACATTTCTGTATAGGATTGCATGGTCAGGGAGAGAAGTATGGAATTAGGCTAATATGAAGAGTGGAGAAAAAAGCAGATGGATAGCTTCTCTGCTTTGAAAGAATGACCATCAGCCACTGTTGAGGATATTTAAAATCAGATGGTATTGACTGTTAATAAAATTCCTAATGAGAAATTCAAACAATTAAAGCTTACCAAATTGACCACTATGGAGGATATATATGCTTGAAATTTGTGTATATGTATTACGTTTAAATGTGTATATATATATAATTCCTTTGTCATTTCTCTTATTGCTTCACATATTGGAAGTAGGTATTATATAATCCCTAAATAAGCAATAGATTATTAAAACTTTGACTTAAAAACAGTCACACTTATAATGTGCTCTAATAGTGCATATAAATATATGTTTTATTTTTGAGCATTTTAAAATTCAGATTCCCTTAAAATTTCTTAAAAACACTAATTTCATATTATACGGCTTCCCAGTCCTGAATTACACATTTTACTACTATGTGAAGCTGGATGCCCTTCAGAGAAATTGGCAAAGGATAATGGCATGTAAAATACTGTTCATTTCTCATTTCCCAACCATGAATAGTAATATCCACATTATAAACATAAAATATACTCCTCAGACTTCACATCCACAGAACTGGCTTATCTGCACAGAAAATTTCATGTTTAATCAAGAAGGTCTTTAAGCTGAAAGGAGACCATGACATGCTTTAAAAGACTAAAGAATTTTCTGGTTCTATCTTCCTACCTTTCTTTGCAAAAATAATTGGGTTCTGATTGAAGTTTGTTATTACTGAGTATGTCTTTTTTGGAAGAAGATCATTAAGTTTGAATTGCACATGTGCTACCTTTTCAGAATTCCCGGATAAGGACTTAATATGGTTTTGGATTGTAATCCAAATTGTAATCACCACATGTCAAGGGAGGGACCTCGTGGGAGGTAATTGGATCATGGGGGTTGTTTCCCCCATGCTGTTCTAGGATAGCAAGTGAGTTCTCATGATTGCCTTTCTTCCCCTTCGCCTTTGCCATGATTGTAAGTTTCCTCAGGCCTCCTCAGCCATGCAGAACTGTGAGTCAAGTAAACCTTTTTCCTTTACAAATTGCCTAGTCTCAGGTACTATCTTTATAGCAGTGTGAAAATGGACTAATACAGGGCTGTGCATAATTTGTCTTTACAAAACGCGTGTTGAAACCACATGTGTTTCAAGTTCATGAGGATACTATTAGTCTCATGTAAGAGAAGACTCAGCCAATAGTGACTAGACAAAATGAACATTTACTTTTCTTATTTAAAGGAAGTCTAAATATAAGTAGTTACAAAGTTACAGTTCAACAATTTTATCAAGACCAAACTGTCTATCTTCCCATTCTTCCATCTCCAGTAATTTGATGCTATCTCCCATTGTAGACTTGGGATAACAACTGCACACTTAGCAGCAGGTTTTTACATATCCATCTCCAAAGTTAGGCAAAGGGACCCTCCTAACTAATATCTACCTGATTCTCTGTATACAATCAGAGGAGGAAATCTTCCCAGTTGCTTACTGGGATATTCTACCTTTGTCTCATCATTCATAACGAGGTCCCATGATCACCTGAAATAAATCATTGGCAAAAGGAAATGCGACTACTAGCACTAGCTTAGACTAGCCAAGATTTATCCTCTGTGACTGGGCACGTTGTTGCTGAACAAAACTCGGCTTCTGTTAGGTGGGGAGAAGGAGTAATGGCTTTGGGTAGGCAATCAACAGTGACTGCCACATGAGCAAATAATTTCCAGGTATCGTCTGGGTCTACCCTCTACGAGTCATCAGGAAGGAACAGTAGAAAGCACAATCAAATACTATCAGGCCAGTTGCTAACAAGCATCCAATTATTTCATGGCATCTGTTGATAGTCTGAGAAGTTAGGATATTAGTTCATGTGTTCAGTAGAAATACAGCTAAATCAACAAAGGGTGAGAGAGGTAAATGTTTAAGGAAAAATAAGACAAGAAAGAATTATCTCAATCTTTTATTAATAGTGTATAGAAAACTGAGTTATGTAGTTATACATGTGATATAATAAGATATAATTTTATATGAATAAATAATGTAATATATAATAATGATGCCAATAACACCCATGGAACACTTTAGGCTAGCCATTATGTCAAGTGCTTGATATGCATGTTGCTGTTTAATCTTCACAATTATCCTTTGGGATAGTGTGTCAGGCATCTATCCCTAAGACCACCCCAGGTTCAGTGACTTTCTAGAAGGACTCATAGAACTCAAAAGTTGTAATAGTTACAGTTACAGTTTATCGTAGTGAAAAGATATACAGCAAAATCAGCAAAGGGAATAGGCACATGTGACTAAATCCAAAGGAAAGCAGCCTCAAGCTTCCAAGAGTCTCTCCCAGTGGAGTTGCACAGAATGTGCCTAATTCCTCCAGCAATTAGTTGAGACAAGTGTGAAATGTTGTCTTTCAGCAGGGCTCTCCTAGCCTAGGAGTCTAAGGGTTTTTGTTTTTATTTTTTATTTTTCCATAAATTATTGGGGTACAGGTGGTATTTGGTTACATGAGTAAGTTCTTTAGTGGTGATTTTGTGAGATTTTGGTGCACCTGAGCAGTATACACTGCACCATATTTGTAGTTATTTATCCCTCATCCCCTCCCACTCTTCCCCGCAACTCCCTAAAGTCCATCGTATAATTCTTATGCCTTTGTGTCCTCATAGCTTAGCTCCCACATATCAGTGAGAACATACGATGCTTGATTTTCAATTCCTGAGTTACTTCACTTAGAATAACAGTCTCCAGTCTCATCCAGGTCACTGCAGATGCTGTTAATTCATTCATTTTTATGGCTATGTAGTATTCCATCATATATATTATATATAATATTTTATATATAATATATATATTTTATATATATAATATATATATTATATATATAATATTTTATATATTATATATAATATTTTATATAATATATAATATTTATATATATAATATATATTTATATATAATATATATTATATATTATATATAATATATAATATATATTATATATAATATATAATATATATTATATATAATATATTATATATATAAATATATATAATATATAATATATATAATATATTATATAATATATATATTATAATATATATTTATATATTATATATTATATATAAATTATAATTATATAAATTATATATTATATATTATATATAATATTTATTATATAATATATAATATATATAATATATAATATATAATATTTATTTATATATAATATTTATTTATATATAATATATAATATTTATTTATATATTATATATATAATATATATATGTATCTATCACAGTGTCTTTATCCATCCATTGATTGATGGGCATTTGGGTTAGTTCCACGATTTTGCAATTGTAAATTGTGCTGCTATAAACATGCTTGTGCAAGTGTCTTTTTTGAATAATGACTTCTTTTCCTCTGGGTAGATACTCAGTAGTGGGATTGCTGGATCAAATGGTATTTCTACTTTTAGTTCCTTAAGGAATCTCCATACTGTTTTCCATAGCAGCTGTACTAGTTTACATTCCCACCAACAGTGTAGAAATGTTCCCTGTTCACTGCATCCATTCTAGTATCTACTGTTTTTGATTTTTTGATTATGGCCATTCTTGCAGGAGTGAGGTAGTATTGCGTTGTGGTTTTGATTTGCATTTCCCTGATCATTAATGTTGAGCATTTTTCACGTTTGTTGGCCATTTGTGTATCTTCTTTTGAGAATTGTCTATTCATGTCTTTATCCCACTTTTTGATAAGATTGTTTTTCTTAGTGATTTGAGTTCATTGTAGATTCTGGATATTAGTCCTTTGTCAGATGTATCGATTGTGAAGATTTTCTCCCACTTGTGAGTTGTCTGCTTACTCTGCTGACTGTTCCGTTTGCAATGCAAAAGCTCTTTAGTTTAATTAGGTCCCAGCTATTTATGTTTGTTTTTATTGCATTTGCTTTTGGGTTCTTGGTTATGAAATCCTTGCCTAAGCCAATGTCTAGAAGGGTTTTTCCAATGTTATCTTCTAGAATTTTTATAGTTTCAGGTCTTAGGTTTAAGGACTTAATCCAACTTAAGTTGATTTTGCATAAGGTGAGAGATGAGGATCCAGTTTAATTCTCCTACATGTGGCTAGGCAATTATCCCAGCACCATTTGTTGAAAGAATGTCGTTTCCCCACTTTATGTTTTTGTTTACTTTGTCAAAGATCATTTGGCTGTAAGTATCTGGGTTTATTTCTGGGTTCTCTCTTCTGTTCCATTGGTCTTTGTGCCTATTTTTGTGCCAGTACCATGTTGTTTTGGTAACTATGGCCTTATAGTATAGTTTGAAATCAGATAGTGTGATGCCTCCAGATTTGTTCTTTTTGCTTGGTCTTGCTTTGGCTCTGCAGGCTCTTTTTTCGTTCTGTATGAATTTTGGAATTGTTTTTCTAATTCTGTGAAGAATGGTGGTGGTATTTTGATGGGGATTGCATTGAATTTGTAGATTGCTCTTGGCAGTATGGTCATTTTCACAATATTGATTCTGCCTATCCATGAGCATGGGATATGTTTCCATTTGTTGATGTTGTCTATGATTTCTTTCAGCAGTGTTTTATAGTTTTCCTTGTAGAGGTCTTTTGACTCCTTTGTTAGTATATTCCTAAGTATTTTATTTTTGCAGCTATTGTAAAAGGGGTTGTGTTCTTGATTTGATTGTCTGCTTGGTTGCTCTTGGTGTATGGAAGAGCCACTGATTTGTGTACATTAATCTTGTATCTGGAAACTTTGCTGAATTCTTTTATCAGTTCTAGGAGCTTTCTGGAGGAGTCCTTAGGGTTTTCAAGGTAATCAATCATATTGTTAGCAATCAGTGACAGTTTGACTTCCTCTTTACTGATTTGAATGCGCTTTATTTCTTTCTCTTGTCTGATGGCTCTGGTCAGGACATCCAGTACTATGTTGAAGAGGAGTGGTGAGAGTGGGCATCCTTGCCTTGTTCCTGTTCTCAGAGGGAATGCTTTCAACTTTTACCATTCAGTATTAAGTTGGCTGTGAGTTTGTTGTAGATGGCTTTTATTACATTAAGGTATGTCCCTTGTATGCTGATTTTGTTGAGAGTTTTAACTATAAAGGGATGCTAGATGTTGTTGAATGCTTTTTCTGCATCTATTGAAATGATCATGTGATTTTCGTTTTTAATTCTGTTTATCTGTTGTATCACATTTATTGACTCACATATGTTAAACCATCCCTGAATCCCTGGTATGAAACCCACTTTATCATGGCAGATTGTGTATATATATGTATATATATATATATATATATATATATATTTTTTTTTTTTTTTTTTTTTTTTTTGAGGCGGAGTTTCAGAGTTTCGCTCTTGTTGCCCAGGCTAGAGTGCAATGGCATGATTTCGGCTCACCACAACCTCTGCCTCCCAGGTTCAAGCGATTCTTCTGCCTCAGCCTCCCGAGTAGCTGGGATTACAGGCATGCGCCAACACGCTCAGCTAATTTTGTATTTTTAGTAGAGACACGGTTTCTCCATGTTGGTCAGGCTGGTCTCGAACTACCGACTTCAGGTGATCTGCCTGCCTCGGCCTCCCAAAGTGCTGGGATTTCAGGTGTGAGCCACTGTGCCTGGCCCTAGATCTTTTTTATATATTGTTGGATTCAGTTAGTTCGTATTTTGTTAAGGATTTTAGCATCTGTGTTCATCAAGGATGTTGGTCTGTATGTAGTTTTCTTTCTTCCTTTTTTTTTTTATTTTGAGACAGAGTCTCACTCTGTCGCCCAGGCTGGAGTGCAGTGGCGCTATTTCAGCTCACTGCAAGCTCCACCTCCTGGGTTCATGCCATTCTCCTGCCTCAGCCTCCAGAGTAGCTGGGACTATAGGCGCCTGCCACCATGCCCGGCTAATTTTTTGTATTTTTAGTAGAGACGGGGTTTCACCTTGTTAGCCAGGATGGTCTCAATCTCCTGACCTCGTGATCCACCTACCTTGGCCTCCCAAAGTGCTGGGATTACAGGTGTGAGCCACCGCACCCGTCCTGTAGTTTTCTTTTTTGGTTATGTCCTTTCCTGGTTTTGGCATTAGGGTAATGCTGCCTTTATAGAACAAATTAGGGATGGTTCCTTCTTTCTTTATCTTGTGAAATAGTGTCAAAAGGATTGGTACCAATTTTTCTTTAAATGTCTGGTAGAATTCTGCTGTGAATCTGTCAGGTCCTGGGCTATTTTTTTGTTGGCAGTTTTAAAATTGCCATTTCAATCTCGCTGCTTGTTATTGTTTTGTTCAGGGTATCTAATTCTTCCTAATTTAAGCTAGGAGGGTTTTGTTTTTCCAGAAATGTATGCATCTATTCTGGGTTTTCTAGTTTATGTGTGTAAAGGTGTTCATAGTGGCCTTGAACTATCTTTTATATTTCAGTGATGTCAGTTGTAATATCTCCTGTTTTATTTCTTAGTGAGGTTATTTGGATTTTCTTTCTTCTTTTCTTGGTTAATCTTGCTAATAGTCTATCAATTTTATTTATCTTTTCAAAGAGCCAGCTTTTTGTTCATTTATCTTTTGTATTTTTTTTGTTTCAGTTTCCTTTAGTTCTGCTCTGATCTTGGTTATTTCCTTTCTTTGCTGGGTTTGAGTTTGGTTTGTTCTGTTTCTCTAGTTTCTTTAGGTGTGACCTTAGAGTGTCAGTTTGTGCTCTTTCAGTCTTTTTGATGTACGTGTTTAGGGATGTGAACTTTCCACTCAGCACTGCCTTTGCTGTATCCCAGAGGTTTTGATAAGTGGTATCATTATTGTCATTCAGTTCAAAGAATTTTTAAATTTCCATCTTAATATCATTTTTGACCCATTGCTCATTAAGGAGCAGGCTATTTAATTTCCATGTGTTTGCTGGCTTTGAAGATTCCTTTTGGAGTTGATTTCCAGTTTTATTCCAGTGTTGTCTGAGAGAGTGCTTGATATAATTTTAATTTTCTTAAATTTATTAAGGCTCATTTTATGACCTATTATATGGTCTGTCTTGGAGAAAGTTCTATGTGTTGTTGAATAGAATGTGTATTCTGCAGTTGTTGGATGAACTGTTCCGTATATATCTGTTAAGTCCATTTGTTCCAAAGTATAGTTTAAATCCATTGTTTCTTTGTTGACTTTCTGTCTTAATGAGCTGTCTAGTGCTGTCAGTGGAATGCTGACGTCCCCCACTATTATTGTGTTGCTGTCTATCTCATTTCTTAGGTCTATTAGTAATTGTTTTATAAATTTCAGAGCTCCAGTGTTAGGTGCATATATTTTCAGATTTATGATTGTGGTATTTAGGGTTTAGGATTGTGATATTTTCCTGTTGGACAAGGCCTTTTACCATTATATAATGTTTCTCTTTGTCTCTTTTAACTGCTGTTACTTTAAAGTTTGTTTTGTCTGATGTAAGAATATTTACACCTGCTTACTTTTGGTTTCCATTTGCATGAAATGCCTTTTTTTTTTTAACCGCTTTACTTTAAGTTTATGTGAGTCCTTATGTGTTAGCTGAGTCCCCTGAAGGCAGCAGATGGTTGGTTGGTGAGTTCTTATCCATTCTGTGGTTCAGTATCTTTTAAGTGGAGCATTTACATCATTTACATTCAATGTTAGTATTGAAATGTGAGGTACCATTGCATTCATTGTGCTCTTTGTTGCCTGTATACTTTGTTTTTGTTTTTTGTTTTTGCTTTTTAGCTTGTATTTTTGTTTTATAGGTCCTGTGTGATTTATGCTTTAAAAAGGTTCTGTTTTGATGTGTTTCCTCCAGGATTTTTTTTCAAGATTTAGAGCTCCTTTTAGCAGTTCTTGTAGTGGTGGCTTGGTAATGGCGAATTCTCTTAGCATTTGTTTGTCTAAAAAAGACTATCTTTCCTTCATATATGATGCTTAGTTTTTCTGGATACAGAATTCTTGGCTAATAATTGTTTTGTTTGAGGAGGCTGAAGATAGGGCCCCAATCCCTTCTAGCTTGTAGGGTTTCTGTTGAGAAATCTGCTGTTAATCTGATAGGTTTTGCTTGCTAGGTTACCTAGTGCTTCTGTCTCACAGCTCTTAAGATTCTTTCCTTCGTCTTAACTTTGGATAAGCTGATGACAATGTGCCTAGGTGAAGATCTTTTTGCGATGAATTTCCCAGGTGTTCTTTGTGCTTCTTGTATTTACATGTCTATGTCTCTAGCAAGGCTGAGGAAGTTTTCCTCAATTATTCCCCAAAATATGTTTCCCAAGCTTTTAGAATTGTCTTTTTTCTCAAGAACACTGATTATTACGTTTGGTTGTTTAGCATAATCCCAGACTTCTTGGAGGCTTTGTTCATATTTTCTCATTTTTTTTTTCTTTGTCTTTGTTGGACTGGGTTAATTTGACGACCATGTCATTGAGCTCTGAATTTCTTTCTTCTACTTGTTCAATTCTATTGCTGAGATTTTCCACAGCATTTTGCATTTCTAAAAGTGGTCCAAAATTTCCTGAATTTTTGATTGTTTTTCTTTAAGCCGTCTATTTCCTTGAATATTTCTCCCTTTACTTCCTGTATCATTTTTTGGATTTCCTTGCATTGAACTTTGCCTTTCTCTGGTCCCTCCCTTATTAGCTTAATAACTAACCTCCTGAATTCTTTTTCAGGTAAATCAGGGATTTCTTCTTGGTTTGGATCCATTGCTGGTGAACTAATGTGGTTTTTTGGGGGTGTTGAAGAGCCTTGTTTTGTAGTATTACCTGGGTTGGTTTTCTGGTTCCTTCTCATTTGGGTAGGCTCTGTCAAAGGGAAGGTCTAGGACTGAAGGCTATTGTTCAGGTTCTCCCACGGGTTGTTCCCTTGATGTAGTACTCTCCCCCTTTTCCTATGGATGTGACTTCCTGTGAGATGAACTGCAGTGATTTTTGTCTGTCTTCTGGGTCTAGCCACCCAGTGAGTCTACGCAGTTCTGGGCTGGTACTGGGGGTTTTCTGCACAGTGTCCTGTTACGTGAACCATCTATGTGTCTCTCAGCCATGGATACCAGTGCCTGTTCTGGTGGAGGGGGCGTGGGGTGCAATGGACTCCATGAGGGTCCTTTGCTTTGGTGGTTCAATGCTGTTTTTGTGCTGGTTGACCTTCTGCCAGGAGGTGGCATTTTCCAGACAGCATTAGCTGTAGTAGTATGGGGAGGAACTGGTGGTGGGTGGGGCCCTAGAACTCTCAAGATTATATGCCCTTTGTCTTCCGTGACCAGGGTGGATAGGGAAGGACCATCAGGTGGGAGCTGGGCTAGGCCTGTCTGAATTCAGGCTCTCCTTGGGTGGGTCTTGCTGCAGCTACTGTGGGGGATGGGGGTGAGATTCCCAGGCCACTGGAGTTGTGTACCTAGGAGGATTATGGCTGCCTCTGCTGAGTCATGCAGGTTGTCTAGGAAGTAGGGGAAAGCCAGCAGTTACAGGCCTCACCCAGCTCCCGTGCGAACTGAAGGGCCCATCTCACTCCCACCATGCCCCCACCACCAGATCCCCATTCATTTCCAGGTGGAGAGCAATATGGGTTTGAAAACCTGCCTCAGTCTACCCACCTCCACGCTACAAAAGAAAGGGGCTTGGGTCTTCCCTTGCCTTTGGAGTCTGCATGCCGGATTTGTGCCCTCCCCTGAGTTCTGGCCAGGAGGCTTCAACCCCCGTTCTAATTGTTACATAGTTCAGCTAGAGATTTCCTTCTCCTTGTGTAGTTTTATCCCCTGCTCCTCTCCTGTTGGATCCCTGTGGTGACAGGCAGGAATGGCCTGCTAGGGGAGCCAGTGAGTTCCCAGAGCCTTTCTGCCACTTCCTCTGCCCCTGAATTTCACTCAGCTCTCTAGATTGACTCAGCTTCAGGTAAAGTAAGAAAATTCTCCTGCAAACAGACCTTCAGCTTCTCCAGTGGGAGTGTGAGTTCAGGAAAGGAGGGTCTCCATTTTCTGCTTCCAAGGTTGGGGCACTCACAGTTTTGGGGGGTCTCCCAGGTCCTGTAGGAGCTGTCTGCTTCCTTCAGAGGGTCTGTGGGTCCTCTCAGGATTGCTGGTTTGTTCTTGCAGTTGATCTGGAGCTAAAATTCACAATGCAAGACCTTGCACACTGCTCTGTCTGGAGTTGCAATCTAGTCCTACCTCCCATCTGCCATGATTGAGCGAGTCTAGGGTTTTTGTTGGGGATCATTCACATAGGCACATGACTTGTGCCATTGAAGCTCCAGGCTCCCAGAAGCAAGCATAAACCACGTTGCACACGTATGCAGACAAACTGGTATAGTATGGCTCAAGAACCCATGTGAGAAAAATACTCTTAGTTCTTGGAACATTCTAACAGTTTAATTCCCAGAAGCTGGTCAAAGAGCAGTCATGAAAACAGGCCTTTCTTGGGAATGTGCAAGGTTTGAACAATTCAGCCCTGCTGAGTTAACTCTTTTCTGCACAGGTAGATATCGTTGCTATACCCATTTTACAGATGAGGAAGCAGAGACTTAAAAAAATTTAGTGACTCACTGCAAATGTAGTGAGAAAACGATAGAGGCAGGATTCAGTCCAACCTTGCCTGGCCTTGTCCAAACCTGAGCTTGTAACTCTGAAGTCCATACTTTTCCCTAAACGTGGGCATATGTGGCCTCTTTCCATAAATTTGGAAAAACATTTTTAAGTTAAAAACCTCACAAAGTTAGAAATTTCAAAATGGTAGAGCCAAAAAGGAGGGATAATGTAATTTATGTTTGTTTAGTTGAAAAATAGTTTCTGTTTAGTTAAAGCACTGGCATGTACCTGGTAAGTCATTCTTGGTCTTGGACATGTTCTTAGAGTCATTGAGAAAGATCTTGAGATTATGTAACTGCCATTACTGGATTTGTCACATCCATCTGTTTATGTCTCTGCTGTAAAATTATTAGGGCACAGTACTTCTAGGAATGTAAAGATGTGATGTCACCTGCCACTTGGCACATCTCCACATCACATCTCTGGAGCCTGTGGTTGCTTGGCCTTGTGTGCACAAAGCTATCAGCCCATAGACAAAGGTGGCTAAAATTCTGTGCGGTTTTATTTCTTTCTAATCAAACTATAAGTGGCTTTGTTTCTTTCTGATCAGATATTCTTTTGCATAGAAGAGGATAGTAAAAGCGTGGACCTAAGACAGACAATACTACCAATTAGAAAGAGCCAGAGAGAAGACTCAGGACCAAAAAGCCAGTTTTAAGTCTTGACTAATTTTATGACTTCAGGCAAGTCACTCACCTTTTCTGAGTGTTAGTCTCCTATCTATAAAATAAAAAATGCCGACCTACTAGGTTGTTATGAAGACCAAATGAGATAATGTGTTAAAGTAACTAGTTCAACACCTAGCACATGATAGGCACCTAAATAAGACAAAGTCTTTAGCTCAATACCTAGTGCATGGGTGTTACTCCAGAAATATTAGCTGAATCTGAATTTGAGTTCCTTCAGAGCAGGCACTCAGTTCATCATTGCTGTTTGAACATACGTATCAATACACGAATGGTTATGGTTAACTTAGTAGTCTGTATGTAGGGCAACACTTGTATGTTAAATCCTCTAGCAATGGATAAGTGAGATAAGCCAAATATTTAGAGTATGAGTATTTGTCACACAGGTTGTGAGAATGGGAGAGTTAATGGTTCTTAGGTGGAACATGATGTTTAGAGAGAGTTTTAACTCTGAATACAGGAGGAGCTAGATCAGAACAATCTTCTCAATTTATATCATAATACAAGTTCTTTGTTGCAGCAGAATCCACCCTCAATTCAATGATTCATTTGTTAGTTTACTACTGCTATTAAATTTGTGTTCAAAAGAGTTAAAGTATTTCAACATTTTTGCTTCCGGCTCTTATTACTAATTATTTACATCAATGGTAATGGAGACTCTTGGAGAGGTAGAGAGAAGAACAAGAAGACTCCAGGTAACAGAGACACACTCAAGACTGCTCCTGATTGTTATTTCCTCTCTCAACCCAGCTTTGTGATTGTATCACCTTTGGCTAAAACCACATCCTGAAACATGACTGTGCCTCTTTGTACTGCCTCAAGCATATTTGCCCTACAATGTGAGATCTTTTGCCCTTTCCAGGGAAGGATACTTAAGTCCAGTCCTGATAATAAGGCAGAGTGACTCCAGGGAAAAATGCCTGGTGTCTGGGCTCTGCTCTGTTGGGTTTATGATGAAAAACTGCAAATCAAAAGCTTTATGTACAGTAATGGTGCTTTTAAAGTCTGAGAGTGCTACATAAATATACATTCCTTGTTAAAAAAATAGTTAATTCTCTTTAGCAGTTTGCTAGTATATTAACTTTCACCTCCTACAAATATGATATTTTAGTAAACAGTTATACTATATACCTTACAAAATCTGAATTAAACAGTGTTTTTTGTTTTCTGTCTTGTGTACGTATAGTAAAAATGACACAGAATACAAACAGCTATGGAACATGAGTGTGACAATACTCAGCATATAGGTATTAGGGACCCATCACTGTTTGAAAGGTGATACTGTTTCTTTCTTTCTTTCTTTCTTTCTTTCTTTCTTTCTTTCCTTCCTTCCTTCCTTCCTTCCTTCCTTCCTTCCTTCCTTCCTTCCTTCCTTCTTTCTTTCTTTCTTTCTTTCTTTCTTTCTTTCTTTCTTTCTTTCTTTCCTTCCTTCTTTCCTTCTTTCCTTCTTTCCTTCTTTCCTTCTTTCCTTCTTTCCTTCTTTCTTTCTTTCCTTCTTTCCTTCTTTCCTTCTTTCCTTCTTTCCTTCTTTCCTTCTTTCTTTCTTTCTTTCTTTCTTTCTTTCTTTCTTTCTTTCTTTCTTTCTTTCTTTCTTTCGTTCTTTTCTTTCTTTTTGAGATAGAGTCTCGCTCTGTCACCCAGGCTGGAGTACAGTGGCATGTTCTTGGCTCCCTGCAACTCTGCCTCCCAGGTTCAAGTGATTCTCCTGCCTCAGCCTCCTGAGTAGCTGGGATTACAGGCGCCCGCTACCACGCCCAGCTAATTTTTGTATTTTTAGTAGAGACGGGGGTTTCGCCATCTTGGCCAGGCTGGTCTTGAACTGCTGACCTCAAGTGATCCACCCACCTCGGCCTCCCAAAGTGCTGGGATTATAAGCATGAGCCATAGCTCCCAGCTAATACTGTTCTTTTTTGTGAGTTTTAATCACTAAGTTTCTTCTGTTTGCGTAGCTATGACACATGGCATCCCTCCTGCCCCTACAAATTGATTTCTACTCCTTTACTGAATACCAGTGGTCCTGGGCTCATAAATCTACAAAGTGGAATCCAGAAGAAATCAGAATAAAAGACAATACATATTTTAAAAAATTTTCTACAGATGGATAGAATACTAATTTTCCATTTCCTTTCTTCCTTTCACCTTCTATTCTTTCTGATACCATTCTTTTTTTTTTTTTTTTTTAAAGATGGAGTCTTGCTCTGTCACCCAGGCTGGAGTGCAGTGGCACGAACTTGGCTCACTGCAACTTCCTCCTCCTGGGTTCAAGCGATTCTCCTGCCTCAGCCTCCCAAGTAGCTGGGATTGCATGCGCCTGCCACCATGCCCGGCTAATTTTTTGTATTTTTAGTAGAGACAGTGTTTCACCATGTTAGCCAGAATGGTCTTGATCTCTTGACCTCATGATCTGCCCACCTTGGTCTCCCAAAGTGCTGGGATTACAGGCGTGAGCCACGCGCCTGGCCTCCATCCATACATTTTTTTAAAAAATAAACAACATTTTGAAGATATTGTAGAGTCTGTTCTCACACTGCTATAAAGAACTACCTGACCTGGATAATTTATGAAGAAAGAGGTTTAATTGACTCACAGTTCCATAGGCTGTACAGGAAGCATGGCTGGAAGGTCTCAGGAAACTTACCGTCATGGCAGAAGGTGAAGGGGAAGCAAGCACGTCTCACCATGGTAGAAAGAGAGAGAGAGTGAAGGGGGGGAAGTGCCACACACCTTTAAACATTTATCAGATCTCGTGAGAACTTACTATCGCAAGAGCAAGGGAGAAATCTGCCCCCATGATCCAATTACCTCCCACCAGATCCCTCCCCCAACATTGGGAATTACAGTTTGACATGAGATTTGAGTGGGGACACAGAGCCAAACCATATCAAATATTTTCTGCCGTAAGTGTCTGGATGTACCATACCCAGGGTTCTCAGTTTTAGATAACATAATTGTTATCTAATTATACAGATATAAGATATACTCTCAGCCTGGAGGACTAGTCTCTGGCAAGAATTCAGGGAGACAAAATGTGGCTAAGATCTTAGTGTAGGAAGAGCCCACCCTTCTCTGACTGGGAGCAGACAGATCTTCTCCCTCTTAGGATTCCGTATTGGGAGTTGGGACCTCTGCCTACCATCTTTCCAGGAATTTTCTCCAAATGAACAGGACATTTCATGACAGTTTGCCAAAATGAAACACGTTCATTATAATGGGTATCAATGAAATTTTCACTCTGATATGAACCACATCTTTGTTTTCCAAAGTTTTAGAAACAGAGTGTATGTTCTTGTAAACTAATTGGTCTAGGGAAAATACCTCTTTGAGAGGACATAATTAACTCTCCCTACTCAGATGTCTTAAAATCCATGGAGTTTTGTCTTAAAAAGAATTGCTGCAGCTGAGAATGGGATACTGCCTTAGTCTGTTTTGTGCAGCTGTAACAGAATACCTGAGACTGGATAATTTGTAATGAACAGAAATTTATTGGTTCATAGTTCTTTAGTTGGGAAGTCCAAGATTGAAGCACTGGTATCTATCAGGGACCTTCTTGCTGTGTCATCTCATGGTGAAAGGCATAGGATGTCAGAGGGCAAAAAGAGGATGGGAGAGAGGAAAGGTGACTGACCTTATTTTATAAGGAACCTACTTCCACACATTCATCTATTCATAAATGCAGAGCCCTCATGTTCTAATTACCTCTCATTGGAACCTACCTCCCAACAAACACTGTTGCATTAAAGGTTAAGTTTCCAACATATGCTTTCTGAGGGACACATTCAAACCTTAGCAGATACCAAGGGGCAACTCACAACTAACAAGACTTGGGTAATGGTAGATGACTAAGTGCTTACTGTGTAATTAGCAATTTCACTTGTTCTAAAGAAGCATTTCTCAAGAGACAGCTGCAGTCCATCTTCATCAAAATCGTTAAAAATGAAGATTGTTGAGGATCCCTCCAGGCCTTCAGAATTAGAAATTTTAAGAGGAGCTCTTGAAGTCAGCAATTTTTATAAATCCCCAGATGAACTTTAAACCCACTAAAGTTTGAGAAACACCAGGAATGTAAAGGAATGCAGGTCTATTAAAAATTGTTAAAGCTCTTGTTAAAATCACTCATTTTCAGCCTGTCCTCTCCCTGCTTATAATAATCACTGTATATATAGTTTTATTAAATATTGCATTTATATTTTACTAAGAAAGATGCTATTCTAAGGCTTAATGAATTAAAAAAAACAGGTTGTTGCAGCTGAGTCGGTTTCTTCACAGAGATGGATATTCGTAAAGTGTTAGGTGGCTATTTGGGTGAAAGATCAACAAGCCCACTGGAAACTTTTGGAAGGTGAGCTGGCATGGAATTTCTGGAAGAAAGGGAACATTTTCTGACAGCAGTTGGTCAATGCAGAACTTTCAGATAATGATGGATTGGCAGTCGAAGGGCTACCTAAGCTAAGTGTCACCAAAGTGCCTTTGGTCTGTTTGACCTGCTTAGTGTCTAGTAGCTTCTTAGTTTAGAAAAAACTGAAGGCTGCTTCAATTTATTTACAAATGTGTTGTTCGGAACTGGTGCCACTATTATGAGTGTTCACCTAGTAGTTCTTAGAGCCTCATTCGTATTAGAGTTACCTACATTCTCTACTTCTTGTTGGCACATGAAGCATTAAAATGAGGGCTTCAAGGTCACTTTAGAGGAGAAAAGCCCCTCAAATCAACTCCCCTCTTTCCTTAGCTTGAAATCTCTCATGATAAGCCCAACATGTGCATCTAAATCCCACTGCTCCACCCCTTCCTCCTTACTTACTGTGTCACGGGGTTTTAAACCCTTGGAGTTGGGCACATCTGCACACAAATCCTGTTTCCATCACCTGTAGTCTGCAGGCTTTGTGGGTCTTACGCTTATATCAGTTTCGAAATACTCTTTCAAAAATAGATAAGAAAATGTATGAACATGCAAACATGTTTCTAAGAACCCTTTCTGGAACCTTAGAAAAGCCTATGCTAGTGGAGGACTTGTAGCCTAAGCTACAAGGGGTAAGTTACCTGATACTCTACATTACATATACATATATAAGAATATAAGTATATGCACATACCTACATACATACCCCTCAGAGAACTATGGGAATTGACAGAGATGATATATACTGGCTCAGAGCAAGTTTTCAATAAATTGCAGCTGTTGTGGTTAAGTCCCACAGAGATAGGTTCAAATAAAATGGTTGCAAATTATCAACTCAAATAAGGAAGTATTAAAAGCAGCATGCAATTTCTTGTAAGAACTCATCAAAGCAAAAACTAGATGCATGCAATTATAACAGTAGAATACAAATAATCAATATAGACATTCTAATAGTTCACTACATAAGTGATTTCAACATAGTGGTTAAGATCTTGAACATGAAGTGGACTGTCTGTGTTCACTTCTTGCCCCATCATTGACAGACTGAGGGTAAACTAGTTAATCCCACTGTGATTCATTTCCCCTTGATTTCTAAAGTGGAGAGAGCATGCTGCTTGTTACGCAGGGCTGAGGATTGAGTGGAGTAATGTGTGCAAAACACTCAGTGTAGTGCCTGGCACATAGTAGGTATCACTAAATGGTAGCTGTTGACAGTCTTAGAATCACAATAACATTTGATGAGACTCTGATCTCTCAGAAAAGCAATAATTATTTTTTTCCCAAAAGTGACTCAAAGAAGAAGCTTCTGAGAAGGAAGGACTTAACTGTGGTATCAAAGACAGTTAGTTGCACTGAGAATAATACAAGGCTGGGGAAAATTCTCTCTCATCTGTGCTTCTCTGAGGTTGCATATATCCTTTTATTATAAAACGTCTTAGAGGTACTGCAATTACTTGTTAATTTGTCTGCTTGTTCTATTTGATTACAAATACCTATAAAGCAGTTCCATTAGACTTTGTAGCCTTTCTGCCTAGCATGGGGTCTGGCATTGAGATGGCACATCATAACTATCTGTTGAATGAAAGATTGAATGGATGGGCAAATTCCTGTTTCTTCTGGCATTTTCTCCCAGGTTATCTGGGAGATTTTCAATCTTCTCCACTCTGCTCTGAACTCCCACTTCAGCTCTGGGAGAGTCTCCTCGTCGGATCCCTCTGTTTCAGCCTACTTACTGGATGACATGGCTCATTCCAGAAGGACATAGGGTACTTGCATTTTGAAGATGCTGGTTATGCCAGGTTCTCCTTGATCATGAAGACTCAGCACATTGGGACACTCAATTCACTGCGGCTAAAGTTCATTATCATAGTGAATATTTTAAGTGTGATTGAGAAGATTATTTCTACATAAGCAGCATTTTGCAGGAGTTAGTTGCTGGGAGGATGGATTAGTTCAGTGTTTGCTTTCGGATTTTGTGATGGTTTAGGTACTTTCCCTGGTGATGATCCTTGTTACTGTTAAACGTTTTCTGTTATTATTTTTATACAGTCTGTGGATAACGTTAGTGAAGAACATCTTAAACATCTCTCATGATTAGTAGGCTGTGTTCCTGTCAATAGTGGCCCTCATGCTCCCCATTCTGGTGGAATATTAATATTTGGTTATGAAAGAGATTTGAAATAACTCTGGCATGCTGGGAATGACACTAAGGATCTTAGGTGAAATCCATATTCCCAACAGAGAGATTCTTTCCCCAGATTTAAATGTCCTTTAGTGTTTTAGTCATTTTGAACTGTGTGTTCATTCCACTTAGCTTATTTTTGTGTGTGAAGGAAACCAAAAGAACATGGGAGACTCTGCTAATATTTACAGATGGGTTTTAGTTCCCCTACTGATGTGTACTTATCAGGGCTCTTTAAGGCTATACTTACAATGAGATCTTAAGTGTGTGTGATGACTGTCAAAAGGCAGTGAGAGAGACTTCCATCTACGGGGTGTCTGGATGGTTCTGTTTGTGCTGAACTTTTCCACTTTCATGAGTTTAGAAAAGCTGCAGGCCTGAGGAGTCATTTAACGTGTTTTGCCCATTTAAAGCAAATGCATTTCAGCATTTATAGACAATATTTCTGGGTGCCCTTTTATCCTCTCTTGAAGGCTATAGGTTGCAATGAGCATCCTGGCTCTCTGCCTCGTTTTCCAGCTGGCTCCTCCTCTTCTCATGTGTGCTTTCTTTCCTTATGGCTGGAGCCAACTGACCCAGAGATGTAGGTGGATCTAGGCTGTAGTCTTCTAAGAGCACAATTAGGGTGACCAGATGTCTTAGGACTGAGGGGTTTCTAGGCCCTGCACTTTCAGTGCTGAAGTAGGGAAATTCCTGGGAAAACTAGAATAGTTGGTCACCCAACTTTTATGGTTGTCAGGGGATCTTTAAAATTCCTAATTCAGGAACTCCAGTGACTGACCATTAAGTCTGTGCTCCTCAATGATTGCTTACGCATTGAATTTTGCCTTGTTCCTAAGGCCAACACCACACCTTGCACCCACATCCAGTAGAAAGATCTTGGTCATACTTCTTTAAGATGGAGCTCCTGTTTTGTTTATCTGCCTAGTACTCCAGATCCTCTTAGCCTGGTCCTGCCATGTTAGCTCACATTTGCTCAGTGCTTTGAGTCCTGCCTTTGGTCCCTAGCTCATATCTCTGCCTAATGTGGCCTGCTAGCTCCCTAGTGCCAAGACATCACCTTCACACCTATTACTTATGCTCAGCTGAAAGTCTAGACTAGCACCTAGAGCAGTGGTTCTCAAGGCGTGATCCTGGGACCAACAGCATCAGCATTACATGGGAATGTGTTAGAAATGCAAATTCTAGGCCCCTCTCCAGACCTACTGAATCAGGAACTCTGGAGGTGGTGCCCAGCAATTTGTGTTCTAACAAGCCCTCCAGGGGGTTGTAATACACACTCAAGTTTGAGAGCCCCTTCCCTGGGTCATGCACTGTGCCTTCCCAGCTAGACTTCAAAGCCTGAAGCCAAGTCTGCCCACCTTCATGGATCTTTAGATTGTCCCACTCCCTGCCCATTGCTGGCCTGGCTGATCTTCCTAACTAACCTTAAACTCCCATTCCTGCATAGATCTTCAAAGCAGTGTTTATTTCCACTGCTGATAGGGACTGTCCAGGTTTGCCCAAGACGGGTTAACTGGGCACAGGACTTTCAGTACTAAAACTGAGAACATTCTGGGCAAACTGGGAGGGATTAAAAACCCTAACTGAGCAAGCCCATTAATACATTCAGTGATGTTGCCTTATGGAGACAGAAAAATGGAGAAATAGAAGGAGGATTATTGACCCTTTAGGATATTCCCTTCTTTATAATAACAACAACAAAAAAGCCAAGAGGAAGACTGTCCATTATGGAGTGTGGATGGACTACTTATTTGAATAATTTTTAGTATTGAATAGGCTACATTTCAACTAGGACTGTTCAAAGACTCTCTATCTCTCTCTCTCTTTTTTTATTTCTGGGAAGCAACTCCAGTGAAGTCAGAATTTTAGAATGAATTTGTTGTGTGATCTCAGGCGGAGTACTAATCTTTTGCTTTATCTATAATTGGAATACTAATACGTTTTTCTTCTAATTACATTACAGTAGATGAATTGAAGACAAATGAAATTATGTGCTATCTGTAAAAACTGTTTCTTGCATGGGTGCTATATAAATATGTAATTTTTAAAACAATAACAAACTCATACACACACACTTTTCAAAGAGAACATGAAGTCTTTTGCAAGATATGAGAGGAAATCAAAGGTAGTATCTGACCACTTCAGATAGGAGTGATTTCTTCCTGTCGTAAATTCTGATAGAACCTAAAGTCTAGAACCATGGTTCACAGCCTTGGATGCCCATTAGAGTTACATGTGGACTTAACAACGACAACAACAACAGCAGCAACAACAACAACAATGACTGATGCTCAGGCTCCCCCTTACCCCAGAGGGTCTGATTTAATTGGTCTGCTGTGGTACTAGGTCATTGGTGGTCTTAAATTCACTAGGTGATTCAAATGTGCAGCCAGGTTTGAGAATCCTGAGTCTAGAATAGTTCTCAAACATTACTCATAAGCATCATTTGGGAGAAGCTTATAAAAAAATGCAAATTTAGCCCCCTCCTCCAATCAAGTAGATCTGGGGTGGGATTCAGGAATCTGCTTAATACACAAGCTTACCTGAGGGTTCTGATGGAGATGATTGGCAGATCAGGTAACTTTTAGAAACCTTCTAGAAACCTTCAACTGTGACTTCTTTTTTTTTTCACAGTATGTAACACATGGTTAGTAGAGGGTTAACATATGGCAGGTACTTAACATGTGCTGAATGAAGTTTGCTGATTTATGTCCAAGAGACAATGATTTTAGCTCTTAGATTGTAGGGTGCTAGGTCCTAGGATTTGCGGGCTACTTTTTAACTTATCTGTGTCTCAGTTAAGTCTGATACAGACAAGGTAATATAAGAGCTCAGTATACATCTCTATAGTGCTCAGATCCTTACCCAGTTGGAAAATGCCCCAACAGTAGGAAGATAACCCCACATTGCGGATTAGGTTGTAACCCAGCTTTGTGTTTCAGTGTCTGAGATGGTTCAGTGGAAACAGAGATTCCATGTAAACTTTAAACAACAACAACAAAAAGCACCAGCCAAAAGAAATTAGCAGAGCACACTGTGATATCCAAATCTATGTTTTTATAAAATGATTTTTCTTTCTCTTAGAACCTAATTTTTATGCTCAGATTCAACAAACAACGATCTATTGAGTTTTCTAAGTGTTATCATGGACTCAGAGATGAAAATCCCCAGAGCACTTTGAGCTTTCCTGTTGAAAAATCACAACAGAAAAGCAAAGCCTTGGATATAAAACTGTCAAAAGCCTTTGGATATAAAATTGTCAACTTGGCAGTTTAACAAGGCCCACCCTGTTTGCAGCAAAAGGCCAAAAGTCCAAGACAAGCAAAGGCCTATAGCAATCACTTAACAGAATTAACCCTGCTGCCCTGTTCACATTACAGTGCATTTGTCAAGCTTGATAGCCATCTCTCTTCCTGGAGGAACCAACTTTTTTTTAAGTTGACTTTTGTTTTCTGAGCCATGCCAACATTCCAGCCACATGAGAGAGCCTGAACAGATTTAAACCCCAAATTCAAAAATGCAAAGTACTGTTTGTACTACAAACATACTACAGTTGTCAGCAAGCAGTACACAAACACATTAGAAGGGGTGAATGGAAATCGAATGGAGTAATGGACGTTAATATCTGGGATTAGCCATCAGGTGGAATGCTACATTTCAGAAGGTCCATCTGAATTGTAATGGGCTTCCCAAAAGTTTATATATCAAGTCATTATGGCACAGAGCTTTGTTGATGCTAATTACAGCAGCTCAGCTAGATAATTAAATATAACCTTCAGTAATAACTGGGGAAAGGAATGGCTCCAGCTGGAGTTCCTCAGCTTTTTCATAGCAAAGCTAGTCTAGCAATCTAACAATTACGAGGGCTCAGGGATATATATATGTGTATATATATATATATATATGCATTGTAGCCACTTTTATGGTGTGGCTCATTTAAGGAAATAAACTAGGGAAATTCCTTACATATTTTATTCCACACATGTTCTATAATTTTTTTTGTTGCAATTGGTCTCCTATATCTTTTTAGAACATGAGCCAAGAAATTCAGCATTTTTAAAGCAAATTACTATTTCATATGATGTGTGATTTAAATTGTGGGTATCTTAATATTGTAATAGGACTTGGACCACAATTGCCAAATGATTAAAATAGTCAAACCTTATATTCTGCTCAATTTGGAATGATATCATTAGGTAAATTTGTAACTGCTAAGGAAATGAAAAAATACTTTATTTTCTTTGTCCCAGATGGTATATAAGATACCTCCCTGAGTGCTTCTAAACTGATTGGCTCCACTACAAGTCAAAAAGGAAAATGACTTTTCAGAGTGTGGCTAAACTAGTGATTGGAATTCTGTAGCAGAATAAAATGTCCATAAAAGGGAAGCAGAGAATGTAATATTCTACATGATAGAGTATCTCTCTTCTTTGCAGTTGTTTGTCCATATTGCCTCATTCAATTATACTGATATTTGTGTTTATCTCACTTTTTGGTCCTCCAGGAGGTATTACTGAGGTAAACTTCCAGTATCCAGATCCAAAGCGGTGGACAGTGAAAATAACCAGAACTAGTAAGTGTTGCCACTAACAAATGGAGAAAGGGCAAGGTCTTGAAATACCTTCTGATGTGTAAAAAAACCTTCTAAATTATACTTTAATTTGAATATATTTGATTATATTACATTTTTCTTTGAAGATTGAGCCACCAGTATATTCTAGCAGCAAACAGATGTCAGAATTGTTGTTTTTATTATTAGCGATTGGGGGAGGGGCACTGGAAATTCTTGGGAAGAGTATTCTTGGGTTTTGTGAGACTGGAAATTTGGCAGAAGTCTACTGATTTTTTCAGATAAACATTTTAGCTTCTTTTCTTTGGTACTCTGCCATTGAACTTTCATTTAGATTGTTAAGATAAAGGGGTGCGGTGGAAAAGTGGTATGAGTTTATAGACACAGTCATTGTTATTCCTCCTTCCAAATTCCTCAAACTAGGGAAGAGAAACTAGAATTTACTAAGTATCTATTGAAAGTCAGTTTCTTTCACATAGGTCAACTCATTTAAATATTTCCAGCAAATTACCCAGTTTTGCTATTATCTCCACTTTTACAGATAAAGGAATAGAGGCTCAGAGAGGTTAAGAATCCCGCAGTGGGGCAGCGGAGATTCAGATTGAGGTTGCCGATTCTGGAGCCCACAGCCTCTCCCTCTGTGGTGCAGTGTAATTAGTGCTAGACAATGGAATAGGTTTTGGAAGGTGTCAGTGAACCAAATGGAGGGGGCCGGGGTCGGGTGATGGTGGGTGGAGTGGAAGGTTGGCAGGAAAAATCTTCAAAAAAAACTGAACAACAGAGTAAGTCCAAAGTCAGACAAAAACTGCATTTCAGGCATTTATTGTTTATGCTTTACTATCTTTATTAAGAGTCACAGAAGTATAAATATAAGAAATGAAAACATTTGGTTTATGGAAAAGTAAGAAGAGGAAAGGAATACACTGATAGGTAGGGGAGAATGCTCAGACAACTGGGATACCTTTGGAATTCAGCCCTTGATGTACGTGTCGAGAAACCACTTTACTTGTGTATTTCACATAGGAGGTAAAACAAAAACATATGATTGCTTCAGATTCCCTGCATTTCAGCTTCCCCACATTTTTATAAGACAAAGAAAACCCCCTATGGAAGACATTCAAAAAATAAGAGCCAGAAATATAGTAACCCAAAAGTTACACACTTTTTGTATGGGTGAAGGGAAAGCTTGGAAGGTTTGCTGAAAAATCAACTCACAAAAATTTAGATTAATAAAAGAAAAGGCACACAGATTTATTACTATTATGTGCATGTAGGGAATCTCAGAGTGATTGTCCAATATTCCAATGGGATACAGGTGTTTATATACTCTATTTCTTAGGGGGAATGGAGATGGGGAAGTGTGGATAATTTTAGGGGGATAATAAATGATTTTTAGGGGAAATCAGTGGGCTTGAAGAACATACAGTGGTCTCTTGGGCCCACAGAGCAGTCAAGGTTTTGTGACAAAAGTCTGTCGAGGTCTGTTGACAGACTTTAGTCTTCCTTCTTGCAATATGGGTTCAGTTAATGAAAACTCAGGGAAGGGACCAGAGGTCATTGTTTTCTTCTTTGGTAGGTCCAGACTTTAGGCAGATGAGGGAACTTCAGCTTGTGTTTGGGAGAGGCAGAGGATTGAGAGGCAAGAGGTAGGGGAGGAAAACAATTCCTCTCTTTATGGGTCTCTCTGGTCTTTATGTAGATAGGGAAAAAGTATCTTCTAAAATCTGTTGATCTCTAAAGGCCTTTAGTTCAAAATACTCATTATACTAGGGAGCCATATTTTGGGGTCAAGTTCCCTGAACTCCTTCACTTTAAAGCATTTGTATATCATGATGAAATCTGGAGATTTTCTTGTACATTTAGCTTTCTATGAAAAAGACATAAATTGTTAACCCATGAATTCATATCACTTAATAAATTGACAGCCAGAATGATATTTCTGAGGCATTTTTACAATAAGAACTCATTGGTTAAAAAGTCATGTACCTTAGGTGAGATAAAAGTACTAAGTAAAGGACCTGGGAAGACTTGGTAAAGAAATCGTTAGAAAATAAAGGTGGAGCCAGGCGCAGTGGCTCATGCCTGTAATCCCAGCACTTTGGGAGGCCGAGGTGGGTGGATCATGGGGTCAAAAGATCGAGACCATCCTGGCCAACATGGTGAAATTCCGTCTCTACTAAAAATACAAAAAATTAGCCAGGCATGGTGGCACCCGCGCCTGTAGTCCTAGCTACTTGGGAGGCTGAGGCAGGAGAATCGCTTGAACCTGGGAGGCAGAGGTTGCAGTGAGCCGAGATCGCGCCACTGCACACTCCAGCCTGGCGACAGATTAAGACTCTGTCTGAAAAAAAAAAAAAAAAAAAGGAAAAGAAAAATAAAGGTGGAAAGCTGAAAGAACTCTTTGGTAAATCCTCCACTAACTAGAAAAATCAGTAAGCCAAAAGATTGCCCAAATATTCTCATGTATTTGAGTTAATCGAATTTTTTGGTTATATAACTTTTACCTATGCTTAAATAAAAAAAAGTTAAAAGACTTCCTATATAAAGCATATAAAAATATGTATAAACACATGAATGGCATAGATTTAAATGACCAGGGCCTTTTTTTTTTTTTTTGAGCTAATAAACTGCATGGTTGCTGTGTAGTTTAGATGGCACATTTTGACTCAGCAAAATGAAAGACTTTATGTATCCTTACGTCATGGGTATCCAACAATACCCATCTAGTTTTACTTGAGGCTTTTCTATACCCTATTATTTGTTGGCTTTTCCTTGAGCAACTACCAGAGCTTTGAGAATTTCCAGCTTCTTTGAGTATTCACTAACTGAGGGTAACGAAAACATTAATGACTGATTATAGATAACCCACAGTTCTTAGGCTTGGAAATGGTAAAGACAGGACATGTGAGGAAGAACATTGAAAACAAAACAGCAAATATAGGTCTTAGGTCAACATACCAAAGAGCAACTTTTACATTAGCCAGAACATTCCTCTGTAATTATGTTACTTCTGGCACTAAGAAATAAATCCTAGTTTCTTTCTTTCTGGTCCACTTTTTTGTAGGAATGATCCGACATGATTTGGGGAGGCCATGAAAACCACAGTTCTTTGCCTCAATGTGGTAGCAATTAATGGTGAAGCTAGGCTGATGCTGAAAGAGCTTATTATTGAGCCCCACGGACTGTGATGCAGTCCCTGTGAGGCTCCAGGGAAACTGCAGTGGGGCCCAAGTGTGGCAAGCCCATCAGGCCAACTCCTCCCTGCAGCTTTCTAAGATATGGATTTGCTGAAAATTCCTAAGGAGAGGGTGGGCAAAGAAGGGGAAGGAGAGAAAAACACAAGGTGCTTTGGAGGTGAGGAGGGTCTCAGGCTCTGTCTAGACATTGCTCTATATTCCTGTCTGTATTAGTCAGGGTTCTCTAGAGGGACAGAACTAATAGGTTATACATATATACATATATATATGAGTTTATTAATGAGTGTTAACTTACACAATCATAAGGTGAGGTCCCACAATAGGCCATCTGCAAGCTGAGGAGCAAGGAAGCTAGTCCAAGTCCCAAAACCTCAAAAGTAGGGAAGCCAACAGTGCAGCCTTCAGTCTGTGGTCAAAGGTCCAAGAGTCCCAAAGCGGAAAAACTTGGAGTTCCATGTTTGAGGGTAAGAAGCATCCAGCACGGGAGAAAGATGGAGACCAGAAGACTCAGCCAGTCTAGTCCTTTCACGTTCTTCTGCCTGCTTTTTATTCTGGTCACATGGCTGCTGATTAGATTGTGCTCACCCAGATTGAGGGTGGATCTCCCTTTCCCAAGTCTACTGACTCAAATGTTAATCTCCTTTGGCAACACCCTCACAGACACACCTAGGAACAATACTTTGCATGCTTCAATCCTGTTAAGTTGACACTCAGTATTAACCATCACACTATCTGTATGTGCAGATGGTTGGTCACCAAGGGAGGGTTGACTTATTTATCTACATGGCAATTTTACAAGATTTTATTAATTCCATTTTAACAATGGACACACCAGAGCTCCGAGATAGTAACTGTCATGAGTAAGGACATACAGCTAGTGAATGGGAAGCTGGGACCTGAGCCCCATCTGTGTTTTTGATTACTGCACTGTCTCCCAACACTAATGGCCAAGGGATAGAAGGCACAATTGAGAAGGGTCAGTGTTCCCTGCTACTTTTATAGACAAATTTTCTTCACTCCATCAGACATTTATTAGCAGTTACATGGTATAATTACTACTCTCAAGGAAATCCTTCATCTTCCTTTCTTAGTGACTTTCAAAGTGTATATATTTCTCAAAAATGAATACTTAAGCTTATGTTTTTCAGTTGAAATCTAGAGTTAGTAAACAGGATCCCCAAATAAGAGAAGAGTGTTCCCATTTTTGTCCTCTTTGCCCAACCCTACACCTATCATGGAGAGATCACTTGTAATTTTGTTTATAAAAGGTAATTAAATAAAAATAATACATCAATAACTTTTGAAATAGCTACTTTTTTCTTTGTTTTCTACAATTTATTGTATTCTATATCTTCCTCTTCATTATACATTATCTTTAATTTTTTTGGAATACATCCTTGAGAAACTATTTCAGAAAGGGTAAACAAATAAGCTTTCTGAGTCCTTGCATATCTGAAAATGTCTTTATTTTGTGTTTGAAATTGGGCTGGAAATGGGATTCTAGGTTCAATGTGAATTTTTCTTGAGAATTTTGAATATAATATTCCAACATTTCTTAGCACCCAGTGTTGCTGTTGTGATTACAGACAGTAATCTAATTTTCATTCATCAGTTTATAATTGCCACCCCACCCCCTGCCCAACTGGAAGTGTTTAGCATTTTCTTTTTCACTGGATTTTGAAGTTTCACGTGGATGTGTTTTACTGTGCTTCTTTTATTCACTCTGCATGACATATAATGGTCCATTTGAATGAAAAGATTCATGTGTTTCTTCAGCTCTGAGGAAATTTCTTCAGTGACTTCTAAGTTATCATCTCATGTCTTCTATTTTCTCTGCTTTCAGTCTGGAGCACTTACCAGGCAGCTGCTGAAGCTCCTGGATGCACCGTTCATGCCTTCTAGCTCTTCCTTCGTGCTTTCTTCACTTTTCTTTGCGCAGCATTTTAGGAGAATTGCTTAGCTTGATCTCCCAGCTCACTAATTCATTCTTCAGCTGTATCTCTTCTCTTAGGTAAATTTTAATTTTTTTAAGAGACAGGGCTCACTCTGACTCTTAGGCTGTAGTGCAGTGGTGTGCTTATATTTCAGTGCGGGCTCCAACTCCTGGGCTCAAGCGATCCTACTGTCTCAGCCTCCCAAGCAGCTGGGACTACAAGCGTATGCCACCATGCCTGGGTAATTTTTCATTTTCATTTTTATTTTTTGTAGAGACAGTGTCTTGCTTTGTGGCCCAGGCTGCTCTTGAATTTCTGGCTTCAAATGATCTTCCAACTTCAGCCTTTCAAAGTTCTGGGATTACAGGCATGAGCCACTGTGCCCAGCTGGATAACTTTTAAAAAATTATTATTTTTTATTTCCCTGGGATATAGATCTTGACACAAATTAATTTTAACACTGACATTCTAAATTTCCAAACTATTTAGTTTGTTTTTCCTGGTAGTTAATATTCTCATGACTTCTTTCTGAGAATATCACTATTGTATTAGTTTGCTAGGAACAAAGTATCACAGGCTGGGTGGCTGAAATAACAGAAATTTATTTTCTCACAGTTCAGAAGGCTGGAAGCCCAAGATCAAGGTGCCAGCACAGTTAATTTCCTCTGAGGCCTCTCTTCTTGTCTTCAGATGCCATCTCTTGCTGCCTCTTCACTTGATCTTCCCTCTGGGTGTGCACTTGTCTGGTGTCTCTTTGTGTGCCCTAATCTTCATTCAGATTGTGTTACAGCCCACACTAACAGCCTCATTTTACCTTACTTAACCTCTTTAAAGGCCCCATTTCAAAATACAATCACATTTTTGAGGTACTAGGGGTTACAGCTTCAATATATAAATTCAGGGGGCCATAATAATGCAGTCCATAACAACTATATGTATGGTTTACTGTAAAGACCTTCCTCCCTCAATTCTTCTATGAATTCTGTTTTCTCAGATGTTAGTTATTTAGTTGGTTGGACTTGGTGCCATTTTTTGATGCTGTTGCTTTTACTCAAATATTTGGTAATTTTCATTTTTGTTTTGCTCATCTTTGTCTTTGTCACCTGCTTGAAGATGCTGATTGTGATAACTGTAGCTGTCCTTCAGTGAATGTGTTGGAGGCATGGAATGTCCTGTTGGTGAAAGGTGCTATGTAAGGTGGCACCCTGTTCCTCCCTGGGTCAGTTTTTACCTGGACACCACTGTGTTTTGGGGGCCATGGAGCTGATATTGGTGCTTTACTCCAATTGCCATTTTTTCCTGGCAGCTGTTTAGTAGGATGTGGGAGAGACTAACCAGCTTAGCATCTTCAAGGCTGCCTTCAGACCCTTCCCTATCTTTTTTTCTTTTTTTTTTAATTATTATTATGCTTCAAGTTTTAGGGTACATGTGCACAACGTGCAGGTTTGTTGCATACATGTGCCATGTTAGTGTGCTGCACCCATTAACTCGTCATTTAGCATTAGGTATCTCCCCTAATGCTATCCCTTCCCCCTCCCCCCACCCCACAACAGTCCCCAGTGTATGATGTTCCCCTTCCTGTGTCCATGTGTTCTCATTGTTCAGTTCCCACCTAGGAGTGAGAACATGCGGTGTGTGGTTTTTTGTCCTTGCGATAGTTTGCTGAGAATGATGGTTTCCAGCTTCATCCATGTCCCTACAAAGGACATGAACTCATCATTTTTTATGACTGCATAGTATTCCATGGTGTATATGTGCCACATTTTCTTAATCCAGTCTATCATTGTTGGACATTTGGGTTGGTTCCAAGTCTTTGCTATTGTGAATAGTGCCGCTGTAAACATACGTGTGCATGTGTTTTTATAGCAGCATGATTTATAATCTTTTGGGTATATACCCAGTAATGGGATTGCTGGGTCAAATGGAATTTCTAGTTCTAGATCCCTGAGGAATCGCCACACCGACTTCCACATGGTTGAACTAGTTTACAGTCCCACCAACAGTGTAAAAGTGTTCCTATTTCTCCACATCCTCTCCAGCACCTGTTGTTTCCTGATTTTTTAATGATAGCCATTCTAACTGGTGTGAGATGGTATCTCGTTGTGGTTTTGATTTGCATTTCTCTGATGGCCAGTGATGATGAGCATTTTTTCATGTGTTTTTTGGCTGCATAAATGTCTTCTTTTGAGAAGTGTCTGTTCATATCCTTCGCCCACTTTTTGATGGGGTTTTTTTTTTTTCTTGTAAATTTGTTTGAGTTCATTGTAGATTCTGGATATTAGCCCTTTGTCAGATGAGTAGGTTGCAAAAATTTTCTCCCATTCTGTAGGTTGCCTGTTCACTCTGATGGTAGTTTCTTTTGCTGTGCAGAAGCTCTTTAGTTTAATTAGATCCCGTTTGTCAATTTTGTCTTTTGTTGCCATTGCTTTTGGTGTTTTAGACATGAAGTCCCTTGCTCATGCCTATGTCCTGAATGGTATTGCCTAGGTTTTCTTCTAGGGTTTTTATGGTTTTAGGTCTTACATTCAAGTGTTTTTTTTGAGATGGAGTCTCGCTCTGTCGCCCAGGCTAGAGTGCAGTGGCATGATCTCGGCTCACTGCAACCTCTGCCTCCCAGGTTCAAGATATTCTCCTGCCTCAGCCTCTCAAGTAGCTGGGACTACAGGCGTGCACCACCATGCCCAGCTAATTTTTTGTATTTTTATTAGAGATGGGGTTTCACCATGTTGGCCAGGATGGTCTCAATCTCCTGACCTCGTGATCCGCTCACCTCAGCCGCCCAAAGTGCTGTGATTAAGACAAGTGTGAGCCACCACACCCAGCCCATGTTTAAGTCTTTAATCCATCTTGTGTTAATTTTTGTTTAAGGTGTAAGGAAGGGGTCCAGTTTCAGTTTTCTGTATATGGCTAGCCAGTTTTCTGAACACCCTTTGTTAAATAGGGAATCCTTTTCCTATTGCTTGTTTTTGTCAGGTTTGTCAAAGATCAGATAATTGTAGATGTGTGGCGTTATTTCTGAGGCCTCTGTTCTGTTCCATTGGTCTGTAGATCTGTTTTGGTACCAGTACCTGCTGTTTTGGTTAATGTAGCCTTGTAGTATAGTTTGAAGTCAGGTAATGTGATGCCTCCAGCTTTGTTCTTTTGCTTACGATTATCTTGGCTATATGGGCTCTTTTTTGGTTCCATATGAAATGTTAAGTAGTTTTTTTCTTATTCTGTGAAGAAAGTCAGTGGTAGTTTGATGGGGATAGCATTGAATCTATAAATTACTTCAGGCAGTATGGCCATTTTCACGATATTGATTCTTCCTATCCGTGAACATGGAATGTTTTTCCATTTGTTTGTGTCCTCTCTTACTTCCTTGAGCATTGGTTCACATCCCTTGTAAGTTGTATTCCTAGGTATTTTATTCTCTTTGTAGCAATTGTGAATGGGAATTCACTCATGATTTTACTCTCTGTTTGACTATTATTGGTGTATAGGAATGCTTGTGATTTTTGCACATTGATTTTGTATCCTGAGACTTTGCTGAAATTGCTTATCAGCTTAAGGAGATTTGGGGCTGAGACGATAGGGTTTTCTAAATATACAATCATGTCATCTGCAAAGAGAGACAATTTGACCTCCTCTGTTCCTATTTGAATACATTTTATTTCTTTCTCTTGCCTGATTGCCCTGGCTGGAACTTCCAATACTGTGTTGAATAGGAGTGGTGAGAGAGGGCATCCTTGTCTTGTGCGGGTTTTCAAAAAGAGAGAAGAATCAAACAGACACAATAAAAAATGATAAAGGGGATATCACCACTGATCCCCCAGAAATACAAACTACCATCAGAGAGTACTATAAACACCTCTGTGCAAATAAACTAGAAAATCTAGAAGAAATGGATAAATTCCTGGACACATACTCCCTCCCAAGACTAAACCAGGAAGAAATCTAATCCCTAAATAGACCAATAACAAGTTATGAAACTGAGGCAGTAATTAATAGCCTACCAACTAAAAAAAGCTCAGGACCAGACAGTCACAGCTGAATTCTACCAGAGGTACAAAGAGGAGCTGGTACCATTCCTTCTGAAACTATTTCAAACAATAGAAAAAGAGGGACTCCTCCCTAACTCATTTTATGAGTCCAGCATAATCCTGATACCAAAACCTGGCAGAGACACAACCAAAACAAAATTTTCAGGCCAATATCCCTGATGAACATCAATGTGAAAATCCTCAATAAAATACTGGCAAACCGAATCTAGCAGCACATCAAAAAGGTTATCCACCACGATCAAGTTGGCTTCATCCCTGGGATGCAAGGCTGGTTCAACATACCAAATAAATGTAATCCATCACATAAACAGAACCAATGACAAAAACCACATGATTATCTCAATAGATGCAGGAAAGGCCTTCAATAAAATTCAATACCCCTTCATGCTAAAAACTTTCAATAAACTAGGTATTGATGGAATGTATCTCAAAATAATAAGAGCAATTTATGACCAACCCACAGCCAATATCATACTAAATGGGCAAAAGCTGGAATTTTATATCAATATTAAATAACTCTGGGAATGCCATTATACTATCATTCAATAGCATCAGATATTCAAATACTTTAAAAATGCCATTAATACTTCTGGCTAGACCACAAATACTTGCTAGCTAATGCCCAGCAATTTTCGTTTCTATCTTCCTAAAAATATTTACTTCTACTGTTTTTATCTCCACATCTCTTCCTAAATGTTTTCAATAGTCACGTGGATCCATAACACATCTGGACCTTAGGATTTTTCCACCTTTCTGATGAACCACATTGTTAAAAACCACTACTAACCCCTTAAGGGAAGAAAGTTTTAAAGAACGGATGAATTTTATTTTAGATATGTGGTGTCTGAATGGCTAAGCAATATATTCACAGGAACATTAAGCAACCAGTTGGAGATGTGGTGGAAAACTTTTCAAGCTCCATCTTACCGTTCCATTTATTCATGGAAATCCTGCTATATAATTGGCATCATATTATGTAGCAAAGATACAAAGCTTAGCAAAGTACCTACAACCTAGTGAGAGAGTCAGACACATGAATATTCAGACACATACAGAATTATTGTAAAGCTGGTACGTTCAAAGGGTAGGGGAGGATGAGTGGGAATAGTGAGGATAAGCTACTCCCAAATCTATCTGCTCTGTGGATTCTCTTTGGGTTGGAATATGCCAAAGTATGTTAAATATGAATGTTAAGATTATTATTCATAATAAGAATGTTAAATATATATCAGCCTTCTTGGCTTTCTTTCTTTTCTTTCTTTCCCTCCCTCTCCCTCCCTCCCTCCCTGCGTCCGTCCCTCTCTCCCTCCTTCCTTCCTTCCTTCCTTCCTTCTCTGTTTCTCCTTCCTTCCTTCCTTTCCTTCCTTCCTCCCTCCCTTCCTTCCTTCCTTTCTTTCTCCTTCCTTCCTTCCTCCCCTCCCCTCCCCTTCCCTTCCCTTTCTTCTTTTCTTTTCTTTCTTTCTCTTTCTTTCTTTCTTTCTTTCCTCTTTCTCTGTTTATCTCTTTCCCTCTTTCTCTCTTTAGAGATGAGATCTCAATTTGTTGGCTAATCTTGAATTCCTGGTCTCAAGAAATCCTCCTGCCTTGGCCTCCTAAAGTGCTGGGATTACAGGCATGAGCCATTGTGCCTGGCCTATGTCTGGATTTTCTGTACATAGTTGGTTTTCTGTGCATAGGCTGGTTCACTGAAACACTGTTCAGTGTGTATTGCACAACTTAGCCTTTTCATGTTAGGGACTTAATCTTTGGCTTAGTGAAAGTCTCGCCACATGATTCCTTCTCCATCTTTGAACCTGCAATAATGCATACACTTGTTATTCAAACTCTGGAAAAGTAGCCCTTTGGAAGATCAGATGTAGAGGATGCTGGTTTCCATTGGGGAGCAGACATGCTTATAAGAAGGACTGGCAGAACACAGAATGCAAAAGAAAGAAGACTGAACTGCGCCTCTGAAGGGAAATCACCACAGTGAGAATACTGTGGAAGAATGAGTATTTTTGGGGAGTGGTTTTGGCTATGGGTTATGAGGTAAAGAAAGATGTGCTCGATATTGTCTATTAGTTTTCAGCAATATCCTTGCCCGTCTAAGTCCCACCCTACATTGTAGGGCTGGAATGCTAAAAATTACATTCCCAGTTTACCTCATCAGCAAGATCCAGTTTAGATTATCCCAATGTGAGGCACATATGTGAATGTGGAAAAACAGAAAAGGAGGGCCTCTGATCTTTAGTTGCACCAGCAGGCAGGTGACAGAAGTGAGGTTTGCAAATGGTTGCTGGGTGAGCTCCTGAGAGTCAGCCCCTCTGGTACTAGCGGATATTTCTTTAAATTCATGCCCTTTTTGATTTATTGACTGTAAATGAAAGCTTCCATGACTGTTGCTCTCTCAGTCTTTTTAACAGTTTTGTAAGTCCCTGAGTCCGTCTATTAAATTATTACTGGTTGAAATACCTAGAGTGGCTTCAGTTTTCCTGATGGAAAGCTGAGTGACCAAATGGAAATGACTGCTTCTTGAATGGGTGGGAAAAATTTGTGTCCTATTGGGGGGACCTAATCTAGCACTGTACCAGAGATAGTTTCCCCAAGAGCTGAAGACATGGATACTGCTTAATGGAGAGAAGCACATTTCTGGTAGAGCAGTGTATTAGCACTGGGCTGAGGGAATCTACGGATACTCCATGGCCATGGAGGCTCCAGGCATTCAGACTAGTATGGTTTTGTTTTATACTATTTCAATAGCCTTGTAGACCATGACATTATATAGCAGAGTAAGGCAGTGAGAGAATACAAGGAAATTTGTGCCCAGAAATGGATAACCTTACAAGGTTTGGATCAACTGCTACTCATTCCTTGAAGCATTTCCTTGTGTATTTTAAAGGTGATACTCCCTTTGGATGGCATCAAGATAGATACAACTGTCTATGAATTCTACTCTGTAATTAATATATTTATTGTGAGTTTTTAGCACTATATATCAAAGCATTTTAAAAAGCATTAGAATTCAAGATTTTTTTTATCTTGGAACATTTCATCCACATAGCAGAAATTGCTTCCTCATTTCTGAATGTTAACTATGTATCAGCCTTATATTAAGCCATTCTTATAGGATTAGACATGGGAACTTCCAGCTGTTGCATTTTAAATGAAGTTAGTAGCCTGTCCTCAAGAACATTAATTATTTATTTGGCTTTGCAAAAACACTGATATGGGAAAACTGTTCAGCTCTTACATGAACTGTTAGCTGTACAAGTATTTATACATATTATCTCCTCTCAGAGCTCAACCTTTCTTTGGCTATGGTCTAGTTGGAAGATTTCCTCTTGTAATTCTTCACTACTTAAAAACCTTTACATAAGTAGACCATAAAATCCAAACTCAGTAGCCGATCATTTGAGACCTTCTGTTATTATGTTACTGATACATAACAATATGATTTGTTCTCTGCCTCTATATTTGGAACTTGTTTTGTTAATTTCTCCCTCTACCTTTGCTTACTTTATGCCTCTATCTTTCCTACCACTAATTTGACTGTCTAAACTTTCTTCAAAGGCTAGCTTAGATATCTTGATCTCCAAAAGTTTTCTTCAGTTTATACTACTAATCAGCAATCCCTCTCATTATTTGAAATTATGATGAATATGTCACCTCTATAGAGCAATTGTGAATTTCTCTAGCACAATTCATTAAAGACAAAATTTTATTTTGCTTTATTGCCACTCTTTTTGCACAAACTAGCAAAAGTAAAATTTGATGACTGAAATGACAGTTTTAATCTGTTGTTCTTGAGTGCTTTGAAAAATGAGTTATCTTGATGAACATTAATAATACCATTCTCTTAATTAAAACTATTAAATTTGAATAAGTTGAAATGCATTTTGTTAAATACTAATATAAAGAGCAGACAGGAAAAAGTAAAATTGTCTTTATTAGCAAATGACATGGTTGTTTACATAAATAGTTCTAAGAGTTCTACAACCACTAGAACTCATAAGTGAATTTAGCAAAATCACGGTATACAAGGTTAATGTAAAAGATCAATTTTATTTCATATACTAGCAGTACATAATTGAAAAATGAAATAAAAACAACTGCATTTATAATAACATAAAGATATAATGTATTTATAAATAAATATATAAGCTCTCTACACTGAAAACCACAAAGCAATGCCAAGGGAAATTAAACAAGACCCAAATAAAAGGAGATATACCATGTTCATGGATTGAAACATTCAATATTGTTGAGATGTTATTTCTCATCAAATTGATCTACTGATTCAATGCAATCCTCGTCATGTTTCCAGTAGGCTTTTTTTTTTTTTTGGAAGGGTAGAATTTGACAAAGGAATTAAAAAATATATGGAAATGCAAGGGATCTAGAACATTTCAAAAATATTGGAAAAGAAGAAGAAAGTTGGATGAATTACATTACATTACCTGACTTCAAGACTTACTATAAAGTTGGAGCAAGCAAGGTAATGTGGTCCTGAAATGAGTTTGAAAATCAAACATCACTGGAACAGTACTCCTCATGGGAGTTTTTGTTGAGATGTTTGCCCTTGTCCCTGTCCATGCAGCCCAATTTAGATTCTGCCCTTTTGTTGGGGCCCATGACTTCTCTGCTGTCATCATCTTCCTTGTGTCTCCTCTCTCTTCATCTTGGGGGCAATCTTGTTTCAAGGTTTTGGGGGAGGCACTTGCTCTAGCTCTCTGTTTCTCTCAAACATTCTTTATAAACCTAAACTTTTCTTAGCATCCCAGAAAGACCCAGCTGATGGAAATTCATTCTAGAAGACTCTTTCACATCACCTCCTGTAATTAAGAACACAGAAAGACTGGCTGAGTGGGAAAATGGAGGGGATGGATGGGAAAAAAATTAATCATTAGTTTTCCTGAATTTTCACAGGTATTTAGTTTTACAGGATTTAGCTGGTCAGGATATTTCTTCTTTCTCTTCTAGTATAGCAGATGCTGTGGTATGCCATCCAGATCTTTTTTCTGAACCAAGGTACTTATTACCTTAGCTGTTGAAAAATTTGGAGGCTGATGGCTCTCCACTAAGGACTCTCTCCAGGAATTGCTCTCTGCCAAAAAGAACCATGTCAGCCAAGGCCACATTCCCTTATCAGGGATGACCTGCACTCACTAACTGGTCAGTGGAGTGGGGGTAAAGATGACTCAAGATAGGGGCCCTCACAGCTCCAGAGTTCTTTGTAGGATGAACTGAGGTCCCTATGGTGACTGCATTGCAGTTCAGCTTCTCCCTCTGTCTGTGGATGTTGATTCTGAGGGCAATCCCTGATAACAATTCTGCATGCTAATCTCCACCTCAGAATGTGTCTCCCAGGAAACTGACCTGGACGTAGAATTTAGAGGACACACAGATGGATTGGATATGGTGGGTAGGCAGGAAGGAATTAGGATGACTCCCGGGTTTTTCTTTAAATAACTTAGTAGATGGTGATGTCTTTACTTAGATGCAGTAGACTAGGGGAAGTATGGGCAGGCAATGAATTCAAAGTCCTGCTTTGGTTGTGCTAATTTTCAGATGCTATTAGGCAAGAGAAGCTACCCATCGGGTGGTTGCAGATTTGATTCTGGAGCTCGGGAAGTGGTAATGATGGTAGATAATACCTTTGGAAGTCATATGATATAAATGGCATTTAAAGTCCTGTGCTGAATAAATTCACTTAAGCAGGAACCTCAGTTTAGTTGTGCCTGCCTCTGACATTTTCCAGCTGAAAGTACCTTCAAGGGCTCTATATTTGTTTCCTAGAGCTGCCATAAAGAAGTGCCACAAACTGAGTTGCTTAAGAACAGCAGAAATTTAGTCTCACAGTTATGGAGGCTAGAGGTCTGAAATCAAGGGGTTAGTAAGGCCATGGTCACTCTGAAGCATCTGGGTAGCATCCTTCCTTGTCCTTTCCTAGCTTTTGGTGAACCCAGGCATTCTTTGGTGCGTGGCAGCATAATTTGAATCTCTTCTTCCATTTTCATTCGTCCATCTTCTCCCTGGATGTCTCTTCACATAACCTTTTCTCTCTGCATGTCTATGTCTGTCCCATTTTCCCTTTTTAATTTTATTTTCTTGTCTTTTGCAGACCAGGAAAGATGCACCAGCCAGGCAGTCCAGCCTCTGTGGGACTGCCCAATACCTCCTTTTTACAAGTCCACCAGTCATATTGGATTAGAATTCATTCATGACCTCATCTTAACTAATTTCATCTATAATTACCCTATTTCTAAATAAGGTGGCATTCTGAGTTACTGGAGGTTAGGATTTCAACATATTTTTTTTGAGAGAGCACAGTTTAATCCGTATCAGGTTCATACAAGGATTTTCTACCAAGTTTACTGAGTTAAAAGAATATCCTTAAGTTACAGTCATGTTACATATGGCATATGACATTTTACATGAACCAGCATATTAAATTCATTAAACTATTGCCTTGTAGATTTATTCTGAATAACTAAAAGCCCACAATTCCATAATTATCTGTCGTGACAACATTTCCCTTAGAAAGTAGGTGCAGAACACTTCAGAGGCATCACAGGCTGATCAGGCAGTCATGTGGGGGCACTGGAGACGTAATTCCTGGAAAACACACTCAGATTCCATGAATACGGTACTTTACCAAATTTGTATATAATAGTTGAACAGCTGACTCATGTTTCTGGATTTTTGGAAAACAGACACTATGCCATGGGACATACTGATGAGTGTACTCAAAAACAAACAAGGGAAAAGAAATCACAAAACTGCTGAAAAATCAGAGTAGGCGGAAACACTATGTACTGGCTGAGTTTTTGGACAATCTCAATTTCAACTTTCCTTCAAGGTTTTGCTTGTTTCAGTGTTACATCATTTTTCACAGTTGTAGACTTTTAAAACATGTAGCACCTATAAATACATTAGTTTCAGAGAAAAGAAAGCAGAACTTTTAAATAAAACAATGTAAAGTCGTACAGAAGCATCTACCCAGCCGAAAGAATCAGGGATTCAAAGTCAGAGACTTTTAAAGCATGTAGCACCTATAAATACACTAGTTTCGGAGAAAAAAAAAGCACAGCTTTTAAATAAAACAATGTAAAGTCGTACAGAAGCATCTACCCAGTTGAAAGAATCAGGGACTCAAAACATACTCTGATACTGCTTTGTTTGAGAAGCTACTGAGCTGACGGCAGCCTCCAAATTTCTGACAAGTTGTGTCGATTAGGAATAGCTTGTTGTAATTCCCAAACATTTTGGTTTCAATCAACTCTTTTTACTTTATAGAGGTATGGTTTGAGACAATTAGAAAATAGGATGTGATTCTCATTAGTTTGTCTTCCTGCTCAAGTTGCAATGCAAAATTTTATCATATAATAACCAATAATATAATTCAAGAGCCTATACAGTGCTGGATTTTATGGGCGGGTGGTGGGAGGGAAAACAGGCAGTGAGAAGCTAGAACTGCTATAGATGGGGAACTGAAGCCACTATTTCAGTCAGAGTGCAAATGGAGTTTTACTGGGATTTGGCATGGCCCAGTGATAAAGTCGGCTTTATAGCCAACCTACTTGAGATTGAATATCCAGCTCTCCCTGTGTCATCTGGGTGCCCTGATAAATTGTTTAATTCTCACAGTTGCCTTGCTTCTGCAAGACAGAAACAAGGAAAATAATTTTACAACATTGCAATGAAGAGTACATTTTGTTAAAACACAGATTCCTGGGCCCCAATCTAGCCCAACTGAATCAGAATTTTCAGGGGTGGGGCCTGGTAAGCTGTATATTTAATGACAACCCAGGTTTCTGTAGATTTAAGAAACTCTCAGGGTACTTTGAGAAACATGAATTACAAACAGTATGCAAAGTGTCTAGAATAGGGTATGTAGTGTAATTGTCACTCAATGAATGCTGCTTTTCTTCCCAGCCCTTTTGATATTGTGTGTGCAGGAATGAAAGAAATGTGCACATGCCATGTGGCCCGTCTAATGTTAGATTATCAAGTGTTCTGAGTGATGAAGCTTTTGGATAGGATTTTGGTTTATGATCCATCAGCCTACCAAGTGCCATTGTCTCTTTACCACAGGGTAGATCATTTTAGGGTCATATGTATTACCTTTAAAAATGATTTCAATGTGTATTTATTTATTATTTTATTTTATTTTTAAGTTATTTGTAGAGATGGGGTCTCCCTATGTTGCCCAGGCTGGTCTTGAACTCCTGGGCTCAAACGATCCTCTTGCCTCAGCCTCCCAAAGTGCTGAGATTACAGGCGTGAGCCACTGTGCCCGGCCTCAACATTTAATTATATGAGATATTCAAACTGATTGCTGGAATTTTTCTGTTGACAGCTAAAAAGAAAATCTGGCTGTTCTTGTCTTTATTTTGAATTACAAAATGTTCAAGTCTTGTTTTGCATTTTTTGAAGTAATGGAGCAATGGTAGATAAACATAAGCAGTACCAAAGTCACAGATAGTAACTCTTGGGCTAGTTGGAACAGCACAGAAAATCAAGTAAATTTGTCTGAACTTCCTGATTCTAGAAGAGATGGGAAAAAGGTTTTTCATAAGAAGATAGCCTTTATCTTTTGGAGATAAAGCTAATAAATACCATATGTTAATTGAACAAGATTATTTAGAATGTTGGCTTCATTTTTTAGATACTGATAGAGTACTTGTGCTTCATTTCTTCATTCCAAAACAATTGTCAGTATGAATTTCCTGAGGAATATGCTACAGTCATTTTGGAAGAAATTCTGTTAGCAGTACAGTGTTGATAACTGCAACTGTAACAAGGACAGAAATTATTTGTGAGTATGCATAACTCGTTGCCCTTCTCTTGCCCATGAAAGACAATTCTGGCATTGCTCTAAAGTTCTGCCTCCCCTAACCCAACCCTTATAATTCAGACAATTACTCTAATTGGGGTACCCAAGAAATAGAAATGGATGATTCACATTTGAATAAGTGAGAAGAGGGAAGAGTAGTAGAGGTAGAAAGAAATGAGGTAAGGAACAGAAAATCTATGTGGGTGAAGGTGGGGTGTAAACGGGAGGAGAGAGTTTTGGGAAGCAGCTACTATTAATAGCTTTATGGAGGAGCCTAATAGAGGTAGTGATGAGAGAGAATTTAAAATGTGTTTTTCTGGGCATTAAGAATATATTTCCTTCTTTGGCATTTTCTTAAGAAGCTGAAAAAGAAAACCTTGGAAGTTTCTTTCAGTACTTTCTGGCTGCTAAGCTATGATTCTTTGACTGTAGCAGTAGATTGAGATTGGACCACATTGGGCTCCAGACTTTATTTGGGTTTCACAATTTAATTGAGTGCAGTAAAATAAAAACTTATTATTTCAAAAAACTGACTATGTATACAAAGGCCATTTCTTAAGATTCTATTATTTTGCATGATCACAAATTTGTGATCGAAGATGGTTAGTCTCCAAAGCTTGAGGTTTTAGGATGTGTATGTTAATCCCTTGGGATCAGCACCCGTATATATTCAGGTTAATTGCTTAGGAACCAACAGAACATGAAGTGTATGTGAAATCGAGGGAAATGATTTTTTCCAAGACTTCTGCTGCCTGGGTTTTTGAGAAGCCAGTTGCTTCCCTTTGGGAATGACATTAGTATTCTGAATTTTATATTCTGATGAGTACAGTTGTGTGCAACCAGGGCTAACTTCACAGGTGCCTGACCCATTCTTAGAAGGGCCCCAGTGATTGGTTTAATGCTGTGCTGCTGCCATCTTGAAGTTCTTAAAAAGTTTATAACAAGAGACCTCATATTTTAATTTTCTCAGAGTCCCACAACTTATGTAGATGATCTAGTGTATAAATGATATAAACAAGCATCTACTCCAAATCCTTTGTTGATCAGTCATAAGACTCATTTATTTATTTTTAAGTTAAAATTGTTTTGAATAGATAATGCATTCACCTGGTTCAAAATGCTAAAATTATTAAAAGCTTGACAAGAAAATATATTTTTCATTTCTTTTTTAATTTTTTATTTGTTTTCGAGACGGAGTCTCACTCTGTCACCCAGGCTGAAGTGCAGTGATGTTATCTCAGCTCACTGCAACTTCCCCTTCCTGGGTTCAAGTGATTCCCCTGCCTCTGCCTCCCGAGTAGCTGGGACTACAGGCTCATGCCACTATGCCCAGCTAATTTTTGTGTTTTTTTTAGTAGAGACGGGGTTTCACTATTTTGGCCAGGCTGGTCTTGAACTCCTGACTTCAAGTAATCCACTCACCTTGGCCTCCCAAAGTGCTGAGATTACAGGCCTGAGCCACCACACCTGGCCTGTTTGCCATTTCTGTTCCCCATTCCAGCTCCCTCTCTATGTAACTGGTATTATTAGTTTTTTATGTTGTATCCTTCCAGAATTTCTTTATGCATAGAGAAGAAATATGAATATAGAGACTTATTTCTCTTCCTTTTATTTTCAACAGAGGGTAACATACAACACACACTGTTCTGTATTTAATTTTTTCACTTAGTATTTCTTGGAGATCTTACAGATATGTCTGTACATAAGAAACTTCTTACTTTTTTACAAGCTGTATAGAAAGTCATTGTACCAATGACTCATTATGTTTTTAACTGGTCCCTATTGCTAGGCACTTGCTTATGTATTCCTACTCTTTTGCTGTTATAAACAAGGCTGAAATGAGTAACTTTGTACACTCATCATTTTGCTCATGTATATATACAGGATACATTCTCCAAAGTAGAATTGCTTAGCCAAAGCTTATATATATATATGTAATTTCAATAGATATGCCAAATTGGCCGCCAAAGATAAGTTAATTTATACCAATGATGTGTGAGAGCCTCTGTTTCCCCACAGCTCACCACATAGTGAGTTTCCAAATTTTTGGATTCTTTTTTTGTTAATCCAACAGTGATGTTCTAATTTGCCTTTCTCTTCTTATAAGTGTTATTGAACATTCTCTCGTATGTTTCATAGCTATTTGTTTAAATCATTTGAAATTGCCAATTTTCAAACATTTTTAACAATTAGTTTCATATGATTTAACCTAATCTTATACTCTTTTTCTCTAAGCTGTCTGTTTATATCCTTTGCTATATTGTGTTGGTCTTTTCTTGTTGATTTCTAGGTGATCTTTGTGTATCAGGGAGAGTAGCCTTTTGTGATATAAATTTCAAATATATTTTTTCAAATTTTCCTATTGATTGGCTTTTAATGTTTCTGTCCATGAAGAAGTTTGTCATCAAATTATCATTTTTTCTTTTTTCATTTATATATTTTGAATTATGGCTAGAAAGATCTTCCCTAGTTCAAAATTATAATTTATTTTTACAACTCCAAGATTATAAAGAAGTTATCCCTTTTAAAAAAAGAATGTTTATAGTTTTATTTTTTACTATAAAATATTCGATCCATTTGTAATTTGTCCTAGTATAAAATGTGAGGTATGAATCCAATTTTATTTTATTCTTTCTAGTTGGCTCCCAGTTGTCTCCAAACCATTTATTGAGTAGCACCTTTCCCCCATGGGTTTGATATGCCACCTTTGTCATACGCTAAATCCCTGTCAACATGCCTCTCTGTGCATTTGGTTAATAAATGTTTAGAGGATACCTCATGTACTCAGGACACTTTGACAAAGCTGGCCTGAGGCACAAGTGTGAAGCTGGTGCCCTGTTTCTTCCACAGTGTGTTCTTTTCCTCTTTCCTGGTATCTGTCCTAACCCTGGTACTCTGTCCTGACCCGTAAACCTCTGTCTGTTCACCCTTTCTCCCTACTGTTCTCACGATGCTGCTTCATTTTTATTAGGAAGAGGCTGTATGAGATGAGTAAAAAGGCTACTTAGTCAATGATGGGCCCCACAGGTCATTTTATTTAGGAGACCATTTATTCTGCTTTTCTTTTGGCTACTTTTGAAGGCTGAGATTGTTACTGAATAACATGAGCTACTTGAAATCAATGAAAATTGGCCTTTTCTAAAAGAGTATTAATCCAGGAATTGACATTATTTCTCTATATGTTGAAAAACAGCTCCTTTTAAAAAATACAGGCATTGTTTGATACTTTATCAATCTTGTGAGGTCTCACAATCCTCCACTACATATACACATATATATAGATTTACAGATATATACACACAAAGGCATACACATGCACAATATATATTTACATACACACAGATACATCTATACACATAAAACATACATATGATATATATACATTTATATATAATGTGTATAAGCATATATATGTACATGCATTTACAGTTACACTTTTAATATAATGGGTACAGATCAGGACCTGCCAAATGCAGGGAAACATAGGGTGTGATCTGAAAGGGTCGTGAACACAGAGCTTACACATCCTTTCCTCAATTCCACTGCATTAAAAAAAAAAGATTACATTAAAGCATTGTTTTAACTGGATTTCTTAGTGGTTGGGTTGGTTTTTCTGTTACAACGTGAAGCCATCCAAGATTGTGTAGTGCGAGAATTTCACATGTACGTCAGCATGAGATGAGTCTGTCTGGTGTTTAAGCACCACTGCTTTAAAACAAAGGGGCCCACTTGGAAGCAAGAGACAGATAACTCAGTCATGGTGACAGTGTTTTGATTTCCCAACCAACGTAGGTCTGGACTGATGGGTACAGCCATGAGGAGTTTCCGTGTCTTGGAAAGCACGATTGCACATAAACTGCAGCATCACGTGCATAAAACAGGATTGCCAAAGCTACAATGTGAGTTTCAAAGTGTATACTGCCAGACTTGAGTGTTCTTGGAAAATGCTCTTACTTGTAGACATAAAAAATGGGTATCTGGTTATGTGCTTGAAGCTGGGTCCTCTCATCACTGAACTACACAAAAAACAAAACCATAAAAGAAGATTCCAAATTTGGGCATGCCAAACATTTTACCTGATCAAAAATATGGATAGTTTTGCATAAATAAAGATACAGATAGAAGAATGAGAGGATAAGTTAAAAATAATATTTTGTATTCACATAGGGAAAAATAGGGAACATTTTTGAAAATCTCATAGGGCTTTCCAAACCTTCAGGAGTTAAGCACTAATATGGTTGATGAAATCCTTCAGAGGGTTTAGAATTGTGATTTTATAGGAGGAAACCAAGTTTAGTGCTTTGGCTTTCACAGTCATTTGAAAACTGTGAGCTCTTTGTCTACAAAGTTTTCTCAGTGAGATGATGAGGAGAGGACAATGTTGAAACAGATGAATGCAGACTCACTCTGGGTGAAGAGGGTTTGAGTCTTGGAACCTGATAGGGTTTGGCTGTGTCCCCACCCAAATCTCATCTTGAATTATAGCTCCCACAATTCCTACATGTTGTGGGAGGGACCCAGTGGGAGGTAATTGAATCATGGGGGTGGGTTTTTCCTTTGCTGTTCTCATGATAGGGAATAAGTCTCATGAGATCTGATGATTTTAAAAAGGGAAGTTTCTCTGCAGAAGCTCTCTTCTCTTGTTTGCCACCATGTGAGACATGCCTTTCACCTTCCTCCATGATTGTGAGGCCTCCCCAGCCACGTGGAACTGTGAGTCCATTAAACCTCTTTCTTTTGTAAATTGCCCAGTCTTGGGTATGTCTTTATCAGCAGCATAAAAATGGACTAATACAGAACCCAAATTGTTGATCATGCCACCAGCCCTGGCAATCCTAGGGAGGTGCTGTGGAATTTGGAAATCTCTGTTGTGTGCACAGTGCAGTTGGAAAACCACCAGTTCAGTGTCAGTTTACATTCTTAGGACAGCACTCAAATTAGGATTCCAGTAGGTTGAAAGAGTATCCTGAAAGATCCTTAGGAAGGCACAGACATCTCAAATTACTGATGAGGGATAGGGATGCATTTTGCTGCAGGAGATATAACTGCCCTAAGGCTGCACACATCTCTAGCTTTAAGAGTAGTGGCAATGAGCAATGCATGGAGATTTGTGTCGTTAACACACTCCTTGGCACAACCCAAGGAGTTGTATTAGCTGTATTAGCTGTTACTACAGCTTCTACTACTAGTGGCACAATTCCTACTATGACACCCACCATGACTACTATTCATCTCTATTAATTGACAGCTCTGGTGCTACCATTTCTTTTCCTGTCCAGGCCCCCAAAGAACACAGGACAGGGATCAAAAGGAAAAAATGAGTGGCCACACATCCCTTATTTAGTTTCCACTCAGGCTCTAGAGTTACAGACTTTATGGGTGATAAATAGAACAATTATAATAAAAAAAAAACAGGCTTACTTATTCAGTTATTAGCATGGTGTCTAGCACAGAATGACTGCTGAACATACAGTATCTCATTTTATTCTCACAGAAACTCTATGGGGTGGGTATGCCTATATGCTCATTTTGCAGATGAGTAAACTGAGCACAGAGAGATCAATTAAATTGCCCCAGGCCACAGGGTTACCATGCGAAAAAAGTATGTCTGCAAAGTTCAGTGCTGTTCTGTTTATCTTTTGATTGTTCTTGAATTTCATCTGGAAGTGGTCAAGAGGCATGGAGGTAGTGATTTTAAACACCCTCCTCAAACCCCAAGCTGAGCTTCACATACTCGGAACCTGTCTATACTCCGTGTGCAGAGAAGCACTGAAAGTAGCGGTTGCTGCTTGATGAACGAAGGAGAGAAGGGAGAGCGGAAAGATAACACAGGGTCACTTGCCTGGATCCTCAGGACTGGCTGTTGGCAGAAACTAAGCCTAAAAGGAGGCAGGGTGCATGGTGTTCCAGTTAGAAGTTAAAGGATTGAAAACTCATGGAGCATGAGGGAAGAATGTTTGGTGGGATCAGTAAGTCCAGCCATGCAGATAGGAATCAACAGAAACTTTGATTATCTGTATCAGCTCTAAATGCTCCTTTAAGCCTCTCAATAGCTCCTTTTGCACCCACATGTCACAGAACCCCTTATTTTTACCTTTTAGCAACAACAGGCAGTACCTTTTTAATCTTCCAACTGTCATCTTCTGTTTTACACAAGCTAGTTTTCCTCATTATTATGATGTTGGGTTTTATTATCTTGTGCCTATTTCAGCCTAATAGCTGTCACCCAAGTTATTTTTTTCCCATCTTTTAATACTGAGAATTGGATTCTTCAGTCTCTAGGTTTCTCATTTTCTTTTTTTTTGAGACAGAGTCTCATACTGTCACCCAGGCTGGAATACAGTGGCACGATGTCCACTCACTGCAACCTCCACCTCCCAGATTCAAGCGATTCTCCCACCTCAGCCTCCTGAGCAGCTGGGACCACAGGCACACAGCTAATTTGTTTTTTTGTTTGTTTTTTGTTTTTTTTTTTTGTTTTTTTTGGTAGAGACAGGGTTTCACCATGTTGCCTTGGATGGGCTCCATCTTCTGGGCTCAAGCAATCCGTCCACCTTAGCCTCCCAAAGTTCTGGGATTACAGGCATGGGCCACTGGTTCCGGCCTTCCTTTTTCTTTTTGATACATATCTTAAAAGCTTTTTCCTCACTGGGTTCACTCATTTCCTGTCCTTCCTTTGTTCCTTCAGAACAGGAGTGCAATGTGCATTCAACAGTGGGGATGACTGTGGGCCCCAGTGAAGAGTTAGAGTCTGCAGATGGTTGTAGATGACTTCTGCCAAGTGTACATAAAACAAGAATATCTTGGCATCCAAGGCAGTTTACCAATTCCTTATCTCTATTGGGAGAAAGACCCATTTTCTGTCCTAGAAACTGTCGGAAGGAACAACCAACAGCCTAGGGAATACTTGGGTGCTACCAACAAAACAGAATAAACTAAAAATATAAATATACAAAATAGTGACCCTGGAAAAAACTTAAATTACAATTTGAAATTTATATTGAAGTGCCTTTAATATTAATTGTTATATCCTAAAGGAACAACCAACAGGCCAAGTGCAGTGGTTCATGTCCGTAATCCCAGCACTTTGGGAGGCTAAGGCGGGAGGATCACTTGAGCCCAGGAGTCTGAGACCAGCCTGGGAAACATAGGGAGACTCCCGTTTCTACAAAATAAATTAATAAAAATTAGCTGAGTATAGTGGCATGTACCTGTGGTCCCAGCTACTTGGGAGGCTGTGGTGGGAGGATCACTTGAGCCCAAGAGGTAGATGCTGCAGTAAACTGTGATTGCACCACTGCACTCCTGCCTTGATGGCAGAGTAAGACTCAGTTTTTTTTTCTTACTCATCCGTCAATAGTTTATTAATTCTGTGCATTTTTTGGAATAGTTCTAATAGCCTCTGACTGAAGCTAAAGTCTGAAATTTCAGAGTCTAGCTAATTGGAACATATATCCCAGATTTAAAATACATTTATTTGGCTGGGTGTCGTGGCTCACGCCTGTAATCCCAGCGCTTTGGGAGGCTGAGGCAGACAGATCACCTGAGGTCAGGAGTTCTAGACCAGCCTGGCCAACATGGTGAAACCCTGTCTCTACTAAAAATACAAAAATTAGCCGGACGTAGTGGCAGGCACCTATAAATCCCAGCTACTCGGGAGGCTGAGGCAGGAGAATCGCAGAGAGTGGGGCGGGTGGCGGAGGTTGCTGTGAGCTGAGACAGCGCCACTGCACTCCATCCTGGGCGACAGAGTGAGACTCGGTCTGAAAACATAAAATAAAATAAAATACATTTATTCTAGCTTTGAAGTATCACTCTTCTGTTTGTCTCTTAAGAGCAGGAAAATCTGTATAGAGTCAAGGCAGTATAAAAAATCTCATTTGTTTTCAGAGAAAACAGGAGGTAGAGGGCACAAGGCCCCCTGGGACACAGTAGCTAGCGGCTAGAGACTCAGTTTTAAAAGGTAAGGAACAACCAACAAACCTTTAAACAGTCAAACTGCTGATCATTTTCTCACTCAGATTTCTAATATTGTCATCAGACTCAGGCCAAGCCTTCAATATCACTTTAGGATAATTAATTATCATATACCTGATAATTACAAAATTGTAAACCAAATTTCCTTTTCGATCAGCCTCTAAGTTTTCAAACCTGTGCTCCAAATTCACACTGCAGATAGTTTGCATTTCCTGAACATTGGGCTCCTCTGAATATATTTTATGAATCATCATGATTGGGATATTTATCTATGATTGACATTTCCACATGGAAATGGCAAATACTTCTGAAATGTTCTGTGTAGTTTTTCCTGAGCCCTTTCCCTCTTTTCTGTACCTTTTATCTGTTCACCCAGTAAACACATGTTGAGTGCTTTATTATGAATGATCACCATGGTAGGTATTGCAGATAAAGAGATGAAGAGACAAGGTTCCTTGTCGTTTGTGACTCCAGCAGAGTCTGTTGGAACTGGAGAGGGGAGACACTTGACCAATGGTCAGTTCATTAGAAAGATTTTTTTTTTGAGGTCCTTATTAGGCAGTGTTTTGGCATCAGCCAGGAAGTAGCAAAGGTTCTGGGAGAGAAGCACCTTAGTTATTGGCTCTGTGATATTGGGGCAAGTTCCTCACCCATTCTTAGTTTTAGATTTCTCATCTATTAAGAAAGAAAATTGATATTACTTTTCATGGATTTATAAATGAGAGCCATCATTATCAGAGTAACTCTCTTGCTTTCCTTCTTTCTCAGTGTATCTATTAATTGTTTTGAAAACAATGAGAACAAAAAATAATGGAATTAATTCAACAAAGACAGCACTTTGATCTCATAGGGATATTGTTCATTCTCTGCTCAGACTTTCATTTGACCCTACAAGGCCCTTTACATTTTTATGTAGTGTTCTATTTGAATATATTTGTTCAGAAAAATGGCAGAACCTAAGCCTTTGACACATCAAAGTGCTACGGCACCAGGTCTGGACTTTAATGGCACCCATCGTCAACTCTTGGGCCCCAGAATTCTATCAGCACATTTACTGGAACCATCCCATGAGCATACCACAGAATCCACACTTTTTGCTTGAGTCTCATGTTACATAGAACCCCCAGTTCCCTAGGAAAGAAACAGCCTTCGCAGAGTCAGATATGAAACAAAGGCATCTGGTGCCCAGTCCCATTGTTCTTCAGTGGTTATTTGTCAACTCTGTAGTCAGTGAACGATTTAAAACAGACATCTTCATGCATTATTCAGTAAAAGCAAGCTTGTCATACAATATGTGGATACCACATTTCCTGAAGGGAATTTTCTGCCTTTGATTATTTGTACATTTCCTTCCTTGAAATTCTCAAATATGCAGTTACAAGATTACCTGCTGATCTGAACAACAGTTTTATGAATGCCTCCATTTAATTGTATTGACATTGTTGTTTTTAGTGTTTGCATACCTTCCAAATACTTCACATGATAAACAACTCATAAACATTCCTGTTGAATTGACTGTGCTGTCCCAACTGGACATGAAATTTGAGTTATTCTCATTACACTCATCCATATTTAGGCAAAACTCTTGTTGCTTCATGTTCTATCTTAGAAAGAAGAATTTTAGTTGATTAGTCTTTCAGTTAAGGTATTTGTAGTGAAAAACTTCTGAAATGAAAAGTTTGCTATCCAAAATACCTTTGAAAATTGTAGGTAGACAGTGAAGTATTTATGCTGTTGATTGAATACCATCCTATAATATTGTAGAGCAATGAATTTATATGTATATTATTAAAAAAAACTTTAGGTACCTAGGTCATTTCCAAATATGCTATTTTTGTTTTCTGAAGGAGTGTACTGAAAAGAAAGGAAGAGGAAACCATACTACTTTCTTAAGTCTGCTGTAACAAATTACCACACAGTGGATGTCTTAAAACAACAGAAAATTATTTTCTCAAAGTTCTTCAGGCTGGAAGTCTGAAATGAAGGTGTCAGTAGGGCCATGTTCTCTCCGAAGGCTCGAGTGGAGATTTCTTGCCTCTTTCAGCTTCTGGTGGTTTCAGATGTCCTCTTGGCTTCTGGCTGCATTAATTCCAATCTCTGCTGTTGTCTTCATATGGCCTTTGACTCCTTCTCCCTGTTTTTTCTCTTCTTCTCTGTGCTTCTTATAAAGCACTTGTGTTAGATTTAGGGCCCACCTGGATAATCCAGGATGATCTGTTTTCAAGATTCTTAACATAACATAATAATGATATGGACCAAGACCCCATTTCCAAATAAGGTCACATTCACAGATTTTGGGGATTGGGATGCTGACATACTTTTTCAGGGACCACCACTCACCTCACAGCATCCTCTAAGGTTTTATCATTAGTCATTTCACTTTGGATGTGTATGAACTATTTCATAATAACCACTTACTTTTATCAGTCACACAACCTCTGAATTCACTAAAACACACTTATTTGACAGAATCGTGAAGTGAAGTTGGTTTTCCTTCATAAGTTCAAATAAATAGCAATAATTTATCCCGGGGATATTTACACACACAGATTGGAAGTGGCAAAGGTCTTTTGACAAATAGGTGCATTTCGTTTTAGGCAAATGAGTTATTGAAATTGACCAGCCACTTCCCAAAAAGTTTTGTCATTAATAAAAGTTGAGAAACCTTCTATTTGCAATTCAGAGGTGGTTACCACTAGATGGGAGTCTTGGCTCATTAGAGAGCCCCAATCTCTTGACTAGTGGCTCAAAGACCATCACTTCAGAAGGCATGTTTGCTTTCCTTTAAGTACAACACAGTTAAAATACTAAAATCCATGTGAATAAATGTGTGCTGTATAGATAGAGAAACAAGACACTGAATTAAAATAAAATGCAAGGAGAACAGAATTCCCAGGCATTATAAGTTACCTTCTCCAGTTTTCTTCCTTTTGGGCTAAGGTGGTAATTATAAATCCAAGTTGCCTTACTTGTACCCACTGTTCTTTGGTGCAGTGGTTATCTGCTTGGTTGCACATTGAATCCTCTGGGGAGCTTTAGAAGATACTGATGCCTAGGTGCCCCTGATTTACCTGGGCATTGGGAGCAAATGCTGAAAAGATCCAGATGGAGATGAAAAACAGTGAGAACCCTAGGAAGGCATAGGAAGCTGTACTCTTGAGAAAGCAGGCATAATGAGGAAGAGAAGACGCAGTATTGATAAGCTCAGCAGTTGCTGAGCAGGTAGAAAGCAAGACGGAGCATTGCCATGTCACTCTAGGGGCAGAGGTTCAATACACAGCTGTTGCTGAGTTAGACCATTTCACAATTTGGGGATTCTTGTGGAAGTCACATTTCTCTTATTGTACCAAGTATTCACCCAGAAAGACATCATCTGAGATAGACCATGGGACTCTGTTTCTTACAACCGCAAGAGCAGGGCACAGAGGACCTTCCATTGAATAGTCTTTGGAGTCCCTGAGCTTTTCCCTCTAAGTCTCATCCCTCTCACTTGTGGGGGCTTAAGAGATTTTGTTACCAGAAAGCGATTCTGATCCAGATCCCAAGAGAGGGGTATCGGATCTTGAGCAAGAAAGAATTTGGGACAAGTCCACACAATAAAGTGAAAGCAAGTTTATTAGGGAAGTAAAGAAATAAAAGATAGGCTACTCCATAGGCAGAACAGGCTATGTTCATACAGAGAACAACCAGAGGGCTGCTGGTTGGCATTTTGATGGTTATTTTTTGATCATATGCTAAACAAGGGGTTGATTATTCGTGAGTTTTCCAGGAAAGGGGCGGGCATTTCCTGGAACTGACCATTCTTCCCCTTTCAGACCATATAGGGTAATTTCCAGATACTACCATGGCATTTGTAAACTGTCCTGACATTGGTAGGAGTGTCTTTTAGCATGCTAATGCATTATAATTAGCATATAATGAGCAGTGGGGTTGATCAAAGATCACTTTCGTTGCCATCTTGGCCAAAGCCACCATCTTTGGTGGGCTTTCTTTTTTTTTCTTCTCTGCATCCTGGTTTATCAGCAAGGTCTTTATGACCTGTATCTTGTGATAACAGTCCTGCCAACCTCCTGTCTTTTCCTGTGACTTAGAATGCCTAACCTGGGAATACAGCCCAGCAGGTCTCATCCTCATTTTCCCCGTCCCCTATTCAAGATGGAGTCACTCTGGTAATTTGGGCACAGTGGATTGGCCAATCCTCCTACTGCTGCTTAAAGTTGCCAATGACTCCCTCATGGTCAACCCAGGCACAAATAAATCCAGTAGCAGAAGACACCAGAGTAGTGGGTCTCAGTTTTGACCTTCCCTGACACAAAATGCTAGTAGAGATTTCTTAAAATTGTTTGTATGTTTCTATTAAACATTAACTTTTATAAGATTATGTCAAATAGAGCATGATAAGAGGAATCTTGTTGGAAGAGGAAATATTGAACACTCAGCTTACCTTAGCCCCACTCTCTCACCCTTTTTTTGAATTATGTTTATTTTTTGTTTCCACTTTATTCACCTCCCAGTTGAAAACACAGTGTAGAAAAAGGTGAAAGATTCTTTATCCAGGAGGAACAATACCCCACCATCTCAGAAACACAGGGTGAATTTTTATCCATTGCTTGTCCCAAATGTAGCTTTCTGTACACTATTCCATGGGACAAGAGAAGAATTAGAGTCATATCTGTTATTCTCAACCTTGATCGCATAATGAAATCACTTTTTAAAATATTGATGCCTGTGTTCTACCCACACAGATTTTGATTTCATGAGTGTGGGGTGTGACCTGGGAATTGGGATTCTAAAAAAGCAACTGAGGTAATATTAACATGCAGCCAAGGTTGGGAACTCTTGGTCTACCTGCTGTCCCTAATCCATCATTTTCTATGTCTAACCACTGGCTCACAAATGGAATACTGTCAATCAAGGGTGTTTCTTTTACTTTATTTGCAAAATATTCTTTTTTTTATTATTATACTTTAAGTTTTAGGGTACATGTGCACAATGTGCAGGTTAGTTACATATGTATAAATGTGCCATGCTGGTGTGCTACACCCATTAACTCGTCATTTAGCATTAGGTATATCTCCTAATGCTATCCCTCCCCCCTCCCCCCACCCCACAACAGTCCCCAGAGTGTGATGTTCCCCTTCCTGTGTCAAAATATTCTTTAGAAAATACAAAAAAGCATTTAGAATACACACATATGCAATATCATTTAAACTATTTCCAAAATGTTCTCAATGAATCCAGAATTCATTTTTCCTTCATTAATATTTTTTCCTAAAGTTAGAGGGAAGCTACAGAAGTATTTATTCATTCAGTGACTATGGATAGATCCCTTACTCTGTGCCCGGAATTGTTCCATCAGATAATCCTGCTATGTTTTTCTCACACCAGCCCTGGGGTATTCTTGTGCTGTGTCTTTCACAGTTAATGCTGAATGGAAACTGTTGTATTTAAAACAGTCAAACAATGTCCAAAACAAAGGATCAGCAAAACACCAGAACTTTGGTACTCTCTGTGGCAGTCTGCAAGACGCTTGATGCTTGACAAATGCAGGTTTCACGGATTTAAATTCTTTCTGAATAATAAAAACCATTAACAACAATTAATCCCCCTCCTTCCCACCTAACCAAATAGCAGTTTGATGTGTAACACAACTGGGAGAGTGGGTTGAAAAAATATTCCTAGTTTATTGCAGGTGTTTATCATCAAAATGGAATCACATTTCTGAGTTTTTGTTTTGAAAACTGACAATTCAAAAAGATTTCAGAGATGTTTTATGATGTAGTTCATTGCTTCAAATTACCAAAATTCATTTCATTTCTGTAAATAAACTATATTATAAAATGATTAGCCATGAAGTGTTTGTGAAGTGGCCAAGTTTGTTTTTAAAAATGGAAACACTACGTTAAAAATGTAGTTAGTTAACTAAGTAAGTTAAAGTTAACTCACAAGGCAGTGGGTTTACAATGCTCTGTTGGTGTTTAAACTTTTTAGCATTAGACCAATGTTTAATAATAAAAAAAATCTTCATATGGGTATTGTTTTCTATGAGTGAGTGAGTGAGTGAGTGATTTTAGTCTGGTCTTAGTCTAAACACTCTGCTTTTAGTTGCTCAGGAGCTATCAGTTACTAGCCCTAAGCAGGGCCTTATCTACTTTGGTTCACATTTATTCAGGGTGGTTTTGCAGACCTGCCCGTTAGAGGCTGAAGCAAGTATATGTCATATGTGGGCTTGCTGTTGCTTGCAAGACTTTCTCCAATTACTCGTATAATCTACATGTCGGCTGTTTTGTGTCAAACTTTAAGTAGGACTTGATATCATTTAATGCCAAGAAAGAATCCACTCTAGAAAGAATTTACCTACTTCTACCCCAAGGCATTAGTTAGCAATGTAGATTTTACTGAAATGCACTTGTAGAAGATTAGAAGGATGATTTTATTTTATCTTTTAAGAAAATAGCATAACATTTCATAACTTTCCCTCATATCCCCTCTCCCATGCCCCTTAGGCCTCTGCCAAGCATCTTGTCTTCTTCCCCTTCCTTGCTAGTGCTAACTTCCTGGCTTTCAGTTGGGCATCCATATCTTTCCACAATTGAGAGCTATACGCCGTTTATTGAGCTATTTCTCAGCACCTCACAGCCAATCTTACATCCTCAAACCTATAGAAAGCAGTAGGGCATTAAAAATAAAAAGCCTTCTATTACCAAGGTTGCCACATATAGAAGATAAAAATACTGCCAATGTTACCTGGGACGTCCTTACACTAAAAACTTACTTGATATTCATCTGAAATTCAAATTTAACTGGATATTTGCCTTTTTTTTTAAACTTAAAACAACAAAAATTTATTTCTCACAATTCTGCAGGTCAGAAACCTGAAATCAAGGAGTCAGCAGAGTTTGTTCCCTCTTAGGGGGTTGCAGGGAGAATCTGTTTCCCGCCTCTCTCCTTGTTTCTGTAGCCCCAGCAATCCTTGGCATTCCCTGGTTTGTAGATGCATCACTCCAATCTATGCCTGCGTCTTCACATGGCTGTCTCCACTGGGTGTCTTTATATGGCCTTCTTCTAAGGACATCACTCATTATATTAGGGCCCTACCTAATCCAGTATGATCTCATCTTAACTGATTACATCTGCAAGGACCCTATTTCCAAATAGGGTTACGTTCTGAGAGTCTGGTGGACATGAATACTGTTCAACCCAGGACAGTGGCATTTTTTCTTTTTTTTTTTTTTTGGAGTACCTAAAGATTTTTATTTTATTTTTCCATAAGTTATTGGGGTACAGGTGGTATTTGGCTACATGAGTAAGTTCTTGGTAGTGATGATTTGTGAGATTTTGGCTCACCCACCACCCGAGCAGTTATACGCTGCACCATATTTGTAGTCTTTTATCCCTTGCCCCTCTCCGATTTTTCCCTCAAATCCTCAAAGTCCGTTTGTATCATTCTTATGCCGTTTTGTACTCATAGCTTAGCTTCCACTTATCAGTGAAAACATACAATGTTTGCTTTTCCATTCCTGAGTTACTTCACTTAGAATAATAGTCTCCAGTCTCATCCAGGTCACTGCAATGCTGTTAATTCATTTCTATTTATGACTGCATAGTATTCCATCATATATGTATACACATATATATGTGTGTGTGTGTGTGTGTGTGTGTATATATGATGGAATATATATGTATACATATATACATATATACGTATATACGTGTATATATACATATATACGTATATATACGTATATACGTATATATGTGTATATATGATGGAGTATATATGTATACATATATGTATATTTACATATATACACATATATACATATATGATGGAATACTATGTTCCATTGGTCTATGTGCCTATTTTTTATACCAGTGCCACGCTATTTTGGTGACTATGGCCTTATAGTCTAGTTTGAAATAGTATACATATATATATACATACCATAGTTTCTTTATCCACTCATTGATTGATGGGCATTTGGGTTGGTTCCCTGATTTTGGAGTTGTAAATTTTGCTGCTATAAACATGCACGTGCAAGTATCTTTTTCCAATAATGACTTATTTTTCTCTGGGTAGATACCCAGTGGTAGGATTCCTGGATCAAATGGTAGTTCTACTTTCAGTTCTTTAAGGAATCTCCACACTGTTTTCTCTAGTGGCTGTACTAGTTTGCATTCCCACCAGCAGTGTAGAAGTGTTCACTGCTCACCGCATCCATGCCAACATCTACTGTTTTTTCATTTTTTGATTATGGACAGTCTTGTAGGAGTGAGGTGGTATCACATTGTGATTTTGATTTGAATTTCCATGATCATTAGTAACGTTGAGCATTTTTAAATGTGTTTGTTGGCCATTTGTATGTCTTTTGAGAATTGTCTATTCATGTCCTTAGCCCACTTTTTGATGGGATTGTTCTTTTTTTTTACTGATTTGTTTGAGTTTGCTGTAGATTCTGGATATTAGTCCTTTGTCAGATGTATAGCTCGTGAAGGTTTCTCCCACTCTGTGGGTTGTCTGTTTACTCTGCTGACTGTTCCTTTTGCCGTGCAAAAGCTCTTTAGTTTAATTAGGTGCTAGCTATTTCTTTTTGTTTTTATTGCATTTGCTTTTGGGTTCTTGGTCATGAAATCCTTGCCTAAGCCAATGTCTAGAAGGGTTTTTCCAATGTTACCTTCTAGAACTTTTATAGTTTCAGGTCTTAGGTTTAAGTCCTTAATCCATGTTGAGTTGATTTTTGTGTAAGGTGAGAGATGAGGATCAAGTTTCATTCTCCTACATGTGGCTAGCCAATTATCCCAGCACCATTTGTTGAAAAGGGTGTCCTTTCCCCACTTTATGATTTTGTTTGCTTTGTTGAAGATCAGTTGGCTGTAAGTATTTCGATTTATTTCTGGGTTCTCTCTTCTGTTCCATTGGTCTATGTGCCTAGGTGATGCCTCCAGAGCTGTTCTTTTTGCTTAGTCTTGCTTTGGCTCTGTGGGCTCTTTTTTGGTTCCATATGAATTTTAGAACTGTTTTTTCTAACTCTGTGAAGAATGATGGTGGTATTTTGATGGAGATTGCATTGAATTTGTAGCTTCTTCTATCAATGGTTGAAAATATTACAAGATTTTCATTCTTTTAAAAAAGTACTGTTATTACTATTATCTATGTAGAAAAGTTTTGAAAATAGATTTTAATAATATCATCAGTCTTTCTTATATTAATGTATCTGGCAACAGAGAACATCTCTGTTTCTAGAGAATTAGAATTCCTTTTTTTTTTTTTTTTGACAGTCTCACTCTTATCACCCAGGCTGGAGTGCAGTGGCACAATCTTGGCTCACTGAAACCTCTGTCTCCTGGGTTTAAGTGATTCTTGTGCTTCAGCCTCCCAAGTAGCTGGAATTACAGGTGTGTGCCAACACACCCAGCTAATTTTTGTATTTTTAGAAGAGACAGGGTTTCACCATGTTGGCCAGGCTGGTCTCTAACTGCTGACTTCAGGTAATCTGCCCGCCTCAGCCTCCCAAAGTGCTGGGATTACAGGCATGAGCCACTGCACCTGGCCCAAGAATTACAATTCCTTAATGGGGTATTAGATTAAGTTTTAATAAAGATAACAGACTTGACCTATGGGTGAATAATGTTTTAGACTTTACGAAACACTTAAAAATTAGATCATTTTGTTTTTGCAACAACCTTGTGAAGCTGAGAGATAAGATGATATTGTACCATTTCACAGGTTGAGAAGATTGAAACATGGCGGTGTGATTTGCCTAAGTTATGAAGCCAGAACCAGAGCTTAGATCTCTTGGTCCTGATCTCATTTCCATTCAGTTAACAGACATTTAACAAGCATCTAGTCACTGGGTTATGCACCAGGAATCAAAGATAATGCAAAGTTCTTGTCCATAATGAATTTGTTGTCTAGAGGTAGATGGGTGCAGCAAGTGTGAAAGACCACAAGGAAAGTGTGAACAAGGAATATAAACAAATATCTTAAAATTCACTTTTAAAGTTTTCTCAGATCAAATAAGACATGAGTATGAGTTGACTGATAAAATTTTGAGTCAGGCGTCCTTTTAGAAGGACTAAAATATGCTAATGGTAAGGAATATGGTGTATACGGGAGATGGTCATAAATTTTGAGTCAGAAATTTAGGCTGGGCTCAGGAGGGTGGTTCTTCTGGTCTCATTTGAATTTGTTTATGTGTAGGGAATGACTGAGTGTCGGCTGGGGCTATGAGGATGATTTGACTTGCTCTAATGCCCCTTATTCTCCAGCAGGCTAACCTGGGCATATTCACATAGTGATGACTGAGGTGTAAGAATGTAAGCAGAAATGCGCACCTTTTCAATCCTCTTCTTGTGTAACATTTGCTGATATCTCATTGCTACAAGAAGTTACAGCACTGAAGCAAGAGTCAAAGTGGGAATATACTTAATGTTACATGGCAAACCTTGTGGATATAGGGAGAAGTAAAGAATTGGGGACATATTTGTAATTTATCATGGGGTAAGTGCTAGCAGTAAAAATGCTGTGTTAAGGAACATGCCTAATTTTAAAGTTTGATACATATTGCTGTATTGTCTTCCTGAAAAGTACCAAACTATATTACAAGTTAAGCATCCCTGATTTAAAAATTTGAAATCAGAAAATCTGAAACTTTTTGAGTAATGATATTGTGTCTGGAATTGGTGTGTTCTTGGTCTCACTGACTTCAAGAATGAAGCCGCGGACCCTTGCGGTGAGTGTTACAGTTCTTAAAGGTGGTGTGTCCGGAGTTTGTTCCTTCTGATGTTTGGATGTGTTTGGAGTTTCTTCCTTCTGGCAGGCTCGTGGTCTTGCTGGCTTCAGGAGTGAAGCTGCAGACCTTCGTGGTGACTGTTACAGCTCTTAAGGCAGCGCATCTGGAGTTGTTCGTTCCTCCTGTCTGGAGTTGTTCATTTCTCCCAGTGGGTTCATGGTCTCACCGGCCTCAGGAGTGAAGCCGCAGATCTTCGCGGTGAGTGTTATAGCTCATAAGGCAGTGCAGACCCAGAGAGTGAGCAGCAGCAAGATTTATTGCAAAGAGTGAAAGAACAAAGCTTCCACATTGTGGAAGGGGATCTGAGTGGGTTGCCACTCCTGGCTCTGGCAGCCTGCTTTTATTCCCTTATCTGGCCCTACCCACATCCTGCTGATTGGTCCATTTTACAGAGAGCTGATTGGTCTGTTTTGACAGGGTGCTGATTGGTGTGTTTATAATCCCTGAGCTAGACACAAAAGTTCTCTAAGTCCCCACTAGATTAGCTAGACACAGAGCACTGATTGGTGCATTTACAAACCTTGAGCTAGACACAGGGTGCTGATTGGTGCATTTACAAACCTTGAGCTAGACACAGGGTGCTGATTGGTGCATTTACAAACCTTGAGCTAGACACAGGGTGCTGATTGGTGCATTTACAAACCTTGAGCTAGACACAGAGTGCTGATTGGTGTATTTACAATCCCTGAGCTAGACACAAAAGTTCTCCAAGTCCCCACTAGATTAGCTAGACACAGAGCACTGATTGGTGCACTTACAAACCTTGAGCTAGACACAGGGTGCTGATCGGTGCATTTACAAACCTTGAGCTGGACACAGGGTGCTGATTGGTGTGTTTACAAACCTTGAGCTAGACACAGAGTGCTGATTGGTGTATTTACAATCCCTTAGCTAGACATAAAGGTTCTCCAAGTCCCCACTAGACTCAGGAGGCCAGCTGGCTTCACCTAGTGGATCCTACACCGGGGCCGCAGGCAGAGCTGCCTGCCAGTCCCGCGCTGTGTGCCCGCACTCTTCAGCTCTTGGGTGGTCGATGGGACCAGGCGCTGTGGAGCTGGGGGATGGCGCTCGTCGGGGAGGCTCAGGCCACACAGGAGCCCACCGCCGTGGGGGGAGGCTCAGGCATGGCAGGCAACAGTTCCCGAGCCCTGCCCCGCAGGGAGGCAGCTGAGGCCCGGTGAGAATTAGAGCTCAGCGCCGGCAGGCTGGCATTGCCGGGGGACCTGGCGCACCCTCTGCAGCTGCTGGCCTGGGTGCTAAGCCCCTCACTGCCCGGGGCTGGTGGTGCCGGCCGGCCGCTCCGAGTGCAGGGCCCGCCAAGCCCATCCCTACCCGGAACTCGTGCTGGCCCGTGAGTGCTGCATGCAGCCCCAATTTCTGCCCGCGCTGCTCCCTCTACACCTCCCCACAAGCAGAGGGAGCTGGCTCCAGCCTCGGCTAGCCCAGAGAGGGGCTCCCATAGTGCAGCAGTGGGCCGAAGGGCTCCTCATGCATGGCCAGAGTGGGTGCCGAGGCCGAGGAGGTGCCAAGAGCGAGCGAGGGCTGCCAGCACACTGTCACCTCTCAATACGATGCCACAAGTATATAATTTCTTACCTGGCCTTATGTGACAGGTCGCAGTCAAAACTTTGTTTTATGCACAAAAATACTAAAAATATTATTTAAGGTGGGTGCAGTGGCTCATGCCTGTAATCCCAGCACTTTGGGAGGCCGAGGTGGGCAGATCACCTGAGGTCAGGAGTTCGAGACCAGCCTGACCAACATGGTGAAACCCCGTCTCTACGAAAATTACAAAAATTAGCCAGGTGTGGTGGTGGGTGCCTGTAATCCCAGCTACTTGGGAGGCTGAGGCAGGAGAATTGCTTGAACCCAGGAGGCAGAGGTTGCAGTGATCTGGGATCTCACCATTGCACTCCATCCTGGGCAACAGAGCGAGATTCTGTTTAAAAAAAAAAAATTCTTTCAGGCTATGCGTATAAGGTGTTTAAGAAACAAATAAATTTTGTGTTTAGATTTGGGTCCCATCCCCAAGATAGCTTATTATATATATGCAAATATTCCAAAATCTGAAAAAAATCCAAAATCCAAAATACTTCTGTTCCCAAGCATTTTGGATAAGGGATACTCAACCTGTATCAGGGATGTCTGTGTGAAAGAGATCATTATTCTACACTGTTACCAGCACTTGCGAAAAAACATTTTACATACTGGTCAACTGTTAATTTAATTTATAGAGAGATTGGCCATTTAAAAAAGTAATAGTAGTTTTATTGAGATATAACCACTGAGGTATAATTATTGAGATAATTCAAATACTATACAAATCACTAATTTAAAGTGTACAATTCAATGGCTTTTACTATATTCACAGAGTTGTGTAACCATCAGCACAATCATTTCTACAACATTTTTTATCACCCAAAAAAGAAACCCCATACTCATTAGCAATCACTCTCCGTTTATCCCCATGACCACTTAAAAATTTAAACATTTAACAGTTTTCTTTTCATGGGTTCTTTATATATCAAGGATATTAAAACTTTTCCCTATTACATATGTTATAGTTATTACTTAAGGTTTTTTGATTATTCGTGTCTCCTTTTATGACATGAAGAAGTTTTTCCTTTTGAATAGGTATAATTTGTGGGTTAGTGAAGGCACAAAGTAATGCATTTATAGTTAACGTTTCTGAACTATATGTGTATATTGAATGTACTGGATTTATTGCATTTAGCTAGGAGAGGAACCTAAGCCTTGATTGTTCCCTGAAGATATAGGTCCATTCCTTTTGCCTAGAGTGCCTATAAATGTTGAGATATAAACAGAAACATTTTGGGCACAATATATTTTCCTAATATTATGTGTATATTATAGTATTAGGTGAACCTTGACTGCTGGATGCAGTTCTGTTCTGTATGTGTCAACTAAAATAATTAAAATAAAGAAGGGAAATGACCAAAGGAATAAAGTCACTGTCACTTGGGAACACACTGCAAAGATTAAGACTATTCAGTTTTGAAAAGTTAAAGGGGAGAATGGCTAGAATGTGATTCATGCTTATGTTGATGATTAAGCAATTTTTGCATCTTGAATGAAATAGTTTTTTAAGTTAAGAATTATAGGTGGCCCCAATGAAACTGTATAGTAAAGGATCAGCTCAGCAGATTGTTCACATCCTGCACAATCCAAAGAAAGGATGACCCTTACTCTGGAGGTAACCTCTAAGCCCTTAGAATATCCTCCCTGATAACAGTGTCTGTTTACCTAGAAGCCTTGGGGCCAGAAAATCTATGCAAATAATTCCATTATGTCTGACATTGGGCCAGACAGTATCAATGTGACCACTAGAGGGACTGGAGACTGAAGATCAGCCATGTGGGTGGATAACTATACCCATATAAATGACTCCCAATATAAACTCTGGCCTAAAGGCTTAGGTGAGCTTCCCTGGTTGGTAATACTCTGTGCATGTTGTTCCACATTGCTGCTGGGAGAATTAAGCTGTTCACACAAATTCACTGTGAGAGGACAACTGGAAACTTGTATCTGGTTTCTCTTAAAATTTGCTCTATGTACCTTTTACCATTGCTGATTTTAATCTGATTCCTTTCACTGTAGTATTACTGTAACTGTGAGTATCACAGTTTTCTGAAGTTCTGTGAAATCCTTCAAGATTATTGAGCCTGAGGGTGATCTTGGGGAGCTCTGAACACAGGAACATGCATTGGGAACTCTGGCATGGCGTCATGGGTAGCTATATGTCTCATTTGCCCAATTACTCAATGATCCTTCTGGGAGAAGTAATAAGAATGATAGAGATGGATGAACAGGTTGAAAGCCTCTAAAGTTGATATAGAACAGAAGCATACAAAGCTATCTTCTAATTTTCAGGGAGTACTTTGAGTTGATAGGTAATTCACCTGCAGGAAGAAGTCAAATAATAAAAGAGTGCTTTTAGATTTGATTTTATGAGTTGCCTCTTTCATATCTGCTGTCCTGGCCCTGGGTGCATGTACTCTAAGCAACTTGAGATAGAGGCTTTGAAAAAAACCTGAAAAATGAAGATAATAAAGCCATATTTGTAGAAGTTATTTAGGAACCAGAGAGAGAAAGGAAAATGCTTTTGGGAAACTCTTAATATCTATAAAGATGATGAGAGAACTCTTCCTGTCTCAATGAAAAGTCTTCACTGCAGGATAAGTGTAGCCTATCTGGGAGCTATGGTGATAAATGAGTGATGTCCCTGAGCAGTGACATCATAGTCACCAAGGAGGGGTGGTGGTCAAGAGCCAGAGCAGCAGGGGAAGATAGAGGCCACCAGGAGGGGGGGTTGAAATAAAATAGAAGTGCAGAAGAACTGTAATGGCTGCTTAAAGGAATTCTTAAGTCTCCCATGACGTCTAGGGCGTTGGGACTTGGATTTGAACAACTTTATTTCATAGACATTGGGTCTGACTACTTTAGTGAGCAAAGCTTTAGTTCACTATTATGGTGGTCCCTTTGAATCTCAAGGTTAGAATGAACTTTAAAAGTTGTCTGGCTGGGCGCGGTGGCTCACGCCTGTAATCCCAGCACTTTGGGATGCCAAGGCGGGCAGATCATGAGGTCAGGAGATGGAGACCATCCTGGCTAACACGGTGAAACCCCGTCTCTATTAAAAATACCAAAAATTAGCTGGGCATGGTGGCTCGCGCCTGTAATCCCAGCACTTTGGGAGGCCAAGGCGGGCAGATCATGAGGTCAGGAGATGGAGACCATCCTGGCTAACACGGTGAAACCCCGTCTCTATTAAAAATACCAAAAATTAGCTGGGCATGGTGGCTCGCGCCTGTAGTCACAGCTACTTGGAAGGCTGAGGCAGGAGAATCACTTGAACCTGGGAGGCAGAGGTTGCAGTGAGCTGAGATTGTGCCAATGCACTCCAGCCTGGGAGACAGAGTGAGACTCCATTTCAAAAAAAAAAAAATTGTTTAGGTCAGTCTTCTAAAGTCACCCAAGCAGAACCCAGTGATGTCTCATTAGCTACTCATAAGCTCATAGCTCATGGACCTGAGTTATAGTGTTTGCAATGGGAATCCAGTCTTTGTTGGTCAATGAGACTCTTCCTGCTATGGGAGGTTTCAGTTTGTGGGGTTTTTTTTGTTTAAAGTGACACAGATGATGGGTTGGCAGAGGGAGTTATATGTCTAATAAAAAATAATGTAGCAACAAAAGAAATGCTCAGGAAACAGCAGCATTAATCTCAGGTGTAGATGGCTTTTTTTTAAAAACAAGAAAATTCTTACAATAAACTCTTTTTGCATACTGAAAGAGGAGGCCAGGAGCTAAGTCTCAGGTGAGTATTTGGAGTTAAATTCCTGCATCTTGTAAAGAAATAGACACCTTGGAATTGTCCTTTGGTGCTTGAGAAGTTGAGAACTGGAAGAAGAGAGATGATAGAAAAGATCTAGAGAGAAAGTTTCTGGGAAACATGGCAGGAGAAAGTGACCCAAGGAGACAGAAGATCTCACTTACCCATTATATGTTTGTGGTAAGATGTTTGAAATGTACTCTTAGCAACTTTGAAATATGCAATACCTTTTTATTAACTGTACTCACCCTGCTGCTCAATAGATCTAAAAGCCTTATTCCTTCTGCCTAACTGAAGCTTTATACCCTTTGATCAACACCTCTCCAACACCCTCCTCCCAACCTCTGGCAACCATCATTCTACTCTCTATTTCTAACAATTTGACTTTTTAAAATCCCTCATGTAAGTGAGATCATACAGTATTACTCTTTCTATTCCTGGCTTATTTCACTCCTCATGATATCCTCCACATTCATCTGTGTTCTCACAAATGACAGAATTTCCTTATTTTTAAAGGCTGAATAGTATTCCATTGTGTATATATACCACATTTTCTTTATCCATCCATCCATCCATTGATGAACACTTAGTTTACTTCCACCTCTTGGCTATTGTAAATAATGTTGCAATGAATGTGGGAGTGGAAGCTATCTCTTTAACATACTGATTTCCATTCCTTTGAACATCTATCCAGAAGTGGGATTGCTGGATCATATGTAGTTCTATGTTTAGTTTTTTAAGGAGTTAAGGAGGCTAATTTTAATGTCTAGCTTCAAGTCTCCTTGTCCTATGGCTTCCCTTTGGGTTGATCTGGATACCAAAACGTGATGCGTAAGAGGAAAAATCGATTAAGTTGGATCTCATAAAAATTAAAAACTCTAGCTCTGTGAAAGCCCATGTGAAAAGGATGGAAATATAATATATAGACTGGGAGAAAATATTTGCAAACCACATATCCAGCAAAGGCTTGTTTCTAGTATATATAAAAAATCAACTAAACCCCCAATATATGAAGAAAAAAGTCAGGTAAAAAATTTAATTAGTAAAGGGCAAAAGGCATGAATAAACACTTCAATGAAGAAGATATAAGACGGCAAAAAGCACGTGAAAAGATATTCATTGTTAGCCACTGGGAAAATGCAACTAGAAACTACAGTGAGATACTAGCACATACCTATCTGGATGGCTAAAATATGGTAATGAAACCTAATGCTGGCAAGGATGCAGAGAACCTTGACCACTTCTACATAGCTGGTGGGAATATAAAATGGGACAACCACTCTGAAGAAGTTTCGTAGTCTCTTACTTATAAAACTAACCTGCAATTGCCATAGGACCCAGCAGTTGCACTTTTGGACATTGGTTGCAGATATATTGAAACATGTTCATATAAAAACATGTTGATGAATGTGTATAAAAGCTTGGTTTGCCTTCAGCAAACGAATAGTTAAACCATGACACATCCATACCATGGAATACTACCCAGCAATAAAAAGAAATGGAAGACTCATACATTCGACAACTTGGATGAATCTCCAGGGAATTAGGCTGATAGAAAAAAGCCAACCCCTAAAGGTTAAATACTGTATGATCCCACTTATATAACATTTTGACAAAATTTTAGAATTGGAGGATAGCCTAATAGTTGCTGGGAGTGTACAAATGGGTGGGGTAAAGAGGTGAGTGTGGTTATATAAAAGCTGAGCCATTTCTCATTGTATACAAATTTCACAACATCATGTTGTCCACCATAAATATGTATATTTGTCAATTAAAAATGTAACACCAAAAAATTTATGACAATTCTTTTCTACTACTGAGAATGTTTTCAAGGGTAAACATTTATTTTTTAAAGTAAAGGTTCTCATGGGATTTTGGAAGACTTGCTTATAAGTAAATCTGTTATTTAAATTTAGGAAATTTTCTTTAGAACTTTATTGATGTCTCATAGATACAAATATCCCATTAACTTTGTTTAATAAATAAATGAATTCACTAGCTAGGCTTTGAAGATATCTCTGAAATCAAACACTGTTTGATGACCTTATCTTTAATCTTTTGGAGGACAAGAATGTTTTTTATTCTAACAACAAAGGTCCTTCATTTGTGACCAGATCTCCTCCTCTTGCCAAACGTGTTCTTTAATTCTGCTGTGACAGTTGCTGGTCTATCCTAAGCCATTTCATCCCCTTTTCCTTGAGGGCAGAGACTTGATTTCATCCTGGTGTCACCTTGTCATGAGTTCAGGGTAAGTGACAACCTCTCTGGACCCCAGAGAGTGAATTATGTTTGGGCTAAGGCAATCATGGTGGACTCATTTCCTTTGTAGACATTGATTTAGGGATGGGCATGTGACTACATCTAGCCAATAAGACCTGAGGAGAAGTCAATTTTGGGAGCTTCTGGAAACTTCCTTGCTAATAGCAATTGAGATACAGGAAGAAATTCACCTTCTCTTTGCTGGGTATTTTTGTGTCTGCAGTTGTTGGCTGATGCTGCCAATACCATGTTTGGACTGTAAAGAGGTCACATGACATTCTAAAGATGACAAAACTGAAATAGAGAAGGCACAAGGGTTCTTGATGATATTGCTTTGCTGCTTCATTGCCATATCATAAGCCTTCTTAGTGTTTGAACTACTTCAAATTGGATAGTCTGTGACTTGCATCAAAAACATTCTAATGGATTACTTAATGCTTAAGGAAAACTGAATGAACACATTTTAGTGAAAAACATGTTCAATAATACATAGAATAACCACTGTGATGGTTAATATTGAGTGTCAACTTGATTGGATTGAAGAATGAATAAAGTATTGTTCTGGGTGTGTCTGTGAGGGTGTTGCCAAAGGAGATTAACTTTTGAGTCAGTGGCCTGGGAGAGGCAGGCCCACCCTCAATCTGGGAGGGTACCATCTAATCAGCTGCCAGAGCAGCTAGGATAAAAGCAGGCAGAAGAACGTGGAAGGACTAGATTGCCTGAGTCTTCCAGCCTTCATCCTTCTCCCGTGCTGGATGCTTCCTGCCCTTGAACATTGGACTCCAAGTTCTTCAGCTTTTGGACTCTTGGACTTACACCAGTGGTTTGCCAGGGACTCTCAGGCCTTTAGCCACAGACTGAAGGCTGCACTGTCGGCTTCCCTACTTTTGAGGTTTTGGGACTCAGACTGGCTTCCTTCTCCTCAGCTTGCAGATGGCCCATTGTGGGACTTCACCTTGTGATCGTGTGAGTCAATACTCCTTAATAAACTCCCCTTCATATATACATCTATGCTATTAGTCCTGTTCCTCTAGAGACCCATGACTAATACAACCACAGTCCACAGCCTTTCTCCTACTCTCACCACACTTGCGTGGGCCTCTCTCAGAATAGGATTATACACAGCAGCCTACTAGTGGGGCAAGAATTTTTTGAATTGCACCTCATTCTGGGCTGGTGCAACTGATTCATCAGGCAGATAAGCCACTGGCTCTGTGGCATCCACTCTTAATGTTAAAAGATGTCTTGACTTCAGCTGGGTTGCCTATAGAAGGCACAAGAGATTCTTTCATGTTTTCTTCATGCTTCAAGTTTTGAGAAGAAATCCTAATTAGGGCTGCTTACCCTGTTCCCAGGCTTGAGGCATTGCCATTGAAACTCCCAGAAGTCTACAAATTCTTCTTGACGCTGCCTGTCTGCTAGACTTTTCTCCCCATTCCTTGAATTAAAAAGGGACCCATTCCCTTTAAGAACTTAAGGGGTTAAAACCTATAACTCCTCTGCAGGATCCTTTTCTGCCAATTTCTGTTAAAGGCCATTGCATATTTTGTCTTCCCTCTTTTTTTTTTACCCTCACCTCTCCAATTTCCACCACTCTACTGAATCCTTTCCAATGGCATTTTAACAGTCACGCCCATCTTAATAAAATCCTCCATTTACTTCACTTTGCTCTCTAATTTATTTTCTCTTAAATAACAACTTGAAAGGGTTGTGTACACTTAGTCTCCATTTTCTTCTCTCTCACTCACCATTTATTTAATCTTTTATAATCTGGCTTCAGTACCCATCACTCCACTGAAACAACTCATGTTATTGTCAACAATGACCTTTTAGGACCTTAAATTCAGGTACCTTTTACTGTCTTTCTTGTTGAACTTCTCAGAAGAATTTGACATTGTTGGGGGAAAAAAAGCATTATTTTTTGACTTCCATGGAGCCTCATTCTGGGTTTTTCTTCTGACACTTGGATAGTTCTCCCTTTGTCTCCTTTACATTCTTTCTATCAATCTATCATTCATGGCTATGGCTAAAGCTTACGATTTACATAGTGATACTTTTACACATGTGTGTATATTTCAATATTTTATGTACACACACACACACGTTTTAAATTCTCCTCAGCTCAAGACCTGTATATCCATTTCTTTTCTGGACTTTGTTTTCCTGAATGTTCTGCAGGCATCTCAGTCTCAACAAGTTCAAACTCTTGACTCATCATTTCTCCTCTTCCTTCACTCTGTCTGCCTCCTCACCTATACATCATTTCTAGAGCTCTCAATTTCAGTAAATGATCATCTCTAGAGCTTTCAATTTCAGTAAATGCCAATATCAGTCACCCATTTGCTCCAGCCATAAATCATGGCTTTGATTTTCCTAACCTCCAAAATAAGAGGGTGGCATAAGATTATCTCTAATGTTACTTTCATTTCTTCAAGTATGCAAAATATTAAATGAAAACCGAATAAAAGGAATTTGAGATGTGTTTTGCCTGAAGGGCCTCCTTCCTTATACTGTAAATTTTTCCATTTTGAAGGAAAGTCCTTTCTTTCTGGAATGTATTAGTTTCCACTTATAGGGTTCTTTTCTGCCAGGTTTTCCTCATGAAATTATTAAAAACAAGATGGATCTAAATTTAGATGCATCTTGAAGATAAGTTGAAGAGATAATCTTTTCAAAATTAAATAAATATTACAAAGATGCTCATCTTTTAATTGCTACATACTACTCAGGAATACATAATGTAGATTCAAAAGAAATAATACTTACGTATTCAAAAATAGATTTGAAATAGGAAAATATTTCTACTCTTAGTGACCTTGGTAGGGTTTTTATGAGATCATCATATCACTAGAGAGAAGGAATAAGAAATTTAATTTGCTAATTTAATTTACAATATTTCAAGGGAAGTCTGAATAGTTCTGTATATGGGCATTTCTTTTTTCTTTTTTTTTAGAAGCAGGGTTTTGCTTTGTCACCCAGGCTGGAGTACAGTGGCATGATCATAGCACATTGTAACCTCGAACTCCTGGGCTCAAGTGATCCACCTGCCTTAGCCTCTTGAGTAACTGGGACTGTAGGCATGTGCCACCACACCTGGCTAATTTTTAAACTTTTTGTGGAGACAGTGTCTCACCATGTTGCCCAGCCTGGTCTTGAACTCCTGGCCTCAGTGATCCTCCCACCTTAGCCCCCAGAATGCTGGGATTACAGGTGGAAGCCACCACACCGGGCTTTTATGGGCATGTCTTAATATTGGTAACAGTTTTTAGTAGGTATGCTTGATTCTCCAGATATCCTGACAATATGTTCCAGGAGAAACGTGAGACAGCTGAACTTAAAAACCAAATAGTCATAGGCCTCCAGATTTGGAGTGTATCTTAGAGATAACCTTGTCAATCTCTTTTATTTTGAAGATAAGATAACTGGGTTTGAGAAGTTAAGTAGTTTGCCCAAGCTCATACAACTTGTGAAAAGCCTAAACAGAACCAAAACCCATGTCTCTGGGTTTCCAGCCAGTGTTGCAGGTGTAAGAATTGCAAATGATAAGGAAAACTTGGGATCTATTCTTACATTGTGGCTTATTTCCTCCTTTGTGAAAATAAACTCACAGCTTCAGAAAGACTTGTACCATTCTTGATATTTGCAAGCAGAATTCAAGCCACAGATTGCAGCTTGGGAGCAGTTTTCCTGCTACAGGACATCAAGTATCAGGCCATAAGAAAACAAAATCAAACTAGATTGGTGAGGTTCTGGCTTTCAGGTAGAAACCATGGAGAATCTGATGCAGAATACCAGTAGAGCATTGCAGCTGGGATTTTCCCAGAGATGATCCTTGTCTTTGAATTAATCTTTGCAAGTCTCTTCCCATGCATGGCCTAGAGACCTTGGTCTGCATTATTTATGGGATCTCAGTGGCACATCGTGTATATTTAAAATGCAATTACTAGGAGAGTACCTGTTTCTCTTGGAAACAAACTACTTGCCTGCTCAAGTCACATTCTAGGTCAATATTTTCTGTTAAACAATCTTTTCAATCTTTTAGATATTAAAAGAGAGAATCTTCTATTAATATGTTTCTACATTTGTTCATATGAAGTCAGTTCTGTGTCTTTACTGAGCTCTGTATTTCTAGTTGTTAAAGATGCCTAGTATGTATTAGGTGTTTAAATGTCATTAGTTGATAATGAGAGTTGCCGAGTGAGAGAGTGTCAAGGAGTTTTGAAATGAAGTAAATACAGAAGATCCTACTTTAATTAATTATTAGCTAGCTTGCCTGCAATCAGCCAAACCAGGCCAAATATTCAGTGCATTATTCACCTACTTGGACTGTGGTATTTGGTGTGGTCCCAATCTGAGACTATATTTGCATCAGAAAATGTTTTGTTCATATCCTGGCACCAATGGAAACAAAATTAAGTCTAGAGCAGGAGAGGCACTAGAGCTACCTGTTCTAAGAGATTGAGGCTTGGGTCTCATGTAATTATTAAAATGAGCAAACCGCTTCAAACAAACCAAAAGAACAAACTTGAAGCAATTTTTATTTGATAAAACTCATATGATTACATGTAATTTAATCAATCGTTATTGGATGCTAATTCCAGACACCCTATCAGTTTCCTCAGATGCAAAATGAATAACATGCTGTCTTTCCCACTGAAGGTACTTTAATTACTTTAATTAAAGAAGAAAGACAGAGACAAATATAATGTAGAGCAAAATGATTGTTACATATGCCTAGTGAATACAGAAGCAATATGGTTGGGAGCAGAGAAGCACATTTGGTTAATGCTGATGTGGGAGTCAGGAACAGATTAATGGAGGAATTGGTATCTGAATTAGCTTTTGAGTGATAAGGAAAATTTTGAGAGAATGTAAAAGGGATAAAAGATATCCCAAGCTTAAAGAAGTCAATGAGCAAAACTTGCCAAAACGCTATAATTTGAAAATACATTAAATGAGGCAATACTTATAACTTATTCCATATTTTTCTTTAATGTGAAGCAATTAAGAGCATTCTAAGGTATAAATAACCTTTACCCAGAATTGGATAAAATGTGGAATGCTTTTCAGAGAAATGCATGTGACCATTAATAAATCTTACGGCATTAAGACAGTATAATGAGCTGCCAAAACCAGAGACCAGCCAGGCAATACTTTAAACAAGTTGGTCTTGCTCTTATAATAATATTTTAAAGGCCAATTAAAATATTTTGTTCACTTGATTGCATGCTTTCAAAGTTTACATGTGAGTCCTGTAATGTAAACAAAGATGTTCTCCACTAAAGTTGCCTTATCATTCTTTGACTTTTAGGACTTTCCCAACATAGGCATGGTTGAAACATAGGTTTTAGTACTGAAGCCCATGGGATTTGTCTTCTGACTAATTAGGCTTTGATTTCAGAACCACAGACGATGCATTTTCTCCACATTGTCTCTTCTGTTCCTGCAAACCCCAGAGAACATGCTGTATGAGTGTGATGGAAATAATTTCACTTTCTCTGACTTATGATTAGTGAAGAGGATTTCAGGCTGGCATCAAGTTACAGGTTTGTTGTCTTCATTTTTTTTTTTCTTTTAAGATTTCTCATAGAAATGGTATGTTCCAGGGTAACCACTCTCCTCACCCCTAGCCCCTTTCTTGGGACAGGATTCCAGGAAGCAGTGGTAGTAAGCAGGATTGGATGTGTAAGTGGCAGACGACTGGCTTGTTTGGTCACTGTTCCCAAAATAGTGTTCACAGAGGATTTTGTTCCAAGCAGGGTGCTATTTCTCAGGAGATTTTTTGAATGTCAGTTTTTCCTTCAGTCACACTCCCCTTGCTTCCTAAAAGGACCTTGGAAAGTCATAGTAAAAGATTAACCTAAAACAAGACTGTTAAAATGGACACAGAGAATTAAAATCCAAAGAGAAGAATGGGTAGGGGAGAGGAAAATATGGCAACTAAACCAAACCCCTAGAGGTGGTGTTTGGATCACAGCACTGTGGACATTTTGGAGTAGGCAATTCTTTGGCGGGGGGGGGTGGTGCATCTTGTGCATTATGGAATTTTTCACGGCACCCCTAGCCTGTACCCACTAGGTGCCAGTAGCAGTCCCCAGTTGTGACAACCAAACATGTCTCTGGGCATTACCAAATGTCTCCTGGTCAGGGTGGTGGGAGAGTGATGCAAATAACCTCTGGTTGAGAACATTTGACCTAGATTTAATATGAAAATATCTGACTTTATACTTCCAAATCATCTCTCCCTGAATCGTAACTCCAGAGAGTATAAATTCCAATATTGTAATATTAGTACTTGGCCATCATAAGTCCTGTTCACAGAGCACAGTGGTGACCTCAAACTGGGATTCAAACCTTGGCTTGCCACTTGCTATTTGTGTGGTCACTGTGTCTCAATATCCTTGCCTATAAAATGGGAGTAACAGTTGTTTGTGAGGATTAATTGATGTAATGTTTCTGAAGTACTTATCACAGTGTCTGGCATGAAGTAACTGCTCTATAAATTCCAGTAAGTTGCGCGTGTGTGTGTGTGTTTTAATCTTATTTCTCCATCCAGAGTCATGGCTAGAATAAGGAAGAGAGACAGCATTTGGTACTGACTCACAGTGGAGAAAGAGGTAGAGAATTGTAGCATGATGCTACTCAGGAGATATTCTAAGAGGAGTCTGATCTAGGTGCTCAGTGTGTAGGTCAGTTTGATGCTGCTATGAGAGAATACCACAGACCAAGCAATTTATAACAAAGATAAATGTGTTTGGCTCATGGTTCTGGAGGCTAGAAAGTCAAGGTGTCAGCATCTGGCAAGAGCCTTCTTGCTGTGTGATCTCATGGTGGAAGGTGAGAGCGAGTGAGAGAGAGAGAGAGAGAGCTGAACTTGCTTTTATAACAAGCCCACTCTTGAGATAATTAATTCACTCCCACAATAATGACATTAATCCATACATGATGACAGAGCCCTCGTGACTTAATCACCTCTCATTAGGCCCCACCTCCCAACACTGTTGCATTGGAGATTAAGTTTCTAACACACAAACTTTGGGGGACACATTCAAATGACAGCACTTGGAAAGGTCTCAGTATCATAAAGATACTGGACATATCCTTGGGAAGCCTCATTCCCCATCCTCTTCCCTTCACTTGGAAACAAGTTGAATTGAATGGTAAGGAAAACCTAAGAAGAGCCCAGAGGGAAGAAAGTAAAGGGGCTTGATTACACTAGGTGGCCATGGGGTATAGAGAAGAGGAAAAATCCTAAAGGAAAGGGTTTCTTCCTACCAACTCTTAACACGGTGACCTGTTGAGGAGTCAGGATGTGGGTGAGGATTTGTGGGATGCACAAGAGCAGAGAAGCAATCCCCAAACTCTACTTCCTTGTGAAATCTTTTGTGAGATGGAAAATACAACTTACAAATTCAACGTCACAAAAGCCTTGCTTTAGGGAAGGCAAATAAAAATCATTTATTGATGGTGCATTCTGCAGAAAAAATTCAGCTCTCAGACAGTAACTACTATTGCCTTAGAAGTACTGCCCCACAATGCTGAGGGTGCTGGCTGATGACTTTGAGGCATTCAAATTGAATTATGATGTAATTCATTAGCCCAAAGGCAGGAAATGTCTAGTCAAAATGTGACCCTTGTAAGCAATTGAGTCAGTACAAACTATTGCTTACAAAGGAAGCCCATTTAGAAATTATTCAGAATAAGAAAGCTTTAGAGTTAGAAAGCTTTGAATTCTTGTCCTGGGAACTGGACAGCTAAAACTTTCCAAGATAACCTAGATAACTTTAGTATGTGCAGGCTTTTCCCTGTAGGACAAGAAAGCTTACACTTTGTAGATTTGGTTAAGAAAAATTTCAGTTCACTGGTTCCCTTTTGAGTCATTATAAGCAAGTGAGAGAGAAAAAGGGGCTCTGTTTCAATGGGAAATACTTAAATTCAGAGGGATTAAAATATCTATGATTATTTTATATCACCCTCAAGAGAATCCACAACCTTACTTTAATAATAACCTAGAAAATTTACATCTGGAGTAGAAAAGACAGTGAAGTCCAAATATGGGTCTCCCAGGGCATATATCTGCTGCTATTAGGAACCAAGTATCTGGATTCATTATGCTTTGCTGAAGGTTCTGGTAGGATCTTTGACGTTCATTTTGGGGGAGAAAACAAAGACCTCCCTTATGCTACTGAGCTGAGAGGTAAATTCCAAACCGTATAAGTTAGCTATCTGACAGCCCAGCGCACAAATTTTGCAATAGAAAAAATACTTACACATCATCTAGGGGTAATGCCAGAAGCTTCTGGGTAGAGATTGGGTCTTGTTTTGAAACCTGGGGGTCCCAGGTGGGCCTAAGATCCCTGACATCTGGAGAGATCTCCTGTCAGCTAGTAGACCAGTCAGGATCCTTGCCAGTTTGTAAAATTCAACTGGACCTCTGTTTGTTTGCCAGGGCTGCTATAACAAAATACCAACAGTCTAAATGGCTTAAACAACACAAATTTATTTTTTCACCATTCTGGAGGCTAGAAGTCCAAGATTAAGATGTTGGCTGGTTAGCTCTCTCCTGAGGTCTCTCTGCTTGGCTTGCAGATGGCCATATTCTTGCTGTGTCCTCACATAGCCTTTTCTCTGTGCATGCTCACCCCTGGTGTTTCTTCTTTGTGTAAGGACAGCAGTCCTATTAGGTTTGGGGCCCACCCTTATGACCTCATTTAATTTATTACCTTTTTAAAGATCCTGTGTCCAAATATAGTCACATCAGAGGTTAGGGCTTCAACATATGACTTTTAGGGGGTCAAAATTTAGTCCATAACAGGACCTTAGAGCAATGACCTTCAATCCATCAAGAAACTGGAGGGAAAGGAACTCATCTCACTGACCATGAGATGCTCCATTGGTTGTACTCTAGAGGAGACCGACGAGGATCTGCCTCTTCCTTCTTGTTCCCTATCCAGGAGTGGGTGGTAGGCTGAACATGAGGAGAAGGGTACTTCTTGGATGAAAGTTGAGGAAAGGGAGAATAAGGTCTGATTTCCTCTGAATTGAGTGTGGGATGATGGAGATCTGAAATGAAAAAGAATGGGTATTTCCATACGGGAACACTCACAGGAAATCCTTTATCTCTTTGGCCAATCCATGAAATAAGGTGAGCACAAACTGAGTGGACACTCTGCAAGTGGCTGGATGCTGCATGCTACACAGTAAGAATCCCCAGTATTCTGTGTCTGTGGTGGGGAAGAAGTAGAATGTATCCTTTGGACAAGCTTCAAGAGTTAGGTTAGGTAGAGGATGGCCTTTTGCTTCCACCAACCTCCAGTGGTCTCCATGGCATGATGCGTGGCTCACAGAGGGGAAGCCCAGGGTAAGAGAAGTGCATCCTGTTTGGGCAGAGGAGTAACATCTCTGCAAGGAGACTACCTCTAGCTGTGAGAGATCTCAGCCTCTCAGAGATATAATGAAAGAGAGACCCTCTTCTAACTCTTTCTCACACTTTCCCGACACCCTGATTCCTTGCTCCTCATCCATAGAGGACGCATATGGACCCGAATAACTAACAATCACGTTGGAGGCTGAAACAAAAAAAGGGGGGTCGCTGGAGGGGCACATAGAAAAGCTAAAGGGACTGTGGGGTCCTGTGAGAGGAGAGTTCTCACAGGACTTGCCAGCCATGAGACAGGTGACTGTGAGAGGATGTTTCATGAGCCAATGTTAAAGAACCCACGATTGTAAAGGAGTTGGGCAGAATGACTTTATGGAAGGAAAGAAGTCACTCCTGAGACACCAACTACCGCCTACCCCAAGGCACATCAACTGTTATGTGTTAGATGATATGACTTGACTATAGAGTAAGACCTGTTTCATATGCTCCTCTCGGCTCTGTGTGTGGTTACAACGGATTCCAGTAAAGTCATTTCATAATAAATTGTATAACTCCCTTCTTTCATTATCAAGGGTATTATGCCAGTTAGCATAATGTTGTTGCTCTTGCCAATTGTTTAACGACTACCCTTTATCAGATAGGTTTATATGCAGACTGGAGTCCTGAATTCTCCTGGGTCTTGGTCAGTGCTCTGTAGTCTCAATAATTTTTCAAGAACATAATTCTTTTTTTTTTTAAATCTCATGCCCTTTTTGTTTCAAATCATAGCTCTTAAATTTTTTTTTTAAATTTCAGTAGTTTTTGGGGTGCGGTGCAGGTGGTTTTTGGTTACATGGTGTATTAGTCTGTTTTCATGCTGCTGAAAAAGACATACCCGAGACTGGCAATATACAAAAGAAAGAGGTTTAATTGGACTTACGTACAGTTCCATGTGGCTGGGGAAGCCTCACAATCATGGTGGAAAGCAAGGAGGAGCAAGTCACATCTTACATGGATGGTGGCAGGCAAAGAGAGGAGCACTTGTGCAGGGGAACTCCCCTTTTTATAACCATCAGATCTCATGAAACTTATTTACTATCACAAGAACAGCACGGGAAAGACCTGGCCCCATGACTCAATTACCTCCCATCAGGTCCCTCCCACAACACATTGAAATTCAAGATGAGATTTGGGTGGGGTCACAGCCAAACCGTATCACTTGGATATGTTCTTTAGCAGTTACTTCTGAGATTTTAGTCCACCCATTGCCCAAGCAGTGTACAGTATAACCAATACATAGTCTTTTATCCCTCACCCCCTCCCAACCTTCTCATCCCTGAGTCCCTAAAGTCCGTTATATTGTTCTTATGCCTTTGTGTCCTCATAACTTAGCTCCCACTTATAAGTGAGAACATACAATATTTTGTTTTCTATTTCTGAGTTACTTAAGATAGTGGCCTCCAGCTCTCTTCAAGTTGTTGCAAAAGACATTATTTCCTTCCTTTTTATGGCTGAGTAGTATTCCATGGTGTATATATACCGTATTTTCTTTATCTATTCGTTGGTTGATGGGCATTTAGGTCGGTTCCATATCTTTGCAGCTATGAACTGTGCTGCCTTAAACATGAGTGTGCATGTGTCTTTTTCATATAATGTCTTCTTTTCCTTTGGGTAGATAGCCAGTAGTGTGATTGCTGGATTAAATGATAGTTCTACTTTTAGTTCTTTAAGGCATCTCATACTGTTTTCCATAGTGGTTGAACTAATTTACACTCCCACCAGCAGTATAAAAGTGTTCCCTTTTCACCGTATCCATGCCAATATCTATTGTTTTTTGACTTTTTAATTATGGCCATTCTTTTTTAAAAAAAAAAAATCATTATACTTTAAGTTCTAGGGTACATGTCCACAATGTGCAGGTTTGTTACATGGGTATACATGTGCCATGTTGGTTTGCTGCACCCATCAACTCATCATTTACATTAGGTATTTCTCCTAACACTATCCCTCCCCCAGTCCTCCAACCCCCAACAGGCCCTGGTGTGTGATGTTCACCTCCCTGTGTCCATGTGTTCTCATTGTTCAATTCCTGCTTATGAGTGAGAACATGTGGTGTTTGTTTTTCTGTCCTTGTGATACTTTGCTGAGAATGATGGTTTCCAGCTTCATCCATGTCCCTGCAAAGGACATGAACTCATTCTTTTTTATGGCTGCATAGTATTCCATGGTGTATATGTGAATTATGGCCATTCTTGCAGGAGTATGGTGGTATCTCATTGTGGTTTTAATTTGCATTTCCCTGTTGATTAATAATGTTGAACATTTGCAAATCATGGCTCTTTAGCTAGTCATTACTCACACTTGGCTTTCTCAAATTTCTCCTGAAGCTCAAGTGTGAGGGAAATGGAGCTCACAGCACCAAATATTTCCTTCTGTTTGGAGGTTGATTCTGACCTACAGGGGCACAGTAAGACTTGTCAAGTTATTCCTCATATCTGGCTATTACCAGGGTCTCTCTTATCACTCACCCAAGGAATTGTGTGTCGGTGGAAACTTTTTGGCTGATTTGGTAGCCTGTATTTCAAAAAGGCAATGACAAATCCAATAATTTGCAAACCACATGGTTTATTGGTTTAAAAGTATTCAATATAAATAGCAAAATTCTTAGGACTAAAAGCCAGTAAGTCAATACAAGATTATAGTTAGCGTATTATTTAGCTATTGCTGTGTAACAATATTAGCACACACTTAGTAGCTTAAAACAACACACATTTATCATCTCACCTTTAGCAGTTTAAACCAACACACACTTATTAGTTTCTGTACATCCGGAGTTTGAGTGTACCATAGCTGGCTCTTCTAGTCCTTGGCTTCATGAGGCTGAAACCATAATGTTAAATGGAGCTGCAGTCTCACCTGAAACTCAATTGGGGAAGGATCTGCTTCCAAGCTCATGTGGTCGTTGGTAGAATTCAGTTCCTTGTGGCACGTTAGGTTGAGGGCCTCCATTTCTTGCTGGTTGTTAGCTGGAGGTCACTCTTTCTTCTCAACATACCCACTTGCTCCCTCAGAGGCCATAAGGGTGAAACTTTGCTTGCAAGAAAGACATTAGAATCTTATGTAATGTAATTACATATATTCTATCAACTTCATCATACTCAGTTGGTTAGAAGCAAGTCACAGGTCCTGCCTACACTCAAGGGGAGAGCATCACACAAGAGATTAAATGCCAGTAGGATATTTTGAATATCAGGTGGGTCAAGGGGACAATTTATAGTATGTCTTGACAGTTAGCAATACTGAAAAACTAGTAATACTCATGTCCAGAATTAGAAGTAAATGTAGCTGTCATTATACATTTATGATTTGCTGAAATACCTAGTGGAAGGAGGTGAAATAATCACATTACCTGATTTCTGGCCACTGAGAGTGGTTGAGCCTGTCTCCCTCTCTTTCCTGACAGCTGCAGCCTTAAGTTATAAAAAAGGAGTTATCAACTTGCATCTGTGAGTTCTAGGAGGGGGCAATACTGGATAGGAAATCAGATGCCCTCGCTATTCTCTCCTGAAGATGCTGAGTGCAACTGATAGACTGCCAAAGGGACATGCTTCTTTATCTTTTATAGGACGTTTGTGCTCTCTGTGTATATCCTGATAAGACATAAGTGTGCTAGAAGTAAAACAGGTTTCATTGTAGCTTTTTTTTCTGTCTCCTATATTCCTTGTTTATTATAAGGGGCGTTCTTGTTATCATCTTCTTTTGCTGATTTTTTGGGCCTCTGTGGAAATATTTCTTCCTCAAATTCTCTCTTGTCTTAGCAGCTTCTGCCTCACTTTAAAATTTTTATTTAAACTCACTCTAACCACTCTTTTCCACATAGCAAATATGAATGCACAACAACTTGCAGATACAGTTTGTCCTGCTGACACAACTCCCAGACTTGGATATTAGACTACCTGCTGGGTATTTCTACTTGGCTATCTTAGGTTGGCTAAGTACCCAGTAACAGACTCTAAGATAAGGATTTGAGTGTAAATAGTTTATGTGGGAAGTGCTTCCAGGAAACAGCAGCAGGGAGTAGGGAGGTGAGTTAGGAAAAAAAGAGAAAACTATTAAAGAGTGTGATGCTAAGTAGGTCACTGCTGTGTACAGCTGAGGTTTGGTTCTGCCAGGGGGACACTATGCAACATGCTTCAGAGTTGTTGTGCCTGCTCCTATCCCAGGATGAGGAAGCTGGAGTTTTCAGTCACGGTTGAGGACTGCTTCTAGGGATACATTAACTCCCTAGTCTGCTCCATGTGGTCCATGTGGGCTACAATGGCCAGAGATCACCTCAGGAAGAGAGTAGTTGGTGTTGGCAGTCAAACGAGTTGGTTTGGAAGCACCAATCACATCTGCTTAAGTGCACCTCACTGTGTCTCCTGAAAAGAACATGGTCATAGTCATCAGCTCATTCCCTTTTATGATGACATAGCTTCCCCTTTAACAACTCTGTCTGTCAAGCATTTCCACACCTCCATCACTTAGGCTTGAGTTTACTGGGTTATCCTCATTCTTCTGATAAGACTGCTGAGGCTGAGAATGTTCACGTGTGATATAGTTGGGATGTCCGTCCCCTCCAAATCTCATGTTGAAATGTGATTCACACTGTTGGAGGTGGGGCCTGGTGGGAAGTCGCTGGATCGTGGGGTCTGATCTCATGAAGAGCTTAGCACCATCCCCTTGGTGATGAGTGAGTTCACGCAAGAGCTGATTGTTTAAAAGAGCCTGACCTCCTCCTCTTGCTCTCTCTCTTGCTTCCTCTCTCACCATATGACATGCTTGTTCCTGCTTCAGCTTCCATCATAAGTAAAAGCTCTCTGAGGCCTCACCAGAAGTGAGAAGATGCCAGTGCCATGCTTGTACAGCATGCAGAACCATAAGCCAATTAAACCTCTTTTCTTTATAAATTACCCAGCCTCAGGTATTTCTTTATAGCAAAACGATGGACTAATACAGAGTGACTTACCCAATGTCCCATGACAAGTAAATGACAGAGTTTTGCACTACTCTACATAGCAAGGGTGTCCCATTGGTGGAAAAGGGCTGAAGCAGGTTTGTGTGCAGAAGCTTTTACCTTGTGAAGTCAGATGATCTAACCTGAGGCAATAGGAGTCACAGTCCAGTGCCATTTTTCTCTGGGCTTCCTGTTTCCGAATTTCCTGTTTCCCCTAAGCTGAAATTGGTTCGCTAGCTCTCTGTAGTTACATAGATAATTTAATAAGCCTACTGAATCTTTGTCCCATGTCTTAGTCCATTCTCTTTTGCTATAACACCATATGACGGATGGAGTAATTTATAAAGAAAAGAAGTTTATTCAGCTCACAGTTCTAAAGGCTGGGAAGAGCATGGCACCTGCACTTGGTGAAGGCCTTCATGCTGCATCATAACATGGTAGAAGGGGAAAGATGAAGAAAAACAGAGCCAAGGGAATTTGCTTTTAAAACAAAGCCACTCCTGCAATAATAAACCCGCTGCAGTGATAGCAACATTATTCCACTACTCCTTTCATGAGGGCAAAGAGATTAGGTTTCCAACACATAAACTTTTGTGGGGCACATTAAAACCATTGCAGCTTGCTACCAATTCCATTTAGTTCTGGAACATTAGTCAAAGTACATACTCTCTCTGGAGTTAATTTTTCACATTCAGTGATTTTTGGTGACCCTTTCAACCCCAACAATGTGAGACAGGTGAGAGAGGCCTTGTTTTTATAGTGGGCTGGATATAAATAAATAAGGTGAGACTCAGCTTTATTTGTTTTTAATGTAGACCATGGTTTGGATAACCTTCATATGTCAAGCAGAAAATATTGTAGGCATTTAAAAAATATCCATGGGTATGTTCTTTGTTTCCTTGTGCAAGCCTTTAAAGGATTACAGGAATAGCAAGTGATGTGGGTAACTTGGGCCAATAATGGTATTAATAAATGCTGTGAAACATAATGTGCTAGAGACAGCATCTCCAGGAGTCAACACCCAGGCAGCATTCCTCTCTTCTTGTGTGAATTTCTGCAGGTTGTCAGCAATCTGAGGGCAACGTCTTTTCTTAGGGAAAGCTAAGATATTCAGATTTACCCCAGAGTGGGTATCAAATTATCTGTGGGTGTAAGGAATACACAATGGTAGAGATTTTATTCCTAATGAGCAGAGACTGGAAACACATTTGGAAGTATATCATGATGTTTCTTTTCCTACCTCAGTCTAGTGATCTCATTGGGTTGAATTCTCTGTGGTTTGGCTTCAAACTCTTTTCATTCCAATCTTCGTCTTTTCAATTTGCTGCCCCATTTTATGGTCTACATCTTTCCTTCAAAGATCCTGCTGCTTTTCATCTTCTTGATGCCTCATCATTTATTCAACCTGTTGCGTGCCTTCTCTGTGTCTTCCCTCCATTTCATTTTATAAGGCATTTTAGTGCATTGTATGTGGCAAATGGGGGAGGAGACAGAATGAAGAGAGACCAGTAACCCTTCCCAGGCCAGTTTATACAGTTTTCCTAAGGCTTCCCATATATTTAATACTAAATTGAAAAAAAAAAAAAGCTTTGTAGAGCAGATAGAGAAACTGAGACACCGAGTGAAGAAAGGACTCAGTCTGAGTTATGTGACACAGGTAACCAAGGGAATAAACTTCAGGTCATCCGATTTTTACTGTAATCTATGATACAATGAGATGCCTCCTTTCTCTACAGCAGGGTTGGCAAATTTTGACTCATGGGCCAAATCCTGCTCAACACAGGTCCTTGCAATTAAAAATATTTTTAATATTAATTTTTTGGCTTTACTTTTAAACATTTTGGATAATTTCTTACTCACAGAAAAGTTTTTAAAATAGTGTAAAATAATGAAATAAACACATGCATATATATATTTTTTTCGCTGAATTGTTAAAAAGTAAGTTGCAAATATGGTGCCCATTTATACCTAAATTCTTCAGGGTCCATTTCTTATGAACTGATTCTTGAAGGACATAGATGATTCAAAAAACCTCAGTCAATAAGTTTCAGCTAACTTATATTTGTTGAACATCACATTTTTCAAAAATAATCATATACTGGGCCATAAAAGAAGTCCCCTCAGAACAAAGCAAAACAGTAATAAAATCACTGGAATTATTTTTTTCTGATTATGTATAATTTAAGGTGAAAATAAATAATAACATAAACTCAATAATAAATGAATAGATCTATGACAAAAGGTAAATCTGTATATGTTTGAAAGGGAAAGACTGGATTATCCCCGAATAAAGTAGAAAGAAACAATAAACACACAGTAGAAATTATTGAAATAGAAAACAAATGTGAAACAGAATGAAGACCAAATGTTGGCTTTGTCAAAACACTGTTAATTCAGTGTATATCTGGCAGGATTGGACTTTGATCAAAAACACAAATTACCCATGTCAAAAATGAAGGGGCCATCATAAGATGGGACAGTGTACAAAATAAATGACTATCCTCTAAAAATATCAATGTCATAAATATAAAGAATGATACGGAAAGTGTTCAAGATTAAAGGGAACCAAAGAGTTATGTTGAGTTAATGCTATATGTGATATTGGATATTATTTTGTAACTAATGGATACAGTCAAAACAATTTACAAAATTTATAGGAAGTCTGTAATCTGTATAAAAGTTTCTTTTCCAGTGTTAATGTCCTTGGTACCTGGGTTGTGCAATTAAATTTTTAACAGAATACAGACATAACTGTTTAGGTATTGTCTATGTCTGCTTTCACATTGTCACTGCAGCAAAGATCACATGTGCCACAAAGCCTAAAATTTTACTCTATAGCCATTTATGGAAAAAGTTTGTTGAATCTAGAAAGTGATGAAGGCCTTGATATAGCATGGGCTTGATATTCCTGATAATTGACTCTAGAAATATGCTGCAAAGCCTAATTGAAACTTTCAGAGATCACCAAAAATCTCATCCATCTACAGGGATTTCCTTTTCAATCATCCTTCTCACCCTGAGAGTTGGGAGTTGTTATTGTACCCTCTTCTTCACAGTCAAGATAGAAGCAGTAAGATGCCTTGGACAATTGCTGCATTGTGAGATTTTATACATTTGGTGTGGTACTTTGTACTGTAAGGAAAGAAGTCCAGAAAATATCCCACAAGTGATGGCAATTCAGTCCTTGTTCAGTTTTAGTGCAGGACACAGATCCCAGGCAGGACCAGTTACATAATTTGTCATGTTCAGTGTGTAGTAAACTGTTTTGACACTGCTGATAAAGACATATCCGAGACTGGGTAATTTATAAAGAAAAAGAGGTTTAAGGGACTCACAGTTCCACGTGGCTGGGGAGGCCTCACAATCATGGTGGAAGGCGAAAGGCATGTCCTACATGGTGGCAGACAAGAGAGAATGAAAGCCAAGTAAAAGAGGAAATCCCTTACAAAACCATCAGATCTCATGAGACTTATTCACTATCATTAGAACAGTGTGGGGGAAACTGCCCCATGATTCAGTTATCTCCCATTGGGTCCTTCCCACAACATGTGAGAATTATGGGAGCTACAATTCAAGATGAGATTCCACCCCCGGCCCCTCCCAAATCTCATGTCCTCACATTTCAGAATCAATCATGCCTTCTCAACAGTCCCACCAAGTCTTAACTAATTTTAGCATTAACTCAAAAGTCCACAGTCCAAAGTCATACCAAAGACAAGGCAAGTCCCTTCTGCCGATGAGCCTGTAAAATCAAAAGCAAGTTAGTTACATTTTAGAGACAGTGGGGGTACAGGCATTGGGAAATACAGCTGTTCCAAATGGGAGAAATTGGCCAAAACAAAGGGACTACAGGCCCCATGCAAGTCTGAAATCCAGTGGGGCAGTCAAATCGTAAAGCTCCAAAATGAGCTCCTTTGACTCCATGTCTCACATCCAGGTCACACTGATGCAAGAGGTGGGTTCCCATGCCCTTGGGCACAGTGCAAGATGAAAATGCTGGGATCTTGCTAATAAACTGTCAAGAATTTTAAGATGGTAGCAGCTGAGCATTAAACCAAGTGCAGGACCCACTGGAGCACAGAGCCTTGTGCAAATGCACAGATTGCATGCCCAGAAAGCTGGCCCTGATCCTAGGACTTTGGATCTCAAAGGGACATCAGAGGGCACCTATCCATTTATTGTGACAATTGCATTTTGAAAACCAGCTATGCCAGACTACTCAGCTGACTACCAGGAGTGAGAGTGCAGCAGACATTGGTAGCCCTGGAGAGGGGCCGCAGCAGGCATACATACTTCTCTAACTTGGAATGAATTGCTGGATTGTGTACTTTCTGGATCTAAAAAGCCTATCTAGATCCACAAATCACTGAGCTCCAGCCTATTCACCAGCTTCCCCTGGTACCTGGAAGTTATTTTTAGGTAACCTGTCATGGGGAGGTTTGACATGTTATTTTCATGCCTGAGGATCGGGTTTCATGGGAAGTGTTCCAAAGAATTTAATACAATGCAACACACATATTATTAAGAGCACGTTGGTTTTATTCTTGTTGCCTTACTATTAAGAATTTCTCTTCTTAGTCATCTTCTCTTCTGCTCGTTGCCCTTCCTAACTTAGTTTTCTCCAACTTCATAGTTCTCTCTTGTGCCAGTTGCTGAGCTCCTCACTGCCACACGGATTTCCTTTCCCTCATCTGCTGCCAACTCCTCTGGTTCTCTGCGATGGATGAGTTAGTGTTGTGACCAACTTCCTTTTTGTCTTTTCCAGATTCCTTTCTACTTTTACTCCTTTGCTATGATCATATTTGCCTCTTAATTTCTAGTTCTTAAGTCCAAAAATTGACTTTCTCTTTTTGTCCCGCCCAACATGATTGCACAGAGCAACTCATTCTTAATCATGGCTCCTGCCTTTCTTGTTCTGTTGTTTTCTTGGCCTCCTATTCAGTCTTCCATCTACACTAGAATACTAAGGTGTCAGCAAATAACTGACCAGCTAGTCTGCATGCCTTAGCTCCTTCATTTTTGTCTTAGGATCACAATCTAGCTGTATTTAATCTTCCTTCTTCTTAGAATCTTACTTAGTTTATTTGTCCAACTCTTCCATATGGCTAAGAGGAAAATCATCCGTTATACATCCTCTGCCCCTAAAGTAAAAAGAATTACTGAGAATGCATATTTAAAATGAATCTCAAAGCAAATTTTCATTTATAATAAACAATTGAAAGCAATTGAGATCTTTACTCAGTTTACTGAGAAAATGATGGAATGGAGAAATTCATTCCTAATGCATAGCCTTATCTGCTGTATTTCCTCTGGTTGCAGTCTGTCTCTTATACCCAGGAAAAGCTCCTGAACAAACTCTGTTTCTGCTGTCCCAGAATGCCCTCCTCACACTCCTTCATGGAAACCCCCTCTTGGCCTTACGTCTACGCTTATCCTAGTCAGTACTGTTATCCACTCTTTTGTCCTGACCAACTCAATTCTTTCTTCTGGCCCTGCAGTCTTTAGGGAATTCTGTTTTGTTCTATCTGCTGTCGATTGTTGTGTAGCAAACTACCCTGCAACTTCTCATCTGCAGACAACAGTGATTTAACAACAACAAATTTAAACAACAAAGTTAAATTAAACAATTTAAAACTAACACATCTGTATTTGGGCAGGGGAGTTCCTTTGTTGTCTTTACCTGGGCTTACTCATGCAGCTGCATTTGGCCAGAGGGTCCACTGGGATCTCGGCTGCTGCTATCATTGATTCTGTTCAGCAGACAGAGGAATGGGGCAGGCAGGAATGAGAAAATCTAACATATATTTCTTTAAGGAAACAAACTAAAATTTGTTTCCCTTTCATCTTTTCCTCCATTCTGCTCCCATGGTATGAAATATTCTTATAAATACATAAAAATGTGCCAATTGGTTTTATTATTTAAAAAATTTAACCATAATTGGGTTCTCTTCATTCCTGTCATTTAGTTTGAATCACTTACATGATACCTGAATTAAGCATGGATGACACCTTATAAATAGATCGACTTAGAGTGTGCTGGCATAATTTGATATTCCTAATACTGTACGGTGTAGCATCTTTACTATAGAAAATATTTAATAGACATTTGCTGAATAAATTAATGCAAGAATAGCAGTATGTGTAGTAGAGTTCAAAGCAATACTAACTATCCAGGCTATTCCATGTACAACATGATGAAACTAAAATATTGTATTTGCAATGAATGATAGAACAAAAGTTATTAAGTGAATTATTTACCATAAGTAGAAAATAGCATTGATTACATCAATCTTAGACACCCTTCTTGAGAAAAAGCTATCTAAGTCAGAACATTGTCTAGATGCTGAAGGAGACTTCTGAATAGTTTTACATGATATTGCTGTTGGAAGTTTTGGTTTCTTATGTTAATTTCATGTCAAAATGTAAAAATTCTCCTTTCTTATTTATAGCAGGTGAACCATTAGTACTATTGTTTTACCCTAGAAGGACAAAGTGTTTGGGAATCAAGAGGCCTTGGTTTGTAGACCTGTTCTTTCACTTACTAGCTAAACTCTCTGGCAAAAGGCACTTGTCTTCTCTGTAAATTGTGATAAGTGATATCTATCTCACAAGGTTGTTTGGAGAATCAAGTGAAATGATACATATTTAATGTGTTTTATAATACAAGGTGAGACTCAAATAGGAGCTAAAGAATAAAATAAATTTTTGGTTTATGGTTGGAATGGATGGAGATTTTCCTGAGATCATTTTCTACATGGAATGAAGTAGAGAGTGAAGTGTGAAAAAAGGCCGCCTGAAGTGACAGTAAATGGCTAGAGGGTGGGGAAAGACAGAAAAACTGGGCACATGGTATATGCATGATCTGCCTCTGTAGGAAGGTGCAGTGAGGAAGAGATTGGAAGTTAAACCACTAAGTGGTTTAGCCATCAGTGGTGCTGTTGGCTAAGGTTGGTTGGTTGTGACATTAGGTGGCCCCAGGGTAGACAGATGCACAGTTCATAGGGAATGCATGGTTGAACAACTCACCTGTTGCTCGGAAAAACAAAGTATATCTGTGGCCACTGGTAATGAACCAAATGCCAGAACTGGCCTTGTGTCTGTCTTCTTGAGTTAGGGAGTTATGGAGAACACTCATGAAAACTGTGCCGATGATCAGAAGTTACTTGACTTCAGCTGCTACAATTCTGGCCTTAGAAATGTGAAAATTGGGCTCACACATATATTTTAATGTTTGGTTCAATATACCTTTTGTGCTAGAATATATCCTTTATTTCTAGCTCTTCTTCGTGCATATAGGTATAAGGGTATATGCATATAGGCATCTGGGTATAAGAGAGAGACTGCAATCCATCAGTAGATTGACCAGTCCTGTTCTCTCACACACAGAAATGGCGTTGCTCTTATTTCTGTCTTATTAGGCATTTCTCAGGCACAATTTTCATCGCCTCATACCTGTGTAGACAGTGAGCACTGAGTAACTGTTTGTTGAATGGCTATGCAGTAGCACCTGGCTGGCTCTATCTGGTAGTGTCATAACTTGGCAATCAGTCTTCCTCACAATTGCTAGACAATTATTCTTTAAGTATCAGTTTACAGGTAAACATAAAGGTGATTCCTGAGCAAGCCTTCCAGAGCTCTTCCCACAGAAGATAGACATCACACCTCTTGTATTTACTCCCACAAACTCTATGGTAGAAACATAAGTTGCAGCTTCTTGGTCAATCTGTAATGAGAGGGAGCTACCTAAACTAAAACCCAGGACAAAGAGTACATCAGTTGCTGAAAAAGGAAGAATTGCTATAAGGTGGCGTGCCTAGAGTGTGTTTGTGTGTACATGTACGTGGTGGACACACATGTTTTTAACATGTTCAACAAATGAGGATTAAGCCTTGCCTCCCTCCGGCCTAATTTATCACTCTTGTGGCTTTGGCAGTTTCACAGAAATGATACCCTTCCTTTTGTTTAGAGTCTACCGCACTGTAGTACATTTTCTAGGTGCCATTAGCCTTCTCATTTTGGAAAAATCCTATCCCTGGTGATGATGAAGACCTCTGAAGACCTCACACGAATTCTTCTACTGCCCTGGACTTCCCATCTCTGCACACACCCATGCTGCTGCCTTTGCCTAGAGCACTCCTCAGCTCTGCCTGGCCAACTCTATCTACTCTGAAAGGCCCACATCAAAATGCCACAACCCTCAAGAAGCCTTTGCCAGTTCTTAGCAGAAAATTAATTCCTCCCTTGTCCGTTTCTCCCTAGCTCTTGCTTCTTGCCTCTTCTAAAGCCTGGATCACAGTTTGCCTTGCCCAGAGCAGCTCATTCTCAGGAAAGGTCTTAACGCTTTTCTTATTGCAGGCACATTAAAAATAAGAACAGTTTTTTATTTGACCTTATAGTCCCTGTTAAGCCCAACAAAGTGCCTTGTGTATAATAGGCTCTCAATAATTATTTGTTAAATAAATTATATTACATTTTATAAATGTTTACAAAGGAGAGATCATTGCCTTACATGGTTTACAAAAAAAAATTCTGTTGAGATAAAAATAGACAAACAACAAGAATTTAAGCTGAAGGGTTACTTCTTACACAATGAGGTTGTGTCGTTTTGGATATTTGGAACGCCTCTCAGAATTTCCGCTTCCTAAAGAGCCTGCTGCTCTAGCATTTTGCCCACATGCTAAAAGGCATCAGAATAGATTTTGATAAAACAGAATATTTTTAGGCATTGTAATCAGCCTCACTCTGCCAAATTCCTGGCCTTTGGTATGTGCTGCTGAGTAATGTCAGACCCTCACACGTACACACACTGACATTTACAAGGCACGAGGTAGGCTCCGCCAAGTTCAGAACAAAGCCCCCCTGTTGATTGGTTCACCAGAACTTTCTCAGATGCATTTATTGTTTGCTACTGGAGGAACTGACAGTCTGCTGGTACCGATTGAATTTCCATTCTTTTCTTCACTTCCATTCTTCTCTTCACTCGGGGAAGTGAAGTTGTGGACTCATGAGGTTATATACTCAACTGTGCGAGGGGGCCCTTGGGCCTCTCTGGCATTGACACTGATGGAAGCTACACATAGGAGTGGGGCTGCATTAGATCTTTCTGGTATGAGATTTGTAGAAATGAAAATGAACAGGGCTTCACTCCAAACACGTACTGAATGATCTTAGAAAGTTCCTTCCTGAAAAAATACTTTTACCTAAAAAGACAAAAACAGATGAAAAGAGAGCATTATTTTATTATTGCACGCCATGAAAAAGCCAGAGTATATTTAGTAACCTTTGGAATTCCACTGCCTTTTTAGATGGAGGAGCATCCCAAAAAAGGAGACAGGAGGGCATTGCGTGTGCACGTGTGTTTGAAAGGACCAAATCTCTATCTAGACAAAAATAGTAGATAGGTAGGTTATAGAAAAGAATTTCATAAAACTAAGCAGAATAAATTCTTTTTCCGAAATAGTGCTGTTTTGTGAAAGGTGTTTCTTTTCACATTACTGTATATGGCTAACTCTCAGATTTGTAAATGGCTACCCTTAGAGATGAAGTTACTGCTGAGGATTCAAATCACCTGCCTTAAAAGCTGAGGTAGGATTTATGATGTACTGGGCATTATTTTCTCTTTAGGGGCATCCTTTCTTCAATGATGATTGAGAATGTCAATCCTTCTGCTCCCATAATGACCCTGGGAGTTAGGGGTGAACTCTGGGAGGTGCCAGATGATCTATTCTGGCCATATGCAAGAAAGCACATGCTCTAGTATTGCAGGCACTAAGGATTCTGGAAAAATGTAAACATGTGCGTTACCTTCTACTTTTTTTTTTTTTTTTTTGAGACAGAGTCTCACTGTGTTGCCCAGGCTGGAGTGCAGTGGTGCAATCTCAGTTCACTGCGACTTCTGCCTCCTGGGTTTGAGCGATTCTCCTGCCTCCGCCTCCCAAGTAGCTGGGATTACAGGTACGTGCCACCATGCCTGGCTAATTTTGTTATTTTTAGTGGAGATGGGGTTTCACCATATTGGCCACGCTGGTCTCCAACTCCTGACCTTAAGTGCTTCACCCATCTTGGCCTTCCAAAGTGTACCTTCTACTTCTTAACCCTGGAGAACCATTCTTGCTTAAGAGCCATCGCACCAAGGCATCACCACAGCCTCATTTCCATAGCAGGGACTGCAGAACTTAACAATAATGGTTCTTCAGGGGTAAGAAGAACCATTCGTGGTTCATGATGCCAAGCACGAATGGAGAAGGATGGGCTCACTGTGCACACAGGCCATCCGTTGATACCTGCCCCACATCCCCATGGGCCTCTGCCGTGGCCCTCTGTGTCATGACAGTGGGGTGCTCCTGGCTTCACCCTTTGCATTGTAACAACAATAATATCTTACATTTTGTAGTGCTTCTGCTTTTCAAGAGGCATGTAGAGCTGGCTTTATCCCTTTCTCTCTCATTTCTGCCCCCATCCGATGAGGACGTGGTGCAGAGACTTGCTAAGGACACAAGGCTGGGAAAAGACTGAGTTGAGAGTGGTCCCTGTTCTCCTGATGGCTAACCCAGGGCTCTGTTCGCTGTGTGTGGACACTCAGTATCCACAGCTGGAAGGGTCTGTCTTTAGGTGAGATTGAAGCATTTCCATTTTTTTATGACAGTGGAAGAAAACATATACTATATTGCAAGAATAATAGTATTCAAGACATGACTATGGAAGAAGCATCAAGATTATCATAGGGCATTTCTATGTCTCTGAGGTATGTTGGAAGCCAGGCTCACATACCTTGATTAGAAACGTCTTAGAAGGACTTTATGATGTGCTCCGTCAAGTGAGGTACTACTAACTGGAATGACAGCTGTTTGTTTGGTCCTTTGGACTATCCTGGGATCAGTTGATTCACTCTCTGGTTATTATGATGACCAGATAACCAGATGATGATGCTCCTTCCAGTTATTTTGATTTTCTGTTTGTTTAGCTCTGTAAGATTGGACTTTGTTTGGTTTGGGGACAATTAGTCTATTCACTGGCAAACAGGAATTGAGAAAATGTACATTAAAAACTGGTTTCATGACTTTCACATGATACTTTAATTTTAGAGATTTTAAAACTTAAGTGGGAACCAGAGACTAATCCAATTGTTTTTAGACAGTGAAAGGGTTTTATGTTCTGTTCAATTTATTCTTTCCCAATTTCTTGTCTATAAAACAAACATTTTTTTTTTCTTTTCTTAAAAATAAATCTTGGCCAGGCATGGTGGCTCATGCCTGTAATCCTAGCACTTTGGGAGGCTGAGGCGGGTGACCAGCCTGTGACCAATATGGAGAAACCCCATCTCTACTAAAAATACAAAATTAGCTGGACGTAATGGCATATGCCTGTAATCCCAGCTACTCAAGAGGCTGAGGCAGGAGAATCGTTTGAACCCAGGAGGCAGAGGTTGCGGTGAGCCGAGATCATGCCATTGCACTCCAGCTTGGACAACAAGAGCAAAACTCTGTCTCAAAAACAAACAAACAAACAAAAAACTTTTGCTTATGGTGGTTCTGAACAAAACGTAGATGTTAAAAATTGGCTTTGAAATTTTTCTGTCTAAATCTTCATTTGCAACATCTCTTCTGCCCTTAACTAACTGCTGGTTTTAGACACACGATTTCAAAAAGAAAATGAAAAAAATTCTGGTCTACTTCTGGAATAACCCACAGTGGAGTTTTTAATCTGCACATGGTACATGCTCTGACATTAATCTTCCTCTGTTTAAATTCTAAGCTCAACAAAGTTACTTTGAACAGTAGATATGTTTCCAAGCAACATTCAGAATGATAGTGGGTTCTTTTCAAGATCATTTAGGAAGAATTCATGCAGTTGATAAGAAACCCACACCCCTTAGAAGTATTAGGTAGTGAGTAACTTAGGATCTCTCTGTGTCATGAAAGTGAACTAATGTATCTTTTTTTTTTTTTTTTCATTGAGACAGAGTGTTGCTCTGTCACCCAGGCTGGAGTGCAGTGGCGTGATCTCGGCTCACTGCAAGCTCCGCCTCCCGGGTTCACACCATTCTCCTGCCTCAGCCTCCCGAGTAGCTGGGACTACAGGTGCTCGCCACCACGCCCGGCTAATTTTTTGTATTTTTCATAGAGACGGGGTTTCACCTTGTTAGCCAGGATGGTCTTGATTTCCTGGACCTTGTGATCCGCCCGCCTCGGCCTCCCAAAGTGCTGAGATTACAGGCGTGAGCCACCGCACCTGGCCGAACTAATGTATCTTAATGCTCTCTGAAGTTTCTAAACATGGCGAGTGGAGAAGAGATGGCTGAAAGGTTCTGTATCACAACATTTTAGGCCCAACTGCATTTCTGTTGCCAACAATTCTTTCTTTCATTTTTGTGAAAGACTGAACCAGGTTGTAGAGTTGGCTGTGTCACTAATGAACTGCATGAGCCTGGGAATATTGCTTAACTTCTCTGAGACTTTGTTTGCCTTTTTTTTTTTTTTTTTTTTGAGATGGAGCCTTGCTCTGTCACCCAGGAGGGAGTGCAACGGTGCGATCTCTGCTCACTGCAACCTCTACCTCCTGGGTTCAAGTGATTCTCCTGCCTCAGCCTCCTGAGTAGCTGGGATTACAGGTGTGTATCACCACATCCAGCTAGTTTTTATATTTTTTTAGTAGAGATGGAGCTTCACCATGTTGGCCAGGCTGTTCTCGAACTCCTGGCCTCAAGCGATCTGCCTGCCTTGGCCTCCCAGAGTGTTGGGATTACAGGTATGAGTCACCGCTCCCAGCTGAGACTTTGTTTTCTACTCTGTGAAATGGGTTTGGCCTAGTTGACATCTATGGTTATTTCTGAAGTTATTAAATTATTAAACTGTGTGTCTGTACTGGGATGTTCTACACTGTGGTCTTAGAATAGATTACTTACAGCTAAAAATTAAATATGATGAGGGAACCTAATTTCATATTTAGAAGATTTTTCTCCTCAAATCTCATTCTATAGGATATTCATGTGTTTCTCTTTTCTTAATTTAACCTAATATATGCCTGGGTTTCTACATATATTAGTGTATTTATTCACTGTGTTGTGAGTACTGTTGGTTAGTCTACTCTCTGTGTATTTCAGAAGCATTTACTCAGCTATTAGTCCTAAACTTCAAGATGAGTGACTTGTCTGCTTCTTGTAAAAGCATTGGCCTGTTCAATTAGATTGGTGAAAATAGCAATGACAAAACAACTGACTTAATAACGGATTATTTTTATTTTTCAACTAGTGGTTTTGGCATGTCAATCCAGTTTGCTGTCCTTTTAGAGAATATGCCAGTTTTTGGAAGTGAATGTCAACATTACATGGCTGTAGACACTCCTCTGATGTTCTCGTAAGAGATACCCTATCTCTCTCTGGTTATGTTCATTTTAATTTCTTACAGACTGATCTGTTAAATTGGCCGAGAGCCATGTCCTCTTAGCCTTCAATTGCAGTGCTCATCCTGCTCCTGAAATTGCTATCCTCCTGTGCTGTGAGCAAAGACCATGTTAAAACAGATTGCCTTTTAGAGGATCATACTCTGACGATCAAGTTCAAGGTCACCAAGTGCTGAACAGTATCAGTATTCACACTTCTTGATTGGATTCTTGCACATTTAAAAAAGTGACAGGGCTGTTAGGAATTTTGTATGGAATTTTGGCTGTGTGTCCTTCATGGCAGAAAACAAGTTTATACTTTCAAATTATCTTAAGATGGGCAGGTACTTTGGATCCTCTGACTTTGAGGTAATCATTTCAACTTTCTCTACCTCAATCTCCTCCTCTAAAAATGGGATAATAATAGTATTTACCACATAAGTTCTTATGAGAATTAAATGAGTTAATTTGAGCATGGAACAATGCTTGGCCCATATAACATAGTAACAATATAAGTTGTGCTATTAGGATTATAAAGACATATATGTATATATAATGATTTTCACTACTGAGAAGAAAATCATCTCCTTGTTCCTAGTCATATTCATAGTCTCATAAAGTTTTAGGGTTCCAAGAAATCATAAAGGGAGGGTAGTCCACTCTTTTGGCCAATGCTGGAATCTCCTACAAATATTATAGCTACATTAGGAGGTAGAGCAAACTCGTACAGCAGAATGCAGCTCACCACTGGTTAGCTAAATTAACTCTGCTTCTGGGGATCTAAGGAGCCATGTCTCCAAGGTCTGATAATATGTTAAACCCAGATCTTAAAAGTATGTGATGTTTATTGGGCAATAATATTTATCAAGAATCTAGATCAATTTGCTCAAATATGGGTCAGTTGGTGGGACACATATCCCCGTGAGTTTGGTAATATGAATAGTTCAGCTGACCTCCAAGTCTTTGGAGAAAGCAAACTAGAAAATGGAAATTCTCTAAAAGTTCTAAGGAACAGGGCAGGAATATTACCAATCTTTGTAATCTCTCTCTGACAATGGAAAGATGAACCAATTTTTAAAATGAAGATTAGCTCCATATAATTGATAATGGTGCATGTTTTCCCAGAAGATGGAATATTTATTTCCATGTCTCTGTTTCCTGTTCATGTATGCTTTGTCCCAAATCCTTTTGGTTTCCTGGAATTTTCTTTAGAAAACCCAGATATCACAGCAATAATCCCCAAACCTCACAGACTCCTTCAAAAGTAACTTGAGGGAAAGAATCAAGCCCAAGTGGTTCAATACTTGATGGAAACTTGTGTGAAGAGCAATGTCACTGCCAAATGAAAAAGAACTTACTCCAACCTACCATGTTTATTTAAAAGCAGTATGATACTTTTGTTATCTAGAAGACTTTTTAAACTGAACTCATAATTATTTTTTACCAAGGTATAGTAAAAGGTGAATATCATTATTAATTTATATTCTTATGCTTCTGTTTTAAAAATAATTTCAATGTTTATTTTACATTTTTCAATGTTCATTGTAGATTCAGGTGGTACATGTGCAGGTTTGCTACATGACTGTATTGTGTGATGCTGAGACTTGGGGTTTGAATGATCCTGTCACCCAGGTAGTGAGCATGGTAGCCAATAGGTAGCTTTTCAGCCCTTGCTCCTGTCCCTCTCTCCTCACTCTAGTAGTCCTCAGCATCGTTACCATCTTTATGTTCATGCATACACAATACTGAGCTCCCTCTTAGAAGTGTGAATATGTGGTATTTGCTGTTCTGTTCCTGTGTTAATTCATTTAGGAAATGCCTCCAGCTGCATCCACGTTGAGAAGAGAATGTCAACATTACACAGCCATAGACGCTCCTCTGATGTTCTCATAAGAGATACCCTATCTCTCTCTGGTTATGTTCCTTTTAATTTCTTACAGACTGATCAGTTAAATTGGCCAAGAGCCATTTCCTCTTAGCCTTCAATTGCAGTGCTCATCCTGCTTCTGAAAGCACCTTGTTGCAAAGGATAAGATGTCCTATCCATGTTGGTGCAAAGGATAAGATTTCCTATGCACGTTGGTGCAAAGGATACAATTTTGTTTTCTTTTTATGGCTGCATAGTATTCCATGGTATATGTGTACCACATTTATCTAGAGGAATTTTGACTCCTAACATTTTCAGGATTATGTAACATAAAAGTCCATTTTAAACAGGTAGTGGGGTAGGAGTATTGGAACTCTGAAAGATAACTTCATCTTCACTTCTGGACATTTCCTTTGAGGGTTGAATAGAACTATTTTGTTTTCCTCTGCACAGGATCCCCCAAATTAATTTTCATATGTATTTTCATCATTAGCCATTGGCTTGGAAGGTTTTAAAGTCATTCTGTGTCAACTTCAATTAAATCCCACGAGACTCAGAGAAACTGATCTGGCAGGAACCTGCTCCTGCATTTTTACAGATAAGTACATTAGGGCTCCATGAGGTCCAATAGCTGGACTGCGGTCAAACAGGAAGACAGAATGGGCTCCTCCATCCGGGCCTTGCAGGACAACTCTAGATTTGCTTCTCGCCACCCAGAAACTTTCTCCTCCCAGGTCATAGCAATTCCCATATCTAAGTATGACTTTCAGTTCATCTTTTCCCTTCTGTTCCACATTGAAAACATCAGGTACACCTGTAGACTCCATGGCCACAACAAACCTGGATCTTCTAGATCTGTCCATTTCCATTGCTAGTCAAAGGTGGTGTCTCTTGAGCCTCTATATTGCACGTGATTTCTCACTAGGTATCTTGCTTCTACGTTCTCTGCACCATAAATTCCTGTCTCCATGGAGCAGCCGGAGTGATCTTTTTGATAGTCTCAGAGCCTTTTAAGAACTTCTCTTCCCACCTGGTAAAAAACCTCATTGCACAGCCCTGGCTTATCAAGCCCTCCATGCTGTGGCTGTGTTTGGCTCTCAGCCCTCCCTCTTCCACCCTCTCCCTTCCCTTCTCACCCCTGCCAATGGCCTTATTTGTGTTCTTCAAGTATGTTGAAATGCTTCCCTTCTCAAAGTTTTTGCACTAGCTCTTCATATCTTTCTGGAATGTTCTCCATAGATCATCATATAGTTTTTTTTTTTTTTTAGATTGGCCCTACTTTAATAGCAACTCTTCTTGGACCACTCAATGTATGATAGCCTCTCAGTCACTTTCTATCACGTCACCCTATTTTGATTTCCAGTATAGTTATACATTTTATAAGCTACATTTATCACTCATATATTCCCTTAAAAATATTTATTTTCCGTTGCTCATCTCCCTACCTGCACACATGGTCGTGAGCAAAGAACTTGCTTGTCCTACTGATCTCTGCATTCTCAGTGCTCGGTGATATTTGTTGAATGAATGCAGGGCAATGCTATGTCTATGCTTTATGTCATTATCTTCTGACTCACTGCAAAGACAGGAGTCCCCCACGGGCAAGGAACATACTAAGAGTAGTATGTACCTCATGTTGTTATTGAGACATTTCAAAACATGTAAACATATTTACAGTGATGAAGTATACAGAATACTGCCTGCCACAGAAAAAGCTCCAAATAAATATCAGCTGTTGTTACTGTAGGATGTATACATATTTTTATTTATATTCATATAGTTTTGTTATACATATAAAACAAAACGTTTTATCAGTTTTTATTACTTACACATGTCTACATTATATATGGTGTTAGCTATTGTTATTCTGTTATTTGATAGAGTATCCAATAAAATATGTTACAAGATTTTGCTAAATACCATAAACTAAATGCCGACCACTTTTTTCTCACCTGGCTCTATTTCAGGATTCAGCCAGGTTTCTCTGTCTGGGAGTGTTAATGTTTCTTAGCTAAGCAGCTGCAGTATCTGCGGTTACTGAAATCGTCCTGAAGGTGGCAGCGGAGAGCTAAGGTTTGGAAAGTGCTCACATGTTCTTGTATACATGCTGGGATAGGATTTGAAGGGGGTGAGAAAAGTTATTCCATGGGGCTGTTTTTGCATCTTCAAAATTCCTTTCATCATTATTATTGTTGGGAAGGGGTGTGTTATATGTCGGGAAGCTGCTCAAATGCAAATGATATCTGGGAAGTGGCAGCCAGCTATTATTCATGAAACCTCAGGCAACGTGAGAGCATTAGAGCATTCATCCAGATGCAGGAAAGTGGAACTGCTGGTGAGGTGAGATAGAGGGCAGGTAAAGGGAAGAAAAGGGCTTGGTTTTGGATGGGCGTTTTCTTGGTTCCGAGGACTTCTTGATCTGTGGAGAGGGGTACAGGCAGGAGAGGTCAAAGCTGAGCCCTCTAACTGACGGGGCCAGGGCAGGGCCCCTCTCGTCCGGGTCTAAGGCAGTAAACTCCTGGAACAATCTCATACAACATCCATCTGCTTGTTTAAATAACAAGCCGATTCTATCATGTCTATGTGTACAAATCAGACTCTCTGGGGAGTAAGTATGTGAAAGGAGACTGGAAATATCGTTAACGATTTTCAGACATTTTCTCCAACTAAATCTGAAATACTGCATACTGACCACGAGATGACAGTATTGCACCACTAAATGCTTACACCACAAGCTTCCATCTTGTAAGCTCTTAGAGATCTAACACAAAATCACTGTGCTTCCCACTCGCAGCAGTCATTGGAATTATGCTTATAAACAGCAATTTTTCTTTATTTGCACTTTTTCCATAAATGAGGAATACATTTTTTGCCAATAGTGGCTACTGTATGTATACTTCGGTTATTGTCTTGGGAAAATGGGTGTTGAAAAAATTGAATTGTCTGTGACTCTACACATTTTATAATTCAAAATTTGTGAATAAAATTAATCAGCATGTGAGTTAAAGTGCAGTATTCCTTCAGCTAGAACTGCAAGACCAAAAAAACCCCATAAAAGTGTTTGGTTTATAATTTACTGTTTTTAATTTATGGTCTATAGTAAGATTTTCTAAAAGCATGAAACAGAATGGTTCTAACATATGGTTTTATATAGTTTACATATTTATAACCATGTTTATCTAAAATAGCTCTCTGTAATGCATTTATGTGGTTGAAGAGTTTGAAAAGGTGATTATCAAATGAAATAATGTATGTAAAATACCCAGCTCAAGCCTCACACATGGCAGGAATCATAATAAATAGAGGCTCTTGTTTCCTTTATTAAGAAGAAATCATAAATTAGTGGATAAGTGCAAAAATCCTTTGCTACTATGAAACAGGAGAGGCCAAACAGTGAGATATCATAGAGTGAGTTGCCTCTTATGCCTTTCTAGTTGAGTAGTCAGAGAATGAAAAACTACTTAAGGTTCTACCCTTCCACAGACACTGCAGATGAAAGTGTTCGGCAATTAACCATGAATGACTTTCAGGAACAGCAAATCCATGCTTTTCTATTTTACTCAACTTGGATTACATCTGTAGTGCAAATTTAAAAGAACACTTCTGGGGACAGTTTTTCCCAGGATCTATTTATTGTCTCATTTTTTTCTTTTTTTAATTGTTAATTTATTTTATTTTTGTAAAATATTTTAATGTTTATTTTAGGTTCAGGAGTACATGTGCAGGTTTGTTATATAGGTAAACTCATGACTCAGGGGTTTGGTGTACAGAGTATTTAATTACCCAGGTACTAAGCATAGTATCAGATAGTTTTTTCTCTTCTGAACCTCTCCCTCTTCCCAGCCCCCACCCTCAAGTAGGCCTCAGTATCTGCTATTTCCCTCTTTCTGTCCATGAATTCTCATTATTTAGCTCCCACTTATTAGTGAGAACATGTGGCATTTGGTTTTCTGTGTTAGTTTGCTGAGGATAACAGCCTCCAGTTCCATCCACGTTTCTGTAAAGGATGCAATCTTGTTCTTTTTCATGGCTGTATAGTATTCTGTGGTCTATATGTCCCATGGCTATTTTCTTTGATAGTCTCAGAACAATAAAACATTCAGTACCCACAGCAACCCTTGTAGCTACCAGACACATTTGCATGATCCAAGCATAACAGTTAAAGATGAATGGCCTTAATGCCTGGGGTCATCCAACTTTCACCATCTTCTATTTTAGACTTTTTCCTCCTCCTAATAGGCAGAGATGGGATGAATTCCTTAATTAAACAAGATCTCTTGTTTGAACCAGTTTAGACTGCAATCATTCATCAAACTTTTCTTTCCTCCCTCCCTTCCTCTCTTCCATTCTCCCTTCACCTTCTCTCCTTCCTTCACTCTCTTTTTTCTTTTCTGCATCCCAATGACTTGTTACTTACTGTGTTCTGTTAAGTTTAGGTACAAACAATAGAAGCAAGTGCTTTATTTAACTCCTTATTTCCTGTTATGGGCTGAATTCAACCCAGTCAACACCTTAATCTTGGACGTCTAGCCTCCAGAACTGTGAGAAATAAATTTCTGTTGTTGAAGTGACCCTGCCTCTGGTACTTTGTTATAGTAGCTCTAGCAAATGTACACATCCCCTTAGATTCTGTCTCTCTCTTTTTTTTAAAACACGGAACACTTTTAGGAATGTGCATGTCATCCTGGCGCAGAGGCCATGCTAATCTACTCTAAATTGCTGCTGAAGCAAGCACTCCTGTTAGATTTTTCAACCTCCACATTTTCCAAGACTTCTTAAAATACTGGCTTTTCAGACCTTTGGGTCTCATCCCTCCTGTTGCTACACTCCACCACTGCAGCGCATTTGACAATAGTGACTGTGTTTGTGTGAACGTGAGCAGATACTAAATCCCAACATTTTTGAACAGTTTCATTGCACTCCTACCAGGTACAGCGCATTCATTAATTTTAATATTTACTATCACAATGGGAACTAAGAAGTTGTCAGGAAACGGAATAAACTTAAAAATGGTTCATAGGAGAAGAAGACAGAAGACCGTGACCACAGAGAAAATTTTAGCCTAAAGCCTTCTTATACTGTTGTGCTAGAAAAACGTTTCTCCCTCAATAAATAGATATGTGTCTATAGGGCTTCTTCAAATTCTGGTGTTTGGGTGAAAATATTGAAATACTGTAGATGGCACCATGACATTGCACATGACTGTTTTAGAACAAAACCACTGTGTCGTTATCTCCCTCCCCCATTTTTTTTCCTTTTTTTTTTCTTAGTGGGCAAGTTATTGGAATCTTTAAAAAAATGATCATTTATGATTAAAACTTGGAAAAGGAATTATGCCCATTTTTTTCATGTTTACTCTCATGGCCTGTACTACAAAGCACTAGTCAGTAACCTCCCCTTGAAAAGTCTTTGGATAAGTGCATCATTATTCTAGCTACCAGCACTTGGTGAATCCCCATGTTAAACTCAACGTGTTTTGAAATTAAACCTCAGAGATGTTCCCAACCTTCTTTTATGTCCCTAGAGATAAGTTTACCAAATGTTAACAAAGAAATAATTGTTCTCAGAACTTATGGCAGCAAAGTGATGAGATGTAGGGTTGCTTTAAGACCGAGGCACAAATGGTGCTCTGTGGCAAACGTAAAGAAACTGTTCAATAATTACTGTTTTCAGCAAATGTAAAACTCTAAACCAGGGGCCAGCAAACTTCTTCTGTACAGATCCATCCAGATAGTAAATATTGTCAGCTTTATGGGCTACACGGTCTCTGTCCAAGCTACTCAAAGCTGCCATTTTACCCTGAAAGCAGCCATAGACAATACATATACAAACAGGCATGGCTGTGTTCCAACAATACTTTATTTACAAAAACAGGTGGCAGATTTGGTCCTGAGCGATAGTTTGCCGTCACCTCCTCAAACCCAGGCTTGCTTTCCCTGTAAAGAAGGCTCTCTCTTGTGGTGATTCCTCAAAGACCTAAAGACAGAAATACCATTTGACCCAGCAATCCCATTACTAGGTATATACCCAAAGGAAGAAATATATATCATTCTATTATACAGACACAGGCACACATGTGTTCACTGCAGCACTATTTACAATAGCAAAGACATGGAGTCAACCTAAATGCCCATCAATGATAGACTGGATATAGAAAATGTGGTACATATACACCATGGAATACTATGCTGCCGTAAAAAGGAATGAGATCATGTCCTTTGCAGGGACATGGACGAAGCTAGAGGCCTTAGTATCCTTAGCAAACTAACACAGGAACAGAAAACCAAATACCACATGTTCTCACTTATAAGTGGGAGCTAAATGATGAGAACGCAGAGACACATAGAGGGGAACAACACCCGCTGGGGCCTAGTGGAGGGTTGTGGGTGGCAGGAGGGAGAGGATCAGGAAAAATAACCAATGGGTACTAGGCTTAATAACCTGGGTGATGAAATAATCTGTACAACAAACCCCCATGACACAAGTTTACCTATGTAACAAACCTGCACATATATCCCTGAACTTAAAATCTTAAAATAAAAGTTAAAAAAAGAAACCTCTTTCTGTAGTAGGTTTGAATGCCTAATACACACATTTTCTCTCTCCTGCCTTTTAAAACTTCATGCTTATGCTTTCCCCATATGTTTCAAGCATGATCTTGTGTCATCTTTTTTGGAGGTAAAATGTTGGGTTGAGTGGGTTAGGAAACTGACTTGTGAGTGTGACATTGGAGATGGGTCTAATCATGATGTTGGCCTGGACATATCTCATTTCTTCCCATGGGACCCATCTGATTTGATTTGACTTTAGGAATAAGAGTTCAGATTTGGGATTGTGCTTGGTTTGGAGCTGGCTTGGTGAGCATGAAAATGCTCTTCAGTTATCTTGGAGCTAACACATGTGTATATTAACCAAACAGAAACCAACTTAGGAAGTAAATTATAGTAGTAATTGTATTAGAGGTAAAGCATATATACAGTTATGAACAGTGCCCTGTGTCCAAAAAAATGCATTACATAATTTTCAAAAATGTAATGTATTTATTAACATACTTATCCATAGTCAGGTTCCACAGGAGCTAATTCTGAATATGGTTCACTCAAGGCCACTCTGCCCAGGAAGTTGGGCAGAAGGGATCAATTCCCTTAAGAGGCATTGATCTGTTAGGTTCTTTCTTGCCTATCTAGACTTGAGCAGACTCCAGAAGAATAAAGCCAATAATTTCTAGGAATTCAATCTTGTAAACTTCTGGGTCAGGTAAAGATAGCAGGTTGCTTTTGATAGTTTTTGGCCTCATTTGAATTCTAAGCTTATGAAAACACTGTAGTTGTGAAATACTTTAGCATGAAGCCGAGGCTGGTGAAGGAAGGGTACCTTTTCTCTCCCACAAAAATCCTCTCCAACTAGATTTGATATATTTTGCATGGATTAATTCATAAACAATCACTATTGCCCATATGGAAGCTATGATAGCCAACGGACTGTAAAGTAGGCTGAAATCTGCAGTTGGCCCTCAGGTTTTGACCCACTGTCATTTGAATTCCTGCTTTATGTCAGCTCTCATAGGGAATAAGACATTCCAAAGGGTTACCCACACAATAAAGGACTTTGTCTATGTTCATGTGTTTTGGCCAGTTTGAAAATCTTATTGCGTGGTCTGGGCTACACAAATAGACAAAAGTAAATAGAGAAACCTGCTTCATGGAATAGCTTTGGAAACTGTGGTTGCTAAGATATAGATAGGCTTTAAGTAGAGAGAATTTCCATTATAAATATACTAAAAGGATCAGAAAAGTGAATTTACATGAAAAACATACACTGGGTGTTTGGAAAGTGCTTTTTCTATAGACGGTGTGTAAAACGCATATCAAGGGAACTCTTTGGGGGAAGACAAGAATTTACACAAGGTGTTGGGATGAAAAATATTGCTAACTTGTTTTAATTATTGGCTGAAACTTGATGGAAAGAGGAAAAAATCCTCCAGATGATACAAAGTAGACCTTTCTTCTCATGCTCCATAGAGGTCTTTCGGGAAAAATTTCCCATTTCTACTTATGTTTGGAAAACCTTGGGTGTGTATTTTCACTGTGTATTTAACCTTCTTTCCTGGCTTCTAGAACTGTGCTGTCCAATATGGTAGACACTGGCCATGTGTTGCTTTTGAGCACTTAAAATGTGGCTACTGTCGCTGAAAAACAGAATTGTTAATTTTATTGAATTTTAGTTAATTTAAATTTGAATAGGCACCTAGGGCTAATGGCTATAGGGACAGTACAGATAGAGAACATTTCCATCATCACAGAAAGTTCTGTTTAGACAGCACCCTGCTCTGGAGGGTGACCGGACAGTAATTTTTGCTCATAAGACTTGTTTTTAATATTGAAGATTTAGTTTTCTCCCAACTGATGAAGTTTAGGGAAAAATGCCACGAAGATGGCATTCAGATCTTATTAACATTTTCTCACTACTTATTTTTTCCCTCAGTTCTGAGTAATTCTGTCTATTTTTATCTATACCATATTATATTTAGTTCCTTCTAATGTAATTAAACAAAAATATCTTAATTTCAGAAAACACTTCTTTAATTAGTTGTGTTTGAAATGTCCTTACTAATCCTTACTATAATAACTGAATGGCCAATTTCATAGCCTCAGTGGGAAAAACGAAAAAAGAGAAAGACCTGTGTTCTTGATCTGTGCCAAACAGGAAAATACTGTGGTTCAGCAATAGAAAATGAAGAGGGAGGAAATGTTTCAGGTCATCAAATGGGGTCAGAAATACGCATGTCAATGTACTTTTGCTGCTCTCGCGAATTTCTCAAAAGGGTATCTGTGAATACCTAATTTAGGTTTTTTTGGTTTCATTTTAAGTACACATGAGCTTCTGGAAAGGGCGATATTTATATATTTTTTTCACTGTGGTTTACGATCCAGTGTAGGTATATTTCAGGATGTCACTCACAATTTCAATGTGGTCATAGAATTATTCAGAGAAAGCTAATTGAAAGCAAAATGCATTAAAATGACTAGGATTAAGCTGCCCACGGACACCAACTGTCTTGTTTTGTCCCCATTGTAAACACAAGTGCCCCAGAAGTGCATGTGCTGAAGTTGGCCTCTGTTGAATGAATGCATTTAAATGTGGAAGTTTTTGTATTATTATAGGATAAGAAATGTTGCAATTGCAAAAATGTTGGGGACTAGAGCCATCTCTGGGAGGTTTTCCTAGGACGTAAGCTCTGTTGTTTCGGAGTTCAGGGAGTGGGGCAGTGACCTGCATAAAGAGCCCCCAGGGAGAAGGCCCAGGGTCCTGGCTTCTCCGTGGGACTGTTTCCCGGGTCACAGAAAGGGAGACCCAAGTGTCAGAGATGGGCAGATTGAACTGTCCCTGCCGGTGTTTACAAGAGACACTTGACCTTGATGGAAAGCAGAGGGAGGACAGCAAGAGGGAGACGTTCTCTGTGTCCACATCAGCACCCTTTCCCCCTTCCTTGCCCTTTATCTTGTCTCATCCTTACCTTGTTGGAAAAACACATTGGCAACATCACAGCCCACTCAAAAGGTTGCCAACACCTTCTCCCAATAATAGCGATCAACATATGTAATAGACTTCAGCTGTCTTTTTGGGAGATCTGGCAACAAACTTAACTGAAAAAAGTCAGATTTTTACAAAGAAACACTGCTTTATTGCTTAAATGTGGAAATAATACAGAACACCAGCTAAGCTAATAGCTTTCTGAGAAAGAAAGTTCAAAGTGTCCATTGCTACTTCAATAACACATACATAAGTGGAAGGTGACCAAAAAGATGAACATGTAAAGAGGGGCCCTCATGTGTCGGCAAATTGTTGCTATTCTGAGCTCTCCACTTGCAGCAATTATCTAACTGTTGTTGGAAGAAGCTAAGAAACAATCCTCCAGCCCTCCCATAATGCCCTCTCCAAACAAATGAAAACACAGTGCAATTGGCTTTTCAGTGTTTGCTCCCAACCTGCCCCTTCCTGTGTTTCTCCCTGAACATGATTCTTTACTTCGTAGGTCATCCTCTCATCCTTGCATTCTTTGTGTATATTACTGGCTAGCTGCCAATCAGCAATGGACACCTCCCAGAGTTCTGGCAGACCTGGCTTGTGAAGTTAAGCAGGGCTTGGTGAATTTAGCTCACTTAACTGAGATATGAGAGCAGTGAAGTGATGTATGTAGAGAAAGGCACAGTTCTCCAGAGCTCTTGAGAATCCTTAAAATAAATATATGTTCCTTACAAATTTTCATCGTAAGCTTGGTGCACATTTCTAAGGCAGCTGGGGAATCATAGAGCAGCTCATCTTTTCTTCTTCTTTTTTTTTTTAACAGTCTATGGACTAATTAAGCTCTGAAAACCCATTAAAACACAAGTAGGCCATGATTTCAACACTTCTAAAGAAAAAAAGGCAGATTTTTGAATTCTCGTTTTCTCTGGCTCTGCCTCTAAAGCCTCAAAAACATTTTATAATAAGTGGATAAAACTCCACTGAGGGATTGGGCGTGGTGGCTCATGACTGTAATCCCAGAACTTTGGGAGGCTGAGGTGGGCAGATCACTTGAGGCCAGGAGTTCAAGACCACTCTGGCCAATATGGTGAAACCCCATCTCTACTAAAAATACAAAACTTACCTCGGTGGGGTGGTTCACACTTGTAGTCCCAGCTACTTGGGGGGCCGAGGCCCAAGAATCGCTTAAACTCTGGAAGCAGAGGCTTCAGTGAGCTGAGATTGTACCACTGCACTCCAGCTTGGGTGACAAAGTGAGACCCTGACTCAAAAACCAACCAATTAACCAACCAACCAACCAACCAACCAACAAACTTCACTGAGGACAGAAAATCTGCCTCCTCAACCCCAATCATTTTGTATTTACTGGGACCCTTGTCTCTTTTAACTTCTGAGTTTATGGGGAGCCTCTTTTAAATCTCCCCAGCTACTCAAATTTTATATATGGAAGGGAGGTGGGAACTATTCAGTCTTGGAAGAATAAAGTTTAAACCCCTGTGAATCTCAAAATATCAATAAATGAAAGGACACGTAACTGTCAATTCTGAGTTTCCCAACTGGATCAGTTGTGACTTTTATTTCTTTCGCACCTGCCTGTCTCATCTTTTTTTTTTTTTTAATTGTATCCAAATACAGACAGCAGGTTTCTGAAAGGATCTCACTCTGTTGCCCAGGCTGGAGTGCAGTGACACGATATCAACTCAAAGCAACCTCTGCCTCCCAGGTGCAGGCGATTCTTCTGCCACAGCCTCCTGAGTAGCTGGGATTACAGGCATGCGCCACCATGCCCAGCTAATTTTTCTATTTTTAGTACAGACCAACAGGTGGGGTTTCACCATGTTGGCCAGGCTGGCCTCGAACTCCTGACTTCAGGTTGATCTGCCTACCTCGGCCTCCCAAAGTGTTGGGATTACAGGCATGAGCCACCGCGTCCGGCCACTGAAAGAATATTAACATATTCAGGCTTCAAGTTTGTGAACAAGCAGCTCCCCACTTCTAGGCTCACTTAAGAGAACTGTGAAAGTATCCTGATTTGCTGTTCCATTGCACTAATGAAGGAGCAGGAGGCAAAGATAGCTAGGCTTTGTGAGGTGGAGCAGCTAGGAAATAGAGGTGGGTTATCCTACTTCACGGACAGTGTGGGCCTGACATTTCTTGCTTGTCCTTCCATATTCTCATCCTAATAACTAGAAGTGGGCTCTCTCTGCAGGCCACCTTGTTGCAGCAAGAGCTATCATAAGGCATTGAGCTGCCTGGATTTTTTAAGTCTCATATATCCTGTCTGTAGTAGATTGCAAAATCTGGTGTCGATCTATACCCCTTCCTTGTGTCTACCCTCCTTGTAATGTGCCCTTGTAGCTCCTTCCATCAAAAGGTAGAATCTGTTTTCCCACCATTTAAATTTGGGCTGATCTGCTTTAGTTTTTAGTATGGGGTAGAAGGGCCAATGAGCCGGTCAAGCCCAGGCTTCCGCAGGAGGCTGAATTCCACCATGACCCTTACTCTTGTGTAATCTCCTTGCCTTCACTGTGGTTGGCACTTGTGAATATGATGAGCTATTACTCTTGTCATTATGTTATGTTATATAGCAAAAGAGATTTTGCAGATATAACCAACTTTCCAAATCCGTTGAGCATAAGATAGGGAGGTTATCTGGGTAGACCTGACCTCATCACATGAGTTCTTTAAATCTGAGTCTAGTGGTCAGAGACAGAGGCAGTCCAAGGTCTGAAACCAATCAACCAACAAAACGTCACTGAGGACAGAAAATCCGCCTCCCCAACCCCAGTCGTTTTGTATTTACTGGGACCCTTGTCTCTTTTTACTTCTGAGTTTATGGGAAGCCTCTTTTAAATCTCCCCAGCTGCTCAAATTTTATATATGGTAGGGAAGAACTTGACATACCCTGACTGTCTTGGAGATGGAGGGAGCTTTGTGATAAGGAATGTGGGTCATCTTTAGTGGCTGAAAGTGGCCTCTCACTAACAGCCTGCAAGGAATCAGGGACCTCAGTCCTACAACCACAAGTAACTGAATTCTGCTGACACCAAGAATGGGATTGGAAGCAGATTTTCACCCCCAGAGCCTCCAGCTAAAAACTTAGCCCAGGTGACACCACAATTTCAGCCTTATGATACCCAGGGTAGAGAACCCAGTCCTATTGTACTAGACTTCTGAGTTACAGAACTATGAGCTAGTAAATGAGTGTTGTGTTAAGGTGCTAAGTTTGTAGAAATTGTTATGCAGCAACAGAAAACCAACATAGCCCCAAAAGACCTCATACACTTCTATTCTCTCTCTTGGAACCTTGGCAAGATCAAGAAGCCATGCCCAGACTAGCCTTCTGGGGAATGAGAGATCAATGAAGCAGTGCCGAGGAGCCCCCACTGAAGCTGGCCAACTTCCAGAAGCAGGGCCACCTGACCAACCCACAGTTGATCACAGATGCCTGAGGGAGTTCAGCCGAGTATAGAACCACACAGTTTATCCTACTCTGACTTGCTGACCTCCAGAACCATGAGTTATGCAAGTGATTGTTGTTTGGGCCATTAAGCTTTGGGTTGGTTTGTTACAGAGCAATATCTCATTGATATAAAGTCTGTCTTTATAAGCAGACACCAAACTTGTCTTAATGCTGAGCGTGCACACTGCCACATTTAGAAAGGTTGGAACTGATGATTCTTCAGATAGAAAGCTTTTGTTGACTCATGATGAGACCCACCCATTTCAATGAGGTACTTAGGCAGCACACCGTCACAGAGCTGATCAAAGCTCTGGCATGGGTTCAATCAGGATTATTCCATGGGCCATATCAAAGTTCCTCACTGCACCTTCACTTCATGTAAAAACAATTCATTTATAATTGTTTTACACTTCATGTAAAAACAATTCATTATATAAACTTCTTTCTATGATCAGGAGCTCAGGGTAAATTATTTTACCAACTCACCTTTTCACCATTATAAATATGATTGCAAATTATAAATAAAATATTAAAAAAATTGTCTTGCCAAATTTCTGATTATAGTTGAAAGCAGACATGCCGTGGCAGACAACAGATATAAAAAACAAAGATGAAAACATTTCAGTGGTGTACTCATGCTGTCAGAGTTTAAAACGTATATTTATAAATATATGCAGTGTGTCTCTGTGTGGAGTCTAAACTGTTTTCAATGAACTCAGCCTGTTTGCAAACTTGGATTTCTTCTTCGGGGGGCTACTGTCTACTTTATATTCCTAAGATAATCAGGCAGGTGTGTGAAGCAAATGTGAGTGGCTCAGTTTCATTTTGAACTCCTGATACGGATATTAGGGATCTTGGACTTAGAAGGTTTGATTGCTATAGTATTTCAGTAATAGGAGGTCTGCAATGGCATCCGATGTTAATACCCTCTCTCAGGAAAGATGATAATGGCTTTTCTCCATCCCTAAATGAACCAAAAAATGATAGAACAGACATCTGTGGATGGAGATTGCTGGAAGATTAGTGTGAAGGGGAAAAAGGATCAGCAATAGCGCTGCCGTTGCTGGGAAGGGGGTGGGGAGAGGCTGTCGCAGAGGAAGACTAAACAGTGACGAGTTAATGGGTGCAGCACACCAACATGGCACATGTATACATATGTAACAAACCTGCACATTGTGCCCATGTACCCTAGAACTTAAACTATTATTAAAAAAAAAAAACCAGTGGCTTGCAAAGGGTGGCAATCAGGCTACCAAAAGGTTACATGGGGCAAAACTCCTGTGTGTGAAAAAAATGGGGTTGGGGGGAGTGGGTACGCAACTTAATTCAAAACATTGGTGACCCAGAGAGAAAAGGAAGAGCAAAATGTAAGGTGTGGGTGGAGGAAATACATGTTCAGGTTCAACTGTAGAGAGGTCCACAAGTGCATCACTGGTTCCTTTATCATGAGACCTGCGTGTATGTCCCAGGAAGAGGCAGTTATTGGATGTTTAGGGTACATGATGGGATTTTCAGCTGGAGACTGTTGTGGATGCTTAGCTGAGAAAAAAAGCCAATGTTATCTAAGAGGAATTCTGCTACAAACAGGGAAATGGAAGACCACACAATTCATGTAAACAATATTGCTGCTTATTCTTAATGTTTTTGTTTGTTTGTTTGTTTGTTTTTTGAGACGGAGTCTTGCTCTGTTGCCCAGGCTGGACTGCAGTGGCACGATCTCGGCTCACTGCAAGCTCCGCCTCCCGGGTTCACACCATTCTCCTGCCTCAGCCTCCCGAGTAGCTGGGACTCTAGGTGCCCACCACCACGCCCGGCTAATTTTTTGTATTTTTAGTAGAGACGGGGTTTCACCGTGTTAGCCAGGATGGTCTTGATCTCCTGACCTTGTGATCCACCCGCCTCAGCCTCCCAAAGTGCTGGGATTATAGGTATGAGCCACCACGCCTGGTCATTCTTAATGTTTTTGTTTGGGAGACGTGATGAGTAGAGCACAAGTTGACCCCAGTGAAGCTTCAATATTGCACAGTCCTTATTCTGGAGGTACCCGGGTATTACCGACAAGCAAAATTTTATCTAGAGGCAGACAGAGGATTTTGAAAGACATCTGGGAGAAGGGAATAATGGTCAGGTCTGAGACTCAGCAGAAATCAAGGTTTTTCTTGTTCAGACAGAGTCTTTCCCTCTGAGCAGTGGAGAATCTCAGATGATTTGGGTGCACATACTGGATATATGCTGGTGATCCTTTCTGTCGTCTCCTTGGGAAACATTATTTACACAAGTTCCTTCATCCCTACCTGTGGCCCCCCTGCCAGTCCCTTTCATGCTTACATCCACTCCTCCTGCCTACAGCCTTCTTTTTTTCTGGGCGAGGGAAGAGTATCTTAGTGAACTGCGTCCCAGAGAGGGAAATTGATAGTGATGTCCACAACCCACAGTATTCTGCCTTTGTGAATCCCCTTCACATATGCAGTCCATCCTAGGAGATGCTATGTGACCTGGGACATCCCTTGATGCCAGCACATGCTGTATTATCTTTGGGAATTCACACTAGACCATGTGTGCTTCTGCTTTATTCATCAGTTACCCTCAGCACACATCACAGTGCCTGGCACACAGTGGCACTGAAATACCATTTAATAAAGAACACTAACTGTGACAGCACACATAGAACTATACAGCAATTCAAGTAAATATTTTTCCCATTCTCTTTAACACAGGACATGAAATCTTGAAGAGACGATAGTCCCTGGGCATTCTACTTCTATGCAGCATGTAGGGCTAGAAATAGCCATTGTCCAGCCCTGTACCTCAAAGGCAGCAGGAAGCCAAGTGTCACCATCTGTGATTTAGCCTGCGTCCTAGAACAAAACGGCAGGAGAGGCTGGGTGGCTGATGAAAGCAAGTATCTTGTCTCAAGTTCAAAGCAACGCTTTTCCGACCTGCTAGGTTTCTAGGAGTGACACGTACCACCCAGGGACTCTGGACAAGTTGCCTTGCATGTCACCACCTCTGTGTGGGCTACCAGCTACTGGCAAGGTTCATGGCTGCAGGCACAGGCTGTGCAGTCCTAGGGTGCTCTGCAGAGTTCCCAGACAGCTTGCAGGTGGCTCCAGGGACTGCTCACTTCTCTTTTCTCTCTAGCCCTATGTCATGAAGGGACTGCTCATTTCTTTCTTTTTTTTTTTTTTATTATTATACTTTAAGTTTTAGGGTACATGTGCACAATGTGCAGGTTAGCTACATATGTATATATGTGCCATGCTGGTGTGCGGCACCCATTAACTTGTCATTTAGCATTAGGTATATCTCCTAATGCTATCCCTCCCCCCTCCCCCTACCCCACAACAGTTCCCGGAGTGTGATGTTCCCCTTCCTGTGAGCAACTGCTCACTTCTAAGCCAGGTGTGTATTTTGTTTCCTGGCCAAGCCATTGTTTCATAAAACTTTAGATTTAGGGGACATCTAAGGACACAGAGAGAATGGGGCAGCATCATTCCTGAAATGGGATATTTTCATGGGCAAGTATAAATGTCTTCATCAGATAGCTGCTTCCAACAGATTCTGAGTATGGGACGTATAATTATTACACAGAATATGGCACTTTTTCAGAAATTGGATATTTATAGATTCTAGCTCCATTACATAGTATCTATGTGACCTTGGGTTACTCAAGCTCTATAAGCTTCAAGTTCTTTATATGTAAATTGAGTATCATAATATAAACAGGGTATTGTGAGAATTAGCGGGTTCTCATTACTTACTACTAATGCTCCTTTCGATTTGAAAAGATCTGCTCCTTCCCTCTTCTCCCTTCCCCCAACTTTTTTAGCCTAAGCCTCTCTCCACCACTTCCTCCCTCATTCAGGATTTATTTATGCAATTGATGGGTATGACACAGCATGTGCTGTGTATCCCATCCTCTGTCATTTCACCCATGGACAGGCTTCTTATAGGGAGCGTGAGTTTTTCCTGCTGGGATGGGGTAGAGGGAGGCCTCCAATCCTCCCAGAGCACTGCTTGACTTGTCTGTCACGGTGGGCTGCCTCTGAGAAGGGCCCCTATAATATTCACACACATGTATAATCTCTTCCTCTTGAATGTGGCTGGACTTAGTGACTTGCTTCTAACAAACAGAATGTGGCAAAAGTGGTGAGATATGACTTCTGAGATTAGGTTGTAAAACATTGTGACTTCTGGCTTGCAGTCCTCTCTTTCTTGCTGTCTTGGAGCCCTGCTATAAAAGGAAGCAAGCTGCCATGTTCTAAATAGCCCTATGGAGAGGTCCACATAGCAAGGACTCACGTCTCCAAGCTAACAGCCAGCAAGAAACTGAGGCCTCAGTTCAATAGCCTGTGAGGAACTAATTCCTGCCAATAGCCACATGAGTGAGTGTGGAAGCAGGTCCTTTTCCAGTGGAGCCTTGAGGTGGCCACAGCCTGGCCAACACCTTGATTATAGCCTGGTGAGAGGCCCTGAGCCAGAGAAGCCATGCCGTACCCAGATCCCTGATCCATAGAAATTGTGAGAAATGTGTGTGTGTGTGTGTGTGTGTGTGTGTGTGTGTCTGTGTGTGTTTGAGACAAGGTTTGCCCAGGCTGGAGTGCAGTGGTGTGATCATGGCTTACTGCAGCCTTGACCTCCCAGGCTCAAGCGATCCTGCTACCTCAGCCTCCTGAGTAGCTGTGACTACAGGCTCATCCCACCGTACCTGGCTAATTAAAACTTTTTTTTTGTGGCAATGGGGGTCTCACTATGCTCCCCAGGCTGGTCTTGAACTCCTGGACTCAAGTGATCCTCCCGCCTTTGCATCCCAAAGTGCTGGGATTATAGGTCTGAGCCACCAAGCCCGGCAATGTTTGTTCTTTTAAGCTGCTTAGCTTTGAGGGATTTTGTTACAAAGCAATAGATAACTAGTACAGCTGGGTAGGTCTGGCTAATCTCGTGTTCAGTCTGAGGAAGCCCTTTGCCCCTCAGATGTAAGTGGATACTCTGACCTTCCCTATATTGGGTCGTAAAGATGACAGTTTGTTCTCCACGTGTGTTTTGCATTATTTCCCAATTATTTTTTAATTAGAAAAACTGGGCAAGGGAGTGGTGTGCTGTTTATCACTCGACAACCCGTCTTCTAAAAACCTCAACGTGAAAACTCTCCATAGATATTAGTTTCTTGCAAGAATTTCTGTAGGCCAAGCTTGTCCAACCCACAGCCTGTGGGCCACACGCGGCCCAGGACAACTTTTAATGCAACACAAAACAAATTTATAAACTTTCTTAAAACATTATGAAATTTTTTTGTGATTTTTTTTTTTTTTTTGCTTATCAGCAATCGTTAGTGTTAGTGTATTGTACGTGTGGCTCAAGACAGTTCTCTTTTTCCAGTGTGGACCAGGGAAGCCAAAAGATTGGACACCCCTGCCGTAGACATTTCTGCAAGTGAAATAGTTGGGATCCAGCTTTGCCTGAGACAGTGCTCTTCCAGTCCCTCTGCTATCAACAAAAATGCCCACGCTCTTTCTAGGCACTGCTATAGGACTTGGCAGAGGCTTATGTGCTTTGAGGTCCCTTTACCTCTAAGCCCATTCACAAACATTTTCTAGGCCACGGTCTTGGTTTTGCCATTTGCTCCTATTAAAACCCCTCCCATTCAAGGCCTAGATCTCAGGCATGAACATCTCAAGTGCATGCAAAGCCAGCGTAGGAGGAATTTTGGGGCTTAAGCAGCAACTAAATTTGGAGGTTACTTGAAGAGGAGAACAACAGGCTTTCGCACCTGCCCATGTTATTTTGGGGAGAAGTAGAGACAGAGAAACCTAGAAGATTATTAAATAATTAAAGACTTTCCAGAAAGCATTAATAAGGCCACAAGTATTTGGGTGCCCTTTGCTTTTTCTCATGCATTCTCAATTCAGGGAAACTAAATGAGTACACTCTCAGTCCCAAAGCTTCAGTGTTCCTGGCCATGTTTAAAGCATGGTCTGGGAATGGACACTGTATGAATAGCCCCTCACCAGGAGTCACAGCTCCCTGGAGGGTGGAGAGTGGGCACTGCTTGATCCCTTCTGTAGGGAAAGAGGGAGAGATCTGTGTCCTGGCAGCTTGAGAAGATTAAAATGTACTGTCTTCAGTTTCTTCCCTTGTGTCCTATTTCAGAATCTGTTAAAAAAGTATTTAAATCAGAAAAACAGCATTTGGATTTTATAAAATACAACAGATCAATTCCTACTTGTGGTTTTACCCTGGAGCTTGGCATGGAGAACAGTTTTAACAGACATTTTTCAAAAATCATTAGGCTCACCAAAATTCAAGCTGGCCCATGACATTTGGATTGGATCCATTTTTTTTAAGCTAATACTTTTCCACCCCCTGTGGTCTGTAGCTTTTAATCATTCCCTCTACATCATGAGTTTAGAAGAAAACAAGTATTTGCCTACCGAAGACATACTTAAGAGTTCTTCCATGTTCATGGATTTCTGGGCAAACATAACCACTTGAATAGGAAAGAAAAGCACAGTTGATAAATTTCCCACCCTTTAGGGAGGCCCCATGATTTCTAATAACTCCTGATTTCTACTGCTCAGCCCTGTCAATTTCCTTTGGGCCTAGCCTGGTGATACACTCATTTTCATATCTGTATTAGATTATTTAGGGCAATCCAAAGTCATAGGTGATAATTATTAAAATGGAATTTTATTTTAGAGGACATTAAATACTTTTAATGTAGGATGATTATGGGATGTGTCTACATAGTTAATTTGTAAAGGCATGTCATTTTATTAGGGCACTGAATTAGTTTCCTATTGCCACTGTAGCAAATTACCACAAACTTAGAGTTTAAGACAACACAAATTTATTATTTTCTAGTTCTGGAGGTCCCAAGTCTGAAATGGGCCTCACTGGGCTAAAATTGCACCCTGCATTCCTTGGCTCATGGCCCTGAATCGCTCCAATCTCTGTTTCCATTGTCACATGTATTGCTATAATTAAATAGCAGCAGACTGCTTCAGATTATTATGTGTATGCATACACACACTTCATGAAAAACAGAAGCATTTTTAAAATGAGGGATATTGGCCCTATTTTTTTAATTGGGAACAGAAGAATTTATCAGTTTATTTCAAGCAAGCCCTCAGGCTTACTTGAATGAAACAGGTCTGGTCTGAATTGATTTTCTTCCCAAAGAAATCAGGCTTATAAACAAGTGGTCCTATTTGAACATCAAATTTACCTACGCATTGCAGGTTATCTAATAAGTCCATGCACAGGCATTTTTAACATCCCCACAAATTAATCTATTATATGCACTTCTTTTCTTCTCCAATAAATCTTAAATCTACAAACTAAAGGCCCAAATCAAATGATTGCACTTCATGAATTCTATAGCATCCATAATGGATGTGGCTCCTTTGTTATTTTGAGCACGCAGGGTGCAACTTTGAAAGGTTAGCTAATGTATTTTTTGTTGCTAGAAACTATTTGTCCTCTATCCTTCCCTCCTTTCCAGGCAGCTGCCTGGGCATTAGGTTTTACTAACTTCTCCTGAGGATGATGTAACCAAACCAAAGAGTTGATTCTTAGTTTTTGGGTTTCAAACGCTTGGGCTTTGAATTTCATAAGGCAAAACTAAGAAAGACTTTGGGACCATACAATTATTCCAAAGCCACTGAAGTGTATGTAAATGTGTGGGTGTCCTGGGGATGCATCTCCTTCCCAAGGGAATACGTGGGGACTGAGACAGTGTCAACAAAATCAACCTCCAGATCCTCAAATCCCCTATATTTGCTTTTCTCAGACTCATCTCTCCATAGGCACCCTTATGACTTGCAGAGTTTCTTGCTTATTTTTTCTCCCCACACTTGCCCTTTTCATGTTCCTACTTCCATCCTTTGATTCACTCCTTATCTTGCTATGGTGGAAAAACCCAAGCAAAGGGACCCTGTGAACTAGTACTGATATTGAGAAAACTAATTGATCTGATAACTGGGGACCACATTCTTTTACAATGATTTTTTATTCTTTGCTCAGAATAAAGTTTGAAAACCTACTTAGGATATTCTAAATAATTTTTTTTTTTTTTTTTTAGATAGGGTCCTACTCTGTTGCCCAGGCTGGACTGCAGTGGTGCAAGGATTCTCATGCCTCATCCTCCCAAGTAGCTGGGATTACAGGCACCCACCACCACTCCCGGCTAATTTTTGTATTTTTAGTAGAGATGGGGTTTTGACATGTTGGCCAGGCTGGTCTCGAACTCCTGACCTCAAGTGATCCACAGGCCTTGGCCTCCCAAAGTGCTGGGATTACGGGCATGAGCCACTGTGCCTGGCCTGAAAATAATCTTTGACGGTAGACTACTATGCTATGTTTAGGATGTAACTCTAAAAAATCTCAAAGAAGTGAAAGACACTGCTATAATAAAATCGATTCTATTTTCAACTACTTAAATAAATTCTTTTTGGACAAGTCTTTTCAGTGCTATTTTTTAAACAAAGAACAACATTGATATTAACCTCTGTCTCATTCTATTGATAAATAGTATTCATTCATGGAGAGATTAACTAATTAGAAAAATCAGACCAGTCCCGCCCATTTCATTGAGATGATTTTCCATTAAAATTTAAATTTTTAAGTTTATTTATTAATATTTAAAATATATTTGTATTGTTTTGATCAGTTGTGAACTAAGTAAAACATAGTATGGTAATTCCCCAAATAAAACTTAAAAATATACATTTGAACCTATATAGTCAAAGGACCTTTTTTAAAAAATGTTAATTTATACCCTTTTCTGTGGTGAATTATGTTAATAATTAGTTAAATTCTTATTTAGTTAAATTTAGTTAAATTATTTCAAGTATATTATTGTATTAGAATAAAGTTCTGTGGGGAAAATGGAATGGAAATATGACTTTAAGGAACATTATAAAACAAGATAAGCATGTACATTTATATCGTTAAGTGAACAGTGATGAGTATCCCATTTCTTTGGAATTTAAATTCCACTGGAAACATTTGAAGGATCTGAGTAACAATTTTATTTTAGACTTTCAATATTTACAATTTACTGGAAGTCACTTTTAGCAACTACTTAAACTGATGACCAAGAAAGCCTATAGATGTCAACCTAATAATGTGCTAGGGGGTACAATGTCTTTTGAAATTATTTTAGGGAATAGATGAGTAAAAATAGACAAATTGAAGACCAAATTATAAAAATCATCCAGAATTATTTAAAAGCAAGACTTGAAATGAGATTGAGAATCTGGACTGCGGATGGCAGAGAGCATTGCTTCTGACAGTAACTGGGGTCTGAGTCAGGACATGATAGAACTTGCAGAGTTCAGTCTGAGAGTTGGCAGCACCTAAGCCCTCACTCTTGTCTGGTATCCCTGGAAAGCTGTTGATGTGTGGTTAGGAGAAGGCTAAGGGGGAGAAATGCCTGAGATTTCATCAAGTTCCCTCCATGTGTTTCCTCCCAGTATTCACTCTGAGTTTGCAGCTCAGTTGTCTGCAGTGATTACCTGTCTCATGAATGTATCCCTTTTAGTTTACCTCCCTTCCTAGTCTCACTTTCTCCATTGCCCTACCTGTGCTTTCTGAGGTTATCTCCCAAATAAACTACCTGCACCCAGCTTCTATCTCAGAATCTGTATTTGGGGGACATCAAAACCAAGAGATGTGCCATAAGTCACTTACTTACATGGAATAGATTTAATTTCAATACAATTTAGCATGCATTTATTGGGTGCATGCTAGGTTGGCTCTAGGGACACCCAACAACATTGATTGACTTATTAATCAGGATGGAAGTCAGGACTATCAGCTGGTCCTCTGTACTGAGTGTACATAGAGAGATTTAGGGAAAACTGACCTTAAAGAAATTAATCTTAAAAAGGTGTGATACCACTTTGGGAGGTCAAGGAGGGCGGATTGCTTGAGGCCAAGAGTTTGAGACCAGCCGGGCCAACATGACAAAACTCCGCCTCTACCAAAAAAATTCAAAAAATTAGCCGGCATGGTGGTGTGCACCTGTAGTCCCAGCTACTCAGGAGGCTGAGGCAGGGGAATCACTTGAACCCAGGAGGTAGAGGTTGCAGTGGGCTGAGATCATGCCTTTGCACTCCAGCCTGGGTGACAGAGTGAGACCCTGTCTCAAAAAACAAAAACAAAAACAAAAACAAAAAACCTGATACATGTAGTGAAGAAGCTGATCTGTCAAAAGCCAGAAAGCAAATGCAGAGGCATACTAAAGTCAGATGTTTAGGGGAATTCTTTTGGAATAACTAATTTTTCATCAAACAGGTTTTTCTTCTTATGAAATTTGCTGGCGCTCTGTTATTATAATCAGGAACTATAAGGAACCCAAATGTAGCGTCTGGTTAAAAAACAAACAAACAAACAAACAAGCAGTTAAGTTTTATTTGTAAGAGCAAATAAAAATCATGTTCTATTATGGAGTTAATAGGAAATAAGCAGGTTTTCCCCCTTAGCTTTCATTACAGCTCATGCAAATGCTAGTAATGCAATTATGTAAATATCTAGTTGAGGTTTGGAGTGCTGCCTTTATTATTTAACTCTAAAGTTATAAAATGCCTTATTTGCATATTACATTTTACAGCAATGGTATAAAGCTTATAAACAAGGTTCTATTTTTTAGAGAAGTGTTTAAAACAGAGGTTTCTGCCAGTGAGAATATGAGCCTTACCTAGTATTTAGCCTTGAGCTTTGAGCAAGGGATTATGTTGATAGCCATAAATGAAGAAAACCAAAATTAAAGAAAAATAAAAAGCACGTTAATAACTCTCACAAGTAATTAGCAAACAGAGTCCAAGGGCTTGAGGAAGGGATTGAGTTTCTGATCTCTCTTGGGTGGTTCCTCAACGTGTGTGACCTTGACCAAGTATTGTCCTCACTTCTTCCATCTGTGAAGATGAAAGCAACTCTTAATACTTAGAATCATTGCTGAGGCCTTGGTGTCAGTTGGTTCACTTTCTGATGGTCAAAGTTACGGAATAACTCCTTTTCTCACCACAAAGTTGCAGCATTTTAATAAGGAACAGGCTTGAGTCAGAAAAAAAGACACACCATGGCAAGGCAGTGCTGGCTGCGTATCTTCATAGCATGTCTGAGCTGGAAAGAAGCTGAATTATCATCTAATTTTAAAAAATCATTTTTGGGTTCGTAGTACGTGCCAGGCTAAACACTGTGCTAAAACTTTACAAAGATGATCTCACTCCTTCATTTCATCAGTCCCATGAGGCGGGGATGATTATCAACATCTTATTGATGAAGAAACAAGCTCCAAGAGGTAATGTGGCCAACGTCTTAAACTTGAAGTTGAAGAGCAAGAATCTGAGCCCTGTTTTAGATTTTTAATCTCTGTGTAAACTTCTTCCTTTTGTTCCATCTTTTCTCTTTAGAAATAAAGCCCTTGGAAACTCTGTGATATGCCAAGATCCCCAGGGTAATAAGTAACAGAGAGACTTCGAATGCAGGTTTTCTGAGTCCCAGGCTGGTGATGCGGTTCAGCAACACCTGCTACTAATCCAGGCTTCCCTGTGTAGCAGAGGAGTTGTCTCCATGCAAGTGTGCAGTGACATGTAGACTAATTGTTCTCAGTGTTTTAAAATGAAATCTAGGCCAGGAACAGTGTCTCATGCCTGTAATCCCAGAACTTTAGGAGGCTGAGATGGAAGGATCTTTTGAAGCCAAGAGTTTGAGACCAGCCCAGGCAACATAACAAGACTCTGTCTCTACAAAATAAAAATAAAAAAAAATTAGCTGGTCATGGCAGTGTGCAACTGTAGGCGCCAGCTACTTGAGAGGCTGAGGCAGGGGATTGCTTCTGCCCAGGAGTTGGAGGCTGCAGTGAGCTATGATTGCACCACTGCACTCCAGCGTGGGTAACAGAGAGAGAGACTTGTCTCTATTTTTTTTTTTTTTAATAAAAGAAATCTACAAGGCCTGTATGGAGTTCTGAAGATGCAGATCCTGCAGGTATAAAAGAGAGTCAGGCTCCTCTCATGGCCTTTCTGGATGCTTTTTGTTTGTTTGTTTGTTTGTTTGTTTGAGACTGAGTTTCGCTCTTGTTGCCCAGGCTGGAGTGCAATGGCGCGACCTTGGCTCACCACAACCTCCGCCTTCTGGGTTCAAGCGATTCTCCTGCCTCAGCCTCCTGAGTAGCTGAGATTACAGGCATGCGCCACCATGCCCGGCTAATTTTTTTGTATTTTTGGTAGAGACGGGGTTTCTCCATGTTGGTCAGGCTGGTCTTGAACTCCCGACCTCAGGTCATCCGCCTGCCTCTGCTTCCCAGAGTGCTGGGATTACAGGCGTGAGCCACCGTGCCCGGCCTATGGATGCCTTTCTTCCCAGGAATAACCAGCACAGGAGCCAGGTCATTGTCCTTTGCTAATAAGTGAATATAATCATTATTTTTTAAATGGAAACAACTCTCTCAAATAATTTTCAATTGATTTTTGAAACAACAAACAAGCAGCTTTATATGGTCAGCTTAAGCAGTTTTGTTTTACAAATCCTAAGTCTGTTTATTTAGCACATTTCTGCCTCTTCCATCGGACTCCTGTTCCTGCTGGCTTGGTTCTTCATTTACCTAGCACCTTAGTTCATCTGCAAACTTCACTGTATGCTATCTCTTCTCATTTGAAAAGTTCTTTTTCTAATATTTATCCCCAAATCCCCCTTTAAATTTTTTTGTATTCTCTTTTATCAATTTTTTTTAACCAGTAAAATCGGTATATTTTTACTCTATCTTCCTACCTTTTGACCTGCGTTTCTATACTAGATCTAGATGGAAGACAACACAATATCCTCACATTCATGGTGGCTCAATTTTTGCAAAACCTTGCAAAACTTTTGGAAGTTAATTCCTTTATAAAAATGTCTGTTTCTTTTTATATCTTCAGAGAATGCAACTGAGGCATAAGCTATGATTTCTATTTACTGATAAGTAATTTTTATTTTATGGGTTTGATGATTGCATCAAATAGGTGTATGTGTGTGTGTGTGTGTGTGTGTGTGTGTGTGTGTGTGATGGTTAAGAATGTGAGCTATATTAATTAGGTCAAATCTGGCTCAAATCTAGTGTGACCTGGGGCAAATCACTTCACTTTTCTTTGCCTCAGTTTTTCATTTGCAAAATGAATAGCATCTATCCCTGAGAATTCCAGTGAGGATCAGTCAAGTTAATATATGTAAAGTAATATATGTAATTAGTAATATATGTAAAGTACTTAGAACAGTGCCTGGCTCAGAGTAAGTAGGATGTAAGTATAGCTGTTATATGGTGGTCTAGTTCACTATTTTCACTATAAATTCTTACTATAAATCCTCCCAATTCAGCTGTTTATTTCAAATCAGCACTGTCTAATACAAACACAATGCAGTCCATATAAGCCATGTAACGTTTTCTAGTGGCCACATTTAAAAAAGGTTAAAAAAAGATAAAATTAATTTCAATACTTTTAATGCCTATTATGTAAAAATACTTCAATATGGAATCAATAGAAAAATTATTCATGCTGGGCGTGGTGGCTCATTCCTGTCATCCCAGCATTTTAGGAGGCTGATGTGGGAGGATACCTTGAGCCCAGGAGTTCGAGACCAGCCTGGGAAACATGGTAAAACCTCTCTCTACAAAAAATACAAAAATTAGCTGGGCATGGTGGTGCATGCCTGTAGTCCCAGCTACCAGGGAGGCTGAGGTGGGAGGATGGATGGAGCCCTGGAGGTCGAGGCTTCATTGAGCTATGATTACACCACTGCACTCCAGCCTGGGAGACAGAGCAAAATCCTGTCTCAAAAAATATTCACAAGCAGTTTTACATTATTTTTATCATACTGTGTCTGAAATCGACATCTCAATTTGGACTAGCCACATTCAAGTACTCAGTGACTACTTTTGCTGGTAGCTACTATACTGAGCAGTAGCAATCCATACTGTCAAACATTAAGTGTAAAATCCTAAGATAATACCTCTTTTGCCATGGATAGTTTGTGTGATATTATTACCAGATTATTTACTAATACTATATACATAGCAATAGGGTTGGGCTCAAGAAGTATGGAGAAGAGGTACAAGTTTGTCTGGTGTTTCTCCAGCTCCAGTTGAGTGCTCTCCTATTTCGCATGACACTTTCTTAGTTTCTCACGGTGGAGCCCATCAAAACCTCCATCCAGGCCCTTATATATGTATTTTTTGAGATGGAGTTTTGCTCTTGTTGCCCAGGCTGGAGTGCAGTGGCGCAATCTCGGCTCACTGCAACATCCACCTCCCAGGTTCAAGCAGTTCTCCTGCCTCAGCCTCCTGAGTTGCTGGGATTACAGGCGCCCGCCACCATGCCCAGCTAATTTTTGTATTTTTATTAGAGACGGGGTTTTGCTATGTTGGCCAAGCTGGTCTCAAACTCCTGACCTCAGGTGATCCGCCCACCTTGGCCTCCCAAAGTGCTAGAATAACAGGCATGAGCCATCATGCCTGGCCCCAGGCCCTTATATTTTAACATTACTGTCTGTTCTGGGTCCTATTCATACTCCAGGACCATAATGTGATGCAGTTCAGTTGATTCTCATTATTCATAGTAATTGTCTTCTATAAAGTCACTGTAAACACTGAATTAGCAAATACTGAACCATTGCTCCTAGGGGAAATACAGGGTTATGCTCCCAGGAGCCTCTGGTCACAGTATGTTCACTATCTGATCATCACATACCTTATGTGTGTTTCTATTTAAAATCACCTTATTTACTGTCTATTGTTGGATTGTTAGTATTGAACTCATGGCCAACAATACTGTAGCTCAGGTTTGAATGAAGCTTGCCTAACACATATACTAGACAACACTTCAGCACTGTGCTTGGGAACTTTTTAAGCAGTGAAATCATCAAACCGAAGCACACAAATGTAAAAAACAGGGCAGTAAATAGACAGTTAAAAGGACACTTGTTTTACAGTATGTCCACTGAAACAAGAAGGCAGCATGTTGCCTTGTTCAACCTCAGCTGGGAATATATGTGGCAAGTGACTCAGACTTTTTTCCTGTTCTATGCAAATCTGTGAATGGCCATGAAAGCACTGAGAGAATTGATTTTGGAGTTACAAATAAGTGAATCTCTGAATAATGAGAATAAGCTGAGTTGCTTTTCGTCAACACTTGCATGTTAAGAGATGCTTTCCGTGTATTTGGGTGGGCAGCTGAGAAGCTACTGGGTTCCTTCAAACCCTGTCACTTGGATATTCATAATGGTGAACTGCCCACTCCTACTCCCAGGGAGTGGAACAGCCAAGTGAGTGTATCATAGAGCTTGGTTGGTGTATTATTCTGTTCTCACACTGCTAGTAAAGATATACCTGAGACTGGGTAATTTGTAAAGGAAAGAGGTTCAATGGACTCACAGTTCAGCATGGCTGGGGAGGCCTCACAATCATGGCAAAGGCAAAGGAAAAGCAAAGGCACGTTTTATATGGTGGCAGGCAAGAGTGAGCTTGTGCAGGAGAACTCCCATTTATAAAACCATCAGATCTTGTGAGACTTATTCACTACCACAAAAACAGTATGGGGGAAACCACCCCCATGATTCAGTTATCTCCACCTGGCCCCACCCTTGACACATGGGGATTATTGCAATTCAAGGTGAGATTTGGGTGGGGACTCATCTGAAAGATATCAGTTGGGCAGAGTCAACTGTAAACAGAGCCAGAAAATGAGCAATGCCCCTACTTGGCAAAAGGCAAAAGCAGATAAACCCAAAGCATAATGATGCTCAATTGCAATGCTCCCACAGGGGCTGGAGATGAAGTCAAAAGATGAGAGCCCATAAAAGAAGGCATAGAAATAAGAGCCAGACATCAGCCAGGAAGAAATTGAAAAGGCCAGGACTCATGGGTGAATGGACTGTGGCGCCCATTGTTGCCTTTTTTGGGGACTGGCTTTGTGGGGCATGAGTAGGTTTTTCTGGGATAAAAGCATAAGATTGTGAGTGAAGACATTAACCTTGACTCATACCTAAGCTTGCTGTGCACAATCATTGACAGATTTTGCAAGAATTTTTGATACTTTCATCTACTCTTTTGTCTTATCATGAATCAGGTTGACTGGATTTTCTGAATTCATTAGGACCTCACCTTTTATCTCTTTTGTTAAACAATTTTCTTTGTTTGAAACAAAGAAAAATATATGTATATGTTGTAAATAATTCTGATTTTATTGAGAAAAATGCAGCATATTTAAAATATGTAGTGATTCTATTATATAAGCTTATCTGTTTTCACATAACTCTCCTTTGGATAAATCTCAAGCAGTTTATTTTTTTTTTTAAAGTGGAGATTATGTTGGAGCACTGAGATTCATAAAACAAGTACTTCTAGACCTAAAAAAAGACTTAGCCACACAGTAATAGTTAGAGACTTCAACATCCCACTGACATTGTTAGACAGATCTTTGAGTCAGAAAACTAACAAAGAATTTCTGGACTTAAATTCAACACTTGACCAATTAGACCTAATAGACTTCTACAGACTACTTCAGCCAATAGCCACAGAATATACATTCTTCTCATTTGCAAATGGAACATACTCTAAGATCAAGCACATCTTCAGCCATAAAGCAAGTCTCAGTAAAATAATAATTTAAAAAACCATACTAAGCATACTCTCAGATGACAGTGGAATAAAATAGAAATCAATGCCAAGAAGATCTCTCAAAACTAGACAATTACATGGAAATTAAACAACTTACTCCTGAATGACTTTTGAGTAAACAACAAAATTTAAGGTAGAAATCAAAACAATTTTTGAAATAAATGAAAACAGACACAACATACCAAAATCTCTGGATGCAGCAAAAGCAGTGTTAAGAGAAAAATTTATAGTACTAAATGCCTGCATCAAGAAGTTAGAAAGATCTCAAATTAACAATTTCAGATTGTACCTAGAAGAGCTAGAAACACAAGAACAAACTAAAAAGCTACCAGAACAGAAGAAATGACTAAAATCAGAGCAGAACTGAATGAAATTGAGATCCAAAATCCATACAAAGGACCAAGAAAACCAAAATGCTTTTTTGAAGGGATAAATGAGATCAATAGACGGCTAACTAGACTAACAAAGAAAAAAGAGAGAAGATCCAAATAAGCACAATCAGAAATGACTAGATGGCCAAGTACAGTGGCTCACACCTGTAATCCCAGCATTTTGGGAGGCCGAGATGGGCAGATCACCTGAGGTCAGGAGTTGGAGAACAGCCTGGCCAACAAGGTGAAACCCTGTCTCTACTAAAAATACAAAAATTAGCTGGAGGTGGTGGCATGCACCTGTAATCCCAGCTACTTGGGAGGCTGAGGCAGAAGAATTGCTTGAACCCAGGAGGCGGATGTTGCTGTGAGCCGAGAGCATGCCACTGTACTCCAGCCTGGGTGACAGAGTGAGACTCCGTCTCAAAAAAAAAAAAAAAAAGACTAAAATGACATTACAACTGATCCCATAGAAATACAAAAGATCCTCAGAGACTATTATGAACACTTCTAGGTATACAAACTAGAAAATCTAGAGGAAATGGGTAAGTTCCTGGAAAGACACAACCACCCTAGATTGAATCAAAAAGAAGTTGAAACCCTGAGCAGACCAGTAATACCAGTAATGAGCTCTGAAATTGAATCAGTAGTAAAAAAACACCCAACCTTAAAAAACCCTCGACCTGATGGATTCATATCTGAATTCTACCAGACATAAAAAGAAGAGCTGGTCCCAATCCTACTGAAACTATTCCAAAAAATCAAGGAGGAGGGACTCCTCCCTCATTCTACAAACCCAGCATCATCCTGATAGCAGAATCTGGCAAAGACACAATGAAAAAAGAAAACTACAGGCCGATATTCCTGATGAACACAGATGCAAAAATCCTCAACAAAATACTAGCAAGCTGAATCCCAAAGCATATCCAAAAGTTAATTCACTATGATCAAGTAGGCTTCATTCTTGGGATGCAAGGTTGGTTTAATATACACAAATCAATAAATGTGATTCACCACACAACTAAAAACTGAAGACATAACTGCAAACAAAACTGTATGATTATTTCAATAGACACAGAAAAGCTTTTTCATAAAATCCAGCATCCCTTCATAATAAAAACCCTCAAGAATTAGGCATGAAGGAACATACCACAAAACAATAAGAGTTGTCTATGACAAACCCACAGCCAGTACTGAATGGATGAAAGCTGGAAGCATTTCCCTTAAGACCTGGAACAAGATGAGGATGTCTAGTTTTGCTGCATAGTACCGGAAGTCCTAGCTACAGCAATCAGGCAAGAGAAAGAAATAAGAAGCATCCATATAGGATGCTTTTATCATTGTTTGCTCATGATATGATTTGATATCTAGAAAGCCCTAAAGACTCTGCCAAGAGGCTTCTAGAACTAATAAATGACTTCAGTAATGTTTCAGGATACAAAATCAAAGTAGAAAAATCAGTAGCATTTCTATGCATCAATAGTGTTCAAGCTGAGAGCCAAATCAAGAACACAATTCCATTTACAATAGCCACAAAAAAACCCACAAAATACCTAGGAATACATCTAGTCAAGGAGGGGAGAGATCTCTTCAAGGAGAGTTACAAAACACTGCTGAAAGAAATCATAGATAACATAAACAAGTAACAAAACATTCTAGGCACATGTATCAGAAGATTATTAGTAAAACAGCCATACTGGCCAAAGTAATGTACAGATTCAGTGCTATTCCTATCAAACTATCAACATAATTTTTTACAGAATTAGAAAAACTAAAGTTCACATGGAACCAAAAAAGAGTCCAAATAGCCAAAGAAATCCTAAGCAAACGAATAAAGCTGGAAGCATCACAATACTCAATTTCAAACTAAACTGTAAGGCTATGGTAACCAAAACAGCATGGTACAACTTCAAAAACAGATACATAGATCAATAGAACAGAATGGATAACCCAGAAATAAAGCCTCCTGCGTACAATCATCTGATCTTCAGCAAAGCCAACAAAAATAAGCAATAGGGAAAGGACTGTCTATTCAATCAATGGTGCTGGGATAACTAGCTAGCCATATGCAGAAGAATGAAACTGGACCACTGCCTATCATCATATACAAAAATTAACTTAAGATAGATTAAAGACTTAGATGTAAGACCTAAAACTATAAACGTGGTAGAAGAAAATCAAGGAAATACTCTTGTGGACATAAGCCTTGGCAAAGAGTTTATGACTAAGTTTTCAAAAGCAATTGCCACAAAAACAAAAATTGACAAGTGAGACATAATGAAACTAAAGAACTTCTGCACAGCAAAATAAACTATCAACAGAATAAACAGACAACCTACAGAATGGGAGAAAATATTCATAGACTATGCATCCTACAAAGGTCTAATATCCAGAATATGTAAAGAATTTAATTCAACAAACAAAAAATAAATAACCCTATTAAAAAGTGGGCAAAGGACATAAACAGACACTTCTTAAAATGAGGTATACAAGTGGCCAACAAATATATGAAACAATGCTCCACATCACTAATCATCAGTGAAATGTAGATCAAAACCACAATGAGATACCATCTTGCATCAGTCAGACTGGCTATTAATAAAAAGTAAAAAAAAAAATAACAGATGCTTGCAAGGCTGCGGAGACAAGAGAATGCTTACACACTGCTGGTGGGAATGTAAATTAGTTCAGCTGCTGTGGAAAGTAGTTTGGAAATTTCTCAAAGAACTAAAAATAGAATTACCATTTGACCTAGTAATCAAATTGCTGGATATATACCCAAAGGAATATAAATCATTCTACCAAAAACACATGCACTTATATGTTTATCACAGCACTATTAATATGAGTAAAGACATTGATTCAACCTAGGTGCCCTTCAGTGGTGGATTGGATAAAGAAAATGTGGTACATATACACCATGGAATGTTACAAAGCTATAAAAAAGAATGAAGTCACATTGATTGCAGCAGTGTGGATGGAGCTAGAGGTCATTATCCTAAGCAAATTAACACAGGAACAGAAAACCAAATATCACATGTTCTTGCTTATAAGTGGGAGCTAAACACTGGGTACTCATGAATATAAAGGTGAGAACAATTGACACTGGGGACTACTAGAGGGGAGAGAGAGCAAGGGTTTAGAAACTACCTATTGAGTACTATGCTCCCTACCTGGGTGACGAGATCATTTGTATCCCAGACCTCAGCATCATGCAATATACTCGTGACAAACCTGCACATGTACCCCAAATCAAAAACAAAGGTTTAAATTTTTAAAAATGAAGATTATGTTTGGCCTTCTGTGTATTAGTCAACTCTTTGTCACAGTAGACACTCATTAACCATGTTTGTTTCTTTAACCATGTTTGTTCCTTTAACCTGAAGTGTTATCTGGTTTCATTGTTTCCAACCTGGAGCTGATTTTTCCTACTCTTTATTCTATGTATAATTCAGCCTCATCTCATTGTCTGTACCTACCATATTTCAGAACACTCTCCACACCCTAACTATATAGGAAGATAGTGATATTTTGAGCAAAATTAATAGGCCTCAATGGGCATATTTTCTCAATTTATTGCATCTTTGCAAAAATTAAGGAGAACAGAGGCAAAGAGTAGAAATAATATATCTAGAATGACATAATATGATACAATGGGAAGCCAAATAACTAACCTGGAAAAAAGTTCTAAGAACACAAACAATACATTAGAATTTGGGTAAGACAAAGCTTAGAAAAATTTATCCATCATTTAGAAGGCTATTTTTATGGAAGAGGCATCAAGGCAATGACATACAATAAAATGTTGAGAAATAGAAAAATGGCCCCATAACTCTTAACATGAAGACAACTCTATAACTGTTACCTATTATTCTGGCGTACAGTACAAGGTGTTGGTCAGGAGCGTCTGCTCAAGCCAGACTCATGGACAAATTCCAGGTCCATTATTCCTGATGAACAAGTAACTTAAGAGTCTCTCAGCCTGAGTTTTCTTAGCTATATATGCGTATATAATGTGCATAGAATGCATATGTACATATTGGCCATATAAAATGATGAACCATATACCTGAGGCAAGGTAACATATAATTGAAATAATTTCTTCACACACTTATTTCTTAAGCCCCTGCTATGTGCCATCTTCACAGAGTTCATGGTCTAAAGACGGAGGTAGACAGTCACATGGGTCCGTAGGTAGATAATAACAGACAGAAAAGGAAAAGCGCAGAAGGTTACAAACTTCCAATAGGGAGACCTGGTTTGGTTCCCAGGGACAGGGAAGGTTCCCTGAGAAAGTGCTACTAGGCTAGGATGCAAAGGAGGAATGGGAGTTAAATGAGTAAAGAAGGAGGGGCCTGGGGAAAGAGCATCCTAGCAAGAGGAACTGTACATGCAAAGCCCCCAGTTGGGGATCACAGGTTTTCCTGGGGAACTAAAGGTTGGCCATTGTGGCTGGAGCATCAAGAATGAGTGAGGGAGGCCTGAGAGTCAACGCGGAATAGGTGGGCAGAGGCCACTTCACTTTATCCTAAGTGCAGTGGGAACCAATGCAGGGCTTTAAGCTGGGGAGAGACATGAGCTTCTGTGCTGTTAATAGAGTGGCGGAGTAAGGGTGAATGTTTGCTCTCGCTGTCCTCCCGGTGAGAGATGATGGTGGCTGTGACTGGGTGATGGCATGAGCAATGGAGAAAAGTGGAGGAATCTGGGAGATATTTAGGAGGTAAAATGGATGGGACTTTGTGGTGGGCTGGATATGGCAGTGGAAGAAGAGGGAGGTGCTAAGCATGAATCCTGGTCTCCCAAATTGGAAACTCAGCCTGTGGTGATGCCATTCATTGCAAAAGGCAATACCAGAAAAGTACTGACTTTGCAGAGTACCTTTGTCCTTATTTACTTGCAGACATATTTCACAGATCTGAAACCTTAGTGTACCTTTTGCCTAAAATCTTATTTTCATTCATGAAAGAGCATCATATTCGTATGTATGTATCTATGGAAACAAATATACACAAAAATAGTAGGTTTGCCATGATTGGTGTAAATTAGTCAAAACATTTATTTAGCTTTACTATAAATGTAAGTAATTCAAACATTTTATACTCTTATTATTTTAAAAAACCAATTTCATATGCTTTCTTCATAGTTAGGTTTCTAAACAATTGTAATGTATCAATTCCCTGATCAAACATTTATTCTCTTCCCCAATGTCTATGGAATGAAATGTATGCTCTTTGCAATTAACATCATATCCAAGGTCTTGAGTCACTTTCCTGCCTCATCTTCATGGCTTCTCTATTGCCCCCAAGGGTGTTCTTGGCTTTGATTGTTGGTTCCTCTGCCTGGGATGTCCTCTAAACACTTCTGCCCAGCTGAATCCTACTAATTCTTCAAAGCCTCCTTGAAACATTGTTGCCTCTGGAGCTTTTCTGGATCCCTGTCAAATTGTTTCTGAGCTTTCTTATGTGGGTTTATATCACAGGCACACTTGAATTAAAGTTAAATTGTTCACATCAGCCCCTTCCTCTAGATCAACAAGTTCTCCAACTTATTTTGCCTCTTCTTCTCTATTACTAAACATTGTGAGCATACCCTCTGATTGAAGTTGGGCTTCCCCCAGAAGCAGATCCTGAGATATGGATTTGAGTGTAAGTAATCTGTTTTGGGAGATGATCCCAGGAAGTGCTTTTGAGGGAGTGGGGAATTATCAACCAGATCATGGTGGTGGGCAACCAGGGATCCTTTCTGCTGGGACCTCTCAAAGGCTGTGTATAACATGCCTCATAGTTGTGCAACTGAAGGCAAAGATGCTGGGGAGATTGTCCTCTGCTATGGACTCAAAGTTTGTGTCCTTCCAATATTCCTGTGTTGAAATGTAATCCCCAAGGTGATGGTATTATGATGTGTTGCTTTGGGGGAGGTTATTAGGTCATAAGAGTGGAGCCCTCAGGAATGGGGTTAGTGTCCTTATAACAGGGACCTCAGAGAGTTGCCTCACCCTCTTTTCTGCCATGTAAGGACAAGTGAAAAAATGGAAGTCTGCAAGACGGAAGAGGGCTCTCACCAGAGCTCGAAAATATGGGCACCCTGATCTTGTACTTTCAGCCTCCAGAAGTGTGAGAAATAAATGTTTGTTGTTTAAGCTACCCTCGCTAGGATATCCTCTAAACACTTCTGCCGAGATGAATCCTATTAATTCTTCAAAGCCTCCTTGAAACGTCACTGCCTCTGAAGCTTTTCTGGATCCCTGTCAAATTGTTTCCAAGCTGCTTTGCTCTTATGTGAGTTTATATCACAGACAGACTTGAATTAAATTGTTCCTATCAGCCCCCTCCTCTAGATCAACAGGTTCTAAAACATTTTTTGCCTCTTCTCTATCACTAAACATTGTGAGCACACCCTCTAATTGAAGTTGGGCTCCCCAACTGTTCTAGCAGCCCAAACTGAAAAAGACATCCTCTCACATCAGGCAGTGGTTGAGGGCTGTTCTGAGGAACCATGACTCCCCAGCACTTCTTGCCTGGTTTGGCCTGGACCAAATTCACTTCAGCAGCCAGAGGGCCCCCTCAAGCAGAGATACACAGATATTTGATGTTGAAAAGGCACTAATGGTGTCTGCAATGCCCCCCAGCCCTCATATAGATAGAATATTTTCTTATTTATTGCTCATATACAATAATGAAAGCGTCTCATTCCTCCTCCAAAATAATTAAGAGGACATAGTATTTGGAAAGGAAAATGGGATATTATCCGAAGGGAGTGTAGGAGGTAGGGACTTGGATTTTTTATTTTTTAATTAAAAGTACTTAGAGTTTCTAGCTAATATATTTTAATAGTTGAACATATTAAAAATCAGGATCTAGTATTTATAGTAGATGTAGAAGAAGTAAAGTAAAAAATAACAAGGCTCTGGAGCTTGACAACTTTTAGCATATAGGTGCCACCAGCAGAAAAGACGGGTTATAAAATCTTATGGAATATGGGAGGCATTAAACCACGTAGTTTAAAAAAGGAGAATTTTCTCATGAACAATGTAATGGAAAGCCTGATTAATGAAGAACTTGGAATTTGGGTGGGATCTTCATTTAGGAATGTGTTTTCTGAAGTTTTAAAAAATAGCAAAAATACTATACATGAAGCATATTCATTGAGACAGGATCACTTGATTCTTTCCTATTGAAGAAAAGAAAATAACTGATCCTTTTCTTTCCATCCTCCATATATTTCATTCCATTCTCCACTGCACCCTCTCTTCACTCCTACTCCTTCTTCCTCACTCCCCAGCACTGGCTGCTTTTTAAGGTGATGTGATTTCTGGATTTGTGGAGGATTTAATGTTTTGAGAAATGAAACAGCACTGAAATGCTGTCATGGTGCCTGAGTTATAAAGTATTTAGGTGATTTGTGGTCCACACACATATGGAGAAAGTATCTTTACTTGAGGAAAAGCATATAGATTCTTTTGTACATCTGCACCATTTTTTAAAATCACGAATAGCATTTTAAAGTAAAAAAGAGGTAAAGTCTTGGTGGGTTTGTGTTACTTTAAATTACTTTCAAGAACAAAATTAGACCACCATTGGCTGGTTTTTCTATTTCCAAATCATATTCCCAACAGGATGCCAATGCAGTCCAGCAGTTTAATTCATTATTATACAAAGTCCAAGGGAGTGAAATTTTAACCTTTGCTTCTAACCACTTCGTGTTGGTTTTATCTGTAATTAACTTAGTGAAAGGCATCTGATGACAGATTCTTCCCTGTGCTCCAATTACCTAACTTAGGAGGTTATCCAAGGAGCTTATTTAACCACTTTCTTCTGAAAAGTGTCATGTGGTAAAACAGAAATCATAAGTAGGAATTCTAGGTGTTTTAACAGGGAATCCCAAAGAGTATTATTGGATGAGCCCACATGGGAATGTTTGTAAACCCTTGACTGGTGTGGTTAGGTCTGGGGCAGTATCATGGTCAAAAGAACACAGCACTGAAACCAAAATTAGCTTCAAAGTAACCTAAATCCTTTACATCTGTCAAAAGCAATGCTTTCTAATATCCTCTTTTTTACTCCTCTCCCATCCTCCATGCATATTCTCTGTAGTTATACCCAGACTTTTATTTTCAGGTGCCCTTCACCTGGGAAAATCTCTTCCTCTCGCCCCAGCCCTCTAGTTTCCTGTGCTTTTCTCCCCTGCCCTCTGTCTGATTTTGCCTTACAAAGCCTTACAGGGTCAGTCTGGCAAAGGTGGGAGCTCCTTAGAGGGTGGAAGAAAGGAAGACAGACAAGGAAAAGCTAGAATCTTTTTTATAGGGCAGAAGGATGGGAAAGGCAAGGGACCCTCATAAGATAATCTTTGTATTTAAATTATATAAATAAGGATATAAGAAATTTTTCTATCTGACAGCACCAAGGGACATTTTCTTAACAGTAGACTTGGTTGTCTTTTATAACAGCCGGTTGGAAATACTAGAGAAGTGCATTCCGAAGTTCCATCCTATATTATGACTCTCATTCATGACTTTACCCTAAGCCCTTCCTGAATCTACTTATATTTTAAATTTGTGCCACTCCTGGGTTCCACAATGGAAGGTAATTTGAGAATTCTCAGATTTGATAAACAACTCTAAATTTGCCTCCATATTAACTCTGTATTCTACATATACCTTTTGTGATTTCAAAGACTTTGCAATGGACAGAATGTTTGTGTGCCTTCAAAATTCATGAGTTGAAATCCTAATCCCCAGTGTGATGGTATTAGGACAATGAAGGCCTTTGGGTGGCGATTAGGTCACTAGGGTGGAGCCCTCATAAGTGGGATTAGTGCCCTTATAGAAGGGACCCCAAAGAACTCCCCAGCTCTTTTCACCATGTGAGGATAGAACAAGTTGATGACAGTCTGCAACCTGGAAGAAGGCCCTCACCAGGACCAGACCATACTGTCACCCTGACTTCCAGCCTCCAGGATACTGAGAACTAAGTTGTTTATAAGCCACTCTGTCTTTGGTATTTTGTTATAGCTACCTGAACTAAGACAGTCTTCATTTACACATATAACCTTTCCTTTTTTTAATCTCTCATTTTTGAGAAACCACTCCATTCTTTTAAGCATTTTAGTTAATCTTCTTGGATTTCATCCAGTTTGGCTATGCCTTTATAGAGGTCACAGTTGCTCACAGTGTTCTAGGTATGGTATGAATCCGTTTTGAATAAAGAATGACAGACTTGTATGATTTACTTTTAACACCCTTTTTTGCTATTACCTAGCATTATTTTTGTTAATAGCTTTCCTAAGGACAAATATCTTTCAAACCACACCATAATACTTTCTATTTTTCCTTGGTCATAACCATTGTTGACAACTGTCATAGCTATCCTTCTGTACATATGCTTGGAATTAATTGTTGTACCTGTTTAACCTGTGCCCACATGATATCTTATTTGCCATTTCCTTTCATCCCTGGGATTATAACCATACCCTGGGGATTGTGATCCAAGAACAACTTAATGGAAATTGTAAGATAAATTATAATCATTTACTACATAAGCATGAATAACATAATGAGTGGAAGAAGACAAAGAATACTCTTTGGCAGGAGGCAAAAAAGGATTAATAGTAGGAGAAACCAGTAAAAATAAAACCTGATTTTCAAAAGATCTTTAAGTTTCCACATGTAAGTTTCATATGGTAGAACAGTTTTTTTTTTTGACTACATTAAAGTTCCTCATTTTATTTAAACCATAAAAACATTGTGTCAAGAAGATATTAACATGCATTAATGTTATTTAAACATGATTAAAAATCATGGAATCTGGAATTTTGAAAATATGGGTCCTGAAAACTTTTGGCCATGGGCTTGTTTTTAAAGTAATTGCTTTTTTCACCCATGCTTCCCAATTAGCAGCAGATCCAGCAATCTGGAATCCTCCTAGCCAAGTTCACACCGATCATCTCAGGCTTGTTCTTTGCTCCCACTTTTGTTTTCATCATTTGCTGCATTCTATAACTATATTCAGCTTCTGGTCCTTTATTTTTTAAAACAATATTTAATTGACAATAAAGATTGTATATATTCAAGGTGTACAGTGTGATGATTTGATATACATATACCCTTTGTTTTTATTTCTTTTCTGTCTAAATCCACTCCCACCCAATTCATTATTGACATTAATGAATACATTTGACTTATTCTCGGTAACCCTCAGCTTTATGTAGGGATACAGTGTGTGTGTGTTTATATATATATATAGTAGGATAGTTTATTGAGAAGAGCATTTTAACTAAATGTAGTAGAAAAACTATTTACAAGCAGGCAATTCTCTGGTGAGTCTAGCTGCCTTCTACTAGGGTGTATGTTAAAGAGATAAAAATATTTACATCGAGTGTGGTGGCTCATGCCTGTAATAACAGAACTTTGGGAGGCCGAGGCAGGTGGATTACTTGAGGCAAGGAGTTCGAGACCAGCCTGGCCAACATGGTGAAATCCCGTCTATACAAAAAATACAAAAATTAGCCCAGTCTGGTGGCGCATGCTTGTAACTCCAGCTACTTGGGAGGCTGAGGTGGGAGGATCACTTGAATGGGGGACGCGGAGGTTGCAGTGAGCTGAGATCATGCCACCGTACTCCACACTGGGTGACAGAGTGAGACTTCATCTCAAAAAAAAAAAAAAAAATTAAAATTGTGCAACTCTTCTAAGTTTTGTGATTTGGAAAATATAGTAAATTTTCATTAAGATGTTGTTTGTGCTAACCTTTAATGTGTTTATTGTCGTTTTAAAACTAATAAATATTTAAACATTCTCAATGTAATTTTCTAATATTAGAAATATCAGTACACACAATCCACATGAACTTTGAGGCCCTTCACTTTTGAGAGTGTAAAGGGATGTTGAGGCCAGAAAGTTTGAGAACTGCTAGACTTTAGAGAATCCAAATGTCATTTCCACCTTCTTTGTGTACATTAAGTATTTACTTTTTCAAAGGGTCCATTACATTTCATTCACCAGAGTATATTTATCTGAGAGCATAGAGCAGTTTCCTACTGACTGGGAGTTTCAAAAGTAGAGCACAGTACATAGAACAATAAGGAAATACAGTAGCAGAGAATACAGCTACCAAGAATAATGCTAATTTCAGTTTTTTTGTGGTTCAGAGTGAGTATCTGAAATTCCATATTTAGCCTCCAAATAATAATTTTATAAACTGGGCTTATTTTATAGTCTTGAAAGTACAAGCGTTGCTTTTTCTGCAGTGATAACGTTCATGAAGGGAAAAGAAAACTGCAAAATCAGGAAAAGTCATTTAATTTTTAAAAAGTTTAGGAAATTCTGTGCTTTAAAAGATGAGTTAAAGAGAAGCCTCAATATTTCAGGTAGAGAAAACTGAAGAGGTAAAGAAATTAAGTTTATGAAACTAGCTCATTTTTTCTGTTTCCAAGATGAGTAAAGATACTGCAAGAGTCACCTCATGGCCATATTTTACACACACTCCCCTTCTAACTACATGTGAAATAAGACATGAATGACATTTGATTGAGGCCCGATAAGGACCATAAATTTCTCAGAAAATATAACTAGGATGTTATAGAGTCGTTAAATAATCCTTCAATGTAACCAAACCATTGTGGAACAGATGAAATGAATTTGTAGTTGCAACTGTCTACTTCTGAATGCTCAAAGATATACACTAACAAAATCTTTAGATGAAAACAGAGGAGATTTAGAGACAGGTTTGAGATTTCTTACGAGAACTTAGAGTTACGTCAAATATAGAACAATTAACCTGTGACTTTGTCCGTGTAGAATGAGGCACTGATAGGTGGTGTGGTAGGTAGAATAATGACCACTTCAAAGATGTCTACATCCTAATTCTTGGAATGTGTGAATATGTTGCCTTACAAGGCAAAAATGACTTTGAAGATGTGATATTAAAGACTTTAAGATTTAGAAATTATCTTGGATTATCCAAGTGGGCTCAAGCTAATCTTAAGAGCAGACAACCTTTCCCATTGTGATCAGAGAAAGGAAGATGGAATTACAGAATGGTCAGAGAATTGCATTTCTCTGCATTTTTGTTGCATTTGGCTTTGAAGATGGGGGAGGGAGTCATGAGTCATGGAATGTGGAAAGTCTCTGGAAGCTGGAAAAGGCGAGAACGTTGATTTACCCTTAGAGTCTCCAGAAAGGAACACAGTCCTGCAGACACCTTGATTTTGGCCCAGCGAGAGCCTTGTTGGACTTCTAGCCTACAGAACCGTCAGATAATACATTTGGGTTGCTTTAAACCTCTAAGTTTATGGTAATTCATTATGGTGGAAAATGAATACAGCAGAGTCTTTGAAGTTGGACATTTTTCTGACTCCCAACTCTTCACTCTCAAGTACAGTATTGTGTAGGCTGTACTATGCAGCTAACATATTAACCAAGTAATAAGAGAAGAAGCCAAGAGATATTATGTTGGTTTTCTATTTCTGTCATGAGGAACACATGGGAACCTATTTCTAAGTCTTTCCTTCTATCAATGAATGAGTTAGGAAGGTAGCCTCCTGAAGAAATTATTTAAAAATCTTGATTTTTCTTTGGGTAGATAAAGAAAAGAAAAGTAGTAAAAAAGAGTCTTAAAATTATTCAAATCAATGAAATTCTTCATTGTAGTTATTTAAAGTCCATAGACATATAGATTTCAATGTATAGGAGAGAATGGGCTCAGTAAAATGTTAAAAAATATTTGTTAATATTTTGAGCCTTGATCTAGTAGTATGATAGTGGTAGGAATAAGTCAAGGTAGGACAAGAAAAAAGAAAAGAAATGAAAATTTACCAAGCTGCTTGGAGAGAAAACTGCAGTTTCTATTTCTTTCACCCTCACGTAATTTTGTTGACTTCAAGCCAAAGATGCCTAGAGGGAGACCAGCAAGTACGAACGATAGCAGCAGTGAAGAGGGAAGGAGGCCGTTACTCCGAATGTAAAATTAGAAGTGCCAAAGCAGTTTGAAGCCAGTGAGGCAGTTTGCCAAGCCAGGAAAACATCAGTGCTTGCTGCCTTTACATGCTCCACCTGGTACAGGGACCAGGACAAATTAAGTTGTGTTTACATTCAGCATTTTTATTTTGAAACTTGTATACTTTGTCATCAACATTTATTTTAAATGATTGGCTTTAAATTGGCTTTAAATTACTTCAGAGTAATTTTAGTACATCTTAGGGGTGACAGTTTTCCTATGAATGACCGCTGAAAGTCAGGGGTAAATTAGGGTTACCTGAAGCAATTTGAATTTTTTTTAAACGGTTGTTCCCTTCTGTGTCCATTCAAAACCTACCTGCATTTCATAACCCTAGTATAATGGGAATAAGTTTTTTTTTTTTTTTTTTTTTGCCAAAACCTTCTGGAACATGCTGAATATCATGGTATGAAGAAAATATTTAGTAAAATTGCTAAGCAAGGGGTTTAGAGCTAACACCCTAATCACTTGTTTCTCACCCAGATGGTGTCCCAGATCCAATATAAATTTTCTACCAGGACGTAAAAAAAGCAAACCTTTAACCAGCCATGCGTTTTGTTTGAAGTCTCAGGGCACTTAGGAAATGCCTCATGAGTATAAGGAGATTTAATTGCTTGAGCAGTGCATTAGGAGGTCTGAGAAGGGATAAAAATGGGGAAAAAGTGTTTTCTATGTGGTCTGAATTATATTCCCCAGCTGGGCTTAGTTTATAGAAAGTCAGCATTTTGAACTACCTCTGGCTTCCCTCTACAGTTCTAGGAAGATGCAGCTAACTTAGCTAATTTTCAAGGCACGAGAAGGTGCTAGAAACATGACCTCCAAGCTACTGTTTATATATCAAGGGGTTTATTTCTTCAGTATCTTAACTTCCAAAACAATAGTTTGGATAGTGTTTCAATGCTAATGTGACATGAGCAGACATGTTGTATGGGTTCACAATATTAATTAGCATTAACCATAGTCAAGTAAGCTTCAAGTCCACGAAAACAGCATGAAATGTTGGTGTCCTGACCTAAGAGAATAATGTCTAAAATGCCAAGAGAAGGATGGAAAATATGTAACACCTCATTAAATATAGTGTTACTACACTGTAATTTTTTTTCTGTAACTCTGAATCAGAGCATCCAATAAATTTTACACGGGACGAATGTACTTCTATAAAAACAATGTTCTTTCCTGTTCCAGAGGATGCTGATAAAATGTAAGGGATGTGGAACGTAAGAAATGAAATACAGTAACAGCTACCACAGGGAAGTGCTGCCTTTGGCTTGGACCCATGGATAGAGCACTGGAACAGAAGTCTGGGGTTTCAGCCTGTCTTTATCCATAGATAAAGGATGAGCAGATAAAAGATGCTTAGTTCCTCTCATGAGCTTCTTATTTCATAATACAATGTCAGTAACATGGAGCATTATTGTAAAGACTATGTTAGAAAAAGGAAGCAAGACTTCCAATGTGGTGCCTGACATCTGGTGCTTAATGAGGTTGGCTTTATTCTCTCCCTGGCCTTAACCTGCAAAACCAGGATAATAATGCTTATTGCATCCCCTCCCCATCTGTCCAGCCAGCGATCCTACAGGGAATCATCCTTCCCCCACCTTTTTTTTTTAACTTTTATTTTAGTTTCAGGGGTACATGTGCAGGTTTGTTATATAAGTAAATTGTGTGTTGCCAGGGTTTGGTGTAAAGATTATTTCACCAGCCAAGTAATAAGCACAGTACCTGATAGGTAGTGTTTTTGATTCTCATCCTCCTCCTAGTCTCTTTCCCTCAGGTAGGCTCCAGTGTCTGTTGTTCACTTCTTTGTGTCCATGTGTACACAATGTTTAGCTTCCACTTATAAGTGAGAACATGGTATTTGGCTTTTTTGTTCCTGTGCTAGTTCACTTAGGATAATGATCTCCAGCTCCATCCATGTTGCTGCAAAGGACATGATCTCATTCTTTTTTTATGGCTGTGTAGTATTCCATTGTGTATATGTCACACATTTTGTTTACCCAGTCTACCATTGATGGGCATTTAGGTTGATTCCACATCTTTGGTATTGGGAATAGTGCTGCAATGAACATACAAGTGCATGTATCTTTATGGTAGAATGATTTATATTCCTTTGGGTATATACCCTATAATGAGATTGCTGGGTTGAATGGTAATTCTGCTTTGAGATCTTTGAGAAATCACCAAACTGCTTTCCACAATGTGTGAAATAATTTACATTCCCACCAGCTGTGTATAAGTGTTTCCATTTCCCTGCACCCTCACTAGAATCTGTTATTTATTGACTTTTTGATAATAGTCATTCTGACTGGTGTGAGATGGTATCTCATTGTGGTTTTGATTTGCATTTCTCTAATGATTAGAGACACTGAACATTTTTTCATATGCTTGTTGGCTGCGTGTGTGTCTTCATTTGAAAAGTGCCTGTTCATGTTCTTTGCCCATGTTTTAATGGGGTTGTATGTTTTATGCTTATTGATTTAAGCTCCTTATAGATTCTGATGCATAGTTTGCAAATATTTTCTCCCATTCTGTAGGTTGTCTGTTTAGTCTGTTGATAGTTTCTTTTGCTGTGAAGAAGCTCTTAAATTTAATTAGGTCACATTTGTCAATTTTTTTTTTTTGTTGCAATAGCTTTTGGCATCTTTGTCATAAGATCTTTGCCAGGTCCTATTTCCAGAATGGTACTTCCTAGGTTACCATCTGGGTTTTTATAGTTTTAGGTTTTACATTTAAGTCTTTATTCCATCTTGAGTTGGTTTTTGTATATGGTAATAGGCAGGGGTCCAGTTTCAATCTTCTGCATATGGCTAGCTAGTTATCCCAGAACCGTTTATTAAATAGGGAGTCCTTTCTTTGTTGCTTGTTTTTGTGACTTTGTTGAAGATCAGATGCTTGTAGGTGTGCTGCGTTATTTCTCAGCTCTCAATTCTCTTTTATTGGTCTGTGTATATGTTTTTGTAGTGGTACCGTGCTGTTTTGGTTACTGTAGACTTATAGTACAGTCTGAAATTGAGAAATGTGATGCCTCTAGTTTACTCTTTTTTTCTTAGGTTTGCCTTGGCTATTTGAGCTCTTTTTTGGTTCCATATGAATTTCAAAATAGTTTTTTCTAATTATATGAAGAATGTCATTGGTAGTTTGATAGGAATAGCATTGAATCTGTAAATTGCTTTGGGCAATATGGCCATTTTAATGATATTGATTCTTCCTATCCATGCACATGGGATGTTTTTCCATTTGTTTATGTCACCTCTGATTTCTTTGAACAGTGTTTTATAATTCTCATTGTAGAAATCTTTCACCACCCTGGTTAGCTATATTTCTAGGTTTTGTCTGTGTGTGTGTGTGTGTGTGTGTGTGTGTGTGTGTGTATGTGTGTGTGTGGCTATTGTGAATGGGATTGTATTCTTGATTTGAATCTCAGCTTATATGTTGCTGGTGTATAGGAATGATACTGATTTTTGTACATTAATTTTGTATACTGAAACTTTGCTGAAGTTGTTTATCAGATCAAGGGGTTTTGGTCAGAGGTATGGAGTTTTCTAGGTATATAGAATCATATCTGCAGAGAGGGATAGTTTGACTTCTTCTCCTCCTATTTGGATGCCTTTTATATCTTTCTCTTGCCTGAATGCTCTGGCAAGGACTTCTAGTATTATGTTGAATAGGAGTGGAGAGAGAGGGCATTCTTGTCTTGTTCTGGTTTCCAAGGGGAATGCTTCCAGCTTTTGGCCATTCTGTATGATGTTGGCTGTGGCTTTGTCATAGATGGCTGTTACTATTTTGAAGTATGTTCCTTCAATGCCTAGTTGAGGGTTTTCATCATGAAGGCATGTTGGAGTTTATCAAAAGCTTTTTCTGCAGCTGTTGAGATAATCATATGGTTTTTGTTTTTAGTTCTGTTTATGTGATTAATTAGAGTTATTGGTTTGCATATGTTGAACCAACCTTGCATCCCAGGGATAAAGCCTCCTTGATCCTGGTAGGTTAGCTTTCTGATGTGCTACTGGATTCAGTTTGTTAATATTTTGTTGAGGATTTTTGCATCTATGTTCATCAGGGATATTGTCCTAAAGTGTTCTTTGTGTGTGTGTGTGTGTTTCTGCAAGCTTTTGGTATCAGGATGATACTGGCCTCATACAATGAGTTAGGGAAGAGCCCCTCCTCCTCAATTTTCTGAAATAGCTTCAATAGGAATGGTACCAGCTCTTTATGCATCTGGTAGAATTTGGCTGTGAATCTTTCTGGTCCTGGACTTTTTCTGGTTGGTAGGCTTTTTATTACGGATTCAATTTCTGAACTCATCATTGGTGTGTTCAGAGATTCAGTTTATTTCTGGTTTAATCTTGGAAGGTTGCATTTCCAGGAATTTATCCATTTCTTCTAGGTTTTCTAGCTTGCGTGCATAGCAGTGTTCATAGTAGTCTCTGAAGGCTTTTTAAAATATTATTTCTGTGGGGTTGGCGGTAATGTCCCCATGGTTATTTCTGATTGTGTTTATTTGGATATTCTCTCTTTTTTTCTTTATTAGTCTAGCTAGTAGTCTATCCATCTTAATAATTCCCCTTGTTTTTTGAGAAAGCAAAATATTTTGATGACTGTTTAAAAATGGAAACGTGTTCTTCTGAGGTGAACAATACTTCAAATACCATTGATTATGATGAGGACAGTTGTCATAATAGAGGTATTATTGAGAGAACAAAGTTAGAGAGGCAAAGCAGAATAGGAAAAGCTACATAGTGGGGGTGACACCAATTCCCTGGTGGGAGGAGAGGGGAAGGGGGTCACTACTTGGGAAGAGGAAGAGAGATGGGGACACCCTGGGGATGCATTTCTCCTCCTGGATGTTTTGTTAAGTCTCAAACACTGTGTTGGCCAGGGACTGTTGGTCTGTTTCTCACCTTAAGGATCAGTTGCTGCTTTATTTAGCATTTAGTTTTGGGGAAAGAAAATTGGTATAAATTTATTAAACTGTATTGAAGAAATCTAAATGATATGGAAAACATGGTAATATTTTAGTGATTTAATTGTAAAATTCAATGAAATTAATCTGAGTAAGGATTCTTGTCACATAAATCAAGCGTTTGCAGTTCCCATTTCATGGGGCATGACGAAACCCTATCTGAACCATCTGTTCTTGCACAGTGTTAACAAACTCAAAGTTGAAAAGAGGACAGACATGTTTGTGCTTGCAAACTTTTTCCTTAAATATATTTAATGAAAAACTTTTATACCTGCCCTTGGCACTCCACCCTTTTATTGATTATATCTTCTTGGTAAACAAATTTCTCTTAAATTTGATAAAATCTTAAATCGAACTAAAGTTCAGTGAATGCAATTTTATTTTTACCTTTATCAAACCCTAAAATGCCAATGATACTTTAAAAAATCATGTATTCTTCTTGTTAAATTTTTGTTTGGTCCCACATTAATCTTTCTCCTAAAATAATTCAAACTCAGCTGACTGATAAACTTACCTGTAAATTTTGACCCAACTTAATATCTTCAAAATCTTTGGACAATTTCAATGTATTCATTTTTCCTAAATGTGGACATAGCTACAAGGCACGATCTGTGAACCAGGAAGCAGGCCCTCACCACACACCAAAACTGTTTGTGCCTTGCTCTTGGAATTCTCAGCATCCAGAATGGTAAGAAATAAGTTCTGTTGTTTATAAATTATTCAGACTAAGATACTTTGCAATAGTAACACAAACAGACTAAGACAGTCATGTAGCATTTCATTAAAAGGGTAATTTTAACTAAAAAGCATAGTTTAGATTTTCTCTGGTGGTTCATGAATTACTACTAGAGGCCATTCAGAAAGATGACTTCCAACAATAATTTGAGCAATGGTTGCATGAATTAAAATATGAAATAATATTAGGAGGTGAACATTTCAGAGATTAAAAAAACACATGAATGCTTACATTTTGGTTGATCTTATAAAGAATATGCAAAACCATGGGATAATGTGAATTCTGATAAGTTTTGGTGATGGATTTCATTCGCCACCCATGTGGGGTTTGGTCGGGGTAGGTATGCAAGATATAGTTTGTCTTTTTAAAAACATAATTGATCTATCTAGTCAGGGAAAATATCTAATCAGGGAAAATATCTAATCAGTGAAAATGTCTTTGTTCAAACAGTTCATAGAAAATATATTCATGAAAATATCTAATCAGTGAAAACATCTAATCAGTGAAAATATGTTTGCTCAAACAGTTCATAGGAGATGGAGTAGAAAAAATTAGTTTTTCTTAGCCTTGTAATACTTCAATCCTTCATAAAATTGCAGTTTTTTGATCTTATTTACAGCTTTTGTTGGTTTTACTGTATTAGTTACACATTTTCATAGTCATTCCTCATTTCTTTTCTTTCTTTTTTTAAATTAAATAATTCTTTAAAAAAGAATCTCTCCGCTTGAGGGGGGATAGGACCAAGTCTTTGTATTCCTGGCATGTATGCTGTAATACAAGTAATTACAATTATAATGTCAGTAAGCACTAACATATTATTTGTAATGTGCTCAACATTATTTTAAACAATTTTTCATTTTAACCGATTTAAAGCTATGAAGCAGGCTTTATATATATATATCTGCTCTCCAGTTTATGAGAAAATTGAGTTAAAGAGAGGTTAAAAAGCCCATTCTAACAGCACACAGCTAGTAAGTAGTTGCATAGTGATTCAAACACAGTTGGCTCCAGAGCTCATGCTCCAGCTAAAAGTTGTATGATGTGCTATGGTCTGAATCTTCGTGTGTTTCCTAAATTCATATATTGATAGTTAAACTGCAATACAATAGTATTAAGAAGTGGGTCCTTTGTGAGGTGGTTTAATCAGGAGGGTTGAACCTTCATGAGTGAGATCCATCTCCTTATAGAAGAGGCCCACAGGAGCTTGTTCACCTCTTCCATGTGAGAACACAGTAAAAAGACACTGTTTATGAGCCAGAGAATCAGGCCCTTACAAGACACTGAATCTGCCCTGATCTTGGACTTCCAGCCTCCAGAACTGTGAGAAATAAATTCCCATTGTTTACAAGTCACCGTGTCTATGGTTGTCTGTTTGTTTGTATTACTGTAAGCTAAAGGAATACCCGAGACTGGGTAATTCTTAAAGAAAAGATTTTTTTTTTTTTTTTTTTTTGGGCTCATGATTCTGCAGGCTGTACAAGAAGCCTGGAGACAGCATCTGTTTTTGATGAGGGCTTCAGGGAGCTTCCACTCATGGTGAAAGTGAAGGGGAGCTAATATGTGCAAAGATTACCTGGCAAGAGAGAAAGAAGGTGGCAGCTTCTTTTCAACAACTAGCTCTTGTGGAAACTAATAGAGTGAGAAGTCACTCATTACTCTGAAGACACGCTGGAACTGGGTAACAGACAGAGGTTGGAACAGTTTGGAGGGCTCAGAAGAAGACAGGCAGATGTGGGAAAGTTTGGAATTTCCTAGAGACTTGTTGAATGGTTTTGACCAAAATGCTGATAGTGATCTGGACAATAAGGTCCAGGCTGGGATGATCTCAGATGGAGATGAGGAACCTGTTGGGAACTGGAGTAAAGGTCCCTCTTGCTATGCAAAGAGACTGGCAGCATTTTGCCCTTGCCCTAGAGATCTGTGGAATTTTAAACTTGAGAGAGAGCATTTAGGGTATCTGGGGAAAGAAATTTCTAAGCAGCAAAGCATTCAACAGGAAGCAGATCATAAAAGTTTGAAAAATTTGCAGGCTTAAAATGCAGTAGAAAAGAAAAACCCATTTTCTGGGGGAGAAATTCAAGCCTGCTGCAGAAAATTGCATAAGTAATGAGGAACCAAATGTTAATAACCAAGACAACAGGGAAAATGTCTCCAGGGCATGTCAGAGACTTTCATAGCAGCTCTTCACCTTACAGGCCTGAAGGCCTAGGAGAAAAAAAAATGTTTTCCTTGGCCAGGTCCAGGGCTCCCCTGCTGTGTGCAGCCTCCGGACATGGTGCCCCGTGTCCCAGCTGCCTCAGTTCCAGCCATGGCTAGAAGAGGCCAAGGTACAGCTCAGGCTGTGGCTTCAGAGGGTGCAAACCCCAAGCCTTGGTGGCTTACACATGATGTTGGGCCTGCAGGTGTACAGAGGTCAAGAAATGCAGTTTGGGAACCTCTGTCTAGATTTCAGAGGATGTATGGAAATTCCTGGATGTCTAGGTAGAGTTGTGTTCCAGGGGCAGAGCCCTCATGGAGAACCTCTGCTAGGGCAGTGCCAAAGGGAAATGTGGGATGGGAGTCCTCAAACAGAGTTCTTACTGGGACACTGCTTAGAGGAGCTGTGAGAAGAAGGCCACCATCCGCTAGACCCCAGAATGGTAGATCCAGACTGCTTGCACCGTGTGCCTAGAAAAGCTACAGAAACTCAATGACAACCCATGAAAGTAGCCAGGAGAGGGGCTATACCCTGCAAAGCCACAGGGGCAGAGCTACCCGAGACCATGGGAATCCACTTGAATCAGTGCAACCTGGATGCGAGACATGGAGTCAAAGGAGATTATTTTGGAACTTTAAGGTTTAAAGACTGCCCTGTTGAATTTTAGACTTACGTGGGGCCTGTAGCCCTTTGTTTTGGCCAACTTCTTTCATTTGGAATGGGTATATTTACCCAATGCCTGTACCCCGGTTGTGGTTTGGCTGTGTCCCTGCCCAAATCCCATCTTGAATTGTAGCTCCCATAATTCCCATGTGTTGTGGGAGGGACCTGATGGGAGATAATTGAATCATGGGGGCAGTTTCCCACAAAACTGTTCTTGTGGTAGTGAATAAGTCTTATAAGATCTGATGGTTTTATAAGGGGAAACCCCTTTCACTTGGCTCTCATTCTCTCTTGTTTGCTGCCATAGTAAGATGTGCCTTTTGCCTTTTGCTGTGATTGTGGGGCCTCCTCAGCCATGTGGAACTGTGAGTTCCTTCAACCTTTATATATATATATAAAAATTACCGAGTCTCGGGTATGTCTTTATCAGCAGTGTGAAATTGGACTGATACAACCCCCATTGTATCTGGGAAGTAATTAACTTGCTTTTGATTTTACAGGCTCATAGGTGGAAGAGACTTGCCTTGTCTTAGATGAGACTTTGGACTGTGGACTTTTAAGTTAATGCTGAAATGAGTTAAGTAAGACTTACTTTGGGGGACCATTGGGAAGGCATGATTGGTTTTGAAATTTGAGGACATGAGATTTGGGAGGGGGCGGGGGCAGAATGATATGGTTTGGCTGTGTCCCTACCCAAATCTCACCGTGAATTGTAATAATCCCCACGTGTCAAGGGTGGGGCCAGGTGGAGATAATTGAATCATGGGGGCGGTTCTCATGGTAGTGAATAAGTCTCATGAGATATGATGGTTTTATAAATGGGAGTTCCCCTGCACAAGCTCTCTTGCCTGCTTCCATGTAAGACATGACTTTGTTCCTCATTCACCTTCCACCATGATTGTGAGGCCTCCCTAGCTATGCTGAACTGAGTCAATTAAATGTTTCCTCTTTATAAATTACCCAGTCTTGGGTATGTCTTTATTAGCAGTGTGAGAACAGACTAATACACACACCAAGTCATTTATGAGAGATCTGCCCCCACAACCCAAATACCTGTCATTAGGCCCCATCTTCAACATGGGGATCAGATTTCAACATGAGATTTGGAGGGGTTAAACAAAACAAACTATAGCAATGGTATTTTGTTGTAGCAGTCTGAATGAACTAAGACAAGCTGCTATATATATTTTTTCACTGGTTCATTATTTGTTCATTTAGAAAAAAATATTAAGCACTAACTGCATCAGGCAGTATTTTGGGCATAAGAAAGTCAAGATAAAAGATCGCATATTGGCCTTCATACCTGACTCAGCCTAGCTAGGAGGAGAAAGTTCAGCAAAGTTTTACAATGTTGAATCTTTTTTTTTTTTTTTTGAGACAGAGTCTCGCTCTGTTGCCCAGGCTGGAGTGCAGTGACCCCATCTCGGCTCACTGCAAGCTCCGCCTCCTGGGTTCACGCCATTCTCCTGCCTCAGCCTCCTGAGTAGCTGAGACTATAGGCGCCCGCCACCACGCCCGGCTAATTTTTTGTATTTTTAGTAGAGACGGGGTTTCACCGTGTTAGCTAGGATGGCCTTGATCTCCAATCTCCTGACCTCGTGATCCTCCCGCCTCAGCCTTCCAAAGTGCTAGGATTACAGGCGTGAGCCACTGCGTCCGGCCCTGAATCTTGAAAAAGTAATTACTCCAAGAACCAGGAAGAGATAAATGTTCCAGGCAGAGAGAAGAAAATACAAAAAAAAATAGAGGAGGGAAATTGAACATTTGGGAAATGCAAGTATAACTACATTGTAGAGTGTGTCAAGGACAGTTGAAGAAAGAGGATAGTGTAGTGAGGCAGGGACCAGATTATGGCTGGTTTTGAGAACCACATTAAGGGCTTAGAACTTCAACCATAAATGATGGAGGGAGGCTTTAAAGAATTTTAAGAGCTTGTAATGTTGATGACCTCTTAGTGCTATACTAAGATTTTCTGTACCTTCCTTTTGTTGTTTTTCTCATAGTACTTAGAGCATTCAAAGATGATGTGTATGTTAGTTATATAGATATTGCACACAGACTTATAAGACATTCCTGCAAATTAGGTCAAAGCAAATTCTACATGTTGGGTAGTCTACTATTTATGGCAAGTATGTACCGTAACCATTAAAAGAAACAAGAGAAAACGGAAAGTAAGCCTCAGAGTGTACTTGGTATGAATGCCCAGTGTGCTTGAGGAATGGAATTGTCCAAGAAACTGTAGGCCAGGCCAATAATTACAAACAGGTACCCTTCCTTTGACAATGTACTTTTGAAACTGCCTCTGTAATTACATTGTAATGGTTAAGCAGATATATTTGGTAATCATTTAATGCTTTGTTTGTACTATCTACTACTCATACATTTGTAAATAAATTTTTAAATGGGTACATTTTCCTGGAAATACTTTGAAAAAAAATTCTCTCTTGATTGTGTGGGTAAAGAAGTGAAAAATCCATGTTGAATTTTAATTCAGCTAAACACTGATTAAGAAAGACAAAATTAGAGTCTTTCTTCCTTCTTTCTGGCAGTGTATAAGAGGTGATATATGTGCATCTTAGATAGCTAGATGAGATTGCCAATGTGTCACTGTTATCCTCAAGGCAAGTTAGTTAGGTAAACCAGCTGAAATGATGAGGGCTCACTGTCTTTAATATGATAAAGAAGAAAGCATGCTTTCCTGCATGTTCTATGAATACAAAATGATGTGATTCCCAAAAGATAAAAATGTACTTCATTTTGGCAGGCTGCGGCATGCTTAACGGGTGTCATTTTAACATTATTGCTGCAGCAATCAAAATGTTGAAGCAGAATCAGAGATTTTGGTTAAGAAATACATGTACAACCTGAAAAATTCCTCATTCTTTTGGGGGCTTGGCAGAAAACTTTCACCTCCAGTTGATCGGGCTTAAAAGTGAATCCTTGTTAGGTTGAAAATGTTATAAGTCATAGTACCCAAGTCCTTATTACTATGATGACATTAGCTTTAATAATTTGTCATGCTTGCTAAAACTTGGGCAAATGGTGCACGCTTCTATGCCTAAAACCCCTCACAAATGCCACCTTCTTTGTAAAGATCTCTAGTTCCTCTCCTGTTCTCATCTGTATAGAGCTTTATAAAAAGTAAATGTTTTTTGAATGAATTATTTTACCATCTACATTATACATATATTTTAAAAGTTTTTACTGGAGACATAATTCATTACCACAAAGTCCCCCCTTTTAAAGTGTACATTTCAATGGTTGTTAGCATTTTCATGAAGTTATGCAATCATCACCACTATCTAATTCCAGAATATTTTCATCACCCCACAAAGAAACCCAGTACTAATTAGCAGTCACTCCCCATTCCTCCCCCTCCTCCAGCTGCTGGCAAAACACTAATCTATTTTCTGCCACTTTGGATTCGCCTATTTTGAACATTTCATGCAGATGGAAGCATACAAAATGTGGCCTTTTGTGACTGGCTTCTTTGACTTAGTATAATGTTTTCAAAGTTCATCATGTTGTAGTGTATACTTTTTTCCATTTTATTGTAGAATAATAGCCTCTTGTTTGAATATACCACACTTTGTTCATCCTTTCATCAGCTGATGAAAGGTGATTTGAACTTTTTGGTTATCATGAATAATGCTGCTAGAAGCATTCATATACAAGTTTTTGCATAGATCATGTTTTACATTTAAATGTATTTTATTGAAATGAAAATACTAATATTTAAAAACTATTCAATCACTACAACATAAAAATATCAAAAATAAATAAAATATACTATTAATCATTTTGGTTTATTTCCTTTTAGATTCTTTGGTTAGTTTTATAGTGTTTTTATTTAAAAGAGAAAATGGTATCAAAATATGAATATTGTTCCATATTCTATTTTTACTTTACTTTCCTTATTGTAAAGCATATACAGTATATATATTCCTAGGATAGAATTTTTAATCATTGCATATAGCTTCATATTTTGTTTTAATTTTTAGATTGCATTTCTGTACACTATTAATTGCATTTCTTGAGGACAGTTGCTTTTCTTGTCCCTGATTGTATCTCTTTCTTTTGCTTCCATTAGTATCTCATGGATACTAGTCTCTTGCTGAGACTAGTAAGAGTAATAGTCTCTTGCTGAAATAAATTTATAATGCATATGGAATCATAGAATGTCCAGGGTTGCAAGGAATCTCATGGGTCAACAGTACTGTGAATAACATGGGTGATACAATCTTTTAGATAAAGTGGGTTTTAATTAATGACTATAATTTTGGCCTTTAAACTGCACTTTACCATTCTGGTGTATTCTTTAACTAAACCACTTGGGAAGGTTGAAAGAAGAGTAGAACATTTGTTCCAGTCAAATAATGAGTAAGATTTAGTAGCTTCCTGCATTTCTGTATGATAAACTTTGAAATTTGGAGAGAGCCAATAAACAGTTTTTTGGTTAGTTTGTGTTGGTGAAAATGCATATTATTTTCTGAAATAATGAAATGTTTAACAAAGTCATTTAAAGAATGTTCAGCTATCTCCAGTGTTGTCTTGTTAGATATTCACAGGTTGTTTCAAAAGAGTAAACATTTGATTCTATGCTGGGTCCAAGCTTTATATTCTGACATCTTTGTTGACACTTTATCTGCTGTTGAATCGTAACATCACTATCTCTTGCCAACTTGAGTTTGTTCCAATTTTTAAAATATCGTTAATCCTAGCTCCTAGATTGTGGCATTGAAATACTATTTCCCACTGAGGCAACCAGAACTTTTTGGAGAAATGGCTGATTGCAGGCTCGGGGGCAGTATATGTATAAGATCAACCTGTAACACCTTGTCATGCCAGATTTCAAGGAACCCACCAGAGACCATCAGGGTCATGAGAAAAGGCTTCAGAAACCAACTTGAAGAGGCCAACTCACTGGCCAAAAATGGAACAATTTGGGCTTTTAATAAGGATTTTAACTGACGTGGAGTGAACCCCATCAGAGATATTTAAATCCTTAAATTCATAAAGATATTTAAAAATTAATTGATTATCTTTGGAAGATGCTGAATCAATTCATTGTTTCAAAAACTGGTTAAAAGGAAAGAGAAAAACCCAAGCGTTCAGTCCCTCTCTCATATGAACTGTCTCACTGGGTAATCAATAGTAGATGAGGGGAAGCATCTCTTTAACAAGAGTATTCCAATGAATGAATGAGAAAGAAGTGATAGAATTATCACCATTTTGCAACACACATGAAATACGATCTAGGTATTCAGCTGCTAATGTCATGACCAGAGTGAAAATCAGACCTTCTGTGCCTCCTAAAGGGAGAGAAGTACAGCAACACCTATAACCTTGACAAAGGGATGCAATCTGAGATTGATCAAGACTCTGTATCTAGCTGCCAATTTGCAGAAAATAGAGAGGACTGAGAAGCTTGCTGAATTGCACTGTGAATATCAATCAACAAAATCCTGACCGAGAGAAGCTCTACAGGTTAAAATGGCTGTGTTTTTACACAGATGGACTGTAAGGAAAAGAAGGAGATGGAGGGAGATGCTGTATATTGGAAGTAACAGACGTGTTGATTTCTAAAAAATTGAGGTAAATTATACATAATATCTGGGGCTTATCATTTTGATGATAAGACTATACAATGCAAGAAAGAAATTACTTTGAAGATACTGTAAAGGCAAGAGAGTGGTTTCTTTGTGGAGAAAGAGGTGGCTGCATTTGAGTTGGGGCACATAGAGGGGGCTTCTAGGTGGCTGGCAAAGCTCTACTTCTTGGTTCAGGTGAGGATGTCAAGGGCATTGTATTCGTTCTCTATTATTGCTGTAACAAATTGCTATAAACTTAGAGGCTTAAAAAAACCACAATTTATTTTCTCATGGTTCTGTAGGTCAGAAGTCCAGGTGAGCTTGACTTGCTTCTCTGCTATGAGTCTCATAAGGCTAGAATCACATTGCTGGTCAGCTGGGCTCTTATCTGGGGCCTCTGAGCAAGAGCTCACTTCCAAGTTCATTCAGATGATTGCCACAATTCAGTTTCTTGAGGCTGCAAGGCTGAGGATTCTGTTTTATTGATGGCTATTATCTAGGAGCTCCCTCAGTGATATGGTTTGGCTGTGCCCCTACCTGAATCTCACCTTGAATTGTAATAATCCCCATGTGTCAAGAGCAGGGCCAGGTGGAGATAATTGAATCATGGGGGCAGTTTCCCTCATACTGTTCTCATGGTAGTGAATAAGTCTTTCTAGATCTGATGGTTTTATAAATGGGAGTTCCCCTACACAAACTCTCTTGCCTGCCGCTGTGTAAGATGTGCCTTTGCTTCTCCTTTGCCTTCTGCCATGATTGTCAGTCCTCCCCAGCCATGAGGAACTGTGAATCCACTAAACCTCTTTCCTTTATAAATTACCCAGTTTTGGGTATGTCTTTATTAGCCGTGTGTAAATGAACTAATATACTCAGCTTCTTAAGGCCACCCCTACATTGCCCCCTTCATCTTCAAACAGCAGCAGTAAACGGAGTCCCTTTTTCGTTTTGAATCTCTCAGAGTTCTCCTTCTATTGCAACTCTTCTGCTTTCCTCTGCTGCTTTGAAGGGCTCATGTGATCACATTGGTCCCATATGAGAATACAGGATAAGCTCCCTATTTTAAGGTCAGTTAATAAGTATCCTTAGTTCCATCTTCAATGTCTCTTCACAGCAGTACTTAGGTGAGTGTGTTTGATTGAATAACCAGGGGACTAGAATCTTGGGAGGATGTCTTTAGAATTCTGCCTGCCAAAGGTGTGATCGCCTTATACCTTGTTTTGTGTTGTTTTATGTGTTTGTATTTTATTTCACAAATAATATATGAAGGCTAAAAAATTACTGAGATATACATGCTGGTGCCTTCTTGTGATATTTGAAAGATACTTACCAAAGGTACTTAACCTTCTTTTTAAGAAAAAAAAAGACAAAAAAGAAAATTATTTTTTTCTTAGCTGAAATATTTCTCTAAGGATAGTGAAAATGTAGGTATAAAAAAGTAAATTCTTGAACTGGCTGCTTTTGTTACTGTAACCCTAAGACATTTGTGATTAAATGATTATGTCTTAACATCTACAATTTGCATGGAATTATTAAGCATGGCTTTTAACGGGATATTCTTTATAGTGGATGCTCAGGTTCATAATGTACAAGGAATGCCTCAATCACTTTGGCAATAGCTTTTAGAAGATACTCCTTTGATTTTTTTCTGCCATTTTATAACTACTTTTTGGTATAATTGTCATTACATTTTTTCTTAATTGATGGTATGTTATACTTTATCTACACCGGGGTGGGCAGACTCTCCCTGTACAAGGCCAGACAGTAAATATTTTCAGCTTTGTGTGCCATATTGTCTCTGTTGCAGATATTTAACTCTGCCATTGTAGCCTGACAGCATATGAACAATACGTCAATTAATGGGCATGGCTGGATTTGGCCCACATATCACCACTTGTAGATCTCCTGTCTATGCATTTAAAGATTCCCTCTCCTGTTGTGTGTGTGTTCTGTATTTTACTAGGGATATATTTTCATTGTATTTGTTTATATGGGCATATTATATAAAAGTAAACAAAATGGAGACAGCCATGAAAATCTACTGCTTCTTTAGTCATAGCATAAACATTTCTTAGAATAAATTTTTACGCATCTGTAGTGTACATATCTGAATTCTTCTCTCAGCTCTGATAATAATGCTAAGTATATTTTTGTATCAACTTACTCATTCATTTATTCATTCAACAACATTTATTGAGAACCTAGTATGTGTCATCCTAGATCCTGGAGATAAGCAGTTAACCAAGCAAAGTCCCTGCTTCATCATGCATGCACTCTAGTTGACATGCTGGTATCAAGAGTCCAGGATATAATAAACTTTTTCTAACAGCTTCTCCCAGACCTGCCACAGAGCAGCATCTGAAGATAAAAGTTAATGCATTTTTGTTGTTAGATGTAAGTATTGTTTGCATATGTTTCCTATAAATTGTTCAATTACTGTTGAAAAATCTGAGTTTATGTTGTATGTTCACTATGTTTTGTTTCAGATTTACACTGGAGTATATTTGAAGGCAAAATTATTTTGAAGAATTTCACTCGAACCCATTGAATGTACTCTCAATGAATGGGCAATGTACTCTCATTCTTTATTGTCTTCAAGTTGTGTTATGCAGTTTGAGAGAGGTTTCCTTCATTTGACGTGCAGTTGTGAATGGAATCCTGGTTGAAAAATCAGCTGGTGATCATCAGGCATTTTGACAGTTTAACTTGAGCCACATCCATTCACCATATCCATCAACAAATCTTCTTGGAAGCTTTATTTTTAACCAGTGATTCATATCAATTTTCAGCTTTAGAAGGATTTATTTTTCTTACCTGGGGAAAAGAAACAGTTAGGTAAAAAGACCCCAAGACTTACAATGCATCTAGCCTTAAAATTAAAGAGTCAAATTTTAACAAGAACTTACAATAAATGCACAAAATGTTGGGCCTTTCCTTTCTATTGCATAACTGACAACTATGCTGTGATGAAGGCCTCCATCCTTAAGCTTTTCCTGGCATTAAGCCAAGTACATTACCTGTATCTTAGTCATGTCCCTTGTCACGTACTTTTACATGAGTTGACATGCATGGGCCTAAATTTAACAACAAAAAAGGTTGAGTTACAATCTACCTTCTCAATCACATGTTTATAGTATCTTTATATATCATTTACAGATATGGTTAGAGAAGCTTTATTCTAAGATTGAAAAAAACAAGTTGGTCTGGTAGCACTAAGTCTACTCTGTTGAATTTTGCTGGGTGTGTGCATGCTATGCTGACATGTACATCATACTTTCTCTTTTTTTCTTTAAAAACACACTGCAAATAAATGATATAAAAATGTATATCACAGGTTTGTAGGATTCCTGAATCTCCTCCACAAAACCCTAAGTTTCTGTAGGACAAATTTGAGAAATGTGACCTAAGTCAATCCATTTATTTTCTAGACGAGGAAAATGAGGTCCAAAGAGACGGTGTGTCCAAGGTGGGTGCCCTAAAATCAGAATCCAGGGGTCCTAGCCCCAGGTGCAGTATGTTTGCCATTGCCATGGTTCAGCTTTGTATAAGACATGTATTACAATCTCTGTAATTTACTTTAAAGTACATACAGCATGAGCAAACTTTAGCTAAGGCATTAACTTTATATGTGGCCAGATAGAATGCTAGCAGGGCAGCACAGTTCAGATGTGGCAGGGGGTATAATGTGAGAGGGGCCCACTGTGGAAACAGCTGCTACATGCCCTTTATTATATCCTTTTGTTCAACCTCTGATACTCTATGAACTAGCATATCAATTCCAAATTTGGGTTTCCATTGCTGAATCTAGTGTTTGTTGATTAGCCTGATGGATGTTAGAAATAGGCTTTGGCTCTCACTGATGAAATTAAACATATTTTGAACATATGGATTGGCTAAAATAGTTCAGAGTCTCTCCATCCTTTTTAAAAAGAGTATAAAAATGCACGAAGGCCTGACCTGATATTTTTAAGGATGACAGTCATGGTTTGATTCCCTTCAATCCAGATGTTGACTTAGGAGAATTTCTGACTGCATGGTGCTGTGTAAGCACAGAATCCTGCCTTGGAAATCTCACAGTGTCTATTTCAACTGAATGTTTCATCCCTGGGCCACCTAAAAAGCGTTCATCCAGCACACAGAACAAATAGTATAAACTCTTTTATGCTTTCTTGCTAATGAATAGTTGCTACTACATGTCTGTCTATATAAAGAAATTTATGCTGAGATTTGTTTTTATTAAAACCTAATGGTGGCCAGGTGTGGTGGCTCACTCCTGTAATTGCAGCACTTTGGGAGGCTGAGGTGGGAGGATCACGAGGTCAGGAGTTCGAGACCAGCCTGGCCAACACAGTGAAACCCCATGTCTACTAAAAATACAAAAATTAGCCGGGCACAGTGGTGGGTGCCAGTAATCCCAGCTACTTGGGAGGCTGAGGCAGGAGAGTCGCTTGAACCTGGGAGGCAGAGGTTGTGGTGAGCTGAGATTGCGCCATTGCACTCCAGCCTGGGCAACAAGAGCACAACGCCATCTCAAAAAACAAACAGCAACAACAACAACAACAAAAACAAAAAAACAAAAAACAAAAAACCTAATGGTGAGGTGTGGGAGAGTAGTAAATTTTCACTATAACAGATTCTCTCCTTCACCAAACTCTAGCCAGGCTCTTTGGAGCCCTCTTCTTGACTAGGCCTCAGCCTGGCATATAAAGACTTGAACACTCACTAATATAGTTTCTAATAGCTCAAAGTAGTGTTCCTAAGAATGACCCTAGACCCACATATAAAATGCTTGCCTGAGAACACTCAAGGCTGTCACAAGGATGTACTGTTTGTTTCAGCCAACACCTGAATACAGGGACCCTGTCTCCCAGCCTCTGTGGGAGGGAAGGAGCCTAACTCTGATAAGCTCCAGTTAGCAAAGTTGTGTGGATTTTACATGAACCAATTCCCTGTTTCTGTTTTTTTTGTAATTTTTTACTTCCCTGACTCTAATACCTGCCCCCTCCCTACTCTCTCATTCTCCCTTTAAAACAACAGTCACCTCCCTCCAAATTGAAGCTGAGTTCAGTTTATACAGAACATGTTTCCTTATTGCAATAGTACATTACTGATGAAAATCTGTCCTTACCTCTTTAGCATCCGGCTTTGTTTATTCTTGACACCATTTCAACCTTTTTGGTGACCACTAGAAATCTAAGTGTGCATAACCAAACTGGCTTCTGTAAGTTTGCAACGATGGGCTTTGTTTTGGTTTGAGAGTCAGTGGGGTCTTAAATCTTCTGCTTTCTTAATATATTTTTCCTTTTCCACTTTACCACAGCCTTTAGCTAAAGTTTAAAAAAGAGGGAGTCATCACTGTGGCTCTTTGTGACTTTCTGATGAAAGTCTTGCTGTTCTTCAACTTCAACTTCCTGTCCTTTCTGGTATACTGGCTTTTGGGACATAAAGGCTCATGATCAGTTGAAAAGATGAAATACATATCATAGTGTATTGTACAAAATAATGCCAACAATTTAAAATAGTGAAAAAGACTTAAAAAAGGAAAATCTAACATATGGAAAACATATGGCAAGGCAATTGCATAGAGGTAGCCCCTAAGAGCTGACTTTTATGATCACTAACTATATTCTGAAGTCTTGCATCCTGAGATACTTCACATGAACCGATTCCCTATTTCTGTTTTTTGTAGGTTTTTTTTACTTCCCTGACTCTAATACCTGCCCCCTCCCAACTCTCTCATTCTCCCTTTAAAACACCAGTCACCTCTCCACAAATTGAAGTTGACTTCGGTTCATGCAGAACTCATTTCCCTATTGCAATAGTACATTACTGATGAAAATCTGTCTTTACCTCTTTAACTAGTGTCTGACTTTGTTTACTTTTTACACCATTTAAATCTTTTTGGTGGCCACTAGAAATCTAAGTGTGCATAACCATTCCTTGTAGAATAGAGCTGATCTCACAGGTACTTGGTCATCAAGGTGAGGAAGGGCAGTTGGATGTTCGACCCAGGAGCTTGGAGCTCAAGTGAGCCCATGGTCCACTGGAGTTCCCAAGTACTATGGGTGGGATTGTGCATCCCCCATTCACGTGTTGATGTCAGGTTTGGATCATAATTCTGAAAGACACAATCCTGAATGCCGTAATCTCAAATGATGAAATCCCAAATGATGAAAATCCCTGCAGTATAATATCCCTTATGTCTAAAATGATGAAAGTCACAGTCACAGGATGGTTGCATCATGTCAGGTTGAACTATTACCTTGTAGTCTTTATGCAGAAGGAAATGGATTTCAATTGAATTCCCAAACCGTAATGACAGACTCGAAATTAGGTGTCATAAAGGATTATAAAAGTGAATTTCAAGGTATTACTAATGAAGTTTGTTTTTCCGTTTAGCCTAGTGCATTTGGAGGGAAATTCAGATGGATGAATTGGTCCAGTGAAAACTTCAGTTTAAAAAATGTGTCATTTGCCTGCATTGACATTCCTTCCTAGCTGACAACATTCCAGATTTTAAAGAATTAAAGCTGCATTTGGCTGAAGAAGCCAGAGAAGTTACTTAGTGTTTGAGAATAATTATGTGCACGGTAGGATAAGGAAACACACAATGGTGTTGCTGTTGAATCACCAGTATTGTTTCTGCCAAATTTGTGGTCTGCATATAGGTGCATGTGGAATGGATTTCTGAGTATCCAAAACAACATATAAGCATAGCACAGAAGATGGGAGAGTTTAATAGTTTAAGATGGGAATGCTTATGTTGGTGTCTATTGAATTATACAGTAATTTTAAAAAGAGCAGTGCCACATAGAAAATAAATGTCAACATATTCTCCAAGGAGATACATATCCCAAAAGATAAAAAGAAGCTTCTCATGATGCCAGACTTCAGAATATAGTTAGTGATTATGAAAGTTAGCTTTTAGGGGCTGTCTGTGTGCAATTGCTCACAGTCTTTCTTTGCAATGTGTTTTTTCATGTTAAATTTTCTTTTATTTTTAGTGTTTTTCACTATTTAAAATTGTTGGCATTATTTTTTACAATATGCTGTGCTATATATTTCACCTTTTCATAATCGCTAACACTGGAGATGTAAATTGTATTAAGACTTTCAGAGAGTTCTAATTTGTTTTATGTAATTTTTTACAAATGTGATTCCATGAACGTGCATCATCACAATGTTGACTAGGTGTGTAAACATTGTGCGTGTATGTAAAAATGTTATATAAGAGATATCCTTTTTGTACATTTGCATTTGTGAAAGATAAAATTTCTCGAGATACTGGCTCTTTGGGCTACTTACAGTGATGACGCGGCAGTGACCCATCATGGTTTTGGATTAATCTTATCAAAAGACTTGGGTTGTTCATCACAGTGTTTCAGATGACTGCAGTTATAAAGCTGGGTGCACACAGTTACCAGCCATAGTGATAAGCGTTCATACATTTTGCTTTTTGACCTATTTCTTTATGAATATTGTTCATCTGCTCATAATTGTTATACCTGTGTGACTGTTATTAGTATACCTCAGTGTTTATGCTTGCCAAAATGTGTATGTTACTATTACCTATTTTATTGTGTAAAGTGGCTTATGAAGTGTTCTCTTGTGTTTGTGTGTTTCTGAAATAAATCCCCTTTAAAATATAATATAAATATAATCATAAATATAATATAGAAATATTTTAAAGAATTTTATTTTATTTTTATTTTTTAATTTAATTTTTTTATTATACTTTAAGTTTTAGGGTACATGTGCACAACGTGCACAACGTGCAGGTTTGTTACATATGTATACATGTGCCATGTTGGTGTGCTGCACCCATTAACTTGTCATTTAACATTAGGTATATCTCCTAATGCTATCCCTCCCCGCTCCCCCTACACAGGCCCCAGTGTGTGATGTTCCCCTTCCTGTGTCCATGTGTTCTCATTGTTCAATTCCTACCTATGAGTGAGAACATGCGGTGTTTGGTTTTTTGTCCTTGCGATAGTTTGCTGAGAATGATGGTTTCCAGTTTCATCCATGTCCCTACAAAGGACATGAACTCATCATTTTTTATGGCTGCATAGTATTCCATGGTGTATATGTGCCACATTTTCTTAATCCAGTCTATCATTGTTGGACATTTGGCTTGGTTCCAAGTCGTTGCTATTGTGAATAGTGCCACAATAAATATACGTGTGCATGTGTCTTTATAGCAGCATGATTTATAATCCTTTGGGTATATACCCAGTAATGGGATGGCTGGGTCAAATGGTATTTCTAGTTCTAGATCCCTGAGGAATCGCCACACCGACTTCCACAATGGTTGAACTAGTTTACAGTCCCACCAACAGTGTAAAAGTGTTCCTATTTCTCCACATCCTCTCCAGCACCTGTTGTTTCCTGACTTTTTAATGATCACCATTCTAACTGGTGTGAGATGGTATCTCATTGTGGTTTTGATTTGCATTTCTCTGATGGCCAGTGATGGTGAGCATTTTTTCATGTGTCTTTTGGCTGCACAAATGTCTTCTTTTGAGAAGTGTCTGTTCATATCCTTCACCCACTTTTTGATGGGGTTGTTTGTTTTTTTCTTGTAAATTTGTTTGAGTTCATTGTAGATTCTGGATATTAGCCCTTTGTCAGATGAGTAGATTGCAAAAATTTTCTCCCATTCTGTAGGTTGCCTGTTCACTCTGATGGTAGTTTCTTTTGCTGTGCAGAAGCTCTTTAGTTTAATTAGATCCTATTTGTCAATTTTGTCTTTTGTTGCCATTGCTTTTGGTGTTTTAGACATGAAGTCCTTGCTCATGCCTATGTCCTGAATGGTATTGCCTAGGTTTTCTTCTAGGGTTTTCATGGTTTTAGGTCTAACATATAAGTCTTTAATCCATCTTGAATTAATTTTTGTATAAGGTGTAAGGAAGGGATCCAGTTTCAGCTTTCTACATATGGCTAGCCAGTTCTCCCAGCACCATTTATTAAATAGGGAATCATTTCCCCATTGCTTGTTTTTGTCAGGTTTGTCAAAAATCAGATAGTTGTAAATATGCGGCATTATTTCTGAGGGCTCTGTTCTGTTCCATTGGTCTATATCTCTGTTTTGGTACCAGTACCATGCTGTTTTGGTTACTATAGCCTTGTAGTGTGGTTTGAAGTCAGGTAGCGTGATGCCTCCAGCTTTGTTCTTTTGGCTTAGGATTGACTTAGCAATGCAGGCTTTTTTTTGGTCCATATGAACTTTAAAGTATTTTTTTCCAATTCTGTGAAGAAAGTCATTGGTAGCTTGATGGGGATGGCATTGAATCTATAAATTACCTTGGGCAGTATGGCCATTTTCACGATATTGATTCTTCCTACCCATGAGCATGGAATGTTCTTCCATTTGTTTGTATCCTCTTTTATTTCATTGAGCAGTGGTTTGTAGTTCTCCTTGAAGAGGTCCTTCACATCCCTTGTAAATTGGATTCCTAGGTATTTTATTCTCTTTGAAGCAATTGTGAATGGGAGTTCACTCATGATTTGGTTCTCTGTTTGTCTCTTATTGGTGTATAAGAATGCTTGTGATTTTTCACACTGATTTTGTATCCTGAGACTTTGCTGAAGTTGCTTATCAGCTTAAGGAGATTTTGGGCTGAGATGATGGGGTTTTCTAGATATACAATTATGTCATCTGCAAACAGGGACAATTTGACTTCCTCTTTTCCTAATTGAATGCCCTTTATTTCCTTCTCCTGCCTAATTGCCCTGGCCAGAACTTCCAACACTATGTTGAATAGGAGTGGTGAGAGAGGGCATCCCTGTCTTGTGCCAGTTTTCAAAGGGATTGCTTCCAGTTTTTGCCCATTCAGTATGATATTGGCTGTGGTTTTGTCATAAATAGCTCTTATTATTTTGAGATACGTCCCATCAATACCTAATTTATTGAGAGTTTTTAGCATGAAGGGTTGTTGAATTTTGTCAAAGGCCTTTTCTGCATCCATTGAGATAATCGTATGGTTTTTGTCGTTGGTTCTGTTTATATGCTGGATTACGTTTATTGATTTGCATATGTTGAACCAGCCTTGCATCCCAGGGATGAAGCCCTCTTGATCATGGTGGTTAAGCTTTTTGATGTGCTGCTGGATTCGGTTTGCCAGTATTTTATTGAGGATTTTTGCATCAATGTTCATCAGGGATATTGGTCTAAAATTCTCTTTTTTGGTTGTGTCTCTGCCCGGCTTTGGTATCAGGATGATGCTGGCCTCATAAAATGAGTTAGGGAGGATTCCCTCTTTTTCTATTTATTGGAATAGTTTCAGAAGGAATGGTACCAGCTCCTCCTTGTACCTCTGACACAATCTGGCTGTGAATCCTTCTGGTCCTGGACTTTTTTTGGTTGGTAAACTATTAATTATTGCCTCAATTTCAGAGCCTGTTATTGATCTATTCAGCGATTCCACTTCTTCCTGGTTTAGTCTTGGGAGGGTGTATGTGTCGAGGAATTTATCCATTTCTTCTAGACTTTCTAATTTATTTGTGTAGAGGTGTTTCTAGTATTCTCTGATGATAGTTTGTATTTCTGTGGGATTGATGGTGATATCCCCTTTGTCATTTTTTATTGCATCTATTTGATTCTTCTCTCTTTTCTTCTTTATTAGTCTTGCTAGCAGTCTATCAATTTTGTCAATCTTTTCAAAAAACCAGCTCCTGGATTCATTGATTTTTTAAAGGGTTTTTTATGTCTCTATTTCCTTCAGTTCTGCTCTGATCTTAGTTATTTCTTGCCTTCTGCTAGCTTTTGAATGTGTTTGCCCTTGCTTCTCTAGTTCTTTTAATTGTGATGTTAGGGTGTCAATTTTAGATCTTTCCTGCTTTCTCTTGTGGGCATTTAGTGCTATAAATTTCCCTCTACACACTGCTTTGAATGTGTCCCAGAGATTCTGGTATGTTGTGTCTTTGTTCTCATTGGTTTCAAAGAACATCTTTATTTCTGCCTTCATTTCGTTATGTACCCAATAGTCATTCAGGAGCAGGTTGTTCAGTTTCCATGTAGTTGAGTGGTTTTGAGTGAGTTTCTTAATCCTGAGTTCTAGTTCGATTGCACTGTGGTCTGAGAGACAGTTTGTTATAATTTCTGTTCTTTTACATTTGCTGAGGAGTGCTTTGCTTCCAACTATGTGGTCAATTTTGGAATAAGTGCGATGTGGTGCTGAGAAGAATGTATATTCTGTTGATTTGGGGTGGAGAGTTCTGTAGATGTCTATTAGGTCCTCTTGGTGCGGAGCTGAGTTCAATTCCTGGATTTCCTTGTTGACTGTCTGTCTCGTTGATCTGTCTAATGTTGACAGTGGGGTGTTAAAGTCTACCATTAGTATTAGTATTGTGTGGGAGTCTAAGTCTCCTTGTAGGCCTCTAAGGACTTGCTTTATGAATCTGGGTGCTCTTGTGTTGGATGCATATATATTTAGAATAGTTAACTCTTCTTGTTGAATTGATCCCTTTACCATTATGTAATGGCCTTCTTTGTCTCTTTTGATCTTTGTGGTTTAAAGTCTGTTTTATCTGAGACTAGGATTGCAACCCCTGCCTTTTTTTGTTTTCCATTTGCTTGGTAGATCTTCCTCCATCCCTTTATTTTGAGCCCATATGTGTCTCTGCATGTGAGATGGGTTTCCTGAATACAGCACACTGATGGGTCTTGACTCTTTATCCAATTTGCCAGTCTGTGTCTTTTAATTGGAGCATTTAGCCCATTTACATTTAAGGTTAATATTGTCATGTGTGAATTTGATCCTGCCATTATGATGTTAGCTGGTTATTTTGCTCATTAGTTGATGCGTTTTCTTCCTAGCCTTGATGGTCTTTACAATTTGGCATGTTTTTGCAGTGACTGGTACCGGTTATTCCTTTCCATGTTTAGTGCTTCCTTCAGGAACTCTTTTAGGGCAGGCCTGGTGGTAACAAAATCTCTCAGCATTTGCTTGTCTGTAAAGGATTTTATTTCTCCTTCACTTATGAAGCTTAGTTTGGCTGGATATGAAATTCTGGGTTGAAAATTCTTTTCTTTAAGAATGTTGGACATTGGCCCCCACTCTCTTCTGGCTTGTAGAGTTTCTGCTGAGAGATCTGCTGTTAGTCTGATGGGCTTCCCTTTGTGGGTTACCCGACCTTTCTCTCTGGCTGCCCTTAACATTTGTTCCTTCATTTCAACTTTGGTGAATCTGACAATTATGTGTCTTGGAGTAGCTCTTCTTGAGGAGTATCTTTGTGGTGTTCTCTGTATTTCCTGAATTTGAATGTTGGCCCGCCTTGCTAGATTGGGGAAGTTCTCCTGGGTAATATCCTGCAGAGTGTTTTCCAGCTTGGTTCCATTCTCCCCGTCAGTTTCAGGTACACCAATCAGACGTAGATTTGGTCTTTTCACATAGTCCCATATTTCTTGGAGGCTTTGTTCGTTTGTTTTTATTCTTTTTTCTCTAAACTTCTCTTCTCGTTTCATTTCGTTCATATGATATTCCATCACTGAGACCCTTTCTTCCAGTTGATCAAATCAGCTACTGAGGCTTATGCATTCATCATGTAGTTCTCATGCCTTGGTTTTCAGCTCCATCAGGTCCTTTAAGGACTTCTCTGCATTGGTTATTCTAGTTAGCCATTTGTCTAATTTTTTTCCAGGTTTTTAACTTCTTTGCCATGGGTTCAAACTTCCCCCTTTAGCTCAGAGTAGTTTGATCGTCTGAAGCCTTCTTCTCTCAACTTGTTAAAGTCATTCTCCATCCAGCTTTGTTCCATTGCTGGTGAGGAGCTGCATTCCTTTGGAGGAGGAGAGGCGCTCTGATTTTTAGAGTTTCCAGTTTTTCTGCTGTTTTTTCCCCATCTTTGTGGTTTTATCTACCTTTGGTCTTTGATGATGGTGACGTACAGATGGGGTTTTGGTGTGGATGTCCTTTCTGTTTGTTAGTTTTCCTTCTAACACTCAGGACCCTCAGCTGCATATCTTTTGGAGTTTGCTGGAGGTCCACTCCAGACGCTGTTTGCCTGGGTATCAGCAGCGGAGGCTGCAGAACAGCGAATATTGGTGAACAGCAAATGTTGCTGCCTGATTGTTCCTCTGGAAGTTTTGTCTCAGAGGAATACCCAGCCGTGTGAGGTGTCAGTCTGCCCCTACTGGGGGGTGCCTCCCAGTTAGGCTACTCGGGGGTCAGGGACCCACTTGAGGAGGCAGTCTGTCCGTTCTCAGATCTCCAGCTGCGTGCTGGGAGAACCACTAGTCTCTTCAAAGCTGTCAGACAGGGACATTTAAGTCTGCAGAGGATACTGCTGCCTTTTGTTTGGCTATGCCCTGCCCCCAGAGGTGGAGTCTACAGAGCCAGGCAGGCCTCCTTGAGCTGTGGTGGGCTCCACCCAGTTCGAGCTTCCCAGCCGCTTTGTTTACCTACTCAAGCCTCGGCAATGGTGGACACCCGTCCCCCAGCCTCGCTGCCACCTTGCAGTTTGATCTCAGAGTGCTGTGCTAACAAGGAGCAAGGCTCCGTGGGTGTAGGACCCTCCGAGCCAGGCGTGGGATATAATCTTCTGTTGTGCCGTTTGCTAAGACTGTTGGAAAAGCACAGTATTAGGGTGGAGGTGACCCGATTTTCCAGGTGCTGTCTGTCACCCCTTTCTTTGACTAGGAAAGGGAATTCCCTGACCCCTTGCGCTTACCGGGTGAGGCGATGCCTTGCCCTGCTTCAGCTCACACTTGGTGTGCTGCACCCACTGTCCTGCACCCACTTTCTGACACTCCCCAGTGAGATGAACCCGGTACTTCAGTTGGAAATGCAGAAATCACCCATCTTTTGCGTCGCTCACGCTGGGAGCTGTAGACTGGAGCTGTTCCTATTCGGCCATCTTGGCTCCATCTTAAAGAATTTTAAAAGTCATTTTTTCCAGAATTATATTGTTGTAGGACTCTCTCCTTAGTTCCACTAAAGATGTGGGTCCTTGCCACATGGCCATAAAAAATTAGGCTCACAGACAATTTGAAGGGTGAGAATAATGGAATTTATTGGGCAAAAGGGGGAAAAAGGGGAAATAGGGACCCTCCACAAAGCCAGGGTCCGCTAGTGTGCTTCCTGCCTCACAGATTGAATCCTGGGTACCACCCAGGAAGAGGAGGGGCCAGGCTCCTCGCTGCTGCAAAGGCGCGAACTTCTGTGGCTACACCCCAGTGCATGCTCCTCCCAGTGTGCAGGCCAGTTGGAGTTTCTCTCGGGACCCCCTCCCACCTGGCTGTCTCTGTATTTTCAGGATTTTGATCTTTCAGGATTTCAAGATGATGATATTTGGGATTGTGTCTTTTGTGATTATGATCAGCTCCTGTTGAAGTCCTAACCCCCTGGTACCTCAGAAAGTGACTGTATTTGGAAATAGGGTCTTTGAAGGGGTAATTAAATTAAAATGAGGTCCTATTGTGGGCCCTAATCCAAGCTGACTGGTGTCTTCACAAAATGAGGAGATTAGAACGTAGACACACACAGAGGGACTACCATGTGTAGACACAGGAATCTACCAGCTAAAGACAGAGGCCTCAGGAGAAATCAACCTTGTTGACACCTTGATATCAGGATTTCAGCCTCCAGAATTGTTAAACAATAAATTTCTGTAGTTGAAGCCACCCAGTCTGTGGTAGTTTGTTATGGCAGCCCTAAAAACCATACACCAGGGCAGTTTGCTTCAAATTCTACCTTGCTAGCTTTTGTACTTTATCTGCTGCTGAGCTTTGGCTCTGACTCCGAAGGCCCAGACAGTGGAATTGGGGTTAAGCATGAAGGATTCTGTGTTGGAGTAAATTCCACGGGGCAGGGTAATGCCCAGCTGGACTTGCAAGAGAAAGTGGCCCAAGAGAAGAAAGAACTTCATAATTCCAAATGAGAAACTTCCTGTAGCAGCTCCAGGCCCTTCTAAGAAGAGCTAACACAGATGCAACATTCTGGATTACTTTTACTGTCCACTCTGCGGGTGAGGAAAAGTGTGTCTGACTCCAAGTTAAAAACACACACTCCAATATTGCAGGAATTATTAGTAAGATGAGTTCTCAACTCTCTGTTCTCAGTCCCCAAAGATGGACTGGGCCCAGGGTTTGTGCCTTTCCCAGCTCCAAGTCAGAATATGCGTTCCTGAAAATCTGCCCTCTTGGTTGAAATGCAAGTCATCAAATTAATCTTGATGCATCATCAATCCTTATAGTTTCTAAGGGCATGCCCTGAGCAAGGTTAAAATGTTCCCTGTTCTGTCTCTGTCTTGTAACATTTGTGTTCAACTTGCCCTCTTTTTGTTGCCAATGATGGATATCCTGCCCTACTGCTGACAGTCTTGTTGGCAGTCACTTTAGATATTCAAAACACTTAATAACAGTTAGATCACGAGTTTTCAAAATAGGGACACTGGGAGGGGTTGATGAGTCAGGCTGTGCTCTGCCTGACATAATTTGTGAATTGCCAACTTGAGATGTATTCATTTATTATCTTTTAGGATTGATCCATTTTTCATTTTTATTATCATGTTTGAATAAATGTATTGTTTAAAGCAGCAAAAGGTTGCTATTTCACTTCCGTAATCATTGTACATAAAAGAGGAATAAGTTTACTTGTTCTATCTTGTATGAGGAAGACATGGACAAATAAGCCAGTTGTTTGGAAGCACTTGGTAAATGTGCTAAAATCACACAGTAAGCATAAGTTTACTATAATTTACCAATGTGTTTTAGCCCGTAGGTCCTTAGGTAGCTAATGAATCATTTAGTTACTGGGTGCTATGATCTAAATGTTGATGTGCCCCCAGAATTCATATGTTGAAACCTAACTCCCAATTCAATAGTATTAAAGGGTGGGGCCTTTTGGGAAGTGATTAAGTCATGAGGACTCCACTTTCATGGGTGGGATTAATGCTCTTATAAAAGAGGTTGAAGCGAGCTGCCTTGCCTTTTTGGCCATGTGAGGACACAGAGAAAGCACCATCTGTGAGAAACAGGGCCTCCACTATATACTGAACTTGCCACCACCTTGACCTGGGACTTCCCAGTTTCCAGAACTGTGAGAAATAAATTTTTTATGATTTACCCAGTCTAAGATATTTTGTGACAGCAGCAGGAATGGACTAACATACTGGGTCTAGCAAAGAGTTCTCAAGGTGAGTGCTCAGATCTGGAGACAAAAAGAACTAAAACCAGAAAAAATTAATGCAGTTGGGCAATCAAGGAGTGAGATCATGAAGTGAGCCTTCCATTTAACTCCAGAGAAGCAGGACAAGCTCCCTGGGAGTCTCATTCTGTCTGCCTACCTCTGAATGAGTTATGCTTTTGAGAGTCTTTGACTGGGGCTGCTGTTACCAGAAGGGGGTCCAGATCCAGACTCCAAGACAGGGTTCTTGGATCTTGAGCGAGAAAGAATTCAGGACAAGTCTATAAAGTGAAAGCAAGTGTATTAGGAAAGTAAAGGTATAAAAGAATGGCTACTCCATAGAGCAGTCCTGAGGGCTGCTGGTTGCCAATTTTTTATGGTTATTTCTTGATGATATGCTAAACAAGGAGTGGATTATTCATGCCTCCCCTTTTTAGACCATATGGGGTAACTTCCTGATGTTGCCATGGCATCTGTAAACTGTCATGGCGCTAATGGGAGTGTAGCAATGAGGATGACCAGAGATTACTCTTGTCGCCATCTTGCTTTTAGTGGGTTTTGGCCGGCTTCTTTACTGCAGCGTGTTTTATCAGCAAGGTCTTTGTGACCTGTATCTTTTGCTGACTTCGTATCTCATCCTGTGACTTAGAATGCCTTAACCCTCAGGGAATGCAGCCCAGTAGGTTTCAGCCTCATTTTACCCAGCTTCTATTTAAGATGGAGTTGCTCTGGTTCAAATGCCTCTGACACTACCATCTGAGTTATCTGAGTGGTTAATTTTAACGAATGTTTTGTCCTCAAACCTTGAAGGACATTGTTGATTATAATGCAAGAGAAACTATTCATTTTATGCATTTTTCACTTATGTAGCTTTTTCAAGTCATATATTCATATGACCATATATGTGGGTTATATGTGAGCTAAGTGTTTGAGTTTGGAATGTTGCTGAGAATATAAATTTATCTGAAGTTTATTTTTGGAGTGAGAAAGTAGATTTAAATCTGACACTACCATCTGAGTTATCTGAGTGGTTAATTTTAACGAATGTTTTGTCCTCAAACCTTGAAGGACATTGTTGATTATAATGCAAGAGAAACTATTCATTTTATGCATTTTTCACTTATGTAGCTTTTTCAAGTCATATATTCATATGACCATATATGTGGGTTATATGTGAGCTAAGTGTTTGAGTTTGGAATGTTGCTGAGAATATAAATTTATCTGAAGTTTATTTTTGGAGTGAGAAAGTAGATTTAAATCCACTTTCAGCAATGTAAAGAGAAGTAGTGTCAGACAAATTTCTTTTCTTTAAATACTTCTAAATTTTCTGAATCAGACAAATTTCTGATTGGAGAAAACAGTTATGAATGATTCATTTGAATGATTGCTAAAACACTATCATGCATTTTTCTAGACAATCTTTCTTTCTTCCCCCTTTCATCCTTTCTTCTTTCTGTTTTTCTTTCTCTCCCTTCCCCTCCCTCTCTCCCTCCCTTCCTTCCTTCCTTCCTCTTTTTCTTTCCTTCCCTCCTTCCTTCTTTGCTTCCTTCCTTTCTTTCTTCCTTCCTCCCTCTCTCTTTCTCTCTCTTCTCTTTTCTTTCTTTCCTTCCTCCCTCCCTCTCTCCTTTCTCTTTCTTTCTTTCTTTCTTTCTTTCTCTTTCTTTTTCTTTCTCTCTTTTTTTATTTTTTTTCTTTCTCTCTCTCTCTGCCTTCCTTCTTTTTGCGTTTATCATGTAGAAGGAAGAATAGAAAAGGAAGGTATTTTTTGTTTGCTTAGTTGAATCAGGAGTTGGGAGATAAAAGGAAGAGCTGAGACTTAGCTCACATCTGTGAGGGAAGAATTACATTTTTAATTTTTAAATTAAAACAAGTCAAGAAAAATGGAAAGAGAGAGCAGCGTCAAGAAGAGAAAAAGAGCAGGGCATTTGGTTGCTTTGAGTCATACAAGTGTCTTGGATAGCCTACTAATACAGCACCACCTTAAACCATTGTCTTTAAATATTCTCTCTACATTTAATTTAAAGGAGGGGTGTACACTGGTTGGGGAACAAGAGGAGAAAGACCACCTCCTGGAGAGCCCGCTTTCTTCTCTATTAATGGAGAAATTCAGCTCAGGCCCCAAAACTTGCATGTTCTTTTCTACCAAACAGGAGCCTTGCACATTTCTGACAGGGCAGAGGAGCAAACATTTATTTGCAATTCTAGGATTCACCTCAAGAGTCTTTTTGGCTACAAATGACTTAAAGCTCTCTTTGTAAACATATGCAGTCCTCTCCTTGGAAAATATTATGGTCAATACCATTTTCTACATCTTAAATTTCCAGTGGAAATTTAACACCCAGTGATAGGCAGTATCCCTTATAGATTGGTACTTGGGGCAGTTGTTAACCTGAGGAAGACAGAGGGTGAGAAAGAGACAGAGAACAAGCCTCTGTGGAGGACAGGACTCAGCAAAGGGAAGTTCCAAATGATTTAACATCTGTTTCAAGTGAAGAGAGAACTAGACAAATGTTTAATGAGAATGATAACTATTTAAGCCTATGTTTCTTTTTTTGGGAGTTTGCTTTGCAAAAGAGCCTACTATCTAATGTGCTCTGGTGATTGAAAAACAACGTGTACTTTAAACTTGCCTATGACTGGTCATGTGATTGATGGGTCTTGAGTTGTTCTGCTCCACTGTAGAGTGAATAAGTCACAGAATTTCACAATTTTCTGTTTTCCAGCGAAATGATAGGGGAGACCATATATTGGATTAAAGGTTTTGCAAATTAAATTGTGAATATTAGTGCTATGGCAGAATTTACGTGTGACATTAAAACTAACATTTTCAAAGAGTGGAAATGATTCAGAGGATCATGTTTATGATTGTGGAAGCAACCGTCAGATGTAATAAAAAAGCCAAGCTTCCTAGTGACTAAGGGTGTAAACGAGATTTATGGAATGATGATATCCCTGGCATTGCTATACGAAACTCAGCTTCTTGGGAATTAGCATCAAGCACTCTGAGTCTTCTAAACACGTTATAAACACCAGGTTATTTGCCCACCCCACTCCTACCACACTGCAGTAATCCAGGTTGTATTTATCATCATAGTCTTCTGGGCTGGGAAATCACTTCTTCTAGTCCCAGAAATGTTTGATTTCATGTCAAATGAATACAGAGTTGGTCTTTGCTCACCTCTAAGGCTGGATATATGAAGAGGATTCTTCCTTTTCTAGCAGCCAGAGGAAGAGGTTGCCTGCAAAAGGAGGATGCATGGTAGCGTTAACCTGAAATCTTCCTCTCATGATTAGGGCCCACTTTATTACCTTGGGTTTTCAGACAGGATTTATTTGGACCTTTACTCTTTCTTCCAACAGTGCACTGCTTCTCTCCCACCACTGCCTGTTCTCACTTTCTTTCGAAGACGTGATTAAGTTTCCACATTTGTTTGGTCCCTCAAAAGGCAAAGATGAAGTACAGGAGAAATACATGGATCACAGGCAAGATCCAAAGCTGGCTGCAGTCTCTGAGGCCTGAGCCTCCCGTGAAGGCTCTTGCCCCTCCTTGTTCCATACATCTTTCTTCTTCATAGCAAGACACTCCCATTAAGCCCAAAAGCCCAGAGTGCAACTCAGATATACAATATATTACCTGTTGCATCACTTTCTTTGATATAGTTTGACTCTGTGTCCCCAACCAAATCTCATCTCAAATTGTAATCCCCATAATCCCCATGTGTCGAAGGAAGGACTTGGTGGGAGGTGATTGGATCATGAGGGTGGTTCCTCCCATGCTGTCTTGTAATAGTGAGAGAGTTCACACCAAGATCTGACAGTTTTATAAGCATTCGACAGTTCCTTTTTCACATGCTCTCTCTTGCCTGCTGCCATGTAAGACATGCCTCCTTAGCCTTCCGCCACAACTGTAAGTTTCCTGAGGCCTCCCCAGCCATGTGGAACTGTGAGTCAATTAAACCTCTTTGCTTTATAAATTACCCAGTCTCAGGGAAGTTCTTTGTAGCAGTGTGAAAACGGACTAATACACTTTCTAACAGGACAGAGCTCTGACAATACTTCTCAGATTCACTAGCTTAGTAGAAAGATCTGCCTTGCAATGTCAGCCTCCAAGAGTCTTGAGATGATAGAGGCTGTCTGTGTGTGAGAAGTTTTTCTTGAGTAGTTTTATTGAATAGAGAGAAACCGTGTCCTTATGGCCTCAAGACAGTACACAGCAATGAGAAAAGAAAATGGACTCTGGAGATGTAAAAGATACCACACATGGCTAAATGTTTGGTTGAGTGACAGAATAAATTCTATTTTAGGTTTTAATTTCATTTTTACAAAATAAAACTAAGAATATTTTTAATCATGTGGGACAGAGTCATTTGCATCAGTTCCTTTGCCCATTTAGACTGTAGGCTCTGTTTCTCAAAACTATAAATTCTGTATTTAGTTTAAGAAAGTATATTTTTGATTGAGGTTAACACAATATTTAAGTTAATGGAAAACATGCTTCCATTGCAGAGTATTTCCACCAGGATTGCTGGATTCTGTACAACAATCTGTTTCTATTTTGAAAAAAAAAATGATGCTGTTATATGACCTAAATATTCCTATTTTCTCTTATTTCACTCTTCTACATTCATATGCTTCGTTCTTCAGGTATATTCAAATAAATGACACACTGTGAATTCAGATGAGAATACTTCCTAGTAGTATATATCCTTAATGTTTCATAAAATTAGGAAAATTATTTTGCTTAAAGTCTGAGCCCCTTTTCAATGTAGGGAGCATGAGTTCCCACTCCTGCTACCCAAATAATGCTAAAACTGGGGAGAGGTTATGAGTTAGCTTTTGCTGAGTGACAAGTCACCCCCAAATCCATTGGCTCAAAATTGCAATCAGTTTTTCTTTCATGTGTATGGATTTCATATGGAGATGGATTGATCTAACTGCTCTTGGCTAAAAAGCTCTGATTCAAGTTGGGTCCAGCTGGGCTTGGCTTCTTGCTTGGGCTTAGGCTGGTCAATGTGTAACTCTGGGGTCCTGTCTGGACTGGCAGCAGCTACCAGGAAAAGCTGTTCTCAAGGTACAGATCAAGAGGGTAAGCAGGAACACGGTTTAAGCTTGGAACTGGCACTCTGTTACTTCGCCCACATCTCACTGGCCAAGTGAGTCACATGGTTAAGTCTAACCACAAGGTAGGGAAACAGTGGGAGGAACTGCAAAGTCAAATGGCAAAGATATGAAAACACAGAGGGGAAATAATTGGGAGCCAACATCCAATCCATCAGAAACTTCAGTTTATTCTCTTCCTTTTTTGAGTCTCACTCTGTCACCCAGGCTGAAGTGCAGTGGTGTGATCTCGGCTCACTGCAGCCCCCGCCTCTTGGGTTCAAGAGATTTTCCTGCTTCACCCTCCCGAGTTGCTAGGATTACATATGTGTACCACCACATCTGGCTAATTTTTGTATTTTTGGTAAAGACAGGGTTTCACCATGTTGACCAGGATGGTCTCAAACTCCTGACCTCAAGTGATTGGCCCACCTTGGCCTCCCAAAGTGCTGGATTACAGGCATGAACCACTGCACCCAGCCCAGTTTATTCTCTTCTTTCTACAAGTGGGAATGTTGTTGTGTCATCTTCCCTTCTTCCCTGGGACAGCAAGTCAAAAAGTAGGCACCTGCTCTGAATAGTGACTTGTCCTAATCTCTAGGCATAGCTTTCTGCAAACCAGTGATTCTCAAACTTTGGTGTATGATGGGATTATTGATGAGATTGGTAACAATACAGATCCTAGGTCCCATCCTCAAATGCATTACATTAGAATCACTGTGGGAAGGCCAGGTCATTTATACTTTTTAACAATTTCCCCAGGTGATTTTGATGCTCTTCAACATTTGAGACCTATATCACTAATACACGGTTAATTGAAGTGGTCAGTATATGTCTTGAATTTGATGGATGGAACCCTGGTAGTTTGGCAAGTGTGATTGATTGTATTATTGTTCAGCAAATACTGCCCTCGACCATACCAGCACAGGAGGCATGTACTTCCTTGTTACATAGCTATTGGACCTGGTCATGTGATTTATTTTGGTCAATGAAATGTGAGCAGAAGTGACCTACTTCCTGTTCAAATAAGGTTTTCAATTTGTTTATGTCGTTGCTTTTTTTCTCTTGTGTTCCTTCCCTCTGCCATGATAAAAACTTCTTTAGGTGGCTACAGCTGCATCAGCCTTTGAGCGATGTTATAAGTCTTAGACTGAGGAACAGGAACCAGATATATAGCCTGGAGCATAGTCACCATGGCTACCTCACAGATCCATGTGTGACAAACAAATTTCAGTTGTTATAAGTCAATGAGATTTTGGTATTGCTTCTTATGCAGCATTATTGCAGCAAAAGCTGAAAGATACATCCAATAACAGCACAGCAAAACTGGGATAAAATATGGTACTCTAAATTCCTTTTTCCACATTTCTGTTAGATTTCAAGATGCCTTTAGTGCCTTATTTAAGGTTATCTTTAATGTTTGTTCTAATTTGACTTAACCTGGTTGAAAATGCTGAAAAGGGGGAAAATTGGCTTATAACGAGATTTGACCAGGACCTAGAACACTCTCAGGATTGTTCTTGATACTAAATTTTCCCCCAAAGGACTTCTGTGTTTCCCAGACAGAGTACGAGTTTTTTCTCGTTTGCTGTTGGGTTGATTAGCAGTAATAACAATGAATACTTAATAAATATTAGTATATGCCAGGTGCCATCCTGAACACTTTCCATGTATTAATTCATTTAATACTCCCAACAACTCTATGAGGTAGTGATTATTATTAACCTTACTTGAAGGATCACAAAGGATCACACATTCGTAACTCAGATCCCACAGCTAGGAGGCCATACCAATGAGAAGATGGATTTCAGAACTTGTTTCCTTGACCCCTCTGTTGTTGCCTCTAGAATAGTGTTTTTAAATGAATTTCACCCTCTTTTACTTTTGTAACTTTTTATTTTTAACTTCTGTAGGTGCATAGTAGGTGTATATTTTATGAGTTACATGAGATGTTTTGATAGAGGCATGCAATGATGCAATGTGAAATAATCACATCATGAAACAACATAAATACTCCTAGAAAAGCAGTCTGATTTCCACCTAGAGCAGAAAGATTCCAGATTTCAGAAGCAAAATGTGTATTCGACACATTCTTGAGAGTGAAGGACAATCTGCTGCAATATTTGCTTCTTTATTCTCTCTTTCCCCCATTCTCATAGTTTTGGTTTAGAATACTTTTTTCCCATATTCTAATTCTTTCATCAAAGAAACACAAATTATGGCTTCTCATTTCACTTTAACCCAGAAACCTGATGGTGGATTATATACTTTTTAGCAAAGCACATCATTGGAATAAAAATCTGTCAAAACAACACATGTTTATATATTCCATGAGTTCATGACAATGAGATACAGCTCGCACAGGGAGAAATAGCAATTTAAAAATTATGTAAAATAAGAGCATATATTTCATCAGGACCTACTCTGAGACATTTTATATATATTATCTTTATTTCTAATAACAAGTCTACAGGAAAATTATTATCTTCCTTTACGAACAAGATGATTAGGTCTTTACAAAGTTGCATAGCTAGGTGATAGAACCAACATTTGAGCCATAGTTTTATGATTCCAAATTCTGTTGTCCTGGGCTCCATACCTCATGACTTCTGTTTCTTTGAAGAAAAAATACTTTCAGATTACTGCATAACAACTAGTTTTTTCTATTTGTTCCCATAATATAGAAATCTCTGAAATGAATTTCTCTGTCTTTTGTATAGTAAGTCCAAGTGACCAGATGAGAACTAACGACTATATTTTCTAGTCTTTCCTCAGAACACATTATGGTTAGATGAGTGGTTAAACAGGATTTATATATATCAAGAGATATCTAATTCCAAAAAAGCTGCTAAGCTATTTATTACCCTTCTACCTTTTGCTCCAATCTAGGCAAATATATTACAAATCTATAGGAAAACCTGCCCTCCTCTGTTATTAATGATTAAGTGGAGGACAGATTCTTAACTGTTTCCAGTAGTAGATCTAATCATCTAATCATTCATGTCTCTCTTCAACATGGTGTGAAACTAGTTTGATATTCTGAAAGTGCTAAGTCTATTTATCTGCCAAACTGAAGAAGACCACATTGCCAGAAGTGTATATTTTCTTGTTTGCATGTTGGATTCTCCAAAGGCATGTATTAGCAACCTAAACTCCTTTTCTAGTATTAAGTGTATAGTAAAAATTGAACAGACAACTACTTTAAAGAATCTTAAATGTATACTGCAAAGGGAATCTAATGATTAAATGAGAAAATAAATTCTGTAAATTTCTCACCAAAGTCACACATTTTCCTAAATACCGAAGAAAAGATAAATGGGAGACAGAGTAAGAAGAAATCTTCCTTCCTTCCAATCTGCTTCCTTTCAAAGCTGAGACAAATGGAAACAAACTCAAAAGTCCAGGGACATGAGGGAACAACGTAGGTCCTAAGTTGAGGACCATTTGCAATGTTAGAAATAGATTCTAATTTAAAATATGCATCATGCATAATCAATTTAGAATTGTGATTTTAAGGTCAAGACAGAAGTTTATTAATAATATTAGAAAATGTAAGAGAAATTGATGTCCCTCAGATTTATAAGTTTATTTTATAGAGAAGAATTACATAAGCAGTTGGCAAGGCTATTTTTTTTAAAAAATGGACAATGAAGTACCCAAATATATAAATGCAACTTAAAATATTTAAAGAAATATAATCCAGTCTATCATTGTTGGACATTTGGGTTGGTTCCAAGTCTTTGCTATTGTGAATAGTGCCGCAATAAACATACGTGTGCATGTGTCTTTATAGCAACATGATTTATAGTCCTTTGGGTATATACCCAGTAATGGGATGGCTGGGTCAAATGGTATTTCTAGTTCTAGATCCCTGAGGAATCGCCACACCGACTTCCACAATGGTTGAACTAGTTTACAGTCCCACCAACAGTGTAAAAGTGTTCCTATTTCTCCACATCCTCTCCAGCACCTGTTGTTGCCTGACTTTTTAATGATTGCCATGTTAGTTACATATGTATACATGTGCCATGTTGGTGCGCTGCACCCACTAACGTGTCATCTAGCATTAGGTATATCTCCCAATGCTATCCCTCCCCCCTCCCCCGACCCCACCACAGTCCCCAGAGTGTGATGTACCCTAAAACTTAGACTATAATAAAAAAAAAAAAAAATTAAAAAAAAAAAAAAGAAAATTAAAAAGTAAAAAAAAAAAAAAAAAAAAAAAGAAATATAAATAAGTTTTCAAATGTGTTTATAAATTAATCTTTTTTAGATTTATTTACTTTTGGAATAGGGTCTCTCTCTGTCACCCAGGCTGGAGTGCAGTGATGAGATCGCGACGTCTCACCACAGCCTCAACCTCCCAGACTCAAGACATCCTGAGTAGCTGAGACCCATAGGTGCATGCCGCCACTCCTGGCTAATTTTTTTTTTTTTTATGTTTAGTAGAAATGAGGACTTACCATGTTGCCCAAGCTGGTGCTGAACTCCTAGGCTCAAGCGATCTACCTGCCTTGGCCTCCCAAAGTGTTGGGATTATAGGCGTGAGCCACTGTGCCTGGCCTATAAGCCTCTTTAAAAGTAACTGGAGCTATAAATGGAGTAAGATTTGTATGTTGAATTGAAAAGCTTAGGAGTGAATTAGTCTTACAAACTTTTAACTTATAATAAATATTAATTTTTAAAACCAAAGTAATCTTCTGAACAAAATCTACCCCTCTTGAGTATCAAAAACTAGCATTTATTAATCATATAGTAATGCTACTGTAATCTAAAGGTCTAATTTATTTTCCTTTCTGAGCATTTCAACCTGTGAAATAATTATTATTAGAGACTGAAGCATGCAGGAATTATTTCAAATGTAGTGCACATAGAGAAGGACCTGAAGGTATAGTCTGCTAGAATTCTAGTAGAGTGATTATCTTTTCTCTTTAGCTTACAATATATATATATTTTTTAAAAGGCAAAGTTTTAGGAGGAAAAAGTCATGCTTTCAATACTCTGCACTATCCCTATTTTATAAGAATAAACTGTAGTACAGATGGTTGATGGTAGTGTAAGTAAAGTGCTAATTTGAGTTGGGTGAAGGTAGAGAAAGAAGAAAGAGAAATATTGTATTTGATAAAATCCACTGCTCCTTCAAAGTGTGGGCCTATGTAGTGATTTATTTTTCTAGAATAAGAGCAAGTAAGATACCCAGAAACATATGACACAATTTATACAATGCATGTACATATATTTATTTATGGTTTCAATTGTACCAAAAGAGAAATTATAATGGCTTTGCAAAGACCACAAATCTTTTGCATACAAGTCAAAGTGTCTATTCCATGTGGCTTAGGAATATGTGTAAAGCTTCCATATGGGTAAAAGATTTTCTTATACTCAAACAAATGAAAGAATCAAGCATCAAAGAACTTACTAAAAGATTTGACAAATGTAAACACATATAAAACTAATTCCAGTTTTAATGTCTACACGTTTTATTTTGCAATATACTTTATTGTTTTGTAATAGAGCTGTAAAAAAGTTTTTGCCAAAGACAATGAAGCTTTATATATGAGCATACTATATGTACAATGCGTATGTATGTATATACATCGGTGTTAGTCTATTTCAATTTGCCTTCAGTTTGCATATTCAACTACATGTCCCGCTGATGGACTCTTGCTCTTACAAACTAAAGAGATGCCCGCTCTCTTGAAGTAAATGCCAAACCCTCAGAATAATGATTATATGTTTCATTTATACAATTTATTTCCTCCAAAGTGTTCATTTTAAATTAACTCCACATTGAAGTGAGTGATCATGGTAGTGGCTGACAGTGCTAGGTTAGACGGACTTTGTCCTAACGTCATCAATGACAATAACAAAAAAGACAGAGAGAAACAACAGAAACAGCAACAAAAAGAAACCCATCCCAAGTAACCAACATTGCATTAAAATTAAAGTTGGCACCTAATGTTGAACTAGTCTGTTCTTGCCGATGGGCCATGTGATGGGATAGTTGAGGTCCATATATCATTGCTGCAGAGCCCCTTTTGTCCACATGCTGCACTGCAGAAGTCCCAAACCATGGCCCACAGGCTGGATTTGGCCCATCGCAGTGTTTCATTTGGCTGGTACAATGTTTAAAACTTTCCTGAGCCAACATTATGAAATTGGATGCTTTCACATAAAAATCCAGATTTCTGGCATCTCTCAAAAAATTAGGAGATCTGGGAACACTGGGCTCACATTACCGCACTGCAGTCCCAGGCTGGCTGGATGGCTGCTGCCCTCTTTAGACAGGCATGTGTCCTCCACAGTCCCTACTTGTTTCTGTGACTTCACTACACTTATCATTGCACTTTCTCATTTCTCTTTTAGTAGGAAATTATGTCTTTCTTCCAGCGTCTTTATCAAAATATGAAAACAGCATGGTAGAGTTATATCTTTACATCAGATTATTCTTTGTGTATTCTCTTCTCGTTTTTTCACTCTCCATTGAGAGATTATTTCTCTCCTTTATCTCCCACTGAAGTTGAAACAAAGATCTAAGAAACTGGATCAGTGCTGGAGGTGCTGGAAGGTTCTCAGAGGTATGCTTTTTCTCTTAGGGAGCAGTTAAGATTGGGCTTGGGGAAAGCAAGAGGAGGGGAGAATGGAGAAACAGATAAGAGAGTATGTCGGTGTATCAGTCTGTTCTCATGTTGCTAATAAAGACATACCTGAGACTGGGTAATTTATAAAGGAAAGAAGTTTAATTGACTCACAGTTCTGCAAGGCTGGGGAGGCCTCAGGAAACTTACAGTCATGGTGGAAGGGTAGCAAGCACGTCCTTCTTCACATGATGGCAAGAAGGAGAAGTGCAGAGAAAAAGAGGGAAAAGCCCCTTATAAAATCATCAGATCTCATAAGAAGTCACTCACTATTACGAGAACAGCAGCATGGGAGTAACCATCTCCACGATCCAATTACCTCCCACTGGGTCCCTCCCACGACACACGAGAATTATAGGAACTACAATTCAAGATGAGATTTGGGTGGGGACACAGCCAAACCATATTAGTTGGTTTTGGGTTCTTAACTTTGAACACACCCTTCTGTGATTGGCTTCATGGTGCCTGGACCTGGACTCTGAAAGCCACCTTTTTGCTTTGTGAAATGCTTCCTGTTAGACTCAGCCAGCGGAGGGGGAAAGAGGGAGGCTGCATGACTGGAGGCAGATGACAAACCTGCTCCTTCCAGTTGGTTCCTGTGAGAGCAAAAGTCTATCAGTGGGGCATCAGCAACATTCCTTCAGCTTGGCAGCAGCAATTCTTTCAGGATGTGACAAGCTGAATACAGCTTGTAGTGTACAGTTTACACGTATCAGCGTGACCCTCTCCCGCCCACCCTCATTTCCCTTTCAGAGATCTGCTCCTGCTTCATGGGCCTCTTCCCCAAGCTTCTAAGTTTAATATTTCAGATTGTTTATTTCCTTCCCTCAGCTCTAGAGATGACAGTTGCTTCACCCAGTTGCCACTTCTGTGATGCCTTAGAGTCTCTCTTTTTCTCTAATTAACAAAATGTATACTTAGTTAACAATTATTTATGGTACTTTCTCTCTGTTCAAATAACTTCTTCCTGACTACATCCTAACTAACAGAGAGAGAATGGGATGATTCCACTTGTGCTGTTCAATGTGGTAGCTTCTACTCACTTTGGTTACTTAGATGTAAATTTAGTTAATTAAACATAAATAAAATATAAAAACTGTTTCTCAGTTACACTAGTCACATTTCAAGCACTCAATAGCCACACGTGGCTACTGGCTACTGTATTGGACAGTGGAGATACAGAACGTTTCTGTCATCACGTAAAGTTCCATCAGAGAGTGCTGGGCTAGAGGAATGAAGAGTTCTTAAGGTGGAGGGGAAATATGAGTAAAAGAACTTCATTAGAACCAGGAAATGAAATACAAGAGACTCAGCATGAGCTTCCTCAAGAAAAGAGAACATATATATATATATATTTGCATACATATATATGTTATTTTCATTGCTGATGTTAAGACAGAGACAGCAAAACCTAGCACTTTTAGTCATTAGCATAATCACAAAATTGAAAAATATAGTTTCTCTGATCACAGTGCTGTTAAAATCCCATATATTTAAAAATTAATGATATGATAAAATTATAGTGAAATATTGCATAAATAAAGTAGTTATAAATAAAGTAGTCCTTAGAGGAACATTTAGAGCCTTAACTAAATATTTGAGAAAAGATGAAGGTGCAATTAGAAATTTATGTGTCCAGCTCAAGAAGTTAGAAAAAGAACAAAAAGTGAAATACGAAGATGGCAGAAACTTTAGAAAATCAGAAAGATACCATAAATTAATTAGACATCAAAGATAGAAGAAAATACAAAGCCAGTAATTAGTTATTTTGAAGGATTAATAAAGTTGGTAAGCTCCTGGGAAGAATGATGAGGAAAAAATAGAGAAGGCACAAATAATGTCAGTAAATAACCATAGAACTGATAGAGATGAGAAAGGTAAGATATTTTTAACAACCCAAGTCCAATAAACTTGGAAATTTAGAAGAAATGGACCTATTTCTAGAAAAAAATTTACCAAACTGGCCTTAAAAAAGTAGAGTATGTAAGTGGTTCTTTAAGTATTAAACAATTGGTTCATATTTGAATACTTCGTTCAAAGATAACTTCAGGCTCACATAGCTTCACTATTGAGTTCTGTCCCATTTTTTAAAAAGGCTTAATGGCCATCATTTACAAATTCTTCCAAAAAATAGTAATAGGGGAACAATCAGCCATCTCATTTTATGATGTTCTCCAAACTTTGATTTTAAAACCAGACAAAGGAAGAAAAATTACAGGACAATCTCACATATTAACAATGGTCCAAAACTCCTAAACAAAATAATCACTAACCAAATATAACAATATATTACACCACAATTAAGTTTTTTTATGTTCTAGGAATGCGAGATTAGTTTAAAATTTGATCATAAACCAATGTAGTCCATCACATTAAAAAACAAAAGATAAAAATATTATAAATATATAAAATAATTTGAGAAAATTTATGATTAAAAATTCTTAGTATAGATAGTTTATATAGAAAAAATTCACAATCTGATAAAGAAGAGTTACCCCAAATCCTCCAGCTAACATTTTATGTAAAAGTAAAATAGTAAGAACTTTGCCTTTGAGATTAGGAACAAGTAAAGCTTGCCCAATTTACTGTTCAACATGTTAGTGGAAGTTTTTTTATCATTTCCAGAAGGCAATAAAAAGAAGTAAAAACTATAAAGATTAACAAAATTATAATTATTCACAGATGATATTAAGTTTTAGGTAGAAAAATCCAAAAATTAAGTGATAAATTATGAGAATTGATTTGTGAGTTTAGCAAAGTCATTGTATTTCAGCTTGATCAGTTTTATTTTACACTCTAGAAAAAAACAAATGAAAGATTAAAAGTTAAAAATAATACCATGAACAATAATATAAAAATACTGAATACCAGGAATAAGTCTATTAAAAGTTGTGCAAAACCTCTATACAGAAAACTACAACACATTATTGAGAAAAATTTAAAAAGGATCTAATAAATAGAAAGCTATAATCTCTTCAGTATTTCAATTCTCCCCAAATTGATTTAGGTTCAGTGCCATCCCAATAAAAATTCTAGCACTTTTTTATGTGCTTGCACATATGTATGTGTAACTATATTGTTAGGATAATTCTAAAATTTGTGTGAAAGGCAAGAGACCAAAGATAGCCCAGGCAATACTGAAGATGAATAACTAGGTTAGAGGACTTACCTTATCTGATATGGAGATATTTGGTTAGTGGATTGTGGAAAATAATGGTATCCTTTGGGCTAAGCATGAGATGTCTCATTACCTATTTCTCTTTTGTTAGAAGTATACCCCAAATCTTCAAGTCTAACCCATTTTAATTTTTCATTATATTGCAATGTTGAGTCCAGGGTATATGAATATGGAAGGGAATTTCATACTCAAATAGTTCTCTTTGGTTTCTACCTTTCCTCTTGAACAGAAAATGTGGCAATGAGCTTCTTCACTTCTTTTGGCACTTTTAAAATGCCTGGGATGAAGATAAAGGTGCTGAAAAATGAGAAATGGGCAAATGCTGCTAAAATGGTTATCAAAATTCTGAACTGATAAAAATATTTTGATACAGATTGAGGAACTTGATTGTCCATTTGGAACAAAATGCTCTAACAGGTTAATTAGAAGGTATCTTTTGAACTCTTTGAGAAAGCTGAAGCGCTTGCAGTGGGTTATTATTAAATCATGTAGAACAAGGCTTTTCAAATTTTCCAAATTTCTTTATTGAATAAAGCTTCTAGGCTGATTGATTAGGAAAATGTATATCAGAAACTAGTTTATCAGACAGATATGGAGAGAATATCTTTGTGGACAAAAAGAAAAATGTCAGGATGATAATGTATTCAGGAGAATTTGTAAAGTTTTGACTGATAGTTTGTATCTAAGAAAAGCAATCAATATTTTTGACAGTCAGGAAGTAGCTGGTTACATGCAGCAAATGTTTGAGATTATACCTACTCAACACTGTTGGTGGCCATAGGAAACAAATAGTTAACATGGACTTTGGAACTTTAGCTAATATATTGGAGGGCAGAATCGAGATCAGACGCAGGTAAAATAAGTGACCAGGTTTAACAAGATGAAATGTAATAGCAATTAACGTAAAGTGCTACAATGAATCTAAAGATTCAGCATATGCAGCAGACAAGATGTGCCTTAACATTAATTTACATGAAAAGGACAAGAGGTTTTTTGTCAGTCATGAGCTTGGGACAAGTCAACGATATAATACGATTTCTTAAAGTCTAATTGAATCTTAGGCAAATAGCTCATATGAGATTGGTAAATATGACATTAAAATCATGCCAGTGTAACATGGAAGCTGTATTTGTTTACATGTCATTTGTTTTTAGTCAAAAGGAGTCAGAATAGCAGGACCAGATTACAACCTCCTGCAGGCAGAACAAAGGTCTTCAACATGGCAATTGCACAGGCAGAAGACCTTTCAGCTCTATTTTAGGGCAATTTAAAATGGGCACCTAGGCTTCATCTTAACTTGAAGTGGGTTGTATTTATTCCTCTGCTACCTCATCAGGAGCCCCACTGAATCAGAATTCTGTTCTATGCATTTTCTTAGGGCCCTCAAGCCAACTTTCCCACTCTATTGGTTTCGGGCATTTTTAATATCCTTTGAAGTAGCCTCTAACCAAACTGAGCTACTGGAACTCTAGAGGCTCCAGTTATTCTTTTATTAGTATCCTAGTTACAAAATTGTTTGGGTTTTGGATGGTAGGACTTTAATGTTGTTTCTCTTTTAGGTCCTATTATTTTGGTGTTAGAGCCAAATACCATACAGAGATTAGTTGAGATCTGTCCCTACAACCTATATTTGACATGCACACTTGAGTTTTGGAGTCATAAACATAATTTCAAGCATCCCACAACTTCTAGGATTTCTGCACACATACCAAGAAATGGCTTGTCTTAATTCACAGAACTACCATTCAAGAAGTCCATGTCCCCATTTATTCAAAATTTGAGGTATTTTAAGAATTAATTTTATTCCTTTGCATTTTTTCTTTTTGCCTTTTTCCTCTCAATATCCATGTTATACAGTTAATAGCCCTAGGGTAAAGAGCTGTTTCAATCCAAGTCTATCTAGGAAGCTTGGCCCAAGATACCATTATTTATGGTTAGAAAAGATCATTGTTGTGCTAAGTTATTTTTCCTGGTTGGCAGCCTTAAAGGTTTGGGTTGCTGGCTGCTTTTTGGGGATTATATCATAAGTATGGATGAGTTGAAGTACAAACATTTAAAAAACTCCAGTATTCTTTGTCCAAACAAAAGAATAACCTTCCAAGTTATGAGGATATGAATCTCAAGTGTTCTGACTTCCAGAGGTTTTTTTGTTTTGTCTTTTCTCTGCAGTTACAATTTTCATGGTGTTGTTGTAGTCTGCCAATGTCAACCAATTTGTGTTTTCTGGTAGGATAATTGAGTTGAGATTTTTCTCCTTTGACATGAAGTCAGAATATTAAAGTTACAAACTCATGGGTTAGATCTTTGTAGAAGTGAAAGCTAATTCCTCTCTGAAGTCACTCTTGGCATAATTTAGGTAAATAGGACTGCTGTCCTTTTGGATAAACAGTAAATTTTCTATTATTTAGGAGCTGATCAGGTAACTTGTATATAATTCAGTTCTTTGACCTTCCTTTTTCTTAGGGTTTGCTGCTACCTCTTGACTGTTCAATCACTTTTCTGTATCTTTATGCAGATCTGTTTAACCTAAGCAGGATCAAGAAATTGGTCATTTAAATTAGGAAATTTCAGCTGATGTTTGTTTTAGGAAGTTTTTACAATAGAAAAACATACATAGTTGTGTATGAAAACCGTTTAATATAATGTTGAGAAAACATGAATGTAATATGCTGCATGACAAAAAATGATCAGCAAGAAATGTTACTCTATCCATGCCACTTAAAATAGATATTGATAAAGGCTAATTACTTGTTGAGCACTTACTATGAAACAGAATTGTCACAAATATTATTGTAAATGTTTACAGTAGTCTTAGAAGGTAGGTGTTTTTCATTTTTCTCTTGAAGAAATGAAGGATCAGAGAGTTATGTAATTTATCAAAGTTACACAATGGTCAAGTAAAAGAGCTAAGATTTGACCCTTGGTCTTTCTGACACTTAAGTCCTTGTACTATATTGCCTTTGGTTGATGGGCTTATCTTGCTTTGTATTTAGAAAGAATTAACAGTGGCATGTGGACTCTTTGCCTCCTTTGTGAGGCAGATGATTAGTATGTCTTTGGTCGTGTAAATGATAGGTTGCATTAGTTTAGGTGGAGGCCTGATGTTGTCATTGTCTTTATTTGGAAATTAAAGATGGTTTTAGTAGTAGGATGGATGTTGAGTCAATGAGTTAACAAGGGTATTGCATGGACTGTGCTAGGTTGGTTGTTTTCAATGTGGCACCACCACCAAGAGCCCTGTCTAAGGCTGAGGACTGTATTTCCCTATGTTCTTATTCCTAAGTGGTGCTGGGTTAGAATTCACCCACAAGAGGGATTTGAGTGGGATTTGGAAGTTGCAAATGAAGTGGAAGCTGTTATCCTGGGACTGTCCTGATTGTTAGGTGCAGCTGGTTTTTAGACCTCTCCACAAGCCGTTAGTGGTTGTGGTACTTTTTTGGACTTCCCCAGACCGTGTTTTCTATAGGTTGTGGCAAAGGATGTGGTTTCTAGAATTTTCCACAAGGTCCACTTCTTGGGTTGTGTCAGTTTCTTGAACTTTCTAGAGATAAATGGCTTCCCCCCCTAGTTAAGAGATACCTCGGCCATCATCTTCTAAACCTTCATTGCTGCATCCTCTATTTGTGTAGCCTGAATTTGTATATTTAATTCATTTTTCTCATAATGTTGATTTTGACTTTATTTTCCTGACAAAACTCAGTTGGATATTTAAAGTATGACTTTTCATACATTTAAATAGATTCTAATCGTGCACAAATTTTACATTTTGGTTTGGGGCTAGGAGTAAGATAGGATATGTACAAATGAGAAAGTAGAAGCAATCTCAAGTTATAAGAATCAAAAGTTGCCAAAAGTCCTATTAATTGTAATTATTTCTTATATAAATGCAGATATTTTATAGAGTGGAAATAACATTTAATTTTATTTCATTTAGGAAACAGTCATTGAGTATCCAGTATGTAAATACCTGAGCTGTGTGTTTTGGGAAATATCAGAGAGCTAGTACTGACTTGGAGCGTACCATGAGTCAGATGCTCAGATCTTTAATTCACACCACAATCCTATGAAGTAGATATTATTATCCTTATCTTACAGTTGGGAAATTCAAGCCTAGAGAGAATAAGAAACCTGGCAGAGGTCACACAGTGGTTTAAATACCTGGGCTACTATCCTGAGTTGTCTTATTTCAAATTTCCAAGGTTTTACCCACCAGTCTGAGCTGCTTCCTGCCCTCAAAGAGTTTTTAATTCAATTGAGATGGATTTGGAAAAGAAAATGTATTTCCTATTCTCCTTGATGAATTCAAATGGATTTTTAAAACTACTTAGAGTCAGATTTATTTTTTTCTTATTTATAGCAAATTTTTATGCAGTTAGACACTATCACATTTACAAGCAATTACCTCAGGCAGCTAACCACATAGTTTTCATTTGTTCATTTTTTGCCCTATACTAGTTTGTTCAAAACAAATTCAAAATAAAAAACTTATTGTATTCATTGAAATTAGTGAAAAATAGAATAGACAAATAGAGGAGGGGACTTGGGTATTTTCCAACAGTAGAACATTTTGTCATAATATTTTAATAGAAAAAGAGGGGTATTTTAAAGGTATATTAGGCTCAAAATGTGCTTTGAGAACACATGTAATTTTTTCTATAATACCCATCTATTGGCCTCAGATTTTTTTGGTAAATATTTGCTTTCAAAGTGAATTAGTTTCCAGGTGAGTTCATTAAAGATGGATATTTAAGCAGCATGAAGTGAGTGGTGAGCGTAAAAGACAACATTTTCAGCAAGTACATGTCTTTTACATACCTGGTCAAAATAGATATTCAAGTAAGCAGGTGGAAATTGGATTTTATATCCAGCATTTTGTATCCTTGGCATAAGGAATTCTAGGCTGCCAAACCTCTGTTTTTAGGTATCTACAATAACCCTATTGCAGAAAACAACTAACTTAATGTATTAACCTAATGTGCAGAACCACTTTTCTAAAATTGGGTGCTTTATGCTAAAACTATGAATTCCAAGCAGATTTCATTGACTTGTTTCAGTAAGTCTGAACCTGTAGCCAGGTTTTTGTTTGGACAGCACTGAAAATGAGACGTTAAGAGAAATACATTAAAATGTGTGTTTTATTTTTTTCGAGACAGTAGAAACTCTGTCCTGGCAAGTTCCACGGGAGAGAACATCTGCTCAGAAACAATTCTTATGCTTTCCTTGACTTAGAGTGCTGGTGAAAAAATAGCTTTATGGATCTCTAACTTTTGTGCCTTTCTACCACCAAAAAAAGATACTACTTGTCAGAGGTTATCCTTCAGTATCCTTCCCTTCCAAAGTGAGTAACTAAGCAGAGAAAGAAAGAAAATGCTGGAGATAACCATGAAAGCTGTTAGTAGACTTCAACATTTTTTAGACTCTGTGCAGGCAGACAGTATACTTAGTTGCACAAAACACTGTGCTGTTTTTGAAATTAACAAATTAATGGCCTATAAGGATATGGCCCACGATCCATAACTTACTAAATGCTCTTTCATTGTACGAACCTGTTCTGATCGGCCTTCAAGAAGACAGTGAGACCAGTGCAATGTTCTGTGACTCAAATCCACATGTTTTCTCAGAGTTTTATCAGATCTTCCTCTTCATGGTTGCTGTACTTTCTGCTCATTTGACAATTGTCACATCATTTTTGTTAGTGACTTTCAAATACCATTGGTCAACAATAATTCCAGTTGGTAAACACAGTTTGCATATAGGTTAGCGTTTGAAGTTGTTTTATTTCATTAGTCTTTTTGACTTAAAGCTAATGACTTCAAGGGATAAAAAGATAGTTTACAGTTTTTTCTTTTGCTAATCATAGAGCCAGATACATTTTTCATGATCATTTAGGCTTACATAATTTCTCAATAATATCTGGTTTTGTTGCTAGTGCATGCATTAGACCTAGTCCAGGTGACAATTGAGATTTCAAAACTCTTTATAGTCCAATGAACTAAACACAAATCAGTGCTTGTATCAGGGGTCCAAGATTTCTGTGGAAGCAGCAATGCTTTCATTTATTTATTCTTGTGGGCAGCTGAGACTGTAAACAAACAAGAAACTTGTCGGATGTTAAGAAATGTTGTGCAGAAGTGATACGCAATTGACTGAGAAGCGATTTTAATATGGGTGCTTGAGGGAGGTCCCTGTGAGGTTGTTTCCTTTTAAAAAAAGATCGGAATGAAAAGAAGACATTAGTCATAAAAGTATTAGAAGGATGAGCCTTCCAGTTGGGTTGAATAGCTAGGACAAGGATCCTTAAATTGGGAACAAGGAGCTGGACCAGTTTAGTTGGAGTCTAGTGCATGAAGGAGAGAGTGGGTGGTCATGGGTTCAAGGAGTTTGAAGGGAGAGATCTTGCAGGGCTTTGTTATCCAGAGTAAGCAGTTTGGGTTTTCTTCTGAGTATGGTGGAAGACATTGGAGAATGTTAAACAAGCAATATTGATGCAGGACAGGCAAGTCCCAGAATTGGGATTTAGCCTTGGAGGGTTTTAGCCTTCACCCAGGAAATATTTTTAAGGATGAGCCAGTGGTGTTAGACATCCTTTAGTGACCAGTACTGCTCCTTGTGGAGCAGGGCTAACTCACATGAAGTGTGCCGAGAGTTGGCAATGTATGGACTCTTGGCATCTCTCTTTATAATCACACCCACTTTCAATTACATGCAAATTAAGGGGAGGGTTAATGCAAATTGAGGGGTGGGTGATTCAGAACTTTCTAGGAAAGGAACAGTAACTTTTGGGTCAATGCCACAGAAAGGGTCAGTAACTCCCAGGTAATTGCCTGGCATTTGTAAACTGTCATGGCACTCGTGGGAGTATCTTAGGCTAATGAGCAATGAGGGTATCTAGGGATCACTTTCTTGGCCATCTGCTGGTTTCTGCTGATTTTTTCACTTCATCCCTTCAAGACTGGGAAATAAATGCTGTGGTCTTTTATCTCAGGATAATCTGGTTTATGTCTTAAGAAGGCTAAACCTCAACTCAAATGAAAATAAATAATGTTATTTATTTTCTTTTATTTCTGGTAGTCTAAAGGGTAAAGTGGGTTTCAGGTGGAATGAACAATAGCTTAATGGAGTCCTCAAGAATTTAGTTTATTTCTATATTTCTGCTTTGCCATTTTTAATTCTAAAGTGGGTTCCCCTCATGGGAGCAAGATGACTGTCTGTGACAGCTGGGACTTCATGCTTCCTTGTTCATGTCCAGCAGGAAAGAAAGACAGAAAAGAAGGAAGGGAGGGAGGGAGGAAGGAAGGAAGGAAGGGAGGAAGAAAAGAGAGAAAGAAAGGAAAAAAGAAAGAAAAGGAAGAAACTATAAGCCCTTCTTTCCAATCTGATTGGGTCAACTTAGGTCATAGGTTCATCCTGGTGTTGGTTTCCTGGGCAATGACATGCCCAAGAATGGCTTAGGCTAATCGGGATTTCCCCAGTGAAGAGGGGAGAGTGAATGCCTAAATAAAATCAACACTCTGAAAGGAAAGAGGGAAGAAATATTGTTGGGTAGGTGATCAACAGTATCATAAATATTACCTAACTTTTCTTATGTTTTAATAAAGTCAGCAACCACTGTTTGCATTTTAAGATCTTAGGGGACTAAAAATATGGTGTGAATAATTCTGAAAATAAAAACTTTACCTCCATAGGAAAAAATGTAATGAAGCAACTTCAGAAATACAGCTATTCAAATCAAATCCAAAGATCTTAAATCACAGAAATGTGGTAATTTAATTTTCTATTCCACGCTTAGGGGAAAATTTATAAGACAGGTATAATGTGGTATGTTGTGGACTGTTGGAATTTGAACAAGTTGTCTTACTTGATTTTCACATTTTGATATGGTTTTTCTTCCCATCCCCACCTATTTCTTTTATTTAAATTTCTATTAAACTTTTCTCTTTTGCAAAATAATGGCATGTTAATAACATGGCAGACTTTATTTTCTATTTCTCTGTAATGACATTACCAGAGATTCTCTGAGGTGGTTGATATAGAGAGATTCCAAGGAAAACAAAGTGTTTTGAAAGAAGATGGTCTGACCTTCGTGATAATGCTCTATGCAAGATATTATATCAATTTGGTAATTATACAGAGGAGACAAAAATGAAATCATTCTTGTGATAGGTATTAATTTTGATTGAACTCAAATTGCAACTTACAATTAAAAATCCATAGACAATGGTCTATTCAAGTGACAATGTTTAGAAGTGAAATAACACTACTTTATTCTGTTTTATTTCTATTCTGTTTCAAGTACCCTCTTTTTGATAAACTACCATCACATTTATTTCCATAAAAGCCTTGATTCAGTTCAACAATAAGTAGAATATTTTTTATAGTTTTTCTTCTAAATCACACTTCTGGTAGTTTCTTCTTATGGCTAAGTTCAAAAGTACAGTGATTTATTAAATTGCTACATTCTTTATCCATAATTTGCATGGAGTCTGGGGGGAAAAGGAATACTTCTCACTGTGAAATAGGTCTTTATTATGTTTTAAAGTGACTGGTATTTGACAGCTGGCAAAGATTTTATTGGAGCATAAAACTATGCGCTTTGACTAGCACAATTTATACTTATTTCCAGAATAGCAATGTAGCTCTAACTATCTTCCTGAATAAGATTTACTTGGTCCACAGAAATAATAATTACACAATTCCAACTACGGTCTCCTCTCCTCTTGACAATATTTTTGACATTCTTGATTCCTTGCTGCTTCTCTCATTCAATCACTTTCCCCACTACCACTCTGTACCCACCTTTAGCATCCTTTGATGGTTCTTTTTTGTCGTCTCTCCATTTAAATGAAATCATCCCCTAAAGTTCTCTTCTGCATATCTTTCATAGCCTCTTCTCAGCTGTCTGTTTCCTCAAGCCCCTTTCATCTTCTGAGTTAACATCATTCACCCCCATGGATTCAACTCCCCTTTATATGCCGAGGACTTCCAAATCTACATCTTTACCTCTTCCTTCTCAAGACTAGACTTCAACTCTGAATAGTTGGCTAGACACCCCTCTCTAATATTCCAAGATGTCTGACCTCCAGGTACAACCTCACCTGAACTCATCTCACACAGTTGCTCCCCAAGATGTTGGCTATAGGTACTTCCATTCCCCCATTGCCCAATTTGGAAACCCGTAAAGTTTTCTGACTCCTTCCCTCTCTCAACTCCTATATCTAATTGGTCACTTCATACATTATGCTTCCACCTCTGACTGTCTCTTAATTCTCTCTATTCCTTTCCATGACCAATACCACTATGCTGATTCTGCCTCCAATATTAAACGGACCATGGCATTTTTTTTTTTGAGATGGAGTCTTACCCTGTCGCCCAGGCTGGAGTGCAATGGCATGATCTTGGCTCACTGCAACCCCTGCCTCCCTGGTTCAAACGATTCTCCTGCCTCAGCCTCCCAGGTAGCTGCTATTACAGGCACCTGCCACCACGCCCAGCTAATTTTTGTATTTTTAGTAGAGACGGGGTTTCACTATGTTGGCCAGGCTAGTCTCGAACTCCTGACCTTGTGATCCACCCGCCTTGGACTCCCAAAGTGCTGGGATTACAGGCGTGAGCCACCGCGCCTGGCTGGCAATGTTTTTTGTCTGAACTCCCTGCCTCTTTACACTTCAGTGCATTTCCTGCATTCATCCATTTCAACATTTCTCTTGATTTCCCATTGTCTGAAGAATAAAATCTAGAATTTCAGATGTTCTTTATAGCCTCCCAGCCTTGGTTTCTGACCTCATTCCCATGCATATATTTGAATTATTTGTTTCCAAACATGCCATGTAGTTTCATGCTTTTAAACTTTTGTTATTTTAAAAAAAGTAAAAATTTTATTATTTTATTATTTTGCTTTTCCTTGAGCTGTTTCCTTTGCCTTGATTTTCTTCTCCACTTCCTTCAAATTCTTATTGCCCCTGAACCTTAGCATTTGTTGTTCCCTTGGCCTCTGGTATATTTCCTTAGTGCTTAGCATGGCAAGTTCCTTCCCTTTGTAGACTCCAAATAAAATGTTACCGCCTTTGAAAAGCCTTCCTGATCATCTCTTCCAAAGGAGACCCTCTCCCAGCAGTTATCCTGTATCCCAGCATAACATTTATTTACTTCCAATTACTTATCACTCTCAGAAATTCTACTGTTCATGTAGTTGTTTATTTCTGCCTCCCGAACTAGAATATACTCTACTTGTGGGAAACGACTTTGTCTTATTTGTTACCTCTTTCCAGTTCCTAAAACAGTGTCTGTCACAATGTAGATGCTCAGTGAATATTGTTGAATGAATAAACGATCAAAGGTTTGTTCACTGAGGTGATATGTTTTGATTCTTTAGTGTACCCTATACTTATTTCTTAATCGGGTCAGACGAGAGCCCCCTTTCCACCCTCATTCTTTCCTTCTAGATGGGTTTAGTTTTTGTGAACATTCTATTCTACTTATGAGCTTCCTCTTTTAATTTAGCTAAGTGATATGACTTTAAGGGGAGAGGGGAAAAGCAAGGAAATATTGATACTGCCTTGGAGACAGAGCCAGATTCTGGTTAGTGCTTAGCTCTTCTGCTGTACCGTGGCGTAGAGAAGAAAACACAGTCATGTCCTTTGTAGGGACGTGGATGAAACTGGAAACCATCATTCTCAGCAAACTATCGCAAGGACAAAAAACCAAACACTGCATGTTCTCACTCATAGGTGGAAATTGAACCATGAGAACACATGGACACAGGAAGGGGAACATCACACACCAGGGCCTGTTGTGGGGTGGGGGGAGCGGGGAGGGATAGCATTAGGAGATATACCTAATGTTAAATGACGAGTTACTGGGTGCAGCACACCAACATGGCACATGTATACATATGTAGCTAACCTGCACGTTGTGCACATGTACCCTAAAACTTAAAGTATAATAAATAAAAATAAATAAATAAAAGAAAACACAGTATGTTTTGGAAATCCCTGAATTCAGAGACAAGAGACCTGAGTTTTGCTTCTTGCTCTGCCATTGACATACTTCTTTATGGTGAGTGGGTTCTTTAATGTCTGTGGATCTCAGAATCACAACATAGAAGATCAAGGTTGAACTAAATGATCTCAAAAGTCTCTTCTACTGCTAGAGTTCTGGGCTTCTTTGACTCATCAACTTAATTTAATTATTCATTTAACAAACCTTACCTGAATACCTTTCCTGTGAGAGGCACCAAGTTTAGTGCTAGAGATGCAATCAGTAATGGGCAAAGCAGACTTGGTCCCTGTCCTCAGGGATCTTACAGACTAGTGACAAGGACAGACATTTATAAATGATCACACAGCTCTATTGCCAGGATAAAATAGGTATTTCTATTGAGCCAAAACACCCCATACATAACCTACTTTTTGCCAAAGAACCACCTCTGGTGCAACTATTAGGTTTAACTCTCAGGATTTTTCCAGTGGAAAGTGGGTCAAATGCTTTATTTCAAAAAAGTATTTACATACATAAAGTTAGCAGGAGCAATCTGAGCATCTTAGTAATGTCCAAACATGGAATAATTATTTTTAAGCTGCTGTCATAATTTTTCAAGTTCCTAACATTTTCCAGGGACTTCTGAATGGGAAGGAGGTATGCAAAGAGGCAAAAGTATAAAACACCATTAAGAAATCTCAGCCTCTGCTGATAAATTCAGTTCTGACTAGTGATTTGCATTATAATCTGGTAATTACACTCTCAAGTCTCATGTAGAGTAAATATTCAGTCACATTCAAGAATCACTATCCCCCATAATGGTCTTCAGCTCAGCTTCAAGGAACATGGTAGAGAAGAGGGAAAGTTTGATCTTTCTGTTACAATCACTCCCTCTTGTTCTTGCCCTAATGCCTGTGCATCCTCTGAGCACTACTCAGTGCATCCCAAGCCTGAGTGGAAAGGAGAGGTGGAGGAGGGCCTTTTGTGTTGGTCTTTGCTGTCAGAATGGGGTATGTGTGTGTATGGTTGTGGTGTCCATTCACTTCATGTAAGAGGTCTGCAGGGTGGCCTTCTGCAGCCCTCAACCCTCGCCCCTGGGGAATTCTTACAGGCAATGCGTGGTTCCAGCCTTTGTTCCCTCTGCTATAATTCCAAGGCATAATGAACCATAGGGAGGTGACGTTGGGTGGAGTTTTTGGTTGGCCCCTCAGAATTCCCCCAGTGCTACTTTCTTTTTCTTTTTTTTTTTTTTTTTGAGATGGAGTTTCGCTGTTGTTGCCCAGGCTGGAATGCAGTGGTGCGATCTCAGCTCACTGCAACCTCTGCCTTCCAGTTTCAAGCAATTCTCCTGCTTCAGCCTCCTGAGTAGCTGGGACTACAGGCACGTGCCACCATGCCCAGCTAATTTTTTTGTATGTTTTTTTTTTTTTTTTTTTTTTTTTAGTAGAGATGGGGTTTCACCATGTTGGCCAGGATAGTCTCGATCTCTTGACCCTGTGATCAGCCCACCTCAGCCTCCCAAAGTGCTGGGATTACAGGGGTGAGCCACTGCGCCCGGCCCCCAGTGCTACTTTCTGTACCACCTTTTGGATTTGTATTAGCCCATCCTCAGAATCTTGGGTACCTTTTGCATTTTCTTCCAAGTTCCCTTGGTGGAAAAACAAAAACAATCTCTGTACCATATTTCAGAGCCACATTCTATAGAAAATCATATTTTCAAAAGATGGCAGCGACAATATCTCTCACCCTTAATGTTCTTTTCCAATATGACTTTACCACACCCCTTATTAAGAACAGGAGCCTATTTCTTCTTCTCTTGGATTTGGATTGGCCCAAGCAACATGCTTAACTAGTAGAATGAATCAGAAGGGATGTTCTGGGACTTATGAGACTAGTTCACAAGAGGACTTGCTCTTGGATCAGTCCTTTTCAGACTTGCCATGCCCCAACCAATGCTGTTGGAAGCTCATGCCAAATGGAGAGGCCACATACATGTTCTGTGCTTGACAACCCCAGCTGAGCTCCAGGCTGACACTCAGCATCAATTCCTAGTCATATGAGTGAGCCATTTTACATGCATGGCCCATGAACCTTTAGTGATCTCCAAATCCAGCTGCCACCTGACTGATGCTATATGAAAAATACCAAATAAGGCCATCTGACTGAACATTGTCAATTGATAGAACCATGGAGATAACATTGTTATTTTGAGCCACTTTGTTTTGGGGGTGGTTTGTTACATAGCAACAGATAACTGAAATACCCTCAAACTTTATGAGAGAGTTATTTGGGTCAAACCTTTGAAGGAGGTAGGACAAGGTCAATGTTCTTCCCCCTCCACTCTCAGGGAAATGTTAAGAAAGAGGCAGTTGTCCCCTCATATCCTCTTCTCCCTCTGTCTAATCTTTTATGTATGAAGCAGGGATAGGGCATGGTGTCCTTCAGGATATGCTTAAGTGAATCACCCAGCTCACTATTTATGGGTTATCTATCAGGACATCAGGCTTTTCCTGAGATGACAGGTTGATGCAGGAGGAAGGAGCACCTCCCTCTTTCTCTTCATAGTCATCCATATGCTGCTCATATTATAATGATAACATACAGACATCAAACCTCTGCAAACATGTGCCAGATGTTCTCTCTCAAGACACAGATATTTCATCAAGTGACCCTCACAACCTTCTTTTGATTCATAATTAGCCTTTTCTTTCATGATTCTCAGCTTTAACATGAATTAAAATCACCTGGGGAATTTGTTTAAAAATTCCGAATCCCAGCTCTATCCTTAAGAGAATGTGAATTTATAGGTATATAGTGGGTGCCTTGGTCCTTTTGGGCTGTGATAACAAACAGGGGTGGCTTATATACAACAGAAACTTATTGCTCACAGTTCTGAAGGCTGGAAAGTCTAAGAGCAAGGCACTGGCAGATTTGGTGTCTAGTGAGGGCCTACTTCCTAATTCAGAGATAGCACTTTCTACTTGTGTCCTCACATGATGAGAGGGGCAGACTCCCTCAGATCTCTTTTATGAGGACATTAATCTCATTTACAAGGGTTCTGACCTCATGACCTGATCAACTCCCAAAGTCCCCACCTGCTAATATCATTGCATTGGTGATAAAGTTTCCACATATGAATTTTGGGGAGATGCAAGCATTCAGACCATAACAATGGGGCTCAGGAATCTGTACTGTTAAAAAAAAAACAGCTAAGTTGATGGTATGCAGAAATTTAGGGGACCATGATGTGAAAAATTCTTTTTGAGTCTTTTTCCTTTGGAATTTGTGTCAATTTTTCTTAATCCTTCAGTACCTTTATAGGTCTCTGAAACTTTTGAATTATTCTTACCTTGTGTATGGCAGTCTATAACTGAACAGGATCTTGGACAAAAGCTGACAGTGAGATAAACGGAATAATTTCAAATCTGTTTAGAGTAGAAGGCATTTATTAGAAACAGAGGCTGACTGAGATAGACTAAATTCACAGAATATTAAGAGAAGTCTTATCTGAGACCCTCCCTAAATGAATTTCCTGGTGTAAGCTTGGGGATGCATGCAGTTAGTAAAAGGACAGTGCAGTGCAGCATGGAGAATTAAACAGAGTCTGGCAGGAAAATGTGCCCTGTGTGTATCTGGAACTCCCAAAAGGAGGACAAGTAGATTACCTGTCTGGCCTCAAAGACTCACTTCATAGTCTTTGAGATGAGGAGAAGGAGGTAACTCTGTAGTTTCCCTGATGAGGGCACTCCTACCCCAAGGGCATGCACATTCAGTTCCATTCCTATAACTCACCAAAAAACCTTCGAATCTGTGGCCAAGTCTCCAGGCCCCAGAGCACTGGCCTCAGTCTAGAGAGGTTCTTAAACTCAAATGCCAATCTCTCATCAGATTAACAAAAATGTGGAGTGAGGCAGTATTTGTACATTTCTGAGAAACAAAAAATTAGATTTCCAGTATTTTACATTGCCTGGTCATCAAAACCACCAGAACAAATTAGCCAATTTATTATGAAATAGTTATTAGAATGAGAAATTGATTTACCTAAATATTTTCAGGATTTAAATTTCACAAAAAGAATTAAGACTCTATGAGTTGTTTAGGCCATTGGAAAGTAGTCAGAATTTAATACTTTGTTTTGTTATTTCCTCAGTTATTAGCTCATTTGATCCAGCAGAGTGAAGAAACATAAGCAGGGAGAAAGAGCTATGATGTTCTGTGGCTGGAACTTGAGATGAGCTGATTGTTTACCAGACTAATTTCCACTAATTTCTAGGCACACATTTTCCATATTTCTTTGCAGTGGCCAATAGGTGGTGGTGGTGGGATGGTGGGTGATATGGTTTTGCTGTGTCCCCACCCAAAATCTTACCTGGAATTGTGATCCCCATAATCCCCATATGTCAAGGGAGAGACCAGGTAGAGGTGACCGAATTATGGGGCGGTCTCCCCATGTTGCTCTTGTGATAGTGGGTGAATTCTCATGAGATCTGATGGTTTTATGTTTGGCAAGTTTCTCCATTGGTTATTCTTCTTCCTGCCACCTTGTGACGAAGGTGCCTTGCTTCCCCTTCGCCTTCCACCATGATTGTAAGTTTCCTGAGGCCTCCCCAGCCATGTGGAACTGTGGGTCAATTAAGCCTCTTTCCTTTATAAATTACCCAGTCTTGGGTATTTCCTTATAGTAATGTGAGAACAGATCAGTACAGTGGGGTTTGATGTGCCTGAATTCATGTCAATGGAATTGGGAGGTAAGTGTTGCACACAACTTCGAGTCTTGGCCCATGGAACCTTCTCACATGCAGTTCTTCATGCTCCTATCACTGGCTTAATGTAGAGGAAGATGAAGCCTTAGAACATGCTGCTATCACAAGATGGCAGGACACTGCATCCCTGAATGACTACATGGAGCAGAGCTTCCTGCTGACTTCATTTGATTATTACATGAGCTAGTGTCTTAGTCTATTCAGGCTGCTAGAACAAATTATCATAGACTGGATAGCTTATAAACAACAGACATTCATTTCTCACAGTTTTGGAGGCTGGGAAGTCTAAGGTCAAGGCTGCAGCATAGGTGTCTGGTAAGGACCTGCTTACTGGTCACTCTGTTGCCTAGGCTGGAGTGCAGTGCTGCAGTCCTGTCTCACTGCAGCCTTGAACTCCTAGGCTCAAGCGATCCTCCCACCTAAGCCTCCAGTAGCTGGGACTACAGGTGTGCATGACCTTGCCTGGATAATTTTTAATTTTTTTCTCTAGAGAAGGGGTCTTTCTATGTTGCCCAGGCTGGTTTTGGACTCCTGACCTCAAACAATCCTCCCCCCTCAGTCTCTTGATGTGCAATTACAGGCATGAGCCACTGCACCCAGTCAACATAATCTTTTCTCTATGTTCTCATATGTGGAGGGGTGAGGAGTCTCTCTTCAGCCTCTTTTATAAGGGTACTAATCCCATTTATGAGGGCTCTACCCCCATGACTTAATCCCCTTCTGAAGTCCCAACCTCCTGCCACCATCACCTTAAGGGTGAAGATTTCTGCATATGAATTTTGAAGGTACGCAAACATTCAGACCATAGTGCAGAGCAAGTGCAATAAGTGGTTGCTGACACCTTCAGTGTAGCAAAGCAGTAGGAACTGGTGGGGACTGTGGGGAACACATGCCTGTCCAAAGAGGGCAGCAGCTACCCAGCCAGCCTTAGACTGTGGGGTATGTGACCACTGCCAAGGCCCAAGCTTCTAGTACTATTGATACAGAAGGGCTGGGTTCCCGGCTAAACCCCACCCTTACCCTGGAACTGCGACCCTAAGCGAAAACAGCTGACCTGGTTTTTCCACCCAAATGTTGCCTTTTTGCCCTGCCTTGCCCCCATCCTGTGCTTATAAAAGACATTAGCCGGCAGAGCAACACAAGTGGCTGAGCATGAAGGATGCTTGTTATTCAGACAGCTTGTATCAAGCAGCTGAGCAGTGAGCAGAGAAGCAACTGTCAGAGACTACAGTTAGAGGCAGCTAACTTTGGATGGTGCGGCTTCAGAGAGGGCCCTGGCCGGAGATGGCTGGGCTTCAGGGAAAGATCACCTTCCCATCCCTTTCTGCTGAAAGCCACCCTCCGCTCAGTAAAGTCTTCCGCATTCATCACCTTTCAAACAGTTCATGTGACCTGATTCTTCTTGGACACCAGACAAGAACCCTGGTGTTGAGAGGGCAGGGGCTGCCACCCCAACCCTCCACTGAGCTGGTTGGTACTTGGCCATCCCCAGAGAGCAGAGCTGAAAGAGGATTGGTAGTAACACGCTTGGACACTGCTGCTGGGCCTGCGTAGAGCCTGCTCCCACCAGAGAAGAGTGACCGGATGCTTCCAGCATTTGTTCACTCCGGTTCCCACACTTACTTGCTTGCACGCTCCCTCCCATGAGGAGTGGCCAGTGGCAGGCTGACTGAATTGAGTCCCTCCAGTTCCTGCCCATGAAGGGGGTCAAGGGAACTATCCCACCTCAAGATCACTTTTGGGGTTAGGATTTCAGCTTTTCAATTTTGGGGGAACACATGCATTCAGCCTAGAGCAGCAAGAAATAAACTCTTAATGTGAAATTTTGGGGTTGTTTCAACATTTAATGGACTACTAGTATTCAGTAAGCTCCTGAAGGTGCCTATTTACTAATATGTCAGGGGTTCTCACTTTTTCAACATCAAATTTCTTTTGAGCCCCAACGTGATGGCTTGAGTCTCACATGTATTCATCCACCTCTGGAATTCAGAACCATCTGTACATTTGGCTAACTGATGTGGCAGATAGACCAGAGGCCTATTTGCAGTAGACATTGTTGAATCTTGTGGGAGAGAATTTATCCTCAGGGACAGAGATCCAGAAAGATAAGCTTGGCCTGACAGCCAAGCAGTGGTTGTGTGAGGGAAGTGGCTGCTCTGAATATGGCTTTCTGTTTGTTTTTGGATCCATCCCTGGTCCAGTTCTAGCTGAGAGAGAGAGACTTGATAATAAAAACTGAAGAAATTGTATAATTTGTATCTCTGTGCTTCACTTATGTGTGCAAAAACCACTATATTTTTCTAAGTGAAATAAATCTCTCAGTTCCTGTTCATTAGGGTTTGTAGAATATTTAAACTTAGTTATGTTTTGCTGGGTGTCCAGTCTTTACAACAACCAAGGAGCTTTTCCAATCCAGAAGATTGGGGTAAATCCTTTGACCTTCTATCCATCATTGTCTCTTTTGAGATGCTCATTGTTTAGGGTTATCTGTTCTGTTAGGAAATGGGTGGCTCTGGGCTCAGGATAAGAAGACTTCCAGGTGGTCAGGCCTTAAGCCATTATATAGCCCATTTTTTAGAGGTTCTGCAGCCCTTGTCTGTGGGTAGGAGGGGGGCACACTGCAAGTTCATTGTCACCACTGCCTTCTTTTAACTCAAAGAAGCCACCCTAGGTATTGGGGCACTTCTCTTCAGTTCAAAACATCACCTTCCATTACTCTTCCTGACTTCTTCTATCTTTATGGATCCGAAATATGAAAACTGTACTTTCCCCTGGAGTTGTAGTTGAAGGAGAGTTTAGACTTTTAAAAACACAATTGCTGGTACCTTCTATCTGTGGTGAAAGTGAGGAAACAAGGATTTTTTTATTCCTTTGTGAGTTTACAGCAGCAAAAGAAAAATGACAGATGAAAAAAGCATGAAAAAAGGAATAGAAAGAAAAAGACAATAACAAAGAGGCACTAGTCAGTTTTTCTTAACAGTAAATTTTTACAACAATTTTTACTAAAAGCCCAATATGCGCGGTAGGGTAGAATATTCCTTTAATTTCCTTCTGAGAGTGTCAAAGGGTGTCTTCACCTAACATCATACATACTTAGCACTGTGATTGTTCTTCATAGCAGCCATGATCTCCTGCAGGGCAGACCAGAGTTAGACAGAAGGTGAAATGTTAATTAGAAGTGGATGCACCTAGAACAAAAGGCAGGGTGTTGGAGGATGGCAGATCACATAAACCAGAAGGCAGCTGGGCAGATGAGAAAGAAACATTGGATCAATCAGCCAAGTCCTAGAGGATTGGATTTGTTTTGAAGCCTAGATCAGACATCCACTAGGGACTCCAAGAAGTACTCAGTGGTAGTAGTAGTTGTCAGAGGAAACTTTCCAGATAGCTAGATTTCTGCAGATGCAGGGATTTCAGAGATACCTTAATTTGATTTAGGGTGAGAATGTTTCTGTTGGTTTGTGGTTGCCCCTGATTCCGCTGTAGTACCATTCTGATTGTTTCTAGGATCTGCATGTTGACTCAACTCTTCCCCAAACTCAATGAATTATTACGTAAACAGCTTCCTTGCTGGATACGAGAAAATTTAGAAATATTCGTGTCCATCCTGTGCCCTCGCACAAGAGCTCCAAGCACTTTTGAAGGACTCTTAGATGGTGACCCCTCTTCCTGAGCCATCATGAGCCTAAAGATCTTGGCTCTCCATTGTGTCTCCATCTCCCCAGAGCACTGGTCATCATGGGAGGTTGGTAGAAAGTGCTTCCTACTTGCGTCTGCTACTCTTCATTTTCTAATTCCACACTGTTCGGAACTCTCAGAATGACAGCTTGATATCTTCCCTCCCCATTCCCTGGTTTGCATTCTTCTATCTATCTGTAGATTCATTTAAAAATTGTTATTTTCCATGTGCCAGAGACTGTGGGTTTCCTCTGGACTTTGTTTTCTCTTCTAAATTGGAGTGAATGTTCCCTAGGCCTCTTTGCTAATAGGACCTTGTCTCCAGGATTACAACTCAGCCTTTCTTTCTCTCCCTCCAACCTCCTCCACCCCCTCAGATCCCTGCTGGTTTCCTAATACCTTCTCTTGGTTCAATCTGGCTTTGCTCCTAGCATGCCTTTGTACTGGATGATTGGCTCATTACTGGCACAAGTTTTGACAGATTTTTAACAACTAGAATCTGAATCCCAAGAAATAATGTGTAAACCAGATTTTCTTAATCAGGGTTCCTCGTCTGAACCACAGAATATTGAACATGATTTGAATAACTATTTATTTCAATTCTCTTAGCAATGGAATGTGGAAAAGACATTAAAAGTATGTATACTAGTCATATAGATGATACTCGGATAAATTAATATAATGCTAATATTTATGAGACTTTTTGGTTATAAAATCCACCTTATTTAGGTCCCACCTGCTCCATGAAGACTTCCCTGACTCTTCTGGAATTTCCTTCTGTGTTCTGTATCACTTTCTATCTTTACTATATATTTTATCATTTGATCAGTTACTATTTTCTATTATTACCTGATTTCCTGTGTACCTTGTTTCTTGAAGTATTAATTCCTTGAAGGTAGGGTCGTTAGTTGGCACTAGAACTGGGGGTGTTAAATTAATATGTGCTAAATAAAATTGATCCACATTCTTCTCTACTTTTCTTGATGCACACCTGGTACTTGCATAAGGATTGGCCATTGGTATGTTGTTAAGATAATTCAATAAACACATAAGGCACACAAATATTTAGTTTCTATCTTTCTTTTGGTCAAACTAGAGATTTCTTCTTTCTCATCTTGATCTAGTCAATCATGAAATTCTACCATTTTATCCATGAAGGTTTCTTAACTTGGTTTCCTTTTCTCCATTGCTATCGCTTCTTTAGATTAGGCCCATTATCTCATTTTTAGGCTACAGTACACAGCATCTCCTAACTGGCTTTCTTGTCTTTGGTTGTCCTTCTCTGTAGCAGTTTGGTAAAACCTACAGTTTCTCCCATAAAAGCGAGCCATTCCTCTCCACTACACCTCTCTTGAATCTAGACTGGCCTTGTGACTGGCTTTAAGAAATGGAATGTGGTGGTGATGACGTTGTCCACATTGTGAGCTTGGGCCTCAAATAGCCTGGCAGATTTCACTCTTGCTTGTCCTAGAATCCTGAGACCATGTGAGTGAGCTCAAGCTAGCGTGCTGGTGCATATGAGGCCATGTGGTGGAAAACCAAGGAGCTCCGGCAGACAGCCCCCAATCACCATGTACGTGAGGCCAGCCTGGATCATCTAGCTGCCAGACAATTTGCCAGCTGACTGCAGACACAGGAGAGGGCCAGGTAGAATGAGCTGAGCTGGGCTGCTCGGAAGAACTGCCCTCAGGATCATGAGCTAACTATTCATTCTTTTAAACCTCTAGGTTTTGAGGCAGTTGTTTCTTTTGCAGCACAAACCAACTCATACGCCACTAAAAACAAAATCAGACATGTCCTCTCCTTTGCTTAAAACGGCAGAATGCTTTCCACCACATGCTATAAGTAAGACCCTGAAGATCAGGATCTTGCTGGCCTCTCCAGGCTTAGCTCTTATTAATCTGTACCTCATGGTTTTCTCTCTGGCAATGTGGAAACACTTAATTTGCCTGTGCACCGTGCTCCTCCTTCCAGTTCCTTTGCTCTTCCTATACCTCCTTTCACATAGTGACCCTCTACATAACCTTCAAATTGCAGACCAGATCCCACCTCCTCCAGAAAGCCTGATGGGTTAGATGCCTTTGCTTATGCTTTTCTAATACTCCATTCATATTCCTACCCCTACACTTAAGGACTTTCTTTTAAAATATTTATGTTAATACCCTCTAAGTAGATTGTGAGCTTCTTGAGGGCAAGATTTGTATCTTGTTTTCGTTGTGTTCCCTCTGCTTAGCAGGGTGAATGACTATTGAATAAATGCATACCCCAAGTTTCAGGAATGTAAAACTAAAATGTGGAAGAAAATGGTACCCATAATTTGTGGCTACTTTGTACCTTCTAAAGATCAAATAACCACCCATGATTTTCATCTATTTATTTTCATGTCTATAAATTCTATTTTTCTCCTTTACAACAAGTTGCTTTCTGATTGAGATATACTTTATGGATTCAAATCAAATTAGAAGCAAGAACACAGAGAATTTTTTTTCTCACTCACAGCAGTTGTAAACTATCATGCTTATATTAAAATTCTTCAAAATGTAAAACTTAAAACTGGTCTCACTTTTTCATAATTCTGAACTCAGAATAAATGAATTCAGCTAGCTTGGCTTCCTAGAGAAATTCTACAATTAATTTCAGAGTAAACTCCTACCCCCGCATAGAAACCCACCTAGCAAGAAGGCTGCTCAAGTCTCAACATTTATGAGCCATGAATGCAAGTGTTGACTGAAAGTTTTTTGCTAACCCCAGGTGGAGAAGTGAGGCATTTGTGTGGCATGAGAGGTCTACGCCAGTCATGCCTCTGGTAATGCGATTCTCAGCTCTGTTGAGAGCAACACATGGGGATTCTTCCATTTTTTTTTTTTTTAATTTCTGTTACATGCAGAGGCAAGTGCCCACTGTTATATCAATGAAAAAATTGTGTATCCAAGTGATCTTTTAATCCCTTTGATTCATTGTGTCTCAAAAATCACACAAATGATAACCTATGAACACATCAATAGGAATGAAGGTTGGAAAGAAAAGAATCCAATGAAAACAAGAAAAATTAACATATCTCAGAATCACCACCCTAATATCATACAATGATGAATAAGATAAGTACATAACACACATACCCTTTCTGCCCACAAAATTGTGGCAAGGCTGAGTCAGTCTATGTACAGAAAAAGATATGAATATTTTGCTTGGAAATCCAGTCTGAAAACAAAGAGAGGAAATGACTTAGCAGAAGATTTGCACATGAACTACCCAGTCGACTCTGAGCACAGCAAATCAAACTGAACTACCTGAATGTGCCACTTGCTTTTAGACATTATCGGATAATCATTATGTCATACTTTTAAAGCTTGTTTAAGATTTCAGGTTTGTCTGTGAGGCTTCTGTCACGTGGCTTCTAAGCAAAAATGATCCCAGTTGTGATTTTGGAAATGCAGTTTTGAAAATTCTGATCACAAGCAATGCTGTATGAGGGACTCGGGTAAAAGTGATGGAGTCGTACTCTCTGCCCTGATTACAAATGAGACAGCACTTGTTTGGATCGAGCATCACAGCACAGATAATTACATAAAATGGGAATGGGAAGCAAGATGCATGTACTGTCATTCTAAGGAGATTATTTTCTTCATTGCAATATTGATTTAACTCCGGACAAAAAAGTACTCCTTTTCGTGAGTTTTGTTTGCCTGAGTCTCTCTGAACTTGGGCAGGTTTCACTTGGCAAATTACAGTGGTGCAGTGGGAGGCAGAGGTTGGACATGAGGGAATGGAAATTTGCAATTAGACAGGCATGCTTAGGGTAGTTAATTTTATGAAATGGAGGCAAAAGTAAAAGCATAATTTGGTGGATCAACGGAAAGCCAAGTTTGATGGTTTTACGTTAAAAAGTGATAAGATGTCTGTTTTTGTCCATCAAGGCTCCATTTTCAGCTCAGACAACAATAAAGCAGTTGCTAGCTCTACAAAAGAGGGCAAAATAGAACCCGTGTCCTAACTGGAGAACATGGGGTGGCCATGTGCGGAAAGCTGCATGTAACCTGTGGCTAGAGAATAGTGTCTGGCATCAAGCAAGTACAACAAGTAGGCAAAAGGGATAAAAAGTTACAGGATGAACCATTATTAGTGGGGTATTTTGAAGGCAAAATTTCCTTGTACTGAAGATACTCAATGTACCAAAAAAGGCAACTTATTTTTAAAGAAGATAGTAATAAAGGTCCCGAATGAAGGAACTACAACCACTGTAGGCAAGTGTGGAACAAGCACAGTGTGGATAAGGGTCTCTACTAGTTTCTTCAGTGGAACTGGCCCTTTAATAAAGCAATGCAACGGGGTGGTCTATGCATGTGTTGTCCAATAGCCACCAGCCACCTGTGGCTATTTAAATTTAAATTAATTAAAATGAGATGAAATAAAATATTCTATTCCTCAAGCATATTTACCACATTTTAAGGGCTCAATTACTACACGTGCCCAGGGCCTAGCATACTGGGCAGCACAGACAAATCAGTTCCATTATTGTAGAAAGTTCTATTAGACAGCACTGAAAGAGCATTGTCTTGGGAGCCTGGGAGTGAATCATGAGTCTGCAACTTAGTAATGGAGTGGCCACTGTTTCCTCATATTTAAAATAGGGCTAGGTGATATAGTACCTACCTCCTGGAGCTATTATGAGGATTAAATAAATGAGTTATTTTTAAATAAGATGTGTAGAACCATGCTTGGTACACAGTAGTGTAGTATCAGTAGTTTTTAAATGAATGGAGCCTGCTGCCTATATTCTATAGTTTGTATATATTTAAGCTCATGTTAATTTTTAGTGGTAATGATGACTAACATTAATTGTACACTTAATCCTTGTGGGCTTGATGTTTTACTTCCTTTGATTTAAGTGCCATTAAAATCTCATGAGGAAGACTTGATTATTACTTAATAGATGAGGATACCTGTAATCCCAGCACTTTGGGAGTCCGAGGTGGGCAGATCACGAGGTCAGGAGGTGGAGACCAGCCTGGCCAACATGGTGAAACCCTGTCTTTACTAAAAAATACAAAAATTAGCTGGGTGTGGTGGCAGGCACCCGTAATGCCAGCTAGCTTGGGAGGCTCAGGCAGGAGAATCACTTGAAACCGGAAGGTGGAGGTTGCAGTGAGCCGAGATGGCACTACTGCATGCCAGCCTGGGAGAAAGAGCGAAACTCCATCTAAAGAAAAAAA